>NC_000001.11:37678835-38303835 GCF_000001405.40 Homo sapiens | reverse complement strand
ATAGATTTAGAAAAAGCATCTGATGAAATTCAGCAACACTAATTAATGATTAAAAAAAAAAAAAACCCTTAAACTAAGAAGAGAACCTTAACATGATAAAAATCACCTGCCAAAAACCAACAGCAAATATCATGTATGATGGTGAAATGTTAGAAGTATTTCTTTCAAAGCCAAGAACAAACTAGGATGTCTGGAGGTCCTAGACAGTGCAATATGACTAGTGTGCATAGTATTGGAGGAGGAGGAAGGAAAAGGGAAAGAAAATAAATTTAAGCAACACCGAGACAACTTTTCATGCATATCAGATTGGCAAATATTAAAATGACTGCTAACACCACAGATTTTGGAGGATGGAAGCATCAGGAACTCTCTCACTGTTGGTGGAGCTGTAAACAGGCACACCACTTTGAAGAGTAAATTGTCAATATCTGGTAAACTTGAAGATGATGTGCATATAATATTATCCAGCAATACCACTTTTAGATATTGTAATCGAGAAAAATTAGGAAGCAACCTAAATGTCCGTGAACAGAGAATAAGTAAGTCAGGTGCAGTTCATTCACACAATGAGCTACTATATAGCTGTTGAAACAAATGAACTAAGTTTTCATGCACAGATGTGGTTAAATCTCAAAATGTAACATTAAATGAGAAACATCAGTTATAAAAGGACAAAGTCAGTACAATACAATTAACGTCAGTTTTAAGAACACAAAAAGCAATCCCACATATTGTTATGGTTATACATATATGCATTAAATGTATAAAAACTGGTACAGAGTGATTTTTTAAAAACTTTGAGCAAATTTCCTTTGAGGAGGAAAGAAAACATGGGGGCTTTTAGCTGTATCTGTGATTTTTCTTCCTGAGAAAAAGAAGAGCAGACTACAACAAATACAGCAAAATATTAACCTCCTAAATCTGGATGGTGCAATATGAGTTTCTATTACATTTTTTTTTTACCTTTATTTCTTTATGTTTGAAATGCAGTAATCCCGCCTTATCCAAGGGGGATACATTCCAAGACCCCCAGTGGATGCCTGAAACCACAACACCGAAGCCCAAAAATATGCACAATTTTTTTCTTTCTTCACAATTTCACAGATAGAAGATTCATCCTTACTATGGATCTTAGCAACCTCAGCATACAATTTTTTTTTCTTTCCTTATTAAGTCAAGAACTTTCAACTTTTCACTTAAAGAAGTACTTTATGGCTTCTCTTTGGCATATTCAAATTGCCCACATCACTACTCTTGCACTTTGGGGCCATGACTAAGTAAATAAGGGTTACCTGAACCCAAGCATTGCCATACACAGTCAATCTGATAAACCAAGACAGCTACTGACTGACTAATGGGCAGATAGCACGTACACACGGATCTCTATACAAAGGGATGATTCCCGCCCGGGACAGAATCAAGCAAGACGACTACTCAGAATGGCATGCAATTTAAACTTAGGAATTGTTTATTTCTGAGTTTTCCATTTAATATTTTCAGACTGTGGTTGACCTCGGGTAACGGAAACCCTGGAAAGTGGAATTGCCAATAAGGGAGGATTCCTGTGTTTTATTATCAAGTGATTAATTTAAAAATGATGAAAGATCATGGCACAGTGGAATCTCAGAATTGGAAGAAAACTCAGAAGTTATTTAATTAGATGTGTCATTTCTCAAGAGTCCCACAGGCTTGGCTTTCATGACCCTAGTGACGGGGAGCTCACTACCTGTTAGGCAACTTCTGTTCTGGTCAGGTTTCCCTGTTAAAACAAATACCCTCAGCCGGGTGCGGTGGCTCATGCCTGTAATCCCAGCACTTTGGGAGGCCGAGGCAGGTGGATTGCCTGAGCTCAAGAGTTCAAGATCAGCCTGGGCAACACGGTGAAACCCCGTCTCTACTAAAATACAAAAAATTAGCTGGGCGTGGTGGCACGTGCCTGTAATCCCAGCTACTGGGGAGGCTGAGGCAGGAGAATTGCTTGAACCTGGGAGGCAGAGGTTGCAGTGAGCCGAGATCGTACCACTGCACTCTAGCCTGGGTGACAGAGCAAAACTCTGTCTCAAAAAAAAACAACAACAGAAAAAAAAAAAAAAGAAAAGAAAAGAAAAGAAATACCCTCGTATGGAGCCAAAATCTGTCCCTTTTTATTCCCGTGGCCCAGCATAAGGGTTTTGGCTTTGCCTTCACAGACCTGACTGGGAGTCTGGAGCCTTAGACTCTGGCCCTGGTTTTGTCATGACCTCCTGGATAAAACTCTCCAGTCTCTTGCCCTCATTTCTCCATCTATCAATCAATTACATGATGTGAATGGTCACTGAAGTCTCTAACATCCAACAAGTCTGTAAGATTAATGTTTTCCCAAAACTTTGGCACAGCAGGGCCTTCTATAAAAACATAATTTTTAAAAATAAAATTCGTCTCTTTAAAAGCATGCATATTTCTTAAAACAAGGCTTAACCTTCTGTCTTAAAACTTGCCTGGCAAGACTGTGCCATTCGGCAAAAGTAGAAATGCACGGCTCTACACAAACAGAAGGCCTGGCCGGGGCAGCAGAGGGGAGCTGCCCAAGAGACTGAGAGCCAACCTCCCCAGGCTAAGGCTCACCGTTTCCCAGCAGCCACATGCATCCCAGGCCCAGTGTGGCTCAGTGGAGAGGCGCTCCCTCAATGTCCCCTTGGGGGAAGCCTTGTAGCTGGCCTCCTGGGAAACACTGGGGAAGGAATCCTTCAACCTGCCCCTTCTCCATCTATAGAAGCCCTTCACATCATTCAAGACCCAGGTTTCTGCCTCTCCGAGGCTGGCCCACATCTCCTGCAAGAGAATGAACCCTCTTTCCACAAGCCATTCTTTATATTTCTGATAGAAGTGAAATTTTTTCCTTAACAAACTCTCACGTCTTGCTTTGTATGTATTAGGCACTTCTGAGCACTTTGTATATGCTGATTTATCTAGATAGACGCTAGCTGAATCTCCATTTTACAGATGAAAGGCTAAGGCACAGAGCAGTTGAGTCACCTGTCCAAGCTCACACAGCTAGTTTTTAGCAGAGCTGGGGTTTGAATCTGGACAATCTGGTCCCAGAGTATGTGTTTTTCTTCCTACTATGCTAGGCTCCAACTTATGTTTGAGTTGTTTATACATGTGTCTTATCTCCCCCAGTAATTCGTCTGTTTTGTAACCTGCTTTTCTCACTTAATACTTTATCATGTGCATCTTTCCATGCCATTAAATATTATTCCACAACATTATTTTTTAATGACTGCCCTAGAAATCCACTATGATATATAACCAGCTCAATCGTCAGACATTTAAGTTGCTTTTGCTTTTTCACTACCATCAACAATGTTTTGGTAAATACACTTATAATTAAATTTCTGCATACATCTCTGTTTCTTTAGGATCTGTTCCAGAAGGAACTGCTGGATCAAAGCATGTGCGAACTCTTAAGGCTTCTGATACATATTGCCAAATTACCACTCGAAGGACTTACCAGCAGTGAATGGGAGAACCTCTTCCCCAGGGTCCTGACCCACCCAACCATAAACACACAATAAGGAAGTAAGGGGGATGGGGGAGGGATATTAATGTTTTAATTTGTTCTTTTGTTTATAAGTAAAGAAAAATTTGTTTATTCCTTATGATTATTTGTATTTTTTCTTTTATAAATACTCTTTGTTTATTATTCAAATCAGCATGCTCTTCTCCTTTTTGTTTGCAAGAAGAGAGAGAAACACTTAGAAGATAGAATCCCATATTTCGTTCCTCCTCTATGGGCAGAGACAGGAGCTAATAAGAATGTAACATGCATTTGCAGACTTTTTGTCAGAAACCTTAGCAAAAATTAACTTTAAGCAAATCCTCTGCCCCTACCAGCTTCCAGGATCTGAGTGGTAAGAATACCCCAGGCAGTGGCCCTACCTGTCCTGGGCAATGCCCTGCCAGGCTATGTAATGGGTGGGTGTACAGGTGTCCAGACACAGGGGTCAGAACATCACCCAGGCCAAATCCCAGCTCCACCACTCACAACCATGGGACCTTGAGCAAGTTGTTTAAACCCTCCCTGCCTCCATTTCTCCATTTGTAAAATGGGAATAATAATGATAATACTTTATTTGGCTGCTGTAAGGGTCATATAAGTGCATATAGAGAGCATTTAAACCACCTGGCACGTATTAAGAACCATGTAACTATTAGCTGTTATTATTATTGTTTTGATCAAGATTTTTCTCTGGATATAGCTAGCCTGCTTCCATTCTTTTGTAATTCACATTGAAGGAAGATTTCCTTTGGGCAAGTTATATATGTATATTTTGTCTACAGATAAAAACAAAAAAACAAATATTTGAATATTATAAAACAATAAAAACAAACATTTGAATGAAATTCATTCAGCATATTTGAACCCCACTATGTAGTAGGACTCATGCTGGATATGGGGATGAAATATAATTCCTGCCTTCAAAGATTCCTTGAATGAGACAAAGAAAACAAGATATACCCCAAGACTGCAATAGCAGGTAGACTAGGAGCTGGGCCAGATGTGGGACACCTCTTACAGGCCACTTTAAAACATTTCAAAATCCCTGTCCCTCCAGCCACCACTGAGTGACGGGCTCTGCACAGGCCTTGGTCAGCCTCTTGCAGGCGCAACCTGACAGAGCCACGTCTGAGGTCATGACACATGCCTCTTACTTTCTGCCTGAGGATTCTCGGAAGTCCCAGGGAGAGTTTCAGACAGAACCCACTGGGAAGGCACTTGTGCAAGGTGGAAGGGGAGGTAGGTAACATCTGTGGGGTCACCTTTCATTCCCCAAGGCAAACAATCCTAAGGCTCACTTCTTAAGGCCTGGAATGGTGGCCAGCTGGGTACCCTGTCCTTGTATCGGCTATCCTCCTTCTCTGCCTCATCCCCTTACATCCTCACACTTGCTCCCTGGCACCACTTTCCAAATAAAGACATACAAGCCTTGGGTGCTGCTTTCAGGGACACCTAGGTTAAAAGAGGTGCTAAGAGAGGCACAGATAAGGGGCTGTGGGAATTCAGGGGAGGACAATCAGGGTAGGCTCCCTGGAAAAGTTGGCATTTGGGTGGAGCCTTGAAGCCTGGCCATGTGTTGATAGGAGGAAATGTATGAACAAAGTCTTGGATGCGGAAATTCTCAGGGTACAAATGGGGCAGGTGGGGCTTAGAGTCTCTGAGACATTATGTGAATGAAGGATTTGAGGTGAGAGGGAAAAGCAAGAGTCATACCTTGAAGCACTTTGAATCTTAGGTAAGGAGTGTGGACTTCCCCAGAAGGCAACAGGTGACAATGAGGCCAGTTCTGGGTTTTAGAACAACCTTATAGCTGTGATGCAGGTTACGGGGAACACCGGTAAAAGTGAGTGTTGGCCAGATGTGAACATGGAGGGGAGTAAACCAGCCCAGAGTTCTTGGGTGGATCTGGTGGGAGGCAACAAAGACTGAACTGAGGGGTTGGGGAGAAGGAAATGGGGCTGTGAAGTAGGTTCAGTGTTCACTGGTTACCCACTTATCTGAATCCAGTGACATAGAGCAACCACACACATGACAGGTTACATGAAGCAGGGTTATGACTTACAGATAGGTAGCAAGAGACAACCGAAGCCTAGGGTTCACTGGGAGCCGGTCCCCAGGCTCAGAAAGCTGCCCAGCGTGGAAGGAGTCTTGACTGCATGTGCCCCACTTGCACCGCAGCCCACAGGCCCCAGAAAGCAGCCCACCCTGGGTCTTATACCCCAGGGAGATATGAGTCACCAGACAAAAGCACCGAAGAACATCCTGTTTCTAGGGGGGAGATTGGAACAGAGCCCAGACTCTTCTGGCCAATCCTTTCCCATCTCAGGATGTTACATTCTCAGCACATTCTACAGTTATTCTTGAGAACCATAAGTGAGAAAGGAAGGAGAACTGGGCTGGTTCCAGGCCACCCAGAGACTTGTCTTGCTGGGACAAATGGGAAAGCTAGAGGTGGCATCTACAAGATTTAATGGAACCGGGGTTGAGAGAGAGAGTAACACTTAAACCCTATTTAGTGTGCTTTGTCAAAGGTCATTATTTGCCTATTTTAATTAAGATGTTCTGTGTTGAATAATACCATTTCTATCCATGAGCAAAGAATCTTTATGTTTCCCAGTGGTACAAGGCTCAGTCCATCTAATCTAACAAATTGATGCTTTTAACAATGATGTGAACTGATTCCCAAATTACTCTCTGCTGCCAGACCGCGAGCTCCTAAGAAGTGCTGGGCCCGGGTGCTGTACAGACACGGTATGAGGCTTGTGTGGCCAGGAAACTCTCCTATTCACAAATACTTGTTGAAATAAAACAGTAGAGTAGTCAATTAATGCTAGCTGCTGTAACAAGCATCCCCAAATTATCAGTGGCTTAATGCAATCAGAGGTTACTTCATACTTACACAAAATCCAATGCAGATGTTCCCTTTGGTCATCTCTCCTGAGGAGCTCAGCTCCGGGTGATGCCTCTGGAATTTAAGTGGTTTTCATCAATGCTTTCTCAGAGTCCTTCACTAGACCCTTTGCATCAGGTTGAAGAATGAAGGAAGAGATCAAGTATGAAGGATGAATGCCCCTGCTTAACTGCTTTGGTCCAGAAGAGACACATATCACTTCCACTCACATTCCACTGCAAAAGGTAGTCACATGAATGCAAGCAAAGTTGAGAAACACAGTCCCTGGCTGTGCAGCTGCTTCCCTGAGGCAGCTCTACACTGTGGAAGAGGAGTGCAAGTCTTTGGTGTTTGGCTGTTGTCTCTGCAGTGAACAGAATGGTGAACAGAGCTTATATCCTAGTGGGGACCATAGACAAGAAACTATGAAAAGGAATGTGCCAGAGAAAGTGCCATTAGGGTGGGTGGGCCTGGAGAGGGAGTGTGGTCAGGGAAGGCTTCTTGGAAGAAGGTGCACCTGAGCTAAGACCTAAAGAGTGCATGGAGTTAATCAGGAAGAGGTGGAAGAGAGTGTTCCAACCAGAGGAGACAGAGTGTGCAAAGGAGACCTGGAAGAAACAAAGATGTTGTATTCTAGAACTGAAAGAAGTCCAGTGAAAACTATGAGGAAGGGGAAGCATGAGATGAAACTGGAGAGGCAGGCAGGGGCCAGCCCAATCATTCATGCATTCTTTCCCTCTATCAGCAGATACTTACCACATGTCTGGTATATGCCATTGTTCTAGGCAACGGGGCTAAAGCAGTGGGTAAAATAGACAAAGTCCTAAGGATCATGGACTTTTTGAGCCACAGTAAGGAAATCCCTTGAAGGGCATTCTGATTTGGGCATCGGAAAGCCAAAACATTTAGGGGAGGCTGCAGCCCTGCTGTCTCCCAGTGCCTGCATCCCTAGATGTGTGATGGAGCCATTGAGGCCACAGCCTGGAATTGGCTGCTGTGTGTGGATTCAATTTCCGGCATTTTGGGTAGCTGCCCTTTGTTGTGGATGGATTGTTTACTCGGCCATTTGTTGTAATCATTTCTGATCTTTTGCTTATTGTGTCAAAGATAAACGCCGCTTGGCTGATCCCCTGGGAGCGGGACGCCTGTTCCGCAGGGCTTTGTGAGCCATCGCCTCGCACTTGAAACAACCTGTTATTTCCTCCCTTGAAAGAGGCTCATAAAATGATAGATGACTCTCCAGTAACTATAATACCTTCCTAATGGTTAGAGAAACTGGAGCCATATAGCAGGAGCACAGTCTAGAAGAAAAATAGGAGAGTTAGAAAGACAAGCTTTAAAATAGAATGGCGTTGTAATGGGCAAAATGAAACACACGATGCTATTAGAATTCTGCCCCATGCATCTTTAGCACAGCATTAGCTGGAGAGCGGCCCCCTCTGCCAAGAGACCCTTCTTTCCCCAGGGTGGATGCCGTAACAGCGTTTGTTGAGTGACTGAACAATGGCAGTGTTTGTTGAATGACAAAATCCACAGATACTGTTTACTGTGCAAGTGATGGCTAAGTTCCTAAACATAGTACTGGGACCCCTGAAGGTACTGGAGAAATATGTCCTGATTAAACAAACAGATGATTCTAAATGCTCAACCCACAGGAAACTCAAAAACTGTGGGTATTTACCATGCCGCAGGCCCTATGTCAAGCACTCTGGGAAGAATAGCTTACTGACCTCAAAAGCCACACAGCTAATGGGTGAGAGATGTGGTCATTATAACCATAAACATAACGATGAAAGACACTGAGCCCCAAAATATGCATATATGCCAAATAGTGTTCCAAGGAAAAGAAGAGAAACTAAATTGTTTTTCCCTGACTGCAGCCAATTCCAACATGTCTGATAGTAATGACTGTAAGGTGTCCCTTTGAATTCTATTTAACTCAATCATAGCAGATTGCATTTCCCCAAAAAAGATGGCCACAACCATGTCTCACCTCCCACATGCTCTTCTCCAATATGACCTTGTTACTCTTTTGTCAAAATGTGGAGGGAGGGCAGGCACAGTGGCTCACATCTGTAATCCCAGAGCTTTAGGAGGCTGTGGTGGGAGGATTGCTTCAGCCCAGCAGTTTGAGCATAGCCTGAGCAACATAGTGAGATCCCATCTGCACAAAAAAATACAAAAATTAGCTGGACATAGTGGTGTGTGCATGTAGTACACACACACACACACACACACACACACACACACACACACACACACATGCGCGCACTCGCGCACAAAGTGGATGGAGCCTAATTCCCTTCCTCTTGAATCTCTGTGGGCTTGTGCTATGGTTTGAATGAGTCACCTCCAAAATTCAGGTGTTGCCAATGTGACAGTATTGAGAGGGGGACCTTTAAAAGATGTTTAAGCTGTGAAGTTTTCTCCCACGTGATTAGGTGCCCTTATTAAAGGGCTCAAAGTGGGGAGTTTGTTCCTTTTGCCCTTTGGCCTTCCTCCATATGAGGATACAGTGTTCCTTCCCTCTGGAGCATATGGCATTCAAGACACCATCTTGGTGTGGAGAAAAGGGAACCCTTGTACACTGTTGGTGGGAATGTAAATTAGTGTAACCACTATGGAGAACAGTTTGGAGGTTCTTCAAAAAACTGAAACTAGAGCTCCATATGACCCAGCAATCCCACTGCTGGGTATATACCCCAAAGAAAGGAAATCAGTATATTGAAGAGATATCTGCACTCCCATGTTGCAGCATTGTTCAGAATAGTCAAGATTTGAAGCAACCTAAATGCCTATCAACAGATCAATGGATAAAGAAAATGTAGTACTTACACACAATGGAGTACTATTCACCCACAAAAAAAGAATGAGATTCTGTCATCTGCAACAACATGGATGAAACTGGAGGTCATTATGTTAAGTGAAATAAGCCAGGCACAGAAAGACACACACTGCATGTTATAACCTATCTGTGGGATTGAAAAATCAAAACAATTGAGCTCATGCAGATAGGGAATAGAAAGATGATTACCAGAGGCTAGGAAGGGTAGTGAGAGGACAGATGGGATGGCTAATGGGTTTAAAAAAATAAAAATAAAAAGAATGAATAAGACCTAGTATTCGATAGTACAACAGGGGGATTATAGTCAATAATAAATTAATTATACTGTTTAAAGTAATGAAAATAGTATAATTGGATTGCTTGTAACACCAAAGGATAAATGCTTGAGGGGATGCTTACCCAATTTTCCATGATGTGATTATTACATGCTACATTCCTGTATCAAAACATTTCATGTACCCCATAAATATATACAGCTACTATACACCCACAAAAAATTAAAATGTTTAAAAAAAGACAACATCTTGAAAGCAGAGATAGGATCCTCACCAGACAAGGAATCTACTGGCACCTTGATTTTGGACTTCCCAGCCTCCAGAACTGTGAGAAATAAATTTCTGCTCTTTCTAAATGACCCAGTCTATGGCATTTTGTTATAGCAGCACAAAGACAGCTGGAAGGCTTCACCCAACAGAGAATGACAGAGATGCTGTCACTAAGTTCATGCAGCCCTGCTTTGTTCACTAGAACATTTGCTCGTGGAGCCCTGAGCCACTGAGTAAGAAGCCCAGCTACCCTGAGGCCACCATGCTGTGAGGAAGTGAAGCCACGTGGAAAAGCATTTCAACTGCAATCTAGTCTCTGTGTCATCCCAGCCCACATGTGAGACTTGTGAGCAAATGAGCCTTCAGAGGACTCCAGCCCCAGCCTTTGAATGTTCCCAGCTGATGCTCCAGACATCGTGGGGCAGAGCCAAGACATCCCTGCAATGTCCCGACCCACAGAATTCATGTGAATTATAAAACCTCCTGCATGATAAAACCTGCTAAATTGGGGGAGAGGGGTAATCTCGTTACCCAGTGTTATGTGTGACACTGAGTTATGCCCCCTCCTCAAATTTATATGTTGAAGTCCTGACCCCCGATACCTCAGAAGGTGACTGTGTTTGGAGATAGAGCCTTTAAAGAGGTGCTTAAAGTAAAATGAGGTCGTATGAGTGGGACCTAATCTAACATGACTGGTATCCCCAAAAGAAGAGGAAATTTGGATACAGACACATCCAGAGGGAAGACCCTGTGAGACACAGGGAGAAGGTGGCCATCTACAAGCCAAGGACAGAGGCCTGAGAAGGAACCAACCCTGCCAACACCTCCATCTCCGACTTCCAGCCTCCAGAACTGTGAGAAATAGATTGATGTTGTTTAAGCCACCAGTATGTTGTACTGTGTTACTGCAGCCTGAGCAGACAGATACACACAGGAATAGTAATCAGGACATCAGCTCACCCTTACGGGTCCCACTCCAAGCCAGGCCCTGGGCTGGGGGCTGGGGATGCTGCCCTGACCTCAAGGAGCTCTCAGTGGAGAGCAGGGAAAGAGACACATAAATGAGCAATTAAAGGGCATGAGGCTGGAGGATGGTGTCTGGTTGCCAAGAGGATGAAGGGGCTAAGGAATGCTTCAGGGAGGGGTGGTGTTCGAGCTGGACTTTAAAAGGATAGTGGAGGTTCCCCACACAGAGAAGGGGAAAGGGGATCCCAGGCAGGGGGCTGGCTGAGCAACAGCACAGGAGTGCAAAAGGGTCTAGAGGTGAAAGCCAAGATAAAACAATAAGCTCCCGGTGGTTCGTGGCAGAGTCCAGGGGGATGCTATTGACCACAGGTGAGGGCTGGCTCACAAAGAGCCTTGAACGCCATGATTAGGGGTCTTCTGGGTGTGTTTGCTGGGTCCCCAAAGCTGGAGAGGGCGGCATAAAGCCAGCTGGAGGGTGGTGAAGGGAAACTTGGGCTTGAAATCAATAAAGGCAGGACACAAGCCTCCACCAGGGCCTGTTCCCAGCGACGGGGAAGCAGTGGGAAAACCCAGTCCGGCTCCGGATCAAGCGTTCTGCCCAGGGCTCCCCAGGCTGGGCAGCGGGCCGGTGGGGAGCCTGGGGGTGGTGCAGTGGGCAGGCCTGAGCCGCCATGAATATGCATGATCCCGCCCTGGAAGCCCGGCTTCCTGTGGAGCGTTTACCACGCTTTATCTTGACAAGGTGATGTCCTTCAGTAGAGGACATTATATGGCTCTTAGTTCAGCAGTTCTGTCAAGTCCAAGGCAGGCGTTTGATTTCCGCTTCATACATATGCTTAGGTGCTCAGAAAAGGCAACGGGGAGAGGAACGGCGAGGCCAGGGAGGGAGGTGAGCCCCAAGGAGGAAGCCGTGGGCTCTCCTCGGACTGCTTCCCGGCCGGCTCTGACTTACAGCTGACTTTGGCCGCGCTGGCCGTGGGCCGCATGTTAACAGCCCCGACACTCATCCCAGCAATCTGGGGCCAACTGCTGGCCAACTTGTCCTGGCCCTGCCACTGGCCCTCTGGGTGACCACTGGGTGACCATAAAGAAGTGTCTTTCCCTCTCTGGGTCACATCTCCCACCTCTGACAATTGAAGGAATTGCATCAGTGGTCAATTCAAACTTTTTATTTTTCCTTCTAAAGCAGCTAAACCCTGACTCCAAACAAAATTTGCACGGAGCATAATAAAACTGCTGCAGTTGAAACAAAATAGTCAGAAATCCTTTCCCTCTCCATGGTCTCTGAGGTGCCCCTAAGATCCCCAGGCTGCACAGAGCTCAGACAAGAACCTCTGTGTTAGGTCTTTTCTGCATGCTCTAGGCCAACATTCTGGGACCTGAAAGCCCCTTGTTAATTTCAAAACGCTCCACTGACCCCATGCAGGAGGATAATTGTATTTTTAGTACCCACCCCCACCCCTGCCACCACCATCAAGAACATTAACGTTTAACAAAAACAACTGTGGATTTGGCAACAGTTCAAGTAAATTTGTATTTTGTTTATTACAGCATCTATATCCATTTTAAAATAGCAATTCATGGAAATTAAAGATAAATTTATTCAGCCCACAGCAGCATTTCCCAAAGTGTTTCTCAGAACATGAGCCCTTCTAGGAGAGTAGTTATGAAAGCTTAGTGGGCATTAGAATCATCTGGTGGGCTTGATCAAATCGCAGATCTTTCAGGCCCCGTTGGGGGAAGTTCTGATGCAGGATATGAGAGTCAGAGTGGAGACCAAGAGTCTCATTTTTAGGAAGCCTCTTAGGTGGTTCTGATGTCAGTGCTTTGGGAACTCACACTTTGAGGTATGCTGCCCTGGATACTCTGTTAAAAAAAGAAAAAGGAAGGCACGGTGTAGTGGGTCACACCTCTAATCTCAGCACCTTGGAAGTCCAAAGTGGGCGGATCGCTTAAGCCCCAAGAGTAGGAGGCAAGCCTGAGCAATATGGCGAGACCCCATCTCCACCAGAAAAAATACAGAAATTAGCTGGGCATGGTGGCACGTGCCCTAGTCCCAGTTACTCGGGAGGCTGGGGTGGGAGGATCACCTGAGCCTGGGAAGTCGAGGCTGCAGTGAGCCATGATCATGCCACTGCACTCCAGCCGGACCAACAGAATGAAACTCTGTCTCAAAAAAATAAAAAAATAATTTAAAAAATAATAAGGCTGGGGAGAGAAAAGCAGCATTTTTTGGTTAAATAAGGTTAGGAAATTATAAGCTCTCTGCCCATCTTGAAGCTTTATAGTAGAATAATAAAAGATCTGAGGAGTCTAGCAGTTTCTAAACTTCTTTGACCACATAAGTCTTTTTTTTTTTTTTCTAAGTACCAACATTTAATTCTGGAATATGTTTTGAGAAGGGCTGGCTTATGGACAAGTTTCGATAATATACATATGAGTTTGGGGTTCTTTACAATAATTTCTTGGCCTACTCAGTAGATATTAATTCTTTCTTCTCTGTTAGCTTTTTATGGCTCCAAACCAAAGGGCAGTTCACAGGGAAAGGAGAAGTCCACCAGCAAACACCTCATCTCTTTCTCCAGCAAAGAGCAAGGAAATAGCTGGCATTCACAAATCCATCCATATCCTTCGTTTGACTTATAACCTATAAGACAGGCATGTTACAGAGCCTCTCTCTGGCTTTATAGTGAGACTGGCTGTATATAATAGTGCTAGAGCATGAGGACTTTGGAGTCCAATGGCTTTGGGTTCAAATCCTAGTTTCCACTTAATACCACCTGTGTGACGTGAGCAAGACACTGCCCCTCTCAGAGCCTCTGCTTCCTTGTTCTTTAAAATGGAGATAATACATAGCTCATCATTTCATTATGAAGATCAGATGGGAGAACAGAAGCAAAGCATTGGGCACACAGGAAGCACTCAGGAACAAGGGTGATATGATTACTACTTACAGGATCAAGGATAATATGAGCTTATATCTATGGGCAGATAAGGATGGGATCTGGAAGAGGTGAACCGCACCAGCTGGGGATGCCTGGATTAAGGCAGTGGGCAATGAAGTCTCTGTTCTAGGTTTCTGCTTTCTTACACTTTCTACTTCTAGACCATTCATTCTCAAACTCGACTTTTAGAATCTCCTGCAGACCAGACCAAAGAAATCAGAATCTTCAGAGTCAAACCCAAGCATTAGGATTTGTGAAATTGTTGGCCCTAACTTCTCTTCTGAGTTCAAAGCCTATATATTTATTTCACATCTCTTTTTGGATATCTCTTCCTCAACATATCCAAAACTGACCTCCTGGTCTTCATCCCAAATGTGGACCTCTCTCAGTGTTTCTACGTCCAATGAATGGCATCAGCCCCCAATTCCAATAGCCAGACACTTAGAAGTCCTCCTCTAGCTCTCCCTTCCCCTAGCTCCTATTGAGGGTTGAATGTTTCAACGTCTTTCTATCCTCATTACTATCTACCATTCAGTTCAAGCTACCAGCTTCTTTCACTTGGACCACTGCAACAGCCTCCTGGTTTATACATATGCACTTGGATCTGCCTCCTGCTCATTCTCCTCACCTCAGCCAGAATGACTCCCTCTAAACACAATTCCAATTGCAAATCCTCATACTGTGGCTTTTCCCAGCACCTACCTGCCCTTCATTGTACCTGTTGGAGTAGGAGAGCAACATTTGTCTCTGTGACTATTTGTTTTTGTTTGTTTGTTTTGAGACAAGATCTTGCTCTGTTGCCCAGGCTGGAGAGCAGTGGCACAAACAGGACTCACTGCAGCCTCAACCTCCCAGGCTCAAGTGATTCTCCCACCTCAGCCTCTGGAGTAGCTGAGGCTACAGGGAGGCGCCACCACACCTGGCTTATTTATTTATTTATTTATTTATTTATTTATTTTTGTAGATACCAGGTCTGACTGTGCTGCCCAGGCTGGTCTCAAACTCTTAGGCTCAAGCAGTCCTCCCACCTTAGCTTCCCAAAATGCTGAGATTAGAGGCATGAGCCACCATGCCTGACCACCATTCCATTGATCCCCACACCCCACCACTACCAGGTTCTAAGTTCCTTGAAGGCAAGGCATATTTCTGTCTAGCTTTCCATTGTTTAAAGTACATAGAAGGCACTGAATAAATGTTTCAGTACCATTCAAGCAACTCCATTAGAAACCCCTTTCCAGGGAATTTTTTCATCTACATTCTTACTGGTGGGCTTTAATGAGGATTCCCAAAGAATGTGGAGTTGTAGGTATGAGTTTTAATTAACTCCAATAGGCATTTAATGTAGATTTAATAAGACAGTTATTGTATGTTAATTAAATGTCAACTGATTGCTAAAAGGTTTTTGCAATTATTGAAGTTTACTAATTATCTAATAGATAAATCAGTTTCCCATGTAAATAACTAGCATCTCCATAAGCAATAAATGTGCCATTAGATTCCACACATTAACATATTGAAATTAGAGGTTAGCCCCTCAGGGAATTCTAGAAACCGGTGTCCAATCCAGGGAGGGAAGGTACCAATCTTCTCGTCGCTCTTCTGCCCCATCCGTTGGGAGGCAGCGAGAAACTGAAGATGAACCTGCTCAAAGCCAGGCCTGGTTTTACGAAAGCTTACTTACCAGGCTTTCAAAAGCCTGAAACTGATAGCAGAGAGAGGGGTCAACTGCACAAGGTCCCTTCATGGCCTTGAGGATCTGTCTTGCCAATTGTAAAAGGGGGATCTCTAAGGCTCCCCACCCCCTGGAGATCTGTGACCACTGCATGGCTCATATATGAGCACCACTCACGGTGTCGTACTGTCCCCTCTCCAGGACTCTACTCCATGACTCACGGCCCAAGCCCCGGCTCTTCCACCCATCACTGTGTAACCGTGGGAAAATCACTTCCCTCCCCAAGCCTCAGTTTCCCAATCTGGAAAACCCATCCCCTGTGATTGTACAGATATTTAATCTATTCATTCAGAAGCAAATGACTATGAATCTGAGTGAGGAGTGAAAACAGAAGGTAGGAAAGATAATGAGAAGAAATGGGGATGTTATGAGAGTAAAACTGAGCAATTGTAAACTACCATGTGCTGGATACTGTGCCACGCATTGCCAGATATTTTTTATTTAATTCTTAACTACTCTCCAGTTTGAGGTGGTTCAGATTATCCCCATTTTAGACACAGGGAAAAAGACGCAGAGAGGATAAGAAATTTGCATAAGTTATACAGCGAGAGAGTGGTAAAGGCCCAGAGCTCAACTGCAATGCTTAGTGTCCCTCCTGACCTTTGCTCTGCCACCCAGGGTCACAGGAAGTTAAACTGAATCTCTCTAAATGCAGCCCTTCTGAAATGGGAATAAGAGCTAAATCCAAGCCAGCGTTTACTACATTCCAGGCAGTATTTCTAAGCACTTTGCATGTATAATTTTTCCTAATTCTTGCAACAATCCTATGAGCTGTTATTTTACAGATGAAAAAATAGGAATCACAGAGGAATTTAGTAACTTACTCAAGGTCACATAGCTACAAAGGAGCAGAACCCAGAATCTGAACCCAGGCAAGCAGACCCTGTGCTAGGGCTAGACCACCCTGAACACTTGCAGGACACAAATGGAGGACCATGTACCACAAGTCTAAACAATTAAAAATTCTAAATATGTTGAATGAAAGACTTTGACAAATATAAATTCACAAGGACTTGCAAGTCCAGACTTGCATTTAGATCCTTGGATTCTGCAAAGCTCCACACTGGCCAGAGCCCTTCTCTGTTCACAAAATACCCCAACACCTGCAAGCAGCTGCCTTTTGCCCACGCCTCGCACTGTGGCCTGCTCTAGGAGGATGGACCCAGGGAAGAGGCCCACAGAGGCCCTGGAAGTGGGTTCAGGGGCACTGGGACAGGAAACCCTGGTATTCCAGGTACCTGGAATATGATCTTCATCTAGAATGAAAAGTAGGGTTCCAGGTGAGAGCAACCCCTAGATGCAAGAGTTGCTTATCCAGAAGAGGAGTGGGGCTGAGGAGGGCTAGAGAAGCTCCTTTTAAAGCCCAGAGCTCAGGGCAGGGGCATCTCTTGCCCAAGTCTATGGCAGGGGGGCAGCCCTGCCCTTCACCCTCTGCCATATTGGCCATGTCAAGTTGTGGAGCTAAGATTCGAACCCAAGCAATCTGACTCCAGAGCTTAAGTTCTTAATCACTCTACTCGAAGGACCTGGAAGTCCTCCCTTGTCTAAGGGATGGGCCAGCAATGGGAGATATCAAGGCAGTCAACAGTGTGGAAGCACTCTGCTTCCAGAGTGATACAAAGCCACGCAGACACTTACTAACACTGATACCGAGCACCTCACTTTAGCTTTCTGAGCTTCAGCTTTGTTACTGGTTAAACAGGGATAATCTTAGCTGCTTAATTTTGAGAAGTTGTTATGGCATAATATGACAGTGTTTGTAAAATACTGAGTACTGTCCCAGGCACATAGTAAGTTCTCAATAATGTTAGAGACATAGACAAGTACCTCTGTGTCTACAGCTATTTCTGCCCGAAGTTAGACCGTCAAGGGCCTGTCTCTTCCCAGCTGCAAGTTCTCCAGCTCTGATTTCTGAGATGCCCTGTTTTGTGTCCCCGTTTGGGGTTTCCCCAGGACCATCACCTCCCACCTCCTATGCCAGCTCCAAGGGTCCAGCAAACCAAGGCCCTGCAGCCACAGCACAGCCAGGAGTGCCAAGCCTGTGGGCACCTCCTCAGCCTTTCTGGGGATCTAGCTCTGAATATTAAAAGTCCCATTTGCAGGAATTCTCTTCCATCCTGAGAAAGTGATGTCTTTGGGGAATCCTCTTCCTTTCAGTGACCAGGAGGCCAGGGGATTTTCAGCCAATGAAGACTCACAAAGCAAATAAAGGGGGACAAACCCCCCAAACGGCTCCCAGGACCCCTGGGGTCAGAAGCCAGGCACTGCATTTATGTGCAAATGGAGGCGGATTAGGGATTAGGGATTATCAGAGTCCCGAATTACATGCAGCTGCCAGATCTCTTTGTCGAGGGATCAGGGAGATTTCTTGGCCTCCCCCTGCTCTCCCCTCCCCTCCCCTGTGCTGTCAGAGGCAGAAGGCAAGAGGGACTCATGAGGCCCGCTGGGGGAGGGCTGGGGAAGAGGTAGGGAGAGGCAGGCCTCAAATCAATAGGCAGTCCACGTGGCCCAGCTGCCAATGGCGATCGATGCATCTTCCTGCTGATTCCTGCACATCCGGCAGGGGTGGGGTCACTTGTGAGCTCAGCAACTCAGTCCCCAGCTCTGGCCTTTTCTGGAAAAGCAGCTGGCCCCAAGAAGGGTGCTGTTCCAGAAACATATCTTCCAAGTGTAACCGTCACCATCAAACCTTTCCTTGTATTGACAAATTATATCATCTTCACGTCCACTCTGCAAACTTTGGCAAGGCCCTGCCCAAGGTGCCACAGCTCAAAGAGAAGGAATGAGAGCTTGGGTCTTCCAGTTCCCATCCAGGGCTCTCTGGGTTTACATTGTGATGTCTGTTCTTTGCAAGCCAGAAATTCAGATAGCATGCTTTTTTTTTTTTTTTTTTTTTTTTTTTGGTATATCTCTTTACTAAATACTGATACAGAACCAAGAAAAAAATACTTAAAATGACTCTCACAGGTAGTTATGGTCATCTCCATTTTAAAGCACAGAGGGCTGAAGTTTAGAGGGGTTTAGTAGTTGGCCCAAGGTCACCCAGCAGTGATGACAGCATCTGGAACACAGCCCTTGTCCTGACCCCTACGGCCTCGGGAGTTTGGCAACCCATGCTAACAAAGCTGAAGGCCGCTGAGAGGTCAAGACAACTCCCAGTCCTCAGGAGCCTGCCCTAGGGGACACACAACATCCTGACGCAGTACCCTGGGGTCATTGCTCCCCAGAACAGCTTCTGGGAAGTTGCCCATTCCTTCACTGGCCACCATGGTCGAAGCATCTTGGGATGTCCCAGCCCAGAGGATGAGGAGGCTTTGGGGATGGGGGTGGACACAGAGACCAAAACAGCCCTTGCAAAGCAGCCTTGGCTCTCACTGAGAAGATGGGCTCCCTTCCCTGCCCCTCAGGGGGCTGAGATTATAGACTCTGGCTGAGACCTGTGGGAGGCCACCCTGGGCTTTTAGCTCTTAATGCTTAGACTTGGGGGAAATTCACCTGCAAAGTCACAAGCAGGAAAACAGTCTCAACCAGAGCTTGGCAAACTTTGGCGGTAAAAGCCCAGGTAGGAAATATTTTAGGCGTTTTTAGTCCTGTATGTTCTCTGTTCCATACTCTTGTTTTTCTTTACAACCCTTTGAAAAATGTAAAAATCATTTTTAGCTCAAGGGCCCGGGCTGCAGGCTGGAATTGGACCTGACGCCCCATAGTTTTCCGACCTCTGGTCTGCCTTTCCTCGTCCCCTGGGATTGAGGTGGGGGTCTGGGCTTATATCTCAGCAACTTCTGTTTATATCTCCTTGGCCCTACAAATGAAGGCAGTTGTAGGGAAGTGAGTATTTTTAACTGTGTGCATTGCTGCCCCAAGTTAAAGGCTAGGGTAGGTGCTGGGCTGGGGCTGGGACTAAGGTGGAGGCAGGATCCAGGGTGGCGAGGCTTCAATTCCAACTGAGGCTGGGACTGGGACTAGCCGGGCTGGTGCTGGGGCAGCTGTAACGGAGCCAGACCCGATCCCCACATTCTCCCCTCAGCGAGAATCAATAACCATTTGAATTTCTTTCATCTGAGCAGGGATAGCAACACAGGCAAACACGGAGAGGGGAAAGGCATTGATCTTCCCAGCTGCTGCCAACCCCTCCTTGGTGTTCTCACCGCCCCCATCTTGCCATCTGGCCTTCCCTCCCCCCAGGCCTCTCTGCTCGACATCCACAACCGCTCGCTGTCCCACACTCAGGCACCTGAGGGACCTCAGAGGCAGAGAGCGATGCAAGGATGTTTTGGTCCCCACAACAACCAAGCCCATCCCGTTGATGTGGATAAGAGGACCCCACTTTGCAGCTGGGCTCCCCTTGGGGAACCTCCACCTCTTCTCTTGGGGCAGCCTGATTCTTATCCCCTGGGCCAGCTCCCCCACCCTGCCAGCTTCAGAAATCCATTTTCATATTCATGCATCTGAGAGACAAAGCAGGTATTTCATGATTGGCTTCTTGTGCAGACTGTGATTTCAGATTCAGCCAACACTGGTGTGGTTCCCTGAGGTGTTAGATAATGGATTTCATGGGGAGACACTGGAGGCAGAGTGTGCAGCTAGGAGGATGAGGCACAGGGATGGACGGGAGACGGTGGAGGCCTGAATTGGATATGAAGGAGGAGAGGGGGTGGATTGAAACAGATCTGTGATATGAGACTAGTAAGATTTAATGATAGGATGAGGGAGAAGGAAGACTCTGGGACAATCCACAGGATTCTGGATTGGGTGAGTGGTGGCAGGTCACTCACTGAGAGAGGTGACCAGGAGGAGAATTGGGTTTGCAGAGGAATATGGTGACCCCGGTCTTGAATCTGTTGACTTGGAGTCAGCAAATGAAAAAGGCTGGAGGGTTGTTGTATGAGTCTAAATCTTACGGAGCAGCCTGAACTAGAAATAGGAATTTGAGCATCCTCATTTCTACTCCCATCTTCTTATAAAACCCAGAGCTCCTGTGCGACCCTTGCCATCTGGTTATACGGCCCTCTCTTGTTCCAATTCTCTACTGACCACTCTTCCTCACTCACTGAAGGCTTAAGATCCTGCAGCCCAGTTCGGCTTGGGGCAGCTCAGTTAAAAATATTGACTTCCTTACATGCCCTTTCACTTAGAGTGGCCAACTACCCCA
Source organism: Homo sapiens (assembly GCF_000001405.40). Lineage (NCBI taxonomy): Eukaryota > Metazoa > Chordata > Mammalia > Primates > Hominidae > Homo > Homo sapiens. The sequence continues at coordinate 38,283,222 of NC_000001.11, read as the reverse complement.
ACTCCTTCTTGATGTCCTGACTTCCAGATGGGGAAGCCTTCCACACCCTGGCTTTTTAGTTCTTGGCCTCTCCATCTCCCCTTTCCTCTCCTCTACATTTTTCGTACCTTGTCACCCCCAGAAACTTCCCCACCTCTGAAATAATCAATTAAAAATACCCACTCTCCAATCAAAATCTATTATTCTAGTTTCTTTCTACAAGTTCCTAAGACTCCAAGTCATTGGTCCTTACACTTTCTATACCCCCCCCTTTTTTTTTTTTTTTTTTTTTTGGAGACAGAGTCTTGCTCTGTCACCCAGGCTGGAGTACAGTGGAGTGATCTCTGCTCACTGCAGCCTCCACTTCCTGGGTTCAAGTGATTCTTGTGCCTCAGCCTCCCCAGTAGCTGGGATTACAAGCTCGTGCCACCACACCTGGCTAATTTTTTGTATTTTTAGTAGAGATGGAGTTTCACCATGTTGCCCAGGCTGGTCTCAAACTCCTGAGCTCAAGCAATCCACCTGCCTTGGCCTCCCAAAGTGCTAGGATTACAGGCATGAGCCACCACACTCAGCCTACACTTTCTATCCTTAAACTCCCTGTGTAGCTTTGAAATTGTCTTTTACTGGAAATCCAACTAAGTCAGCTTAACCAAAAAGGAACCTATTTTTCCTCCCCTAACAAGATATAGACAGACGACAGCAGCTTAAGGAAGTCATCAAACTCCGCTGGCTTCCTGGTCTGCTGTGTTTTGAGGGTGGCTTTCGTGCTTCTTGTAGTCCCTTGCATTACCAACCCCAGTGCTTGACCCCTCCCTGCTGCCCATCTGTTATCATTTGACTTTGCAGTTCTTCCCACTAAAGGAGACAAATAAATGTCTCCACCTCCTGGCTTTGGGTTTCGCCATGCTTTGACCAACAAGATGAGGCAGAAAATGACTGTGTACCAGTTCTAGGCTTAGGCCTTAAGAGACTCTGCATTTCCACTTGTTCTCTTGGGCTTCCTCCATTGCCCATGAGAAGAACATGCCCCAGAAGGAGGATGAGAGATGCCTGGAGCAGCACCTCCCCAGCTGCCACAGCCTGAAGCAAAGCTGAACAACCCAGCCTGGCCTAGAGCAGCCGAATCACAGGCAACCAGGAGATTCATGGGAAGCTGCGTTTGGGGGGTAGTTTGTTTGGCAGCGTTATTACGGCAAGGGTTACCAGATACATGCATGATCTCAAGATGGAAGGCTCCACTCTAGCCCCTTCATCTCATTCTAGCGATAAAGAAGGACAAAGAGAAGAAGGCACATCCCAGATGAGTTTTTCCACTTTCAACAGCCTTCATAGAAGTCTCACTCAGCAACTTCTGCTGACATCTCATTGGCCAGAACTGTTCCTAATGGCCACTCTGAGTGAAAGGGCATATAGGGAAGTGAGTATTTGTAACTGAGCTGTCCCCAGCCAAAGCAAGTTTTTTTTTTTTTTTTTTTTTTTGCCTGTCACTCTCCCCCATGACTTAATTTTCCTCCTTATCTGGCTTAGATTTCAGAGTTTGTCATTATAGTCCCTCCGTTCAAATGTCCCCAACTCTCTTGCCCATCCCTCTGGCCATTACTGACATCATAAGAGCCCAGCTTTGAATAAAACCAACTATCCGTCTTCTCAGCAGCTTGACCCAAGAGGCTGAATGTGTTGAAGAAATCACACCACTGGGCAACCTGAAGCCATCATGAATCAATGATCACCTACCTCCAAAAGAAAATCTACTACATTTGAACTCACCCTACACGTCCCACACTCTATACATTTGCCTCTGTTTTCAAACCTCTAATGTCCCCTTCACCCCCTCACTCTCAGCAGATAAACTTTTCTTATAGTTCACAAAGAGACAGAAAGCATCAGATTGGGAATGTCCTCCACATCTCGCCACCAGATCTTCTAATCTGCCAGCAGTCGCGCTGGACTTACCAACTCCTCCCATCCTCATGGCTAAGCCTATATGTCTCTGTACTGAGGTCTCCCAAGTCTCCCAACCCCAACTAGACTAGGTTTTCTGGACTTACACACTCCTAGTACTACCTGGTACTTCCCCAGTATAGCACTTATTATCATAATTATATATATTTGTATAGTTCTTGCTTATTGTCTCTTTATACCATTTATGCACTGACTTAACACATATGTGTTGCATGTTTACCATTATTTTAGTTGCTGAGGAAGCAGCAATGAACAAAACAAAGTCTCCGGCCTCATGATGTTTACTAATCTGTGAGCTCCAAGAGGACAAGTACCGTGCTTGTCTTTCTCATCAATATTTTCCCAGTACCCAATTCAATGTCTGGCATCTCCTGGGAGCCCCATAAATAGTTGTTGAATCAAGGGCTTTGCAGGAAGCCAAGAGGTTAGATGAGCAGGTAGTGAGCCCATGCTATAACTCTAGGGAGCACTAACATTTATGGATAGGAAAAAGAAACAATAGTCTACCAATGACAGTAAAAAGGAACAGTCAGACAGATAGAAGAACTAGTAATATGCGATGTCCAGAAGCCAAGGGGGAAACAAGTTTATGACAGAAGGAGTCAATTGCAGCAAAAGCAATTGCTATCTCCAGTAGTATAAAACCGGGCTTGTCATAAGGAGAACATTGATTGCCTTTACCAAAGAAAAGTGATGGCAGCCAAAGGCAAATTGTAGTCAGGTAGGGAGTTCCTGGGAATTCAAGAGGTAGACTCAACAGGTATGAAACAAGGCTGGGCATGGTGGCTCACACCTGTAATCCCAGCACTTTGGGAGGCTGAGGTGGGCAGATTGCTTGAGCCCAGGAGTTTGAGACCAACTTGGGCAACATGGTGAAACCTTGTGTCTACAAAAATACAAAAATTAGCCAGACATGATGGCATGCACCTGTAGTCCCAGCTATTCAGGAGGCTGAGGTATGGGGACTGCTTGAGCTCAGGAGGCGGGCAGTTGCAACGAGCTGAGACTGCACCACTGCACTCAAGCCTGGGTGACAGAGCGAGACTGTATCTCTAAATAAATACATAAATAAGCAAACAAACAGGTATGAAACAAGGACTCTTTCAAGAAGCTCGTCTGGTTGTTGAGGGATACTTTGGGAAGAGTATCTCACTCAGACTCATACGATCATAGGGCAGGAAGAAGTTGGTTAGCAAACACTTAATGAGAAACTACCATATACTACACATTAATCTAGTACACAACATAGATAGAATCCCTGACTACTCGTGGGGAGAGATAGAAAATAAATACATAAGTAAAAAAGATAATTTTAGGCACCAGGAAGTGCTGTGAAGAATATAAAATAGGAATAACAAGTTAGAGGGTAACTGGCAGGTCTGCATTAGCTCAGAGGGTCAGGGAAGGCCTCCATGACAGGGTGACATGTGAGGTAAAACTGGAACAAGACAAAGGAAGCAGACAGTTAGACAGAGGAAATGCAAGTGTAAAGGCCCCAAGGTGGGAATGCTGAACTTCAGCATGTTTGAGAAACAGCAGGAAGACTACTATGGCTGAGGTGCAGCAAGTGAGGGGAATGAGGTCAGAGAGGAGAGCAGGGGCCACTTCTTATAGAACCCCCTAGACTGTGGTTAGATGTTTGGATTTTGTTCTAATTTAAATAGAAAGATGACTTCAGCTGCTCTGTGGAGGAGGGGCCACAGGGGACAAAAGCAGAATCAGGGACACCATTGAGGAGGTGGTGGTTGTATCCAGGCAAGAAAGCTGTGACAGACAAAATGGTAAGAAGTGCTCATATTCTTGATATATTTTGTAGGTTTAATCACAAAGGTTGATAGGTTGGATGGAGTTGGGGGCAAAAGAAAAAGGAATCAAGAAATGATTTCTATTCAACATTGTATTGGAGATCCTAGCCAATGCAATTAGGCAAGAAAAAGAAATAAAAAGCACACAGATAGAAATGAAGAAATATATCTGTCTCTATTTGTGGATGACATGGTGGTCTACATAGAAAATCATGCAAATTGTAGATTGTCTACAAATAATCTTTACAAAAGCTATTAAAACAGATAAGATTAGCAAGGTCATAGTATACAAAGTCATATACAAAAATTAAATGGCACAATCAGTTAGCATGTGGTACTTATACAAAGTCACATATAAAAATCAATTCTTGTTCTAGATACAAGCAATGAACAACTGGAAATTAGAAACTTAAAGGTATTACTTATAATAACACCAAAAAACTTAAAATGTTATTATAAATCTAGCAAAATATATACGTAAAAAACTACCAAAACTGATTAAAGAATTCAAATATAACTGAAAGAAGTTGAAAGACATATTGTGTACATGGATTGGAAGAATACTGTTAAGATGTCAGTTCTCCCCAAACTGATCTATTGATTCAGTTCAATGCCTATCAAAATCCCAGAAGAAAATTTTGTAGAAATCAACAAGCAGATCCTAAACTTTGTATGGAAAAACAAAGAAATTATAATAGCCAAAACAACTTTGAAAAAGAAGAACAAAGTCAGAGAAATCACACTACCTGACGTTAAGACTTACTATAAAGCAAGAGTAATCAAGATGTGGTGTTGGCAAAAAGAGAGATCAATAGAATAGAACAGTGTCCAGCAATAGACTCCTATATACATGGTTAATTGATTTTTGACAAAGGTGAGAAGGCAATTCAATGACAAAAGAACAGTCGTTTAAACAATAGTTCTGGAATAATTGTACATAAATATGCAAAAAATAGAAAAGAAAGTTTAAAAATAAAATTGATCCACACCATGTACCATACATAAAAATTAACACAAAATGGCCAGGCGTGGTGGCTCATGCCTGTCATCCTAGCACTTTGGGAGGCCGAAGCAGGCGGATCACCTGAGGTCAGGAGTTCGAGACCAGCCTGACCAACATGGAGAAATGCCGTCTCTACTAAAAATACAAAATCAGCCGGGTGTGGTAGCACATGCCTGTAATCTCAGCTACTCAGGAGGCTGAAGCAGGAGAATCGCTTGAACCCACAAGGTGGAAGTTGCGGTGAGCCAAGATGGTGCCATTGCACTCCAGTGTGGGCAACAAGAGTGAAACACTGTCCAGAAAAAAAAATTAACACAAAATAGATCATAGGCCTCATAAAACTTTTAGAGAATAAGAAGGGTGGGGGAGCTTTGGACTAGGAAAAGCTTTCATAGACATGAAACTAAAAATATGATCCATAAAAGAAAAAATTCATAACTGAACTTCAATAAAATTTGAAAGACACTGCTAAGAATGAAGAGGGAAACCATAGATGGAGAGAAAAATATTTGCAAAGCAGACATCTGATAAAGAATATGTAAAGAATTCTTAAAACTCAGTAATAAAAAAAGAAAACAACTTAAAAATGGGTAACAGTTTTGAACAGACACTTCTCCGAATAATATATAGATGCCAAAAACAACAACAACAACAACAACATATAAAAAGATGTTCAACATTATTAGTCACTAGGGAAATGTAAACTAAAACCACAAGGAAATACCGTCACACACCCATTGGAATGGCTGAAAAGTTTTTTAAAATAAGCAGTACCAAGTGCTGACAAGGATACAGAGCAATTGGAATTCTCATGCATTACTGATGGAATGCAAAATGGTATAGTTTGGAAAACAGTTTGGGACTTTCTTATAAATTTAAACATCATTTTCCTTATGAACCAGCAATCTCACTCCTATGTATATTTACTCAGGAAAAATGAAAACATGTTCACTCAAAAACATCTCTACACAAATGTTTATAGCAGCTTTGCTCATAATTGCCAAAAAATGGAAACAATTCAGGTGTCCTTCAATGAGTGAATGGATAAACGATGGTACATCCATAAGATGGGATACTATTTAGCAATAAAAAATAAACCTGCGGCTGTTACATGTAATCCCCAAGGGTGAATCTCCAATGCATTAACCCCAGTGAAAGAAGCCGGATTCAAGAGGCTACATATTGTTTTTATTTAATTTATACTACATTCTGGGGAAGGAAAAACTGTAAGGAAAAAAACAGATCAGTAGCTACTGAGGGTCTGGGGATAAGGGAAGTGAGTGACTACAAAGGGGCTCAAGGGAATTTGGGGGGTTGCTGGAAATGTTCTGCCTCTTGTCTATAGTGGTGGCTACATCGATACATATATGTATGAGACAGACACAATTCACCCAACTGTATCCCTTGGGAGAACTAAGCCAATAAACCTGACTTTTATTTTTTATTTTTTATTTTTTTGAGACGGAGTCTTGCTCTGTCGCCCAGGTTGGAGTGCAGTGGTGCAATCTCGGCTCACTGCAAGCTCTGCCTCCTGGGTTCACACCATTCTCCTGCCTCAGCCTCCCGAGTAGCTGGGACTACAGGCATGCGCCACCACGCCCAGCTAATTTTTTTGTATTTTTAGTATAGACGGGGTTTCACCATGTTAGCCAGGATGGTCTCGATCTCCTGACCTCGTGATCCACCCGACTTGGCCTCCCAAAGTGCTGGGATTACAGGGGTGAGCCACCGCGCCTGGCCAAATTTGACTTTTAAGAGATATTTCTAGGTTTCTAGATCATCTCAACCAAGTTCAAACATCCAACAGAAGTTAGTTTTATGAAACATGGAGGAAGGAAAGGAGATGCGTACGTACATGGGAGAACTGATAGGTGAGTCAAGTAGGTCTGACTAGCTGACCAGCTGGCTGGAAAGACAGCTGGACCATCATCAGAATGGAGATATAGACTGGGCTGGACAGGGCAGGAGGCTGCAGGGTACAAGTAGGCAGAGCAACAGCAAAAGCACTCACTGGTCTCAGGGCTATACCATCCCCAGGTGTGTGACCTGGGCAAATTCCTTATCTCCTCCCTTGTAAATGGAATAAGAATCATCCCCTCCCAGCTGACCACATTTATCCATTTAGCAAACATTCACTTGGCACCAGCTCTGTGCCAGGTATCCTTCTAAGTGCTTCACCTATGTGATCCACACAACAACACATCCATATTCCTGTTTTACAGAGGAGAAAATAGGTGTATAAACAGGGTGAATGACTAGCTCAAGGTCACCCAAGAGAGTGAGTTGTGGAACTGGGACTGGGGCCAAGCAGTATGACTCCGGAGCCTGAGCTCTCAACGCCACACCATAGCCCCAGCCCAATGCAGGGGTCATCACACCCATCAATATCAGGTTGGACCAGATGAAATTGCTGATATGTGATCACTTCTGACTTACAAAAATGGCATTTTTATCTGGTTCCGCCTAATAATAATACTATTAGTAACCATTGTTTATTGAGTACTTCCTGTGGCCAACATTGTTTCTAGCACTTTGCATGCATTATCTCATTTAATGTTCCCCAAAACATTCTGAGATAAGCATTAGCATTCCCATCTTACAGATGGGAGGGCACTGAGCCTCAGAGGCAAGCATTCTGGACACTTTCAAACAGCATTTGGCAGAAGTAAGACTGAATTCCATCCGTGACTTCACAGCCTGGAGCACCTCTGTTCCCTGATGGGGAAAAGCCAGGTGCTGAGTCTTGACCCTTCCATTAAGCCCATTTCAGTTCCTGGAAGCCCTGGAAATCACCCTTAGTCCTTCCAACCTTCCTCCGCCACGTCCCATTCCCCGTAGGGCTCAACAGATAAAGGAGAGAGACCAGCTGGCAGGGAGATGCTGTTGGGCTCCTCCTTTTCACAAATTTAGGAGTTTCTAAACTCTTTGGCACCACTAATATTTCAGGGCCTGCTCAGGTAATTTGGCTCCTTCCTCCCCACCAGTTCCTCCAGGGCTCCATAACCCCCTGCAAGGCCAGACTCCTGTGCCATCCAGGTTATGAAAGGTTTAAACATCTGGGCAGCCCTGCTTCAGCCACTGGGGTCCCAAGCCCTGGCCCAGTCCATAGCCCCTGGCTGCCCCCCAGCCCGGCTTTGAATGATGACAAGGAAGGCAGCCTTGGTGACTGCCAGCTTCTGTTCCTCTGTTGGTGCATTGCTGGGGCTTCAGTGACTCAGACCTCCCACATCCAAGGTTGACCTCTGCTCCTGGCCTCTCCGGGCCTGGGCCCAGGCCCAGCTGAGCTTCTGCCCCGGATCAGAGCTGGAGGAAATGGTTGTTGCTGCTATGGCAACGGGGCTTTGTACTGTCTGTCCAGATAAAGAGGGTTTTCTTGTCCCTCTTTGGGTCCCAGGGTGGGGGAGCAGCTGCTGTTGGGCAGAGGCCAGGAGGATGCTCCATGGTATCTGACAAACCCTGTGCCCAGCATGGTGTGAGCACCAACAGCTAAGAAAAGCCCACCCCATCCTAGCCACTTTGGATGCGCAGGAGCCAGGAAAGACATATTTCCAGTTCTCTGCTCTGTCCTACGGCAGACCTCTGAGTAGCATTTTCCATCCAGGACACAGTGATGTCCCCCTTTCCTAAGGTAGATACATAAAAAAGAATGCAGAGGCTATAGAATGTGGCCTCTTTCCCCAGTTCAGAGAATCAAAGATGTGTTTGCTTGAAAGTATCCCAGCCCCTTCTGTTCACTATTCAGATAGACAACCTGAGACAGGCAGGAGATCTAGGTCACACAGCCGATTTTCACCAGACTAGACCTGGCAACGGATTCTCCCAGCTCTCAGGGCAGCCCCCAGCCCCAGCTCCTCACCACCTCCTGCTGGTATGGTTTGGCTCTGTCCCCACCCAAATCTCATCTTGAATTCCCATGTGTTGTGGGAGGGACCCGGTGGGAGGTAATTGAATCATGGGAGCAAGTCTTTCCCCTGCTGTTCTCATGATAGTGAGTAAGTCTCATGAGATGTGATGGTTTTAAAAAGAGGAGTCCCCCTGCACAAGTTCTCTCTTTGCCTGCTGCCATCCATGTAAGACATGACTTGTTCCTCCTTCCTAGCCTTCTGCCATGGTTGTGAGGCCTCCCCAGCGACATGGAACTGTAAGTCCAATTAAACCTTTCTTTTGTAAATTGCCTAGTCTCAGGTATGTCTTTATCAGCAGCATGAAAACAGACTAATACACCTGCTATGCACAGAAGCCTGTGATTCAGCCTTACATGCCCTTCCTTTAACTGTAACAGCAGCCAGGTGGCTCCTGGACTCCCATCCTGACACCAAGGGTCCCTGAGAGGCACACAGTCTGGGTTTGTAGCTGGATGATGACCTCCAAGCATCAAGCACAGGCTGAGCTTTGGAAGATCATCAGAGTTAGCTAGTAGTGATCCCTAGAGCAGGATAGCCAAGAAGTTCTTAGGTGCAAAACAGTCACTGAGGCAGAAGCATCAAAGATATGAGTCAAACTTAGAACAGAGGATGGATGGAGGGATAAGATCCACAGATGGAGTACAAGAGCAACAGTCTTGGCAGAATCAATTCTTCCAGCTCTCAGGGCGGCCCCCAGCCCAAGCTATCTATCTGTACTGTTTGGCAGCCAGTAAATAACAGAAAGTGACAATTAACATATGTTGAATACATGAATGAATGAATTAATGAATGAGGAAACTGTGAGGTGGTGGGTGCTTTGCTTCTAACTCTTGGCACCAGCAGCAGGTCAAGAGCATCGAGCCTGAGGAGACTCCTGCCCCGCTCCAGGCCTGACCTGGTGGCACCAGCCACCCCCAGCGGCTGATGGGTGATGCTGCTTCCACTGGGCCCCAGTGGAGAGCACTCTGCAGGGAATGCCTGTAAGTGTCTAATTTCAAATGCATGGTCAGGAATTGATCCTCTTCTATGATGTTTCTCTGTTGTTTTTAAGCAAATTGCACAGTCAGAAGTTTTCCCAGGCTCTCCTGAAAAGAGCAGACCGCTGTGAAGCGGGAGAACGTGGTTTCTGCAGAATCTTATGCATGCCTCGTTGTGGCCGCGCTTCCACTCCCTTGCTCTGGGACTTCAGACAATTCTCTGTACTTCTTTTTGCCATCTGTTAACTGCAGGGGTTAGCCAGGAAATCTCTTCACTTTCTCCCAACTCTGAAATTCCATGGGACCAGGATTCCAACTGTTTTATTTGTCTTAAAATCTAAATGCTTTGGGATTGGGGATCCTTAAATTGTTAGTATCAGCTAAGTTTTGGGGGATATAGATAGATATGATTGATAGATAAAAGGGTAGGGAGGGGATTCTCCATGCTTCTTCCCTTACAGTCAACAGCCCACTGGCTCTGAGATCATATCCTGACTCCACCACTTGGAGTGACCTTAGCCAAATCATTTTTTGAACCTCTCTGTGCCTCAGTTTCCTCATCTTATAGAATGATGCTAATAAAAGTATCTGTGCCACTGGGAGGTTGTGTTTTCAAAGTAATAAAATGTATAAAGTTCCCAGCACAGGGCACGAGGGTGTCCCCTTTTCCTGAGGTAGATACATGAAAAAGGATGCAGAGGCTAAAGAATACAGCCCCTTTCTTCAATCCAGAGAATCAACAATGTGTTCTCTTGAAAGTATCCTAGCCCCCTTCCATTCAGTAGTCAGATAGACATCCTGAGACAGGCAGGAATTCTCCTAGGCCACACAACCATCTTTCATCAGGCTAGACCTGGCAACCAGTTCTCCCAGCTCTGGCAACCAGTTCTCCCAGCTCTCAGGCAGCCCCCAGCGCAAGCTACCTATCTGTACTGTTTGGCAGACAGTAAATAACAGAATGTGACAATTAACATATGCTGAATATATGAATGAATGAATGAAGAAACTGTGAGGTGGGGGGTGCTTTTCTTCTAACTCCTCGCACCTGCAGCTTGCCTCAGGTACGATTCAGGGCCATAACTTCCACTCCAGAGCTCCCCTGCAGGATCAGACTGAAGCTCCTCTCTGTGGATTTTGTCTGAAATTCCGCTCTCCTTGGCTTCCTCTTCTTCCTTGCTCTGTGTCTGTCTTTTCCTTACTGGCTTCCCCTGGAGCACTCTGTCTCAGGGTCTGCTTTGGGATACCCTGACTTAAGGCTTGTCTCAGCCAGGGGGCTTCCCCACACCTGTAATCCCAGCACTTTGGGAGGCCAAGGTGGGAGGATCATGAGGTCAGAAGTTCAAGACCAGCCTGACCAACATGGTGAAACCTCGTCTCTACTAAAAATACAAAAATTAGCCAGGCGTGATGGCACACGCCTGTAATCCCAGCTCCTCAGAAGGCTGAGGTAGGAGAATCGCTTGAACCCAGGAGGCAGATGTTGTAGTGAGCCAAGATGGTGCCACTGCAGCCTGGGCGACAGCGAGACTCCATCTCAAAAAAAAAAAAAAAAAAAAAAAAAAAGACTGTCTCAAGGAGCTTAGTTGGGAAGGGCATCCTAACGCTATAGCAGAGCAGGGAGAGAGTAGCACAGAAGCCAGCCCTGGGAAGGAGGAAGACTTTGGTGCGTGGGTGGAATGTGTGGGGCTGAAATTACTGAAGTCCGAGTAGAAAAAAGTAAGCCCTATCCTCCGGCAGCTGTTCATCACCCCATGGGTGAGCCGTACCCAGTGACCTTAAGGGCAGTCACATTACCCAGGCTCAGCCAATCATGTTCTCTTTCCTGAGAATTGGGACCTGGAGGTAAAGGGCAGCTAATTAGTCTCCTCACGTGTCTGGAACTATAACGTGGGCAAATAAACATCAGACAGGGCTACAGAGGTGGTCAGCCAGGGGCCAGAGCACTGGAGCAGGGGGTTCTCAGCAGAAAGTGGGTGGAGGCTCAGGCAGCAGGTAGGGGCCTAAATATGTGGTCAGGGGCATGTGGGCAGGATCCTGGGCCTGAGTGGGAGGGATGGGCAGCAGACAGGGAGGCCGGGGGGACAGCCCTGGGATAGGACTGGGAGAAATGCCTGGCTTGTTCAAAAGCCCAGTGACTTGGGTGGGGACACAGAGGCGCTTGGGCAGACCCACAGCCATGAGACCATGCAAAGGTCCTGGTGCCCAACCTCTGGATTCTTACAGGACCCATCCTGGGGCAGAGCCAGGAGCAGAGCTGAGCCTGGGAGTGAGGGCAGAGCAGCCTCAGGTGTGGGGATGGGGCTCTGGAGCCAGGGCAGGAGGGGAGACTGAGGACCGCCGCACGCCATCCAGGAGAGACAACCTGGCTCTCCAGGGTCCTCAGCCCAACAGCCTCGAATTATCCTGCCATTAGTGGTGATCCATCCCTTCTGAGCACTGTGCCATTTCATCACACCATCTCAGCATCCAACATTAGGAGATAAGTGCGCTCACAACATATGTCATTACTCATTAAGGGACTTTTTCTGGATTATGGCTGGGGCTTAATGACTTGTTAAAGATGTTTAACACTTACAATTTTGTTTTTAATTTAGGAAGCAGCATGATCAAACTGCACCCTGAGACTCTCTCCTCGATTTGGTGAAATCTGGAGATGGGCCGGCTCAGAGGCTGTCTGTGCAGGGGAGGTGATCCTTAAATTGAATTGCAGCCCTCCGAGGGGTGTTTGCCCCGTCAGCGGCTGCCAGGATCTGACATGTTAATGGGGCTGAGGAAACAATGGGTTTCAGAGGTAATTGCTGAAGCAATGACTTCCAGGCAACATTTGACTTAAAAAAGGAGGGTTGCTGCTGCTATTGCTGCTGCTGCTGCCGCCGGGAAGGGGTTGGGGGGGGCTCTGCTCCAGGCCTGTCTGCAGAATCCCAGCCAGGATTGCCTACCTGCAGAGCTCAGGTGGGTCTGCGCTCCACAGCAGCCCCAGGTGCTGACAGACCACTTCCTTTCCTTCCTGCCCTTTGTTTTGCCCATTGTCTACGCTGGGAGTTGTTTCTCAGGGGGACTGCCAGGCAGAGGGGTTGGAATAGCAAGTTCCTGATTACAAATTTCATAAGAAGATGGACTTGAGTCAGAAGGGGCTGTTCACACTTGCCCCCACTGGGCAGGAGCCAACTCTGTGGGTTGGGGTAAGGCACACTTTCGTGAGGATTCCGTGAGTTACTGCAATCAACTCTTTGAGGTGGGAAATATGATGTCCATTTTACAAATAAGGAAATTGAGGCCCTGAGAACTGAACTGCTGGAACCAGAACCCAAATTTAGGCAACTGATTGCCACTTTCTCTTGCCGCCACGTTAGATCCATTGTTAGGCAGTCACTGCTTACTGGTTATGCGGCTCGGGACAAGTCACTTTCTCTCCATGTTGGGACAAACATTACACCACAAGCTGGTTCTCCTCACTGTCGGACTGCATTTCGGCTTCTTGGAGAGTCTCCAACCTGCCAGGAATGCTGCACTCTGATACAGAAGGAGAATCTGAGATCTCTCAAGTGTGTTTGCTCAAAAAGGAAAAATTGGGGAAATCACATAAGAAACTTTAGTAAGCTGGGTGCAGTGGCTCACGCCTGTAATCCCAGCCCTTTGGGCGGCTGAGGTGGGTGGATCACGAGGTCAGGAAATCGAGACCATCCTGGCTAACACAGTGAAATCCCGTCTATACTAAAAATACAAAAAAATTAGCAGGGCATGGTGGTGGGCGCCTGTAGTCCCAGCTACTCGGGAGGCTGAGGCTGGCGAATGGCGTGAACCTGGGAGGCAGAGCTTGCAGAGAGCCGAGATGGTGCCACTGCACTCCAGCCTGGGTGAGACTCTGTTTCAGAAAAAAAAAAAAAAGAAAGAAAGAAAAAAGAAACTTAATAAATGTGCGCTGCCTGCAATAGGAAATAGGTCAGAGGCATGTTCTGGGCATGAGTGAGTTTAATATCAGCCTTGGACGAGGAGGTGAGAAAGAAGAATGGACCCTGAGCCTGGCTTCCTGGAAAGGACATACCAGATGCAAGTGAAGAGAAGCAGACAGGGTTGAGATGGAGGTCCTGAGTGGAAACAGAGGCTTACTGGAGGAGCTGGAGGAAAGGTTACTAAATCATCCATGCATACATTCATCCACTCAACAAATATTCACCCAAGTACCGTGCACGTGGCTCTGTACTGGGCAATGGTAAAAAGACAGATGCCCTTGAACTTCTGCAGCTCACAGCCACCATCAACCAGTGCTTGGTGAGTGTTAACCTCCACCTTGGTCTTCTTCCGGCCCTCGATCCTGAGCCTGCTGGACTCCTCAGCTCTTGTTGCCATGGCCATGAGTCTCACTGGTCACACATGCCCTCTCCACCCAGCAAAGGAGAAAGTCACTCTCCATCATATGATTCCCAGGACTTTTAAGGGACTTGTTCTGGATTATGGCTGGGGCTTCATGACTTTTTAAAGATGTTTAACATTTATAGTTTTGAGCTGCACTCTGTACCCTGGCTGCAACTTCCCAGAGCTCAGGACCAGGCCTCAGGAGAAGGGAGCCTGGACGTTCAGGGCCCTCCACTACAGAGGAGTGGCTGGGAGTGTGCAAGTTTGGGAACCAGCTCCAGAAGCCTCTGAGCCCTTCTGTGGATTGGGCTTGGAAGGAGGCCCCAGTAGGCAGGCAAGCCTTTACTCACTGAGGATCAGGGTCTAATAAGATGGCCTAGCTCCGTCACTGTGGAAGCTGCCAGCCCAGCCTGTGCTTGATGAAGCCTTTGGAATTCTCAGGAGACTACTGCTAAAGGAGACTTTCTATGTCAAGAAGCCCAGACAGTGTTCTCATGTGGCCCGAAAGTCCTGAGCACCTACCATGGGTGTACAGCAGCCCCAAGGTAGGAAAATCCCAGCAGGGGCGGTGCAGGGGGGTGGTGGGGGGTGGACCCCAGCTCACCTCTCTCTGGCTCAGGGACAGAAAAGGCCCTGGAGCCACGGCTAGTGTCCTTCAAATCCTACACCAATGCCTGCAAAGAGGAGGGCTCCCTCCACCTCAATGGCTTCATTTGAGTCACAGAGAAGCCACCACAGGGAACCCAAACAGACCAGAGCTTCCTGAGGCAAAGGCAGGGCTGTCCCCATCAGCATGCCACCTCTTCAGGTTCACCTCCCACCTGACCCCGCCCCCAGCAGCACACAGAACCACAGGCACCAGCCTAGCCCCCAGGCCAGAGTGCCTGCTTTGCTTTTTTCCTAGAAAGCTTCCCACACGCCTCCAACCACTTATCCCTCCAGCCCCAGCTAGGATGCCACCTCCTCCGTGAAGCCTTCCAGATGCCCTTTCCTCTGGGTTCTCATAGTACTTTGCCCAAACATCTATTATAGGATATAGTTGTCAGTTCACACACGTCCCTTCTACAAGACTAATACTCTTTGACAGCAGAGATCTCATGTTGCTCATGTTTTGTCACAAGCATTCAAATATATTTCAAAGTATACATCAAGAGCATTCAAATATATTTGAAGGAGAGAGAGGGAGGGAGGGAGGGAGGAAGAAAGAGAGAGAAGGAGGGAGGGAGGAAGAGAAAGAAGGAGGGAGGGAAGGAGAGAGGCAGAGAGGGGGAAGAAGGAAGGGAGGAAGGGAGGGAGGGAGCGAGAGAGGGAGGGAGAGAGGAAGAGAGAGAAGGAGGGAGGGAGGAAGGGAGAGAAGGAGAGAGGGATGCAGAGAGGGAAGGAGAGAGGCAGAGAAGGGGAAGAAGGGATGGAGGGAGGAAGGGAAGGAGGCGGGGAGGCAGATGGAGGAAAGAGGAAGAGAGAAGTAGGGAGGGAGGGAGAGAGGCGGAGAGAGGCAGAGAGAGGGAAGGAGGGAGGGAGACAGGGAAGGGAAGAGAGAGGAGGGAGGAAAGAGGGAGGGAGGAAGACAGGAGGAGGGAGGGAAGGAGAGACGGAGGGAAGAAGGAACTAAGGAAGGAAGGAAGGAAGGATGGATGGAAGGAAGGAAGGAAGGAAAGAAAGGAGGGAGGGAGGAGAGAACAGAAGGGAAGGGAAGGGAAACACAAGCAGTGAATTGTAGCCATCTCCTGCTGTGGAGGTCTGCATGCCATCAGCTCAGGATATAGTCATAACTCGACTAAATTATTTTTTCATGGAGAGGGAGGGAAGAGCCAGGCACATTTGTCACTGTTCATGGTTTCTATTCTAGTTCATGGGTGACTCCCATTCAGCCACTCACAGTTTTGCAGTTTTTCTTTGTTTTTACTTTCCATCTTGATGGAAAAAGAGTAACTTTTATACCCTCATAGAGCAAATAGAACTATGACTTCTGTTTTGGTGCTTTTTTGCATATGTTGCAATTTAGAGGGGAAAGGTTTATTGAAACTTGCTGTGTTACAACAATAAAGTACCCTCAAAGAAGAACAACACTGTCAGTATGCACGCCTTCATTAGGAAAACATCACATCAGCGGTGCACTTGCAAGCTTTTGGATAAGAGTAACTGTGTATGTTTATATATATATATATATACACACACACATACATATACATATACACACACGCATATATAAAATTGCCCTTTCCTAATTCTTCCTTACTAACTGTTAAAATCATCTGTTTCACTGTTTATAAAGCAAATTTCTTGTTTTAGTCTATGGCTTTCCCTATCATCACAGTTTTTTCTCTCCAGGAATCATCAGGGCAGGCACGGACCTGAGCTTCCTCACTCCCCAGTCTAAAGCTATGTTTATGGCTAAAGGGACCCAGAAAACAAATACTCCCTGGAGAGGCTTCCCACTGGGCCTATGATGGGCAAGGGTGAGGTTCCAGAGGAGGGATGTGGAGGCCCCACATACTCTCTTTCCTCCCGACACCATCCCCTTTCCCATAGGGAGCCAAAGGTGCTACAACATCAGCAGCATCTGAAATGAGGCCAGGATCTCTAAAAGCCACTGCAGAAAGGGAGTAGACAGCATCGAAACCTACATGTGCTGGCACTAGAGTGGGATAACAAGATTCATTATTTAATCCTCAAAATAACCCACTTTTACAGATGAAGAAACCAAGGTCATAGAGGTTAAGAAATAAGAACCATTCAGCAAATATGTGACGATATCCACTGTGTACAGGTACTGCGGCAGGCCTTGGGGATATCAAAGAAGGAAACAGACAGGCCTCTATTCCTATGGCGCAGGCATCCTAGCTGGAGGTGAGGGACCATAAAACAATAATCAATACAAAAAACAAACAAGTTGGAGGTGATTCATACAGAGTGTGTACACACACAAGGTAAGGAGACCAGGAAGGGAATGCCTGTCGTGGGGTGGGGGAGGGGCATTTGAAGTCCAAGGATCAGGGTGGACCTCACTGGAAAGGTGACGTGGTGGAGGTAAGCATGCAGGCCCCATGGATACCCGGGGAAGAGCATTCTAGGCAATGGAGCAAGGAGTGCCAAGGCCCTGGGACCGGGGTGGTGAACAAGGGGGAGAGTCCCTAGAGAGGTGTTGGGGAGATCAAGGGGGGATACCAATCCCGGGGTGGGTGGAGTGACCATGGAAGCCTCCACAGCCATTGCAGACTTGGGCTGTTACTCTGAGTGAAGCAGAGGAGCCACCGCAAGGTTTTCAGCACAGGAGAGTCACGATGTGAGTCGTCTTTTACAGGCTCTCTCTGGCTGTTGGTTGAAATACACTGTCGGGGGCAAGGGTGGAAGAAACACCATCAGTTAAGAATGCTGTTGCAATAACTAGGTGAGAGACGACAGTGGCTTGGACCAAGATGCACCTCGTGATATGTAGGGGGAGGGTGTTCCAGGCAGCAGACATGGTGAGAAGTGGTCAGATCCTGAAGATATCAGGAAGGAGGAGCCACCAAGGCTTCCTGATTGATTGGATGTGGCAGATGAGAGAAAGAGAGGGGTCAGGAGGTCCCCAAATCTTCTTGGCCTGGGCAACTGGAAGGACATGTTCATTTCAGGCGGCTGTTAGATATCTAAGTGGAGACGTTGAGGGGCAGTGAGATCTGTAAGTCTGGGGTTAGGGGAGACTACCAGGACGGAGATATACATTTGCAAGTCATGAGCCCAAGGTGGTATGTAAAGCCACAAGACTGGATGCAATTACGGAGCAGTGAGGGTAATTAGAGACTCAAGGAGGAGCTGGGACTGTGGCCACCCCGTGGGTAAGAGGCTGAAGAGAAGATGAATCAGTAAAGAAGACCCAGAAGGCATAGCCAGGGAGGTGGGATAAAAGCCAGAAAACTACAGCATCCAGGAAGCCAAGTGGAAGAAAACGTTTCTAGAAGGCAGAGGAAGTGGCTCACTATGTGCAGTGCTGTGGGTAAGACCTAGCAAGATAGGAGCTGGCCGTTGGATTTAGCCATGACCCCTGGGTACCCAGCCGGTAAATGGCAGCTGGGATTCAAATCCAGGTCTCCCCCACAATCAAGCTGCAGGTTTTGCCTATTTCACAGCCTTCAGAAGGGAACCATGCAAAGGACCCTCCATTTTAGATACACCCACTCATGCCTGGAGAGGAGTCTCCCACATCTTAACCAGAACCCCAGAAGGCAATTGAACATAAAGAGCAGGCTTTGGAATCAAGTGTGCTCCATCCACGTCCTGGCCCTACTACTCACTGGGGCGGGGCCTCACGCAGGTCTCTAAGTGAAGAGACTTCCTTTCTCTGGGCCCTAGTCTCCTCACTGGGAAATAGGAGTGGGAGGGACAGTAGTGCAGAATACTTCATGCAGTGTCCAGGCACATGGTCAACATTTTTTTTTAAAGTAGCCATTACAATGATGAGAGAACCAGAGCAAGAACAATGGAGGAGGCACAGGCATCCCCCATCATCACTAGGCCTGGGTGAACCCCTCCCTTCTCTCCCTCCCGCTTGCTTCCTTAGTCAGCCACAAGTCACTCTTGAGAGCTTGTTGGCCATGAGATGTTTCCTGAGGGCCTGTTCTGAACAAGGCATCTACTGCTGAGGCCAGTGGGCAGCAGCACGCCAGACCCAGAGGCACACCAGGGCCGTAGGCAGCGCTGTGGGAATTTCTGTTCAGAACCATGCCCAGGCTGTTGCTTCAGGAAGGGTGACAGTGAGTGGCACTCGTGTGCATTTCTGGAGGGGATGAAGGCAAAGAGGGGGCTTGGGCTCCTGCCCTGCAGAGGCATGACACACTGAGGTCTCCCCCTAAGATTACCTGGGGCTGTGGGTTAATGGTCTGTTTCTGGGGAATGACAGCGAGTGGTATTTCCAGCCTCTGGAAATGGTGCTATGGACAGGGGTGAATGAAGACATATGTGTGAGTGTGTGTTCATGTGTGTGTGTCTTTACATATACATGGGTGCAGGCATACAGGTGAGTGGCCGCATATATATATGGCTGTGTACACTCATGGGGGTGAGCACATATGTGTGCTATGCTGCACTATGCCAGGCTACTCCTTGCCCAGTGTGGAGTCTAACAGAAGTGGTGGGCAAAGGCCCACATCTGAGGGTGCCCTCCCAGGGAGGGCACACTGGAGCATCGGGGTGAGGTGGAGAACATGCCCCAGGGATCCCGCTGGCTGAGCTGTCTCCCCACATCACACTCAAGCATGTGCTGCCACCTCCCCTGGCCTGGGCAGGACTGTCCCACTAGGACAGCCATAAATTGGTGGGAGATTCCCACCTTGGTTTATATGGCCAAGTCCCTAGAAGCCTTTCCTGGGAAAGGTCTCTTAGACCTGGTGATGGCTTCTCAGTCTTCACACTGAGAACTCAGGGTTGGAGGAGTGGGAAGTACTGGGCCACACTCCCATGTCAACTAAGGCCCCTGAGCAAGGACTCCATCCATCCTGATAAGGCTGGGGCTCTCTGCGCTTCCCTATGCAATCGACCAAAGTCATAGCTGCCCACCTTCTGCCCTTGGAAATGAATCATTTAAGATTCCCCTTTCATCTGGAACCTCTCAAACAGCCTCATGAGCTGTGAGCCTGTCTCCCTAGGTAGAATTTAAGGCAGCTGCAAAATGCCTCGATATTTTCAGAGGCCTTATTGTGCTTAAACTCGTTAGAGAGGCCATGGAGTTAATTAGTATATAGATTTTCCCATAGAAAGCTAATTTTCAGAATGATTTGCAGCCACTGGATCTGTAACAGACTGCAATCCATTTTCTTCTCAACTTTCTGTTTTTCAAAAGAAAAGTACAAATTGTGGTGACCAGATGACTTCTTCCATGCCTCAGTCCCAGCTCACCCACCCCCTTAGCAGTCTGGAGCCCCTCCAAGGCTGGCTGCTTCTCCATCATCCTGCCCAACTCACTGGCTCTCTACCATTCATCTGCCTTTCCATAAGCACCAATGCAGGCTGCCTGAGGCTGGCTTGAGCAAGGGGAGCAGAGTGAGTGAGCTGAGGGTGCATCTTTCAGTGGTGCAGGGTGCAGGGGTTAAGTGCATGAAACTGGGTCAAATATGGACAAACCCAAGCTCTCCCTTTCTGGCAAGTTACTTCACCTCTCTATGCTTCATTTCACTCACCAGTAAGATCAGGAGAGCAATCATGACCTCATAAGAAGTGTTATAAGAATCATTATTAACATTGATTTTTTTAAAAGGTAACATGGGCTGGGCACGATGGCTCACGCCTGTAATCCCAGCACTTTGGGAGCCTGAGGCAGGAGGATCGCTTGAGCCCAGGCATTGGAGGCCAGCCTGGGCAACATGGTGAAACCCTGTCTCTACAAAAAATTAGCTGGTGTGGTGGTGTGCACCTATAGTCCCAGCTTCCTGGGAGGCTAAGGTGGGAGGATCGCCTGAGCCTGGGGAAGCCAAGGCTGCAGTGAGCTGTAATCATGCCACTGCGCTCCAGCCTGGGCAACAGAGCAAGATTCTGTCTAAAAAAAAAAAAAAAAAGGCAACATGTATTGCTGCTCCCAGTGTTCTAACTTAACTTCCATTCCACTGAAATTCCATTCAGCAAACATTTCCTGAGCACGCAAGAGCCAGGCCCTGCACTGGGCAAGCTCCCACTATGCGCCAAGCCCCATGAGTGCTTCCTTCGTGCCATGCCCTAGGCTGGGTGTCACCCCATATACCAGCACCTATGCTACGTAGACACCAACTGTCTACATTGCCAGATCCCCGAATCGCAGGGCTTCTGCCTATTTCATGGGAGGAAACTGAAGCTCATAGAAGTTAGATAACTTGCCCAACATCACACAGCTAGTGGGGGACACAATAGGGCTTTGAATCCAGGTCTGCCTAATTCTAGAGCTCTAAAGAGATGAAGTAACTTATGGGAAGGGGTAGTTACTATTATTGTTATTATGAATACAGCTACTACTCTTACATTTTCCCCAGAATTCTAAGCCTTCCCTTACATTTCATGGGATTCTACCCTCCTGTGCTCCTAATGGTGGAAAAGTAAGAAAATCAGACTTTCAGCCCTGGAAAGTCCCCTAGAGATCATGGAATCCATCTCTCCCCCTTGGACAGGTGGGGAAGTTGAGGCCCAGAGAGGTTCATAGGGCAACCAAGGGCACCCAAGGAGAGAGAGCAGGCCGGGCGCAAGGACTGTTGACCGCTGGCCAGCCCTCTTCCTCCACACGGAGCCCCCCGCCTTGCTGTATCAGGACTTCGAGCTCCTCAGAGGGCCTCTCAATATGCAAAGCCAGGGGAAGAGCTGACACCTGACAGCCTGGTGATGGTTTGGATGGTTTCTGAAGCCCTCTGCTGAGTGAAGGCAATATTAGTCATCAGAGATCTACACGCGCCTGAGCATCCTTGTCAGAAAATGTGATGACTTAGTGGACTGAAAATGTATTTCCCTGCCTTATCACACATCTGGAGTTCCAGCAGAGCAGCCCCTGGGTTGGGGAGGCAGTCAGCCTCAAGAATTTGCAGATATTGGTGTTTATCAGAAAAAGTCCAAATGGAGGGTGACGGGAGTAATAGCTTGAGAACATGCCGATGGTGATAAGGAAACAGTATCTGCTCATTACCTCAGAGACCTCTCCCATCACCCCCAACCTGCAGCCCTGTCTGCTCCTGGCTTTGAGAGGAGATCACATTTGCTTTTTCCACCAGGGGTGAAGGGAGGGAAAATACCGCCTACTCTGACTGGGGAGAAGCCAGCTGCTCTCCCAGAACTGGGCTTCCATTCCACTGAATTTCCTTTCAGCAAACATTTCCTGAGCATCCAAGAGCCAGAACCTGCTCTGGGCAAGCTCCCACTGTGTGCCAAGTCCCATGAGTTCCTCTTCTGTGCCATGCCCTAGGCTGGGTGTCACCTGCATACACCAGCACCTATGCTAGGTAGACACCGACTGTGTGCCAGATCCCAGAATGGCAGGGCTTCCGAGGTGCACCAGGTCCTATGTTGTGTGGGCACCTCCCAGCAGGTGCTGTTAATGCCAAGTCCTGGGGCATAAAGCTCAATCAGTTGCCCATAAGGCATTTGTAGTTTGTCCAAGAAGAAAGACATGTGACTCATTAGCTAAAATACCCTCTGAGCTATCTATTGCCAGTTGGTTAATAAAGTCCTGCAGGGGCCAATATGGGTGAGAGATTTGTTCTGCATAGGGCTCTCAGGTGAGGCTTCCTGAGAAGTCAGCTTTAAGGGATTAGCTGGAGTCTTCCAGTCACAGAAAAAGGCAAGAGCATCCCAGGAAGAGGGCACAGCTCCAGCAAAGGCAGAGAAGAGTGACAGGACTTAGCACAGTTGGGAAATGGCAGGTTGGCCAGTGTTAGGGAGGAGGAGGGCAAGAGGAGACAGCAGGAGATGAGACCTCAAGGGAAGGACAGAGCCATCTCATGAGGGGTCAGCCATGCTCTGAGGAGCCTTGTGGGTCTGTAGAGAAACCTTAGAGGGAAGCTGCGGAGGTAGACTCTGGGAACTCCACCACATTTCAAGCAGAAGAGCTCCATCTTTATTTCATATATTAGGCACCTGTGTAAGATGACTCTTGAAAATTGGGTTTGGCAGCTAGAAAAAAAGGGGGGAAGGAGGGAAAAATGACAAAGGAAAGAGAGGGAGGGAAAAGAGAGGAGAAGAGAGGGGAAGAAGGGGAGAGAAAAGGAGTAGAGGGAAAGAAGGGAAAAGGAGGGGAAGGGAAAGGGAGAGGAGGAGAGGGAGGAAGGAAAAGATAAACAAGGTTAAGTCTGAATTCCATAGGTTGCAAAGATAAGGAAGCTGAAGTCCCAAAAGATTAGTTGACCAAGCTTGGAGTGGAACCCAGATCTGCCCAGGCACTGTTTCAGTGTTTGGCCCCAAGCCTGTTCATGAGTAGAGCCCAAGATAAAGTTCTGCTAAGCACAGATGCCCCACAACCTACTAGAGTGCAACAGTGGCCACATCTCCCAAGCCACAGAAAGCACCAAACCAATGGACAGAATGTTTCTTATTCACAGTATTTCACCAAAAAACTCTCCTAAGCCTTTGACTTGGCTTTCATCTGCTCTTAGGCAGGCTTGAGGGAGAATACATCCTGATAGTTTGAATTTTCCTGGTGTCTGAAGCAGTGACTTCCAGCTGCTCTGTCGTTTCCAGATAAGGAATCTGAGATGCAGAGGAAAGAGGCATTGTGTCCAAGGTCACATGGTGGGCAGTGGCAGGGACAAAGCTAGATGCCAGGTCTGTTGGCCTGGCACCAGGCTGCTCCACTGTGTCTGCCACTGCCAACAAGCCCCAGGAGGCACTGTTAAAGCCTACTGGATGCTAGTCACTCAATGTGACTTAGTGTGAATTCTGTGTGGGTACCTTCTTGGTACTATCAGGCCTAGACCAGACACATGAGTGCTCCAGGCAGGTTATATTTTGACCCAACTTCAATCTGATAGACTTAAAGGATTTGTTCATCATTTATTTTGGGGATAAATTGAGTCCTGCCTGATGAAAGTTACAGAAAGCAGATGTGTGGCCTCTCCTAATTTGTGCCATGTTCATTATCCCAGCAATTATGCTCCACCCCAAACTTGCATGCCCTCATTTAGCAAAGCAAAAGCCCTGGATTCAGCTAACCCACTCTCCTTAGAGGGCAGTTTAGAAGGCACCTATTTTTCCTTTGGTCTCAGGCAGGGGGAATGGCAGTGCAAGGAGATACCTTATCCCTGCCCCTCACTCCCAAGCAGCTTCTGTTCAGCCATATCCAGTGTCCTCCCTGAGACAAGTTCTAGAAAACATAATTGACCCCACATTATTAGATTTCCAGCATTTTGGGTGCCCTAGCCTTGGTCAATGGGAACTACCATGGTGAGGTGGATCAAGTCCCTGACCTCAGGAATGAACATTCATTGAGCACCTACTGTGTGCCAGGCACCGGCCAGTGGCTTTCATATCGTTTATCTCATCAAACCCCCACCATGGCCCCAAGATGTAGGAATTGTCATCCTCATTTCACAGATGAAGAAACTGAGGCTCAGAGAGATGCAGTCACTTGCCTGGGGTCCCACAGCTCAGGACCAGGGTTTATTCCCAGTTCTGCATGTCTGTAGCCCACCCTATCTCAGGGCATAGGATTCCCTTCTCCCTCCTCATATGGGCCCCACTTCCTAGATGGTGCAAATAACTCCACGGAAATAAACCCTCTGGGCCTGGCTACTCAGAAAGCCAATCCTTTCTCCCAAGGTCACTTGGAAATCCTGGGGTGGAGGCATAGCTCTCATGCTTGCAGTCCAGGTGGGCTTTCTGGTGACCACTGCCCTGCAAACCCCAACTCCTTAAATAGTACCTTCATTTGCAGAGACTGGCCTCCTCACTCCCTGACTGCTATTTAGCACCAGTTCCCCAAAGGGTTAAAAATGGGAACCAAATAATTTATTTCAAGATCTTCAAAAACAAATTCAAATTTTTTTTAATTATGTCAAATTAAGGCCATTAAAAGTTAAGCTGTGTACCCAGAGCATTTTCCTGGGAAAGGTGCTGTAACATCATTATTTCTCCCCAAAACGCACTTACTGTACATTTCTCAAAGCCATCAGCCTTGATTGAAGGCTAATGAAAAAGCTGTCCTGCGTCAGTTTATTCCTTGTATCCATTAAGAATAATTACGGCTGAACAATTTTTGATGCCTGTAACCTTCGAAAGCGTTGCTAATGGCATTATAAATTGCTCCTTGTCCAATGACTATGGCGAGATGCTTAATTCAAAGGCGCTCTGTCAACAGGACTGATTTGTGTGGCTAATGAGCGCGTTTAAAACAACAGCCTCGGCTCATGCATCCGAATGTCAATAAGAGGACGAGGTTCAATAAGGAGGCTTGTCCGTAATAATTAGCAGGGACAAGCGCTCCAGATCAGGCCCATTGTGGCTTTCACAGCGCTGTTCTCAAGACAGCACTAGCATCCCTGGGGCCTGCCCGGGCACAACTCTTCACTCTTGGACTGGAGTTGGAACCAGGACCCAGAAGACCAGGGCAAGGGACAATGGCAGAGGAGGACATGTTGACCAGGGTGTTCAAGACAGTGATAAGAAGAAGCCTAGAAGCATTTATTAAGCACTTCGTCATTAATTCTGCAGACATTTATGGAGCACTTACTGTGTACAGGTGCCAGGGGAGACAGTGGTAGGATAAACACAGATCCTGGTCTCCCCATGTTCACCAACTGGTGGGGCCAATGAACTAAGCCATCACCAGCGAGGCTGGCAAGTGTCATGCTGGGAAAAGCAGAAGATGCAGCGAAAACAGCAAGGAGGGTGCCCAGACAACCTAGTGCCAGGGGAAGTGGTGTTTAAGATGAGACGGAAGCATCACTGGGAGCTAGCCAGTCAAGGGAACTGCCATCAGGGGGACCAAGACAGGATGAGGAAACTGAAGGAAGGCTCACCTGCTGGAGTGGTGGGAGGCGAGACTGCTAGGGTTGGCAGAGTTGGTGGGGGGATATGGAGCCATGGCTGCCAGGCACATGGGGTGTGGGTGAGGGGATACCTAGGGGAGACTGAAGCACTTTAATGTGCACCTCTCTCCCGTCTCAGAATGCCCTCTCCTATCCCAGCCCTCTAAGTCTCAGTGCCAATGCCATCTCCCCCAGGAAGTCTGCCCTGATTTCTCCTTGCTTTCTTGTTTGGCTACAACCCCCAGCTAGCATCAAGGCTGCGCTTGTCAGCATCTCCTTGTGTCCTGCGTGTCATGTAGACAGTCATCTCCTTAAGAATAGAGACTGATGCCTTAGTTTGCTGTTGCCCCGTAGGGCCAAGCACAAAGTCAGACACATAGCTGGCCCTCAGTCGGGGCTTGTGATCTGCCCTGTTTAACTTTTCCTGGTATTCCCACTGCTATTGTTATTTCTATGGTTAGCTTTTTATTGCACAAACATTCATTACAAATTAGGATAGGGGAAGGAGCAGGAGTAGAAGAGGAGATGTAGGAGTTGGAGGAGGTGCTCAGAGATGAGACAATTTGGGCCCTGGCCTCCAGGACCCCCAACCTTTGTCCTGGATGTGAACACACACAGCATGTTTGCTAAACAGCACAGCTGGCCAGGGGC
Source organism: Homo sapiens (assembly GCF_000001405.40). Classification (NCBI taxonomy): domain Eukaryota; kingdom Metazoa; phylum Chordata; class Mammalia; order Primates; family Hominidae; genus Homo; species Homo sapiens. Next base: position 38,257,128 of record NC_000001.11, on the reverse strand, counting down.
TAGGGTCTGAGGCCCGTTTGAGGGAGGATTACAAGTGAGTCCTCGAAGGTCCAGTGAAGGCATTTGGCTTTTAATATACAGCTAAAAAAAGCCAATGCTTGCTTTAGGCTGGGGAGTAACATAGGCAGACATAGGTAATACAAGCAGATGCCTCTGACTGCATGTGAGGACGGGATTGGAAAGAAAAAATCAGAGGGAAAGAAAGGGCTAAGAACTCAGGATCCAACTGCCTGGGTTCAAATCTCAGCTCTGCCATTTACAAGCCATGAGGTTTTCAGCAAAATTACTTGCCCTCTACAGACTTAGTTTCCCTCTATATAAGATGGCAATAATAACATAACCTACCTTACAGAGTTATGGAGAGGGTAAGGTGAGAAAATGTGTGTAAAGGATTTTGCATAGTCCCTGGCACTTAATAAGTACTGTTATTACTATAGTCATTGCATATCAAGCACTCCAAAAAAAAAATGGAACCTTGTTTTATCAAATGAGGAAACAAAGATGCAAAGCGGTGAAGTAACTGGCATAAGGTCACTTGGCTGGTATGAAGTGTGAGAGGTAGCTCCAACCCAGTACACTTTCCTCTACTCCAGGGGCCTCCCCAGCACAGAGAGTGATGGCTTACAGCAGCCAGGCTGTGTGTGCATGTGTATGCCTATGTGTGTGCGTGTGTGCATGTGACATGGGTATTTGCAGGAGGAGCAGGGCATAGCATCAGAACTGGATATGGTGCAGTCACACACCCCTGCTTCAGATGTGGGGCTCTGTCCCAGGACAACCCTGGGCCTGCTAGGAGGGCTCCAGGTGTTTGCCTGCAGGAGCTGAGGGGAGCAGTCACGGTGGGGGCCACTCCCGCGCCCACCCACTGGCGCCCCCTGCCTCCGGGGGTTCTCCAGGTGTGAAGGCAGCAGACAGGTTTCAGAGGATGGGCTGTCACGATCTGTCTCCCCTCTTTGGATGACAAGTCTCAGATTCCTATCTCAGCAGAGAGGTGCTAGTGAAATCCCGGAGGAAATGATAAACGGGGTGTTTGCTCCAATCAATCTCCAAGAAGAGATTTCGTTTGAATGCTTTCCACTTCTACTCCTACCAAGAGAGTGAGGAAGCTGCCGTTTAGATCCTGTGCTTCAGTCTTCCATTTTCTCCAGGATGGTGGGTGTTTGGGGCAGCCCAGTCTCTGCCTCAGTAAATGGAGCAGTTTTTAGTCCTTATCAGAGGACGCCCCTGCAGCCTCTGACACTTCACACCTTCTGAAAGCATTCTCCTCCTCTGGCTTCCATGACAACTCTTCCGAGTTTCCTCCAAAATCTCTGGCTGGTCCCTCTTGGTTTCCTAGACAGATGTTTCTTCCTTTGTCTTTCTCGTAACTATCCACATTCTTCTTATTTCCAACCTGTGTTCTCTTCCCAATCCAAGCCTTCTCCCTGAGTGAGTTCAGCTTCATTTGTCACCTAAAGGCTATGGCCCCTAATCTCTCACTCTGGCCAGTGCTCTGCTGACTTAGACCCATGTCACCACCTGCCCTTTGAACATCTCTATTCAGGTGACTTACAGCGATCGCAGCAAATGTCATCATTCACCATAGTCCTCCCCAGCCAGGTCTCTTCCTGTGTCCTTGAACTCCTTAAAACAGTGCCATCATCCATCTGATTGACAGATGATGTTCGTCTCCTAGAAACTTGACCTAAAGAAGCTTCCCAAAATGCCCCTCCTCCCACAGAAAATTGCGAAGCAAGAATGTCTGGGTTTAGATCCAGGCTCTACCATTTACTGGTTGTGTGACCATAGCATGTCACTTAACTTCTCTGAGCCTCAGTTTCCTCATCTGCAAAATGAAGATAATAGGCCCACCTCATGAGTTGTTGTGAACCATAAATGAGTTAATACATGCAGAGTTAGAAGAGACACTCCTATATCTAATTAGTCACTAATTGGATCAGTTCTACCCCCTAAATGTTTCCTAATCCTCTACTTCTTTCCACCATATTGTCAATCTTATAGTAAGTTCAGGACTTACTGCAAAACCTGCCTAATGATCCTCCCCTCCATCTGTCTTGCTGCCTTCATGCACGGCCAGACTGAGTCTAGAGGACATATCAGATCATATCCCTTCTGTGGCTCCTCATCACGGTGTGACAAAGTTCGAGATTCTGAACCTGGTTTTGTCAAATGGGGCCCTTCAGGGGTTTTGCCCCCTGTTTACTTACCCAGCCCCTTCTTTTGCCCTCCTCTGAGCTCTGGCCTTGAGCCACATTAAATTACTTGCTCTTTTCCCAAAAAATAAGGCCTCTGAGCCTTGCATATGCTGTTCCCACTACCACCACCACCGCCATGAACAACAACTTCATCAGAAGCAGTCTTGCTCCTTCTTCAAGTCTGGGTGTAGGCCTTGCCCTCTGGGAGGCCCTCTGTAGTGGATACTGTAGTGTGCTACCCAGATCTCCTCTCAGGACCAAGGTGCTCATTCCCAGCTGCTGGGAGCAGGAGCACTGGCTGCCTCCCTCATGGTTATGCCCCATCCCTGGGGCACCCACATCCAGTGACTGGTTGGTATAGAGTATAGGCCCAGCCCTTTGCCTCAGTTCTGGACAACTCTGTCCTTCCCAGCTCCAGGACTCCCTGTGAGACTGGCTGAGGCCTCCGGTGCAACTGCTTAGCAATTAAACCTCTCCGGGGCCAGGGCGCTTCCCTCATCTCCCTATGGGCATGACTTCCCAGAACCATTTCCTGTAAACTTCCCCCATACAAATCTCCATCTCAGAGTCTGTCTCCAGGAAACCTGACCTAAGATGCTTCTCAAAATGCCCCTACTCCCTAGGCTGGGCACGGTTCTCTTACTTCCTGTGGCTCCCCACAAACCAGTCTCCCTCTGCTACCTTTATTAAACTCCTACAACACTGGATAAAATCAGTGGTTTCCTTGTCCATCCCCCTCATTAAGTGGAAGCTACCTGAGAGGAACCACACTCATTCCTCTTTGTCTCTGCAGTGCCTGGCTTCATGCCTAGAATGGTTTCGTGACACTTAGAGGTTTGTTTTGTTCTGTTTTGAGACGGAGTGTTGCTGTGTCACCCAGGCTGGAGTGCAGTGGCGCGATCTCAGCTCACTGCAACAGACTTAGAGATTTTTATGGAGCCATCTCCAGGAAGGATTTTTGATGCGGCTTATAAAACAAATCATTTAACATTTTGTTCTTTGTTGTTATCAAATAATAGGTATGATAGCCATCTCAGAGCATCATTCCATCCTTGGGCCTGAAGGATACAGGAGGCTTCAGGATGCAATAAAAGATGGTAAGAGGCTGGTGGCTCAAGCCTGTAATCCCACCACTTTGGGAGGCTGAGGTGGGCAGATCACCTGAGGTTGGGAGTTCGAGACTAGCCTGGCCAACTTGGTGAAACTCGTCTTTACTAAAAACACAAAACTCATATATATATATATATATATATATATAGTACTCAAGACTCAAGTCTCTTCATATATATATATATATATATATATATATATATGAAGAGACTTGAGAAAAGATAGGAGAGACCAGAGAGAGTGAGGGACCAGGAAAGAGATGAGGATTAGTGGAGCATGCCTGATAGTCACGTGACTTGGTAATGGAAAACAGTGTCTTTCACACTTTGATGCAGCCACTTGGGTAGCAAAACAGCCATATCAAATATGCCTCATGCTGTAGCCTGGCATATACTGGGTGCTCCCTAAAACTCTAGTCAATGGCTGCAGTTGCCTCCCTGATAAAGCCTAGGCTGCTTAGCAAGTCTCATCATGGCCCTACGCCAGCTAACCCTTGCCTGCTTTTCTGGTCTCATTTCTTGCCCTGCCTCCTCACATAACCTCCTGTTCACATGCTCCTGCCTATGCACAGGCAGCTCCTGCCTTTCCCCACTTTTGCCACTCAGGGAATTCCTATTCAACTGAAGCCCTCCCTGATTGCTCCAGCAGGCTATTTCCTTTCCTTCTCTGATTGGTTTTGTATCACTCTGCTTTGGGATCACCTGTAATCTTGTCTGTCTCCCCAAGCAAACTGTGAGCTTCATGCGGGCAGGGAATATGACCAATCTGTCTCTATCTCCAGCACAGCACTTAACCTAACCCTAAGCATAAGATCACACATTGTTGGCTAAGAGGATGGATGAAGTTTCTCTGCATCTGAGTTGGCTCAGGGCATGCCTTTGGGTATGATCTTCAGTTCCCTGGGACATAGATTGAGAAGAAGCTTAGAGCACTCTGGCACCTCTGGAAAGCATGTAGTTAAAGACCCAGTCACAGTCTCCAGAGAAGGTGCCATGGACTCGGTGATTAGAGTCACAGGTTTCATCTAGATCTCACTTGGGGGAAGTGGGGACCAACAGCCTTGACACTGCCTTACATCCATAGTGTCCATAGAGCACCTGCCCCAGCACCATCCCAGTCCATAGTATCTCTACTTCGTAGCAACCCCAAAGTCAGGTGTGATGCTAGCCCTATTTGACAGATGATAACTAAGGCTCAGAGGTCTCCTAAACTCCTTACAGTTCCACCATTCCTTGATTCAATGACTCTTACTGGATCTTGTCCATCTGTGACTCTGGCCAAGGAGAACCATGGAACCCAGTGCTGGCCCTAGCTCTAGAGCCCTTTGCTGAGAGCCAACTCCTGCCCAAGGAGAGGCAACAGGACTGGGGAATAGAGGAGGCATCGCTTTCCTTTAAAAGGGCTTACCCTGACCCTCCAAAATTGGCTAGCATTTCGGCTCACGCGTGTAATCCCAGCACTTTGGGAGGCCGAGGAGGGCAGATCACGAGGTCAGGAGATCAAGACCATCCTGGCTAACACAATGAAACCCTGTGTCTACTAAAAATATAAAAAATTAGCTGGGCATGGTGGCGGGCGCCTGTAGTCCCAGCTACTGGGGAGGCTGAGGCAGGAGAATGGCGTGAACCCGGGAGGTGGAGCTTGCAGTGAGCCAAGATTGTGCCACTGCACTCCAGCCTGGACGACAGATCAAGAATCCGTCTGAAAAAAAATAAAAAGAAAGAAAGAAAGAAAAAAAAAAAGACCCTGCCAGCCTACCCTTCAGTTTGGGCAGGACTTAATCCATGCTTGGTCTCATAAACCTCCCATGGATTCTGAGGCCAACTTTGAGATGCCATTTACAGGACAACTGATATAGCACGCATGATTGGACTTTTGGAATTGCAGAGTGTCACAAGGAAGTTATTATTATTATTGCTGCATTGTTATTTTTATATATTTTATTTTGGGGGAAGAGAGTTCCTGGCATCCCTTTATTCACAGAAATATATTCTAGAGCCATCCTGAATATGGAACATTTCAAATAAACCATTGAATAGAATCTGTGATTACTTTTTAAAATACAGTTTTTTATTCTAGAAAAATCTCAACTGGGTGCAGTAGCTCATGCCTATAGTCCCAGCACTTTGGGAGGCCAAGGAGAGCAGATTTCTTGAGCCCAGGAGTTTAAGACCAGCCCTGGGCAACATGGTGAGACCCCATCTCTAAAAAAAAGAAAGAAGAAAAATCTCAAACTTGTCAGAGATTAAACAGAAAGATAAATGATCAGGATGATTTTGAAGGTTTTTTTTTTTTTTTAGTTTGCAAGTGTATTTATATATTTTAACCCACAAATCATCTGTGGGTGCAGGGGGTATTGAATGTGTGTATATGTGCACACATGCACACACACCCATGTGAGTACATGTGTACGTAGATACACCTTGGCTGTAACGTCTAAATTTTGAGTTCCCCAAGGGCAGAGACTGTGTCTTCTTTCCTGTCCCTCACACAGAGCCTGGCACATGACTGATGCTCAATAATTACTTGTTGAGTGAAAGAAAGTGAAGACAGTCCGGTCAATAAGAAAGAGCTGATGTAGCAACCTTCCCCTGGGCAGCACCTTGATGGGCCGTGACCTTCTGTCAGTTACCAGCGGAGGAATGGGGCAGGGGAAAGGGACTGAATTGCTAATGCTATGAATCTGCAAAGTACCAGGAACTATTTCCCAGGGTTGTCACTGCGCTCACCCCTGCACCCTCATCAGAGGTTGGCTTTCTTCTTCATGTGCACACATATGCATGCACACACACACACAAACACACACATTCTCTCCTGTAAGGGCCTGAATGGCTTCTGCCATTCCTGATATTGTCATCTTCAGTGCTCTGTGTCACCTCCCCTCCCTCTTTGAAGACCTTAGCACCTGGATCTCAGTCTACATCCTAGAGGACCTGTGTCAGGGCTGATGGTCTGTCCAATCCCCTGGAATCTCAGGTGGCCTTAGCTGCAGTAGACTGGAAAATAGCCTCTCTTCCTTATGGCTTCTCCCATCAAGATGAGGAGTCTAGTTCTCTTCCCCTTGATTTTGGACAGGACTCCATGCTCCCTTTGGCCAATGGAAAGAGGCAGAAGTGATGTTGCACACATTCTCAATCTGGGTCTAAGCTGCATGACGAGACACAGAATGCCTGGTCACCTCCAACACCCAGCCAATGGCCAGTCAACCAACCCCCAGCCATGTGAGTGAGGCCATCTGAGACCAACCATGCCAGCTGACCTCAGACATATGAGCAAGCCCAGCCAAAATCAGCCAAGCCTGGCCAAGATCGGCAGGACTTCCCAGCTGACTCTAGACACGGGAGCAATAACAAATGGTTGTTTCCAGCCACTAGGTCTGTGGGTGGTTTGTCCCCCTTCAGTGATATCCCTGCACTGTCTCAGCTGCCACTCCATGACCCTTTTACCCAGAGCCACAACACCCCTGAAATGGGTGACCTAACTACCTACTCTTGGACCTGAGCCCCTGGGACCTCCAGCCCCTCCAGCCCCTCCACCCTCTTATTTTCACTGCACCTGTCCTTCGGTCTCCACAAAACCGCCAACTTTTTCTTCCCCTCTGAGTTTTCCCAGTCTGCCCTTCCAGGCTTTCCTTTCTTCCCAATCCCACCTAGGTCCCATGGTCTATCCCATCATCCATGCTTTGCCAGTGGCTTCCGTGCCTTTGTCCCTTGTCTTTCCATCACACCCTTAGAAAAAAACCCACTCCTGGGTCACTCCAACAGTCCCCTTGTATGCTGCAGCATCCGTGCTGCTGAAGGAACTCACCCACCCACGAGTTCATGCTTATCAGTGGGGGTCCTCTGCCGCCCACCAGACCCTTCGAGTTTTCTTGTTACATGGCCCTCTGAGACCTGTCCAGGCCCTCACCTCTCCTCCCTCCTTAGTGAATGCCCTGCACATCCCACAAGCAGGTGACCTCCCTTCCTACTTCACAGAGACACAAGGCCATCGACATCCTGCAGCCACCTGGAAATGTGTCTGCCTCCCTATACCCCTGTTTTCCTCCCACTTTCTACAATCAGAAAGTCATCCTTCTTTTTGCCCAAGACTTCCTCCTACCTGGACTTCCTACTTCGTAACAGTCAGGCTGCCATGGTGGTTACTAGCACAGGATTCAGTGTCAGATGATGTGGGTAGGTAGAAAGTCCTCTGCACACATGACCTGGCCTTGCCACCATGGAAGGGTGACCTGGAGAGCTGAGGACTGAAGGACCCATTTCTCTTCTAGCATAAGATCTCCTCCTGTCTCTCTGTCTCTTTCTCTCTCTGTCTCACTTCTCTCTCTCCCTATCTCCCTCATCTGTATGTCTCTGTATGTGTCTCTCCCTCCAGATGCTCATCGTGTGTGTGTGTGTGCGCATATATGTGTGTAGAGAAAGAGAAACACACACACACACACACACACAGAGTAGAGCGGAGCCCAGAGGGTGACAAGGGATGATCCTGGAGAGGTGGGGAGGAAACCCGCCAGGGTCTGGTGGGGAGCCTTGAAGGATTTTAAGCCAGGGAAAGACATGGTCCAATTTGCATTTTAGATAAATCGCTGTGAGAGGAGAGTGGAGAATGGGGTGAGCTGGAGACAAAGAAGCCAGCACAGAGCTGTCAGGGGAACTCGCCTGGCCGGAACCCAGGAAGCCTCACTGGAGAGGGGCAGGGGGAGGCAGAGAGGGGGAGGCAGAGAGAGACAGACATGGAGGGACGGGAAAGACCCACAAAACAGAGAAAACAGAAAGAGAAAGAGGTACAAACCAAGAGAGCATCTCAGAGACACGATGAGAACACAGAGAAGCAGAAACAGAAACAAAATGGGGAGGGGAAGAGAAAGACAGAAATTCCATCCATCCAAGGAAAGTGTGGCAGAGAAACCCGACAGGAGATGTGGGCAGGTGCGGGTGATCTCCGCAGGACCCTAGGCTCCCTGGCCCTCGTGGGACCCCCTCCCTCCACTCTCTCTGCCACCCCTGGAGGTACTGAGCCTGAGGGAGAGAGGCAGAGAAGAGAAAAATAAAAAAAAGAAATAGAGAAGAGGATGGGGTGGGATGGAGGAAGCGTGAGGGAGGGCGACCTCCACACAGGCCAGGCCCAAGAAGCCCAGTGGCCATAGCCCCAGCCGAGCTCCTTAACGGGCTGGTCTCTGCAGTTCCAGCCTTTACACATCCTGAGACAGATTTATAACTGGAAGTCTATTTGAGTTTATCAAGCAGGAGAGCAAGGCGGAGTTGGATATTTCTCATTTTGGTGGTCCCCAGAGGTCCATGTCTGCATTAGCGAACTGGAGACATCATCGTAGATTCATTCCCCTGCCCTTCCTTATAAAGAAACGGGAAGAAAAAGCTAAAGGACAGAAATGCTTGCCTCAAAGAACAACACAAAAATCCAACTAGAACTGGGCAGCCCCATTCGGAACAGGGAGGCTATCGACTCCAGCTGGGGCCAGTGACACGGATACCTGCCCCCATTCCCACATGTCCTCCCCGGCACGGCTTTACCTCCTCAGTTCTCCTCCTGCCCAAGAGAGGATAAAGACTCTAGTCCAGGCTCTCACAGACTCCCTTTGCCCCTCAGAGAGAAGCCACGGAACATTGGGACCTCTCCCAGACATACGGAAAAACTGTGCCTCAGAGTGAGGCCAAGTCTGCAGGCCCACCCCACCTTCCAATCACTGGGTGACCCGAGACAGGTCACTTAGCCTCTCTGAGTTTAGCTTTCTTCATCTCTAAGATTGAACCCCAACCAGGTGCCAGGTGCCAGACTTGAGTGGATCTGCTAAAATCATCTATGTGAAAAAGCCTTCTGTAAACTGAAGAGGGCAGTGCCCGTGTGATCTGTCCAGGCAACGGAGGAGATCATGTAGCACTTCCTCCAACATAGTGCCTGTCTCCTCTCTAGAAATGTGCCAGGGTATCAGACCTCAAACCCTGACCCCTGGCTCACATCACCCTTACTCTCTTTGTGCAAGTCTTATCTTTCCACATGGCCAGATTGATGGAGGGTCAAGGCTCAGGAGGCATGCCCAGGGCCCAGAGAGGAAACATCCACTTGAGCTGCTTCTCACGGAGCTGGTCAAAGAGCTGCCAGGCCAATGCCAGGGCTGGGTCAGGGCAGCTCTGGAGAGAACAGAAATGGGCTCCTGGGAAGAAACCAAGTGACGGGCGGCTTCCCAGGGCAAGCCTGGGCCATTTCACAAAGGAGAACAAGCCTTGAGACCATCCGCATTTAACTGAGGGTCTCTGGCCAGACCCCAAGCAGAATAGCAGCCAAGGAAAAGCAGGCTGGTGACCGGAGGCCAGAGGGGACCCCTGTCAGCTGGGAAGACAGCCTACCCACCTCACCGCACCAGATTCAACAAAAGGAACCAATCAGCCACGTTTGGGTTGGTGGGGGCGGGGGTAGGACACAAGGGCTGAGACAAGTGTGAGGAGGAGCACGATTCTGTCCATAAACATCTCAATAGCATGATTAACTGAGCATTGCAAATTGTAACCCTTTCCTTTAATGCACTTTCCCTGAATTACCGCAGGAGCCTGTGGCCGAGGAGCCCGTACAAATTGCTAGAATGGGCAGTTAAGCGGGGAGGTCGGAGGTTAAATGAACACGGTTGTTTATGAAGACACAGCCCGAATCCATTTGCATTTTAATATTCTCTCAGTGAGACGGAAAGCCACTTTGAGGACAGCTTGTTTGGAAATCCCATTAACGGGTTATTTATGGGGCTCGTGGCTGCGTGACCCTTGCCCTTGTTTTGTTAAACATGAACCAGACATGAATCAGACGGGCAGCCGGCTAGCTGCTATTGTTTCCTGTAGCACAAAATGTCATCGGATTCAATTATTCTGAGGCTGACACTTTCTGAATTATCACCCTCATAATGCTCAATTTTCCCTTTTTTCCCCTTTGGTCAACCTGATTATTTCTGTCTTTGTAGAAAGCTGAACTCTTGAAGCAGCCATTTCGCCACCACTGGCTGTCAAGGGGGCTGGAGGCACTACCATTTGGGGCTGGATGAGGCCCCCGAGAGGCTGCCAGCCTGGGGGGATGGATGGCGCAGGTGGTGTTGGGGAGAAATCCACCCACTGGACAGCTGGCAGCCTCTTCACCCCACTTTTAGGTGGGGGGACAAGCTCCAGGGCCCTGTGTTTCCTTGAGAACTGAATTCGTGGGCTCTGTCACCTGCATCTCTGAAAAAGCCTTTTGATCAACATTGAAATTGATTTCTCTGAAAAAAATGAACTGGAAACATCATAGAGAAGGAGGTGGGCATGGAAAGTCAAGGGATATTCTGGCATGAAAAGTTCAGTGGATTAAAAAGTCTTATTTTAACTTAAATGATAAAACGGAGGCAGGGAATACTCCAAAGTGAGGAAACAGCCCAGAGTTTAGTCTCACGCTCAGATGTTTGCCATGTGGAGTCAATTCACCAGTTCTCAGATGGATTTGCCTTAAAGTGGATGTCATTTTAAAAGTAAAAAGGGATCCTGATGTCCTGGACCCCAAGTTTGGGCCATGGCCTGGGGCCATCTCTCCTCAGTACATTCCGGCTCCCAGCCTGGGCACATCCAGGGCCAGTAGGGCCACTCCATGGGTGTGGTATCCATGGCTTCTCTCTGGCTCAGGAGATTAGGAGGTGGTCAGTCTGTCTGGCCAGAGCTCTGCCTTGCAGCCCCACAGTCCAGCTCCATTCAGCAAAGTGTCACTGGTCTACTAGGCCCAACAGCCAGATCTGGGTGCTGGGAGAGGTGATGGAATCAGACTGACATTGTCACCTTCCCCCTGCCATATAAGCCATTATTTCAGAACAAGGAAAAGCTTTGACGGGCATCCCAAAATACCTGGGGATATTGTGACCCAGAGAGAAGGCAGGAGGAGCTCAGGTTGACAATTTGCCAGGCAAAGAACTGGTACTAGAACACAGGACTTATCCCTTTGGCATGGCTCCTTCTGTGACACAGAAAGCTGACATGGCACCTGCCTGTCTGGAATAAAAGAAGAGCTAGATGGCTGGGCATGGTGGCTCACGCCTGTAATCCCAGCACTTTGGGAGGCTGAGGTGGGGTGATCACTTGAGACCAGGAGTTCAAGAGTAGCCTGGCCAACATGGCGAAACCCCTTCTCTACTAAAAATACAAAAATTAGCCAGGCATGGTGGCACATGCCTGTAGTCCCAGCTACTCAGGAGGCTGAGGCAGGAGAATCGCTTGAACCTGGGAGGTACAGGTTGTGGTGAGCCAAGATTGCGCCACTGCACTCCAGCCTGGGGGACAGAGCAAGGCTCTGTCTCAAAAAAAAAAAAAAAAAAAAAAAAAAAAAAAAAGACGTGCTAGAGCCCAAGGAAGCGCCTTGGGATGGGGTTTGGGAATGAGAATACCAGTAACCAGGTAGCACGTGCTAGATCCCATCATGCTGACCACTCCAGGCCTTACCTGCCTGGCTCCCCACAGCCTTGCCAAGGGCTATCTCTGGCTGCTGGAGCCCACTTTGCCACCTTCAGGGTAAAGATGAGAAAAGCCAAGAAATTAAAACCAATACATTGATGGAGCAGCCCTCCATGATGACTTTTAGGATTGGGCGTGATAAACAGCCCAGCTTCCCAGCCCTCATGGAGGCTAACTCTAAGGAGCACGGTCTCCTCTGCCTCCAGTTACCCACAGGGGTGGCTGACTTGATGCAGGACTCTTTACTGCTCCCCTAGTCCCCCAGCCCTGACATCTCACTTCCCCACTCCCCTCCCTCACTCCCAAATAAACGATTTGTACTTAAGTTACTGTCTGGGGGGCATCTGACCTCAGCATTTACACTACTCAAGGCTGTACCCAAAGGGGGCCAACCTGGGGTGGGCATGAGAGGGCGCAGGCCTGAGCGCCCTGCTCCCCCCTGCCCAGGTGCAGGGACTGCTGCGAGAGCACCTGCATCTTCTCAGGAACTCTCTTCCTAACACTTGCCGCAAAAGCCTTTCCACCAAGTTTAAAATAGATTTCTCCTTATGAATGGGCCGTCTGAGGAATTCTCCTCCAGTGGTTAATTCAATCTTAATAGAAGCTGATTTTTTTTCTCCCAGAAGAGAAGGGAACAATACATCTTTAGAACGGGTTTATAAGTGTCATGATTTTTTCTACTAATTTACGCTGCATTCTCTGCTTTAAAATGTGAAATTACCTCATTGTGTCTCTGAATAGCCTCTGTGCTTGGGCCTGAAATTAAGCTTGCCGGAGAGAGGCCTAAATGACCACAATTTGCTGTGTGAAATGCCCTGATTGCAAGAGCAATCCCCAGCAATCCCCAGCTTCAGCACAGCCCAGCTCACTCAGGCTGATTGGCCTTCCCCATGCACGAGGCTTTGCCAAATACACCTGATGCTACCTGCCGTGCGGGGGAGGGGCGGTAGCGGGGAAGTTGCCCGCCTGGGCCGATTCATCTTCAGTCCCCACACAAGCCACCTCCCAGGAACAAAAGAGGATATGCTCCCTGCTCAGCCACCAGGTAAACAGGGTGGCCCCACAGATAAACACGGCCCATGGCCCACCAGTCCTCCCCCGACCAACATCTCACAGCCAGCACAAGTGTTTCTAACCCTCCACAGCCTCCGGATTGCTCCTCGTTCTTCGTCAATTGCCCTGTGGTCCTCAGCTCTTTCCACTTCTCCCAGGGTTTAGCCTCTCATGAGAAGATTCTGTGTCACTGGGTGCCAGGCCCAGCCTGGGCTGGGGGTGAGGAGGTCAGACTCCTTGAGTTCGAATCCAAGCTTACTATGTGACTGTGAGTCACGCATCACTTCCCCGTGTCTCAGTTTCCTCCTCTGTAAAATGGAGACAGTAATATGCACAAAAATAGAGTTGTCAGTAGGATGAAGAGAATGCAGTGAAAGTGTCTGGCTATGCTGGTTGCTCAGTCAGTACTAATGGGTCTGTTTCAGGCCACAAACTCAGGTGTGCATAAATTTTAACTTTATTTTTCTATAACGCACACTAATGTCTCCTTTTCCTATAACACACACTAAGTGGATTCATTTCCACGCAATGAAAAACACTTTCATTTGGGAGAAAAGCAAGCTGACCTGGGAGAGTCTAGAAGCTGAGATTGGCTCAACACGTGCATCTTCTCTCATGTGCCCAGAGGCAGACATCCCTGCTTCCTGCTCCAGGTTTCCAGGTGGGGGTTCAAGACCCCTCGACCCGGAGTCATGAGTGGCCCTCAACCCAGCACCAGAGCTCCGCCTGGACTCATATACTTGGGACCAGCCCCCTCCTCCACCCAACTGTCCCCAAAGGACCAGCAGTTCCTCCTGGGCTCCTGGGCCTTTTTAACCATTGTGGTTTGGGAACAAAGACAGCCACTGGCTTCAGCTCCAAGGTCCTACCTGCTTGGCTTCCACCCTCCAAGTTTTCCTGGAGCAGCAGAGAACAGATTCACTCATTCCACCTGGTCTCTCAGGCTGAATCCTAGCGTCATAGCCTCAGGGAGTGTCCGAGTGGGCGGGGCTCCAGCTAGCATTTTCATTTCCTGGGACTGCCTTAACAAAGCACCACAAACTGAGTGGCTTAAACAACAGAAACAAAGGGTCTCACGGTTCTGCAGGCTGGAAACTTGAGATCAAGGCACTGCCAGCGTTGGTTCCTTCTGAGGGCTGTGAGGAAGACTCCGTTCCTCACCCCTTTCCTAGCTTTGGGTGGTTTGCTGGCAATCTTTGGTAATCCTTGGCTTGTAGACACATCACCACAATCCCTGCCTTTATCTTCACGTACGGTTCTCCATGTGGCGTGTGTGTACAGGGTATGCGTGTCTATCTCCAAATTTCCCCCTTTTATAAGGACGCCAATTACACTGGATTACGGCCCACCCTAATGACCTCTTTTTAACTTGATTGCCTCTGTAAGACCCTATTTACCTCTCTGAGATGGGGAGAGAGGTTGGACTTCAACATATGAATTTTAGGGGGACACGATTTAACCCATAACAGCTAGCCATTCCCTTAGTTCATGGATGGGGATACTGATGGCCAACAGGGAAAGGGTTTGCCCCGCTCCATCAGCAACCTGGTTTCAGAGGTGAGATTCCAACTCAGGACTCTCTTAGCCATGACTCATCTCTGACCTCTTGACATTATAGCCTGGGGGAGGTGGGAGAGGCCTGAAGGAAAAAACTTGGCTGTGACCCCATAGGGCTAAGAGTGACTGCATCTCTGACGGGTCCCATCCAGGCCCAGAAGCTGGGCCCACGCACCCTGCTCCGAGCTGAGTGTTCCTAATGGTCAATCAGGCTGTACCAAAGAGCTTTTTAATAAACATCATTCATCTTATTCCGGTGCCAGCAATGGGACTGGCTCATACACAGGGAACACAAATCCTAAATGCAGCATTAAAATGATTTTAATGTTCACCGTCAAGTGCCAAAGCTTGGGGCTCCCATCTCCACCGCAGCCCATCTTGACGTGGAAGTTGGGATCCTGAAAGGCAATTTTGTTAATGCTACTGGGAGGAGCATTCAGGTCTGGAAACTCATCCATCATCTTAACACACTTCAGGATGGACTGGGAAGATAAAGCTTTCATTTTCTGTGCCAGGCGGAGCCTCTTCAATTAGGCTCTGAGGGATGCAGGGGAGGGTGGGAGCAGGGATGGGCACCCTGAGGGTGGAGGGAAGGGGATGGAAATTCCTTGTGTACAGAACAGCCTGGGGTCAGGGGAGTGGCACAGACCCTCCCTTCATCCTGTAAAATAAGGAAGCAGGCTGGGTGCAGTGGCTAATGCCTGTAATCCCAACACTTTGAAAGGCTGAGGCAGGAGGATTGCTTGAGGCTGGGAGTTTGAGATCAGCCTGGGCAACACGGCAAGACCCCATCTCTACAAAAAAAAAATTTTTTTTAATTAGCCAGGTGTGGTGGTATGCATCTATAGTCCTAGGTACTCAGGAAGCTGAGGTGGGAGGATCGCTTGAGCCCAAGAGTTCAAGGTTACAGTGAGCTATGATCATGCCACTGCACTCCAGCCTGGGTAACAGAGCGACACCCTGTGTCCTAATAAAACAAAATAAGCACAGTATAGAAAATGAAGGGCGGGGTCTGCCCCAGTTCTGGTGGGGGAAGCTCAAGGTCTGAGTCACAAAGAAGGCCCTGGGAGAGTGAGCAGAGGGGTCAGAAAACAGCAACCTCAGAAGGGGTCCCGGCTGAGCTCTCCCTCTGCAGCTAGGAAGGGAAAGGGGACAGCTCCAGGACATGGACAAGAGGCCATGGCTGTGCCACAAAGAGAAGTCACCAGACTCAGAGGCTAACATAAGTAGACTGCTGGTAGGCTTGGAGCAAGCCAGGAGGACTTCCCCAGAGGAGGGGCTAAGTAAAATGCAAAGTTTCCCTGAATTTGGACTTGGGGTAGGGTATTTGTACTGCCACTTATATCTTTATCCTGATATATTGTCACCTGCCATGGCTGGACTTCCCCAGAGTCGATTGATTATTGATCAGGCTGCCAATAAGTCAACTAGGAATTTACTGAGCAATATCCACTAGGTGCTTAATGGGCCTTGCCCTCTGCCTATCAGCCAAGAAACATTTATTGGAACTCTCCAGTAACAACAACAACAATAATAATATGACAGCTACAGCTTATTGAGCACTTACTATTCATTTTAACTGCTTTACATGTACCATTCATTGCTTTTCTTGCCTGCTTCATCTTCCATCTCTCCCTGCCTCCTGCTTTATGCCCCAGTAATACCTGTCTGCCCACAGAGTGATTCATATCTGACACCCATGCTATTTCCCTGTGCAGAGCACCTTGCCCATCCTTCTTCAACTTACCATCCTCTTATTCTACAGATGTCTGCTTAGGGATCACCTCCCCAGGAAGCCCACCTGAGCTCCAGCTGGAGCTCAGAGTCCTTCCTACATGTTCCCAACTGCTCCCAGCTGAGAAGGCAAATGGAATCATGATATTCCCATGGCTTCATCCACAGCAGACATCACTAATAGATCACCACACTGTTTCTGAGAACTTCTCGGGGCTCGGCCAGAATTGCCTGCCATGAATGCACAAAATGGGTGATTAAATCAGATAGCTGACCTGCAGAGCTTAGCATAACACCTGGGTCATAGTGGCACATGTTCAGTGCTGTTGCATCATTGTGTCCCAACCCTGTCTGCCCCCACCCCACCTAGGACCCACATTTTGTCACCTTCTTGGTGGGGGAGTGGAGGGGAGAAGAGGCCTAATAGACAAAGAACAGAACAAGACGAGAAGGGCCCTTTCTAGGGAAGAATGTGAACCAATAAAAGCAGGGGAACAAATGGCCTGTGACTTCTGCCCACAGCTAGGGATGGGTATCTGTCTGAGCCTGGGTCAGATCAAAGGGTAGAGTCTCTTGGAAGGATGGGAGAGGAGGCCAGTATGGGGCACGTGGTTGACTTTTTTGCTTCCTAAACCTAAATAACTACCACTCGCAGATCCTTTACCTACCCAGCACTGCACAAAGTACCTTACATGCACACCATGCACACACTTCATCTCTCCATCCCCAAAACCACTCCATAGAGTTGATATTATTATCCCCATTTTACTAGTAGGGAAACTGAAGCCCCAATGGATTCCTTGTCAATATGGGGCTTTTGACTCCAAAGCTCTTCTACAGCACACCCTACCTTTCTGTCCCGTGACTGCTTACCTTTGAAATAAAAACTCTGTGTGTGTGTGTGTGTGTGTGTGTGTGTGTGTGTGTGTGTCTGTGTGTGTGTGATGGGAGTAACAGGGCTGGGGAGGCTTGGCAGAATTTAAAAACAGACCCTAAAGGTTCACAAGGGCATATGTAAGTAAGGAATAGAATTGCTCTAAAAGCAAATACAGAAACTAAATAGCATGTGCCTGCCCAACACCTCATTTCTTCCTTTTGTTCAACCTGCTTTCCTCCCCCAGCCACCTACTCTTGGTCTGATGGCCCTTTCACAGTTGCCTAAAAAATCACAGGAAGGGCAGGAGGCTCCCTCATCCTGGATCCACACTGTTTCAAGTGACCAGTGACCAGGAGTCTCTTTTTTCTGAAAATGGAGCGGTTTCCTTGTGTTCTATGTAAATCAGCTGTGTGTAAATGTGCATCTTTAATGGAGGATCTGTCAGGTTGGGCTGGGGTCTGGCTGGGATGGAAGAGGACAATAGATTCCACACTCTGGGATCAGGCCTGCAGGGAGGGGACTGTGGGGCTCAGGAGGCTGGGAGAACAGGAGCCAGATGCAGGGGTCGGAGAGCAGGAGTGACGAAGCCCAGGGCTGAGCCTTGCTGAGACCTGGAGCCTCAGAACCAAGGTGGCAAGGAGCAGAGAGCCTGTAGTGACAGCTGGGCTGGGGGAGTGCCATGTGCTGGGGTGAGGAGGAGAGGCCTCGGGCTCTGGGGCAGCTGGGCCACCCCCTGGGTGCCAGGAAAAGGCCTCAGGGCAGCCTCAGAGCTCCTTCGGCAAGGGTTGTGCGCTAACCGAGGTACTGCAATTGACTGAGGGGCCCCATGTGGCCTGCACTGCAGGAAGTGACCCGCTTAGGTTCCACAAAGCAGGATAAGGCTCCGCACAGCCCCTGATGGATACAGTGGCACTCAGTAAATGGTAGTGTTGATATTTAAGTCTTTAATTGCAAGTAAAAATAAGGCCATTCTCATTAGCTTAAGCAGAAAGGAGGAATTTATCATAAGGACCTGGGGTGTCTCCTGGATCCCAGGGGGAGGATGGAGCTGGCGCTGGCCTCTCTCCATCCCCTGCAGTGCCTCTCAAGTCTCCTCTCCCTGCAGACCAGCTCCTTCCACCTTGGCGTGGAGTGAAGTGCCACCCCACCACCCCTGAATTCACAGGTCTGAATTTCTGCCCCTCCAGAGCCTCATCAGCTCTCAAGCCCAGTTCCAAATTCCCTGGAGAGACAATCTCGCTGGCCCAGCTTGGGCCAGGGGTCTAATCAGTCATGGCTAGGGGAGCGGGG
This sequence comes from Homo sapiens, assembly GCF_000001405.40. NCBI lineage: Eukaryota > Metazoa > Chordata > Mammalia > Primates > Hominidae > Homo > Homo sapiens. Next base: position 38,238,838 of record NC_000001.11, on the reverse strand, counting down.
ATTGCATCACCGTCATTCATTTACTTAATCATTTGTTCATTTAACAATGATTGATGGAGCACCAGCAATGTGCCATGCCTGCTATAGATGCAGGCAACCAACAGAAAAAGCCTCTGCCCTCAGGGAGCTTACGTTCTAGTTCAGAGAAGACAGAAAAGAAACAGCTGACAAATGCACAGGATGTCAGGACAGCAATATGGCGGGGCAAAGAGAGAGCTGGGTGGGGACAGGGATGAAATTCCGTAAGGTGGACAAAGAAGACCTCATAGGCAAAGTGACATTTCACGAGAGGCCTGAAGGAAATGAAGGAGACAGGCAGTCTGAATTGGGGGGAAGAGCCCTCCAAGCAGAGAAAAGCAGGTGCCAAGGCCCTGGGGCAGGAGGCTTGGGATGGGCCGAGGACAGGCAGGGCCTTCAGTGCTGCTGGAATAAAGCTCACCATGTGGGAGAGGAAGGAGAAGAGCTCAGAGAGTGGCAGGGCCCAGATAGGACAAGGTCTGTGGGCCAGTATGGGGCGAGACATCATGAAAGTTCTGAATGGCATAATCTGATTTTCGTTTCACAGGGCGTAGCGTCTCAGAACCTCCTATGCACAGCCTCAAGTCCTCTGGGCCTCACTCACCATCACTAGTGCTCTTGACCTCTTGTTTTGCCCCAGCTGCTGCCACAGGGACTGACTCCCCAGGTGAGCTCCATCCCAGCCACAGCTGCAGGGACCCTGCAATTCTGCAGGCTGGGGCCACCTCCAAGTCCGCAGGATCCTTCCTTCACTTCTGCACCCAGAAAAAATTACACCAAAAGGCATGTTTTCTGATTTCTTCAGAGTCACTGAAGGGGTGGGTGACAAAACCCAGGAATGCAGGAGAGTTGATGCTTCATGGGGCAAGCCTTTGTAGGAGATGAAAGGAAATCTGAGGATAAATTCTCTCTACAACCCACCCCCATCACCAGATTTTCAGGTCTATTCAGATACGGCATGAATGGCATAGTCCATTTTCATGCTGCTAATAAAGACATACCTGAGACTGGGTAATTTATAAAGGAAAGAGGTTTAATTGACTCACAGTTCATCATGGCTGGAGAGGCCTCAGGAAACTTACAATCATGACAGGAGGGGAAGCAAACACGTCCTTCCTCACATGGCACCAGCAAGGAGAACTGCTGAGCAAAAAGGGGAAAAGCCCTTATAAAATCATCAGATCTCATTAGAACTCACTCACTGTCATGTGAACAGCAGCATGGGGGTAACTGCCCCCATGATTCAATTACCTCCCACCAAGTCCGTCCCATGACATGTAGGAATTATAGGAGCTACAATTCAAGATGAGATTTTGGTGGGAACACAGCCAAACAATATCAGATGGTCCTGAAGCAAGAAGATATACCTGGGACCAAGCCATCAGCTACACTTGTTACAAAAATGTGTGTCAACAAAGCTCAGCATTACAGTTCCTTTGGTTTGCTCTCCTTCTCTCCCTGCCTCACTCCCCACTGCCCTCAATCTTGCTACCAAGGGTCTGAACTTCTCATTAATGTGATTACACGAGTTTCTGCCTCAGGCTCTGTCTTCTGGGAGGACTAAGGCAGTTGGTACTAGGCATGGCCCTCAGGATGGGATTTAGGAACCAGATTGCCCACCCATCTGAAGACAATAAGGGACCCCATTGCTGGTGGAAAACAGAGTGGTGACCTCTGGTATGCAGGGCTTCACCAGGGCTAAACTTTCACCTGTAGTTAGTGAGATGCAGTACTAGGAAGAAGGCAAGAAGCTTCGGTGCTTGATCAGTCTGGAGGAAATTATAAGGACTATGGTGAGGGTTCACTGTTTTTGACAGCCAGGAAAGCCTTGCAAAATAAAATAGTGGGTCCAGGGAGGCTAATTGCCAGCTGAAGGCATGCCTTGGAAGGCAGAGGACCCCGTGGCATCTTTAAAGGAGACTCATCTCCTCCTGCCACAAAGCAGACTCTGCTGAAAATTGGGTTCAGGATTTGATTACTAAGGGAGAGACCTGCAAAGGAAATGAGTGCATAGTCTCACAGGTGACCTTAAAGTCTGTAACAGGTAAGGCGTGGAACCCTGACGTAATGGATGAGAATATTTGTATAGATAAGCCTGAAAATCTTGAACCGCAAATTCCCCCTCTGTGCTAGAAGAGGCAACCCCTCCCCTTTGCTGGTAGAGAACAGCCTGCTGTCACCTGGGGACCATGCAATGCCGCCACCCACAGCAGAGTGAGCTGGAAAGGTAAGATGGTGTTCAGAAAGTAGGATGCTTGAGATTTTGGAGGGGATACAGTTATTGTTAGTGATAAGCACTGGGGTGTGACCTTGAGAGTGACAAGTGGGATTAGGTGGAATGAAGGGAGCCAGGGAAGTGAGACGCAAGGCTCAGAGAAGGATCGTCTCTACGTGTGATCACCAAGAAAGATCGTCTCTGCAGAAATCACCAAGAAGGATCGGTCTCTATGGAGATCACCAAGAACTGAGACAGGGCAGTGTTGCAGAAAGAGTGCTCAGCATTTAAATATCTTCAGGGAACGGTAGAGGGGAGTGACTAGGGCTCTCTAGATGACTGCAACAAGGACTATCAAAGAGGTGTGGTCTGATGGCACAACTTCAAAGCCACAGTTTCGGGGGGGATGCGCAGGAATAAATGATCTGAAAGAGGCAACAAGGAGCAGGGAGGACACCTACCCCACCTACCTGTGGTTCAGGGGCTGCGGGAATATGAACAACCACCACTTGAGAGGGATTCAGGAAAGGCAGCATCCTTGAAGGGGAGCTGAGTTTTCTCTAGAGTAAGAAGGAGAAGGGGAGCATTCAGGGACAAGGATGAGGTTACAGGATATTTTTCTGGTGACTAACCATAGGAAGCGCAGTGGAAGGATTTGAGGAGTAGGAAAAACAGAGAGTTAAGTCATGTTAGGGGATGTACAGAGCCAAATGAGGATCAGAGAGCAGAGGTTGAGGAGTAAGCTGGGAATCTGGGGATTTCGCAATGACTAACTTCAAAAAGGGTAAAAAGCATAACAAGATTTGTCTGGATAGCCTCCAAGGCGGATGGTTGTGGTGAGGCTGTGTTGGGAAAAGAAAGAAGGGGACCTTGAGGAACATCAAGCTCTGGGGTCCCCCCTTTTTTGAGACAGGGTCTTGCTCTGTCACCCAGGCTGGAGTGCAGTGGTGCCGTCACGGCTCACTGCAGCCTCGGCTCCATGATCTCAAGTGATCCTCCTGCCTCAGCCTCCCTAGTAGCTGAGACCACAGGTGTGCACCACCACACCCAGCTAATTTTTATTTTTTGTAGAAATGGGGTCTCTCTATGTTGCCCAGTCTGGTCTCGAACTCCTGAGCTCAAGCTATCCTCCCACCTTGCCTTCTAAAGTGCTGGGATTACAGGTGTGAGCCACTGCACTTAGCCTGGGGGCCCCCTCTTTAATCTTGCCAAATGCATACAGACCTGACTGCTGGGGCCCAACCCTGAGGATCAGAAAGAAGAGAGGTCAGATTCTAGAGAAGGCATGGGTAGTCATGAGCTGGACAGACACCCCAAAAGGTTGAAATCTGAGTCCAATTCCTCACTCTGCCTTAGCTGAGTGATCTTGGGCAAGTCCCTGAGCCTCTCTGAGCCTGTTTCCTCATCTATAAAATGGAAAGGTAATACTTCCATCATTCCATCATGGGATTATTGGGAGGAGCCTATGAGATGGGCAGTAAAGAGTACTGAGTGCAGAGCCTAGCTCATCCCAAGCCCTTGGGAAGAGGTCGCTCTTTGTTTAAAGAGACTGTGCACTTAAACCATGCAATCTGGTGTGGAACCTTGACTGCAAATTTCAGAAGGTCTCCCCAGTTCTGATCCCTCTTTCCTCAGCAATGTCTGTTGGAGCTCTTTGGACTGAATATTTATTTAAAAAATGACTAGACGGGGAATGAATGAAACCCTCATCATGGAATGAACTACATGGTTTTCTAAAATGTTAACTTTAGTATACACATAGACATGGCATACTCCAAATACCCTACAGAATAGGTCTGATGTCTATACCTGGGCCTCCACACTGGGGTCATAGTAAACCTCCAAGATAGAAGTAACTGAGGTCCCTGTCCTTAGCACCTGAGAATGCTCCTTTGTGTCTAGCATGGATTCATTCTAGACCCATCATTTCCTTCTATCAAGGCATGTTTAATCATTTAATAATTTTTTGAGTGCCTACTGTGTGCCATGACTTGTATCAGACAGTTCATTCAAGAAAACAGAAACTGGAATTCCTAGGAGACAGGTACTTTAAAAAACTTTGAAAGGGCTGGAAGGACATACGTTAATGAAACCCACTGCTATATCTTAAGAAGTTGCATGAAATAAGGAAAATTGCCAAAATGGTTGTTCCTACTTCCAGGGCTAAGGTGGATAATTTCAGGAAAACCCCCAGAGCCCACCGCAAACATCTCACATTTACCAAAACCCACGCATCAGCCCATTGCTTCTGGAAGAACAGTAACATAGATTCTGCTTCTCTTCCACCTTCCAAATCTTATGTGTGCCATCAGCAGGATCAAAACAGGGATTCTGGAAAATGTAATTTCCAAGTGACTAGCCCTTATGGTACAAGAATGTGCAAAGAAGAGGGGAAATGGTGCTGAGCTGCTACCTGACAGTCCAGCATAGCTCTGTGCTAGGTGTGGGGCTATGATGGAAAACAAACAAAGCTCTTGCCCTCTTGGAGCTTATATTCCATGGAGAAGCCAGATGAGAAAATGAATTTAGCACAGGTAATGTCATTAATGAATGTTATGAAGACAAATCTGGGTAAGGAAAGAAAGAGACAGATTGGGATGTCCTTTTAGTTAGGGTGGTCAGAGACTTGAATAAAGTAAGGAAGCCATGTGGACATACAGGGGCATAATGTCCCCTGCAGAGGGGACAGCATGTCCAAAAGCACTGAGTCAGGAGGATGCTTGACCTGTTCAAGTAACAGCAAGACCATTGTGGACAGAGCAGAGGAAGAGAGGGGCACTGTGGTGGGAACTGAGATCAGAGAGGTGGGCAGAGTGGGATGGCACAGGGCCTTGTGGGCCATGGCAAGCACTTTTCTCAAAGTATGATATGAAAGCATTTGAGCAAAAGAGTAATATGATCTGACTTAAGTTTGTTTTTTGTTTTTTGGGTTTTTTTGAGGCGGAGTCTTGCTCTATTGCCAGGCTGGAATGCAGTGGCACGATCTCGGCCCACTGCAACCTCCACCTCCTGGGTTCAAGCGATTCTCCTGCCTCAGCCTCCCGACTAGGTGGGACAACAGGAGCGCACCATCCCCAGCTGATTTTTGTATTTTCAGTAGAGACAGGGTTTCACCATGTTGGTCAGGATGGTCTCGATCTCTTGACCTCATGATCCACCCGCCTCGGCCTCCCAAAGTGCTGGGATTACAGACATGAGCCACCGCGCCCGGCCCTGACTTAAGTTTTAACAGAATCACTCTGCTGTGTGAGAATTGGGGAGGGGGCAATGGGGGAAATGAAGCATGGGGCCCAATGAGAAGGCTACTACAATAGTCCAGAAGAGAAATGTTGAGGCCAGGATGTGGGAGCGGGGTAGACCAAGATGGTGGTAGAAGAAGTGGTGGGGATAGGTCAGATTCAGAATCTGTTTCAAAACAGAACTGGCAGGACTTGATGAATAGGAGGTGGGCTGTGAAAGAAACATGGGAGTCAAGGATGACTCCAAAATTGTTGACCTGAGCAACCAAGAGGTTGATGATACCATTGACTGAGGTGGGAAGAAGCAATGGGGGACAAGGGAGACAAATTAAATGTTTGACTCCTGACATGTTCAGTTTAATATCATTTTTATATATCCAAGTGGAGATATGAGGTAGAAAATTAGATATACAGGCACATAATTCAGGGAATAATTCAGATCCAAGGACAGACATTTGGAAACCATCAGCCAGCAAATGATGTCTAAAGCCATGGGACAGGAGGAAATCGCCCAGGGAGTGAATGCAACAGGAAAGAGAAGAGGTCAGGGACTGAGCTCCAAGGCTGATCTCAATGGCAGAGTAGTCTCCATTTCTCCAGCTGTAATTGCTCCAAATTCATATTTAAAACCAGAGCCTCATCTCTGTTCCTTAGAGCAAATCAGGGCCCTCTGTAACATCCCACAAGCCCTAGGATCCCTACTCTTCCAGGAGTAGATCTATGCCCATCAACTACTGGTTTCCTCTCAGATCTGTCCCCACCCTTTTCTGATCTCAGTATCTCAGGGAACTCCATTTCCTAGGCTCCCTCCCGCTCTAGCTTTCTAGCATTCAGCCAATGAAAGGCATCTGTAGAAGACTGGAGGGTGCCAGAGGAGAAGCCAGGGTACTTCTTCCCCTCTCTCACTATGACAGTGGCTGAGTCTGTGGCAGTGGTTATGCTTCTCCAGAACTCCAGCTCCTGCTAGCTCGCCCCCAGCTGGCAGCCCCCACTGAGACTCTGGCTCCCACTTGATGGCCTCCGTTTCTGGGCTTTGGTGACACCACCTCCTCCCACTGTCCTAATGTCCCTTAGGGTAGTAGCAGCTTCCAGCTGTTGCTAATCTCTAGCAGCTGCCTCACAGTCCTGTTTGGCTTCTCAGTGCTTCCATCACCAATCCCTGCATTCAATTCCCTCTGTTCCAAAGACCTAGAATGGTTTCTGTCTTCCTGGCTGGCCCCTGACTGATTCAGAGCCCTTTGGCAAAATGTCAGCAGCAGGTGTTTGTTACATGCAATTGGCTCCTCTTCGCTTTGTCCCTGCTCTTTTGTGCAGCAGGAGAAGAGAGACACTCTAGACCACCCAGGCTGTGGCCTGGAGGAAAACAACTTTCACATTTAGGGCAACTAAAAACAGTGCCCCTATCACACATCAGTCAATGAGCCTATGTTATGTCTCATGTCACACTATCTCCACCTTGCCTGGATTTTAACCATTTTATTCCTCCCTAGAGGTGGGTTCATGCAGTGTAGAGGAAAGAATCTAAGAAACCTTGTCTCCAACATTTACTGGGCATGCCGCTTTACTGTTCTGAGCCCAGTTTCCTTACATCTATAAAATTAATGTCAGGATTTCTTTGTTGTAGAGCTGTAAGATTTGATGTGATAATGTATATGAAAGCTTCAAGTGGCTGGTATATAATAGACTCAAAACATGTATTTCTTCTCCAAGGTGGTCCCCAACCTGCTCAATACTCATTCTTCATTCATTAATTCATCTCTCACTCATTCACTAATTTATAAGCATTTATTATACATCTATTATGTACCAAGAAATACTGTGGGGAATACACAGAAGAGTCAGACACAGTGCTGCCTTCAGGGAGTTCAGTCTCCTGGGGGTATTAAACACATCTATCATGACTCTAACACAGATAGAAAGAGGCACAAGAAAAATACCAACTGGGCCTATAAGAACTGAGAGAAAGAAAACTTATGGAGGACCAGCAAAGATCCTATGAAGGGGTTCTTAACTATTTATTTATTTGAGACAGTCTTGCTTTGTTGCACAGGCTGGAATATAGTGGCACAGTCTCAGATCACTGCAACCTCCACCTCCTGGGTTCAAGTGATTCTCATACCTCAGCATCCCAAGTAGCTGGGATTATAGGTATGCGCTATCATGCCTGGCTAATTTTTGTATTTTTAGTAGAGATTGGGTTTTGCCATGTTGGCCAGTCTGGTCTCAAACTCCTGCCCTCAAGTGATCCACCCGCCTCAGCCTCCCAAAGTTCTGGGATGACAGGCATGAGCCAACGTGCCCAGCCTTAACCATTTTTTATTTTCCATGGATCCCATAGGCAATCTGGTGAAGCCTGTGATCCTTCTTCAAACAATATTTTAAAATGCAGAAAATAAAATCCATAGAATTAAACAGAATCAACTACTTTGAAATAAATATATCAAAATACTAAACAAAAATCTGTAAAGTAGAAATGTAACAGCGTCTTTATCAATGTATTAAACAGCGAGATCACTACTCTTACGGCCATTTTTTTTTTTTTTTTTTTTTTTGAGACTTAGTCTCACTCTGCTGCCCAGGCTGGAGTACAGTGGCACAATCTCAGCTCACTGCAACCTCCTCCTCCCGGGTTCAAGTAATTCTCATGCCTCAGCCTCCTCAGTACCTGGGATTATTGGCGCCCACCACCACACCCAGCTAATTTTTGTATTTTGAGTAGAGATGGGGTTTCACCATGTTGGCCAGGCTGGTCTTGAACTCCTGACCTCAAGTGATCCACCTGCCTTGGCCTCCCAAAGTGCTGGGATTACAGACATGAGCCACCATGCCCAGTAGGGCCATTATTAAGTAAAATAAGTTTATATGAACACAAGCACTGAAATACCAGGGAGTGGATCTGATAACCCAGGTGGATACTAGGCATCTAATGGGCAGGTAGCATCTACAGCATGGAGATGCCAGACTAAGGGATGATTCATGTCCTGTGGGAGATGGAACAAGACAGCGTGAGATTTTATCACGCTTGTCAGAATGGTGCCCAATTTAAAACTTATGGATTGTTTTTTCTGGAATTTCCATTTAATATTTTTGAACTATGGTTGACTTTGAGTAACTGAAACTGTGGATAAGGGGCTATCCTGTAATTGTTTTTTCTATTCTCATTCACAAACCTCAGATTTATCCACAGACCCATGGGAGTCCATGGACCCCAGTTTAAGAAGCTCTGCCATGGAGTGGACTATTACCCAGTTATCAAGAACCTGAACTTGGACAGCCTGGCTTCCAATCCAGGCTCCAGCACTCACTTATTCTGTGACCTCTCAGAGCAACAGTCTCTTTATCTGGAGAAAGGGAGACAGCCCAACATGTCCCCTCTGTCGTGAGGGTTAGAGGGGAGCTGTCTGCAGATCCCTTAGCACAGTGCTAGGAACCTGGTATGTGCTCAGTGGGTTCTTGTTCTAGTAACATGAAAATCAATCATATCCAGCTGGCCTGTGCTGTGAACCAGGTTCTAGGCACAGAAGTGTCATCCTGTCTCTGTTTTCCACAAGGCGGTGAGAATGCTTCAGCTACTTCATGACTCCGAGAGATGATTTCCTCATTCTGAAGGACCAGCCTCCATGAGCAGAGAGGGAGAGAGCTACAGGAACATGCTGGTCAAAGGGTGGGGCTAGATGAGGAGTAACAAATGCAGGGACTGGCCAGCCCCAAATATTTGCTCCCAGGGGCTTACATGTGACTCCTACATGGGTGGACACCCAGGCAGGGCCTGCAAAGAAGTGGAGATGATTGATGAGATCTGATGTTGGAATTACAGGTATGTTTCCCCCTTTTTGAATGTTTCTTCAACAGTCCTTACTGCCCCCTGCCCCACTCTCTGCAGAATGAAGTCTGTTCTTCTTAGGGAGACATTTAAGGCTTTCTTTTGATCTAGGCCCTGCCTGCCTTTCCTACTCCATCTTGCAAATCTCCCTGGCACGCACTCTCTACTTCTGCAAAAGGAAACTTTTAGGATGTCCCAGCACACCCCCAGGATTACCTGCTCTGGGCTTTTACTCACATCAGTCTCTCTGCCTGAGCATCCTCTTCCCTCCCCAGTCCACATCCTTCTCAGCCCATCCAGAAGACCCCTTTCAGGAATCTCCTGGCTGTCATCTGAGCTCCCAGCTCTGCCTGCTAGGGTCCTGACTTCTCTCTACATTACCCTAATCTACAACTATTCACATGTCCTGGCCCAAGTGAACACCCTTGGAAGAAGTGTCCACGAGTGCCTCAGATCTCCAATCACTCCCCACAGGGTGCCACACCCAGGAGACGCTCAGGAAAGGATGAATAAAGGGACCACCAGGCCCAAAACTTCTCCAAAGGGCCCTAAAAGGCCAGGCACCTGCTGGCTCTGCAAGTCCAGGCATTCCTCCATCCAAGGGGCCTCTTGACCATCCATTAATTTACTCACTCCTTCACAAATATTTACTGTGAGCTGACTGTGCCAGGCTCTGTTCTTGAGAACACAGCAAGTGAAAAAAACAGGTTAGGGTCCTGGAACTTACCTTCCAATGAAGGGAGGAAATAAGTAAACAAAAGAAAACTGCAGAATATATGGTATGTCGGACAGTTGCAAGTTCTCTGGAGACAAGAAAAAATAGAGAAGGGGGAGAGGGAGTCCCAGGGTACTCTCTTAAATAGATAGTTAAGGAAGGTAGTTAAGGAAGCCTTGCTGAGAAAGTGACAAATATGTGAGCAAAGTAAAGGAGGTAAGGGAGACAGCCATTCAGAGATCTGCAGGAGAAGCATTTCAGACAGATGAAGCAGTCTGTGAGTTTCTTGTTGCCGATGTAAAAAAATTACCACAGACTTAGTGGCTTAAAACAACAGAAATGTATTTTCTCACAGCTCTGGAGGCCAGATGTCTGAAATGAGTCTTCCAGAGCTAAAATCCAGGTATCAGCGAGGTTCCCTCGGCAGACTCCAGAGGAAAAGCCACTCCTTGCCTTTTCCAGCCTCTAGTGGCTGCTGGCATCCCCTGGCATGCCTTGGTTTGTGGCTACATCGTTACAATTTCTGCTGCTGTCATCACATGGACTTCTCTTCCGTAGTCAAATCTCCCTCTGCCTCCCTCTTATAAGGATGCTTGTGTTGACGTTGGGCCCTCCCACATAATCTAGGATAATCTCCCCATCTCAAGATGCGAATCTGCGAAATCCCTTCTGCCTTATAAGGGAACATTCACAGGTTCCAGGGTGACGGAGGTTAGAGCGGGCAGGACCTTAGCCTTGGTCAGGGTTAACACTAGCTGCTGCATCACTAAGTCCTCCAAAATCTCAGCGGCTTAACAGGGTATCTCTTCTCAGTTCCCAGCTCAGAAACTCTCAGATCCTCCAGGCCTCAAAGTGCTCCATGGGGTCTTCCATATTCATTTGACAAATAGAGGAAAGAAACAGCAGGGATCTCTCCAGAAATTTTAGGCCCCAGGCCTGGAAGGGATGGACATCATTTCTATCTACTTCCCAGTACTATCTACTTCCCAGCTATTCATATGCCCCACATAGATACAAGGACAATAGGAAATATGGTCTTCCTTTGTGCCCATGAAAAAAATGACATGGCTTGGTAAACCCATAGCCTTTTCTTTGCCACAGCCCTGTAGGACATTGCAAGAATTTCAACTTTTACTTAAGGGAAATGGGAACCCTCAGAAAATGTTGAGCAGAAGAGTGACACGCTTTGACTTAAAGTTTTTTGAAAAAACACACTGCCATGGAAATGTTCCCTGTCTTGATTGTGGTGGTGTGAACTTGAAGGTTTACATTTGTCAAAACTCATTAAATTGTACACTTCAAACTGGTGAATTTTATTTTATGTAAATTACACCTCAATACAGCTGATTTTTTAAGAAAAGGACCACACGGACTGCTATTTTGAGAATAAATGGGGTTTGGGTGCAAGAATAAAATCAATGGGACTAGTTGGCAGGCTATCGCTATAATCTTGGCCCAAGGTGGTAGTCGTGAGGGTGGCAGGAAGTTGGGTTTAGAGTACGGTTTGCAGGTAGAAGCAAACAGGATTTGCTGACATACAGATATAGGGAACAGAGTTAAGGCACAGGCTGTAGGCTCAGGCTTCCCAGGACTGAACTGTGTCTCCACCACTTATGATCTTGGGCAAATGGCTTAATATTACTTAAGCCTTTCCAGTACCCCGAGCTAGTCATATGCCCCCTCATAGATACGTAGATACAGATTTCTCTGTGAAGCAGGGATAATAGTAACAACTTCATAACATTGTTGGGAGGTTAAAATGAGAAAATGTATGAAAAATACTGAGCACAGGCCCTGGCATAAATTGAGGACTTGGTACATTTCAGTAGAGGCAATAGCTACCCTGGACTGAGTGATTACAACAAGCCAAACCATGTGTACGTTCTTTACATTTCTCTTCCCATGATGTGATGGCCAAAGAGCTGGTCTCCATGTTTTTCTGGTCCAGAACTGGAGTGACCACAGCTAGAGACTTTACTGACCAGAACCTGGGGTCAGAGTTCCCAGCTCAGACCTCACAAGATCCCTTTCAGAGAAAGCACCCCCAGAGAGCAGACCTGCTAAAACGACAGGAATAATTCAGGCCTGCCACTCCCACAGTGAGGGCCAGAGCACTTCCTTGTAGGAAAAACACAGTTTTACAACAAACTCTTACAGTTTTTTTGTTTTATTTTGTTTTGTTTTTGAGACAGAGTCTTGCTCTGTCACCCAGGCTGGAGTGCAATGGCACGATCTTGGCCCGCTGCAACCTCTGCCTCCCGAGTTCAAGTCATTCTCCTGCCTCAGCCTCCTGAGGCGCCACCATGCCCAGCTAATTTTTGTATTTTTAGTAAAGACGGGGTTTCACCATGTTGGTCAGGCTGGTCTTGAACTCCTGACCTCATGATCCACTCGCCTCGGCCTCCCAAAGTGCTGGGATTACAGGCATGAGCCACTGCGCCCGGCCAATGTTTTTTTTTTTAAAAGAAAAAACCTACAGGAGGCAGTGGGAACTTGTCACTTCAATTGCTTGAGCAAGACCCTCTCTCTCTTTGTTTCTTAGCAATTCCTAGATTCTCTGGAAATCACTAAGGGAGAGAGGCAGGAATTAGCATTCTCTGAACGCCAGCTAAGTTCCAGGACCTAAATAAGATGCTTTCACAAATCACAGGCAACCTCAGAAGAGCCCTACGTGATAAATAATCACAATTCCCATTGTCTGGCAAGGAAGCCAAAGTTCAGAGAGGGTAGGTGACTTGCCCAAGCTCACTCAGCTGGTAAGCTGTAAGGGTGGAATTTGCATTTTATGGGGAGCCGTGATTTACTCAAAGTGATGCAATAAACGGCAAGTCAGTACAGGGGTTGGGAGCACAGACCCTGGAACCACATTGCCTAGGTTTGCAGCCCAGCTCCACCTCTGACTGGTTGCAGGGACCTGTGCAAGTTATTTAACCGCCATGTGCCTCAGTTTCTTCATCTGTAAAATGGGAATAATAATAATATTGGTTCCTAATTATTATGGATTAATTTTATGTGTCAGCTTGACTGGGCTAAGGAAGAACCAGACAGCTGGTAAAACCTTCTTTCTGGGTGTGTCTGTGAGGGTGCTTCTGGAACAGATTAGATTTGAATCAATGGTCTGAGTATAGAAGATCCACCCTCACCAGTGTGGGCGGACAGCCCAATGAGGGCCCCAACAGAACACAAATAGACAGAGGAAGGGCAAATTTGCTCTCTCACTTTACGTTCTCCTGCCTTTGGACATCAGAACTCCAGTTTCTCAGGCCTTTAGACTCCGGGACTTACACAAGCATGCGCATGAACACATACACACACATATACACATATACACGCACATACACACACTTACAGACACATACACACACAGACACATACACACAGAGGGCACACACATACATATACACACACATACACACACGCATACATATACACACACATACATATACACACACATACACACACGCATACATATACACACACATACATATACACACACATACATATACACATACACACACAGACACACACATATATATACACACACACATACACACACACATACACACACATATACACACACATACACACACACATATACACACACATACACACACATACACACACATACACACACACACACACACACACACACACACACACACACACACTGGTGGTTCTCGGGCATTCAGCCTCAGACTGAGAGTTATATTGAAACCGCCTTTGCAAAATTATGACCGAGACAGTGAAAGAGATCTGACCTAACCGACTTCATCTTGGTTCTAACCTTTAAGCTGTCCTTGTTCCTTCCTGGGCACAGGCTGAACTAACTTTGGGAGGAACTTAGTTTATACTTTATAGTTTAAAACAAAGATGATAACAGCCCTTTCCCAAAACAAACCTCCTTCTTGCCTGGGGACTAGACTGCCTTTGTAGGACTAACAAATTAGCCACGAGATTAGAAATGATGGTTTAGGAGTCATGCAGCTGGAGGCCAAGATTCTGATCCTCCCTAAACTGCTCCTGAAACCAGTGCTTGAGATATTTTGCAGACCCTGCACTTGATGGATCAGGTGGCACCACCCAGATAGATAAACTGGATCATCTGCTCTTGTGGCCTACACCCAGGAACCAACTCAATGCAAGAGGTCAGCTTCAATTCCCTATGATTTCATCTCCTAACTAACCAATCAGTACTCCTGGCTCACTGGCTTCCCCCTACCCACCAAGTGGTCCTTAAAACTCTGATCCCCAAATGCTCGAGGAGACTGATTTGAGTAATAGTAAAACTCCAATCTCCTGCACAGCCAGCTCTGCGTGAATTACTCTATCTCTATTGCAATTCCCCTGCCTTGAGAAATCCGCTGTGTCTAGGCAGTGGGCAAGGTAAACTCACTGGGCGGTTACAAAACCACTGGCTCCCCTGTTTCTCAGGCCTTCGGACTTGGACTGAATGCACCAGCAGCTTTCCTGGTGCTCCAGCTTGCAGACAGCAGATCATGGGACGCCTTGGCCTCCATAATCACGTGAGGCAATGCCCATAATAAATCTCCTCTTATACACCTCTGTATATAGCCTATTGGTCCTGTTTCTCTGGAGAACCCTAACTAGAACACTACTTGTATTAGTTCGTTCTCATGCTCCTGATAAAGACATACCCGAGACTGGGTAGTTTTTAAGGAAAAAGAGGTTTAATGGATTTACAGTTCCACATGGCTGGGGAGTCCTCACAATCATGGTGGAAGGTGAAAGGCACATCTCACATGGCAGCAGACAAGAGAAGAGAGCTTGTACAGGGAAACGTCCTTTTATAAAACCATCATATCTCATGAGACTTATTCACTATCACAAGAACAGCATGGGAAAGACCTGCCCCGCCATGATTCAGTTACCTCCCACAGGGTCCCTCCCACAACACATGGGAATTCAAGATGAGATTTGGGTGGGGACACAGCCAAACCATATCACTACTTTTCAGGATCATTGTTAGGATTAAAGGAGTTAAAAGATAAATAAAGAGCTAAGAAGGCATGTGGCATATGGTGAGATTTATGTAAGAATTAACTCATTATTATTGATTATGGCAGGCCCTCATGCCAGTGCTCAGCCCAGCACAATAACATAAGGAACAAGAAGAGAATCATAAAGTTTCTCATTGGAAGAGCCTAGAATAGGAGTTAGTAAATTATGCCCCCTGCACCATATCTGGCCATTTGTCTGCTTTTATAAATAAAGTTTTAATGAGACACTGCAACAGTCATTTGTTTGTGTATTGCCTGTGTCTGCTTTTGCTCTACAACAGTAGAGTTGAGTAGCTGGGACTGAGACTGTGTGGCCTGCAAAGTCTAAACCACTTACTTTCTGGCCCTTTATAGAAGAAGTTTGCTGGTGCCCCTAGGAGATAGCTAGTCCAATGCCTTATCAGCTATATCATCACCACAGCTGGTCTTGATGGAATAACTCCAGGGATAGAGAGTGTTCTCCCTTCTGAGATAGCCCAGCCAAGTTTCAGATAACTCTAACGTTTAGAAGATTCTTCTTTAAATTGATGTCATCTACCTTCCTGTAACTTAAAATCATAGGATATTAAGAGATCCAACCTTTCACAAAGGGAGTAGAGAAACTTGCCTAAGGCACTCAGTAACAGACTTCAGAGCTAGGATTTCAACTCACTTCTCACCGTTAGACGATAGATTCCTCACATCACAGAGGTAAGTCTGGAAACCAGTTCTGAGTCACTAAAACAAAGTCACTCCATGTACTGCTTCCCAAGACAGAGAAGTATGTAATATATTTAAGAAAAACCTTTACCCTCCAAAACTATTTTAAGTTTACAGTTTCAGTGTTCATAGGAGTAAAACTTCTGCTATGGGTAATCTCAAGAATGACTCACTTTTTTTTATAAAATAAAAGACTTGTTTTTTAGAAGGATGGAGGGGGCAGATAAATAGAGTAATTGGCAGCCAGGGCTGAGAGGTCAGACAGACCTGGTTTTCCATCCTGGCTCCACCACATAATAAACATGAGAAGGTAGATTCTCTGAGCCTCAGTTTTGTCACCTGTAAATGGGAGCCACAATGGTACCGATCTTCACCAGACTATTGTGACAGTGTGATGATATAACACAGGTAATGCACCTAGCACAGTCCTGGCACTATGCATCTGCTCAATAGGTATTTGCCCTTATTATAACTGAACATGTGCTATATGGCTTTCTCTTGCCTGCCTTCTCCCTTCCTTCCCTTCTCCCAAGTTGGCATAAAAATTATTTTCCGTTCCTTGCCTCCAATTAGATATTGATTAGAGTATCTGATTGAGAATGAGCACTTAATAGAAGTAAATAAGTTCTGACATTTTATTTTTACTCTTGAATAAAAATGCTCACCATCCTCCTGAAAATGAGCCATCACATTTTATTTAACAGCAGAAAAGATTTGTACATTTGGCCCTGCAGGAGCTGAGGAATCTATTTTCATTATAACAAACATTGATTTTGCATTAAAAAGTCTCATTATTTGAGGTAATGACTGCTGGGCTCCTTAGTTATTCTTTTGGTTCCTAAATCATTAAAACTCCAACATTTAAAGAGCAAGTGGGTCCACAGTGACTCCCAAATTATCGCCAATGAGTCGCTCCCTGTGTGCCCTAGTCACGGACAAGATTCAGGAGCAGTGCAGACCCCAAAGCACACGTAGTGAAGTCCAGTTCTTTCTCTTGCAGTTTCAGAATTCTAAATTCCAAACGGACTTGTTTTTCTTTTACGACCATTTTACAAAATGAAAAGAGAAGGAAAAAAAACCCTCTAGTCTCTGTGTTTATGTGCAATCAGTTCTTTGAACAAATTCTAATCTTAAAAGAACTGGAAAGGAAGAAAGCAGCGTTCATCCCCAGGACTGGGAGTTGGTGGCATATTGGGTGATCATGGCGGTGGCAGAGGTGCCTGGTAGGCCTGCCTTCCACCAGCAGCAGATAAATTATTGACTTCAGGAATATTCCTCAGTGGATGGTTTTCCACTGTTACACTCTCTCTGATACAGGGCATTTATGCTGCCTGAGACCCGGCTGGACCCCTCATTGGCAAGCCACTTGTGACATAACTGAGTTTTGCAGAATTTCAACCACATGCACCAATTTGGGTAATGTATTCTTTCAGATGCCAGGACTGAGCTTTAAACAAAACATAATCCTGCCTGCATATCAATTTCCCAGGACTGTGAGGAGGAAAAGGAAAAAAAAAAAAAAAACCCAGAACCACGATGTTTTCAGCTGCTGCATTTCCATTTGAGGGTTAGCAGTGGGGACATCTGAACAGTATGCACAGTCTCCTGGTTCATTAGGAGGAGCACAAGGAAGGAAAGGGGGAACGGTGGGGAGTGAATCATAAAATATGAAAGGACTTCCCTGGAAATTGGCATCAATGTGATTTATTCAATCCAGACCTACACTCGACTATTTAAAAATAATTGAATAGTTGATACCCACTGCCACTTGTAAGTGACGGGAACATGGGCCAGGAGTGGAATGAAGGAAGGTGCTGGGAGGAATTTGAGATGTCCCAGATCTCAGCCCTACCCAGCCTTCTGAAAGAGGAAAAAGAATTCTCCCCGGACCCCGCCCTAACCACCAGTCACTTCTTGTGGGATGCTCCTCATTCCATTCCTGTCCACGCAGACGCGAGTTTCTGTAGAGTTGTAACCACCATATGTAAGCAATTTTGCATCCTACCATCTATATTTGGCATTGTGTTTGAAGCATTTTCTCTTTGTAAAAATCATTGGTTTTAAAAACATTACATAAGCAATATATGCTTATGGTAACAAATGCAAACTATGCAGAAATATATGATATAAAAAAGGGAACATTGCCCCTCCCCAATAGACACCCATTCCTTAAGATTGCCACTATTAACAGTTTAAGGCTCATCCTCCAGACATTTTTCTGTATCTATAAACACACACACACACACACACACACATATATGTATACTTTAAGACATTTTTACCAAAAAAAAAAAAAATTATGTTTTGCAACTTTTTTCTGTAAAAATGTTGTGAAAATATTTCATGTCAGTATATACAGAGACCCACTTCTACCTTTTGGTCTACTTTATACATTCCATTGCTTATTTCACTTATCCCTCATTGCCAGGCGATTAGAATATTTCCAATGTTTATCACACACCGTGCCACCATACATCCCTATACATACATCTGTGCAAATGTTTCTGTAGAATTGATTCCCAGAAGTGAGAGTGCAGATCTGAGCATGTGACCTACAAGTGTTTTCCACGTTGTTTCAGGCATCCCAATTATCACTTTTAGTATCTGCAGAACCACCTTTTGAATCCAACTTAGCTGACTCGCATAGCGGAAGGGAAAACAAATCTGTTTAAAGCTCTCCTATCTGCAACTTCCTTCCTATAGAAAAAAAAATAACTTGGCGAGCCCCTGAGGGTGTAAATATAAAGTGTCCACTCTAGGAAGTGGTCTGGAAAGAGACGGCAAAACTAAGAGAGGGTTGAATTGTGTGTAGAATGTGGAGTTTCCTGAAAGATCTGGGAGAAATGGATGTGTGGGGAGTTTATGGAAAGAGAATACCAGCAATATGGCAGAAAACTTAGGGTCCTATGAAAGAATTCCAACAGCAGGAACTTCCCCAGCATGGGTTTTGGCTGAGGGGTTTTTATATAGGGCCCGGATATAGGATCTTCACTTAAGAAATGTGATTTGAACTGCGCATAATCAATGGTGTTCTGGTGGGGGTTGAAGAACCAACTCTAGGGAAGGGGCTGAAAGACCTTGATGTGCAGCATTTGCTGATTTCCGTGATATAAATACTCATCCCATGGCACGAGTCTGCTGGAGGGTACTGAATGCCCCACCACTGTCCTATAAACCATTGATAAAAGTCTACTCAACCCAACATCCCTGGACCAGTGGACTCCCCGAGCAGAGGAAATCAGGTAGGGTCCAGCTTGGAGTGAAGAGATCAGCAAGTGAGGACAGGTGCTACAGGATCCAGAAGGGAGCTGGGCAGCCAGCTGCAGTGAAGACTGAGAAAAGGATGGGAAGCCTCCCTTGAGAATACTTAGGGGCTTCCACTGTGTGGAAAGGGCTTGAGTTACCTCTTTCAAATGTGAAGGAATTACCCCAAAGGCCTGGAAGATGTGGGGACCCCTGGTGTCCCATTTGGGGCGACTCTAGTGTTGCACACTTGAGCCTCTTGCACTGGCTAATGCTGGGATGAACTCTTTAGCTTGCACCCAAGACTCTACAAGCTAATCCTCAGCTCCTTCTCCACCCTACCCTTCCTCTTCCTGCCTGCACATTCTCTGTTCCACGACACCACAGTCCTTGCCAGTCCCCAGATACACGCTGCATGCACCCAACTGCAGGCTTTGCCCAGCCCTTCCCTCTTCCTAAACCACCCTTTCCCTCCATTTGGGCTAACCACCGCTATATCCATTCATCAAGGCCCAGTTCAAATACTCTCTCCCCAACAAGCCTTCTCAGGCAGAATCTGTCTCCCTCTCCCCTGAAGCCCCACAGTCTTTTGTTTAAATGGTTTCCATACCATTAGTTAATGGTCTCCCCACAGTCCAGAGAGCTCCACTGAGGAGGAGTCCTAGAATTCACTGTCTCCCTGTCCTCAGACAGCACAGTGGTTTCCACAAAGCTGATCTTAAGTCACCATCTAAGAAGCCTGTTATACACTCTGAGCCCTACCCCAGCATCTGACATCTATGTGATGGACCCCTGAAAGGTAAAAGAATTGTTCTTATCACAGAGGGAAAGAAGCTGGGCTCAGAGAGGCTTACCACCTTGCTTTGTCATCCAGCAGCAATGCTAGAGCTCAGGTCTTGCCCTTAAGTTCAGCCTTGTATTCTATCTGTCCGAAGGAGGAGGGATCTGCAAATGATCTATCCCAGGTGCTTCCCACCTGGGGCCTCAGCCTCCTGGGGATTTGCAGGTTTATTTAGAGGAGACCTCGCTTTCATTTGCACACAAAGGAGAGATGAGGAAATCCATGTCTCCGCCTCTTTTTTGTTTTGTTTTTGTAGTTTTGGGGTTTGGGGTTGTGTTGTTGTTGTTTGTTTGTTGTTTTTGTTTTTTACATTAAAAGAGGAACCACTGAGGAGTCCATCCCACATTTTACTGATGGTGAAACTGAGGCTCAGAGAGGGTCAAGGACTTGGTCAAAGTCACACAGTGAATGTGCACGCTTTGTCCTGTGTCAACTTAGCAAAGCTGGAACTACATGTCCCAGAATTTCCTGCACAGTTCTGGGTTAGGGGTGGCCACAAGAGAAATTTGTGTGAGATTTGGAAGGCAGAAGTGGAGCAGCAGCTTCATTTGCACTCAAGGTCTATGTGGGTTTGGGTGATTCTCAGCTCATGCGTGTGCAGCCCACCTGCTGGCTCACCTTGTTAGCTTGCGATCTTGGGGTGGCAACCCCAGATCGATCTCCTCTTTCAGCTTCTCCAAACTCGGGGCCTGGCTTGTGTGCAGCTTTGTGGTGAAGCGGGCTAGTTCTTCTGCAGATCACCCATATCATCAGTTGGAGGCTTAGAGGCAGTGGGAGGCCACCCAGGTGCCAGTGAGAAGCAGATGCCATCCCAGCAAGCCCTCAACTGGTGACGCTCCTCCTTTTGTGTTCAGGCCATTCTTTTGGGTTCTGCCTTGTCCTTGCTCACTTCCTCTTCCTGTCCATCTTCTCTTGCTGACCGCCAGCCCTGCTGACTCCAGGTCTGGAGCAGACACGTGAATACAGGCTGACACCGCTGCCTAGCAGCTCCCATGATCAGGAAAAGCCTTGCCCCGAGCATAAAGCCCTCGGATCACACACGTTCTGCTTCTCTGATAGAACTCTGATAGAACAGTGACCTCCTGCAGAATCAACAGCCTGAGGCTCCTGCCCCTGCTCTGGACTCCTTGCCACTCTCAAGAGGCTAGCATGATGACCTGAGTCCGAGGCCCCAGGCCCCAGGCCCTCCCCAGTGAGATCACTGCCTCCATCACAGGGCTGAGGCTCTCAGGTCTCCCCCAGCCCAGTGGCCAAGGGAGAGATATGTCTGGCCTGTCCCCCAGCTGTCCCCCAGCATGGTCCCTGCAGGCTCCAGGGACCCCAGTCCTTCCTCTCCTCATATAGCCCCCACCAGACTGCGGGGCAGACATCTCATCCTGGCTCCATATCTTCCCCCACCAGGCTGGGGTTTTTGAAGGCTATTTATTTCTCCTGGTCCCCAAGCCCATAACCTCTGAGCTGCCTTGGATGCCTGCTGTCCCAGGGACTCTATAAATAATCAGACAGTAAAGATGTCACACCACCAGCTTGGGCCACTGCCCAAGCAAGCCTGTGGCTGGCCCTTCCTCACGGGCATCTCCACCCGCACACTGAGCTGGGACTTATTACTGCTCGCCCCATATAGGGTTCCTGCAATCTACGGCAGGACAGTCTCCACACTTCAGCACTGAGCAGGGATTTCAGGATCAACTGTTTTCTCCTGTCCTCACCAGGCCCTTCCTTCCTCTGGAAGGTCCCAGGTAGCCCAGGAGACTCTCCCTTTTTGGAAGCTACTTCAGAGGAAAAGGTGACAGTAACACTGTGGAAATAGATGGATCTGGATTCCAGTGTCTCGACTACCACTTGCTAATTCTGGGACCTTGCAGAAGTCGCATCACCTCTCTGGGCTTTAGGTACCTCATTTATAAAATGAGGATATTAAGATGAGCCTCATAGGAATGTTGTGAGGATTAAATAAGGTGCTATATGAAAGCACATAGCCCAGGCTCTGGGCATGTTATAAATGGATGCCATCTTCTTATTATTCTTGTTATTTTTTTTTTATCACTATGGCCACCAAATTGCATGCTCCATGAGGATGAAGACTGTGCCTGACTTGTTTTCTCACTCCCTAGTACAGTGCCTGTCACATAATAGCACTCAATACCTATTTGTTAAATGAACGAAGGACTATAATAATGCTGACTGATTAGGGCCAGTGTATGTTTAAAGTACCCAGGACTGGAGAACATTTGGAGATTTCAGTAGGTGAGGTTGCTAGAACATTTTTTGTCAAGTGTGACCATCTGTGTTCTCTTAAAGTTTTTCTTTTGCCACCTGCCAACTACTGCCCCACAGGCAGTAACTGCGCTGGAATTCACCCATGGGGCAAGGACTTCCACACCTGCCAGCAGTGCAGAGCCAAGCAACACCTTGCTCCGGATGCTGCACCTATAATTAGGGCAGCTTTGACCCACAGCCCCGCTCTCCTTCAGGGCAGAATGCAAACAGGGTCCAGCCCAATCAAAAGGTACACCCTATTAATATCACCCATGTAACAGATGAGGAAACTGAGGAACAGAAGGATTACGTAAACTTGTCTAAGGTCACATGGCTAGTTAGCGCTGAAAGTAGGATTCAAACCCACCTATTGCTTATCATATACAGATCATATGCAGATCTTATATACTCTGTAAGGTAGCTATTAATATCTTCATATACAGATAAGGAAGCTGAGGCTCAAGGAGGGTTAGTAACTTGCCCAAAGCCACGCAGCTAGTACAGTAATCTTATATAGCATATGAGCATTTGATTCCAAAATTGGTACATCAGGCAAAAGTTGCATAGAGTTCAAATTTCTCTTCAATTCCTTGAAATCGGCTCCCTGGCTTTCTTTGTATATAACCTAGTACAGTCATTTTTACCTAAACACCCTTGAGTTTGAGAGCAGATGAGCTGAACTGAAGGAAGGACAAGAAGGAAAGTTTAGGCTGGGTGCGGTGGTTCATGCCTGTAATCCCAGGACTTTGGGAGACCAAAGCAGGCAGATCACCGAAGCAGGTCGGAAGTTTGAGATCAGCCTGACCAACATGGAGAAACCCCGTCTCTACTAAAAATACAAAATTAGCCTGGTGTGGTGCCGCATGCCTATAATCCCAGCTACTCAGGAGGCTGAGGCAGGAGAATCGCTTGAACCCAGGAAGCGGAGGTTGCGATGAGCCAAGATCATACCATTGCACTCCAGCCTGGGCGACAGAGAGAGACTCCATCTCAAAAAAAAAAAAAAAAAGGAAAGCCTGGGAGAAGGCATCAGGACATAGGAACACAACATCATTCAACTGCTTCAGCCTTTCAATCATGATTAGCCCCCTGGCACACATGAAGCAGGGGAGGAGATGTGAAGCATTCCTACCAGGCTCACTTAATTGAAATTTAATGTTAGTGCCCACTGGTCTTAATATATATGAATAGATGTCATTGTTAAGCCGATTAAATGTGTAACATATGTAAAAGCACCTGCACAGTGATGGGCCTAGAGTAGGTGCTCAATATATGTGTGCTAAATTTGAATCTACAATCATTCATTCATTCAGTACGTATCGAATTTCTACTAGGGGCCAGGCCTCAGGGGAACAGCAGAGAACAAGACGGACAAGATACCTGTCCTTATGGAGCCAACATTCCAGTCGAGGAAACACACAATGAGCAAGAAAACTAGTAGGTACACAATAAAATGTCAGGTAGTGATGGGAAGAAAAATAAAATGGATGGGGGAAAGAGAGTAGTGGGGCGGCTCTTAGATAGGGCAGGGAGGGCCTCTCTGAGGAGGTGGCATCAGAGCCAAGAACTGGTCTGGCCCAGACAAACCGCCCACATGTGGACACCATTGTCCGAAAAGTACAAAACCTGGTCATCTGCTCCCTGCCTTTCCAAATTCACATTTTATTTTGTGGCCTCCACTGAACAGCCATCACTGCCATGCCCTTAGGCATTGGGCTCATGACCCCTTACAGTGGGAGGGGAGGGGTAAGGAGGGGCTGCTAATGTGATTCCTCTGTAAAAGGTGAATCAAGCTCATGCCCATCCACCTGACACCAGGGCACTGGGTCTCTGTACCACGACACAGCTTCGGTGCTAGAAAAAATCCAGCTGTAGCTGTGGAGACAAGACAAAGCAATGACTTGAACCAGAATATTGATTCTAGAATCTCATGATGCCTCTGATCCTGAGGGTTCTGGAGCCAGGAAGGGTCCTGAGACACACCTAGCACTTCACATTCACTAAGTCATGCGTGATCATCAAATCATTTGATTAATTCCCTTACTCTTACAGGTAGGCAGACTGAGGTCCAGAGGCCATGGGACTCTCCGCAAACCACAGAGCATCAGCGGTGACAGAGATAAGAACTCAGCTCTCCCAACTCCCAGTCTGGTGCTCTTTATACCAAAAGTCCACCTTCCAGTTCACGGGTAATCAAAAACTTTCGTTTGGTCTGGGGTCGTTTCAACAGCAGATGTGCTCGTCTCTGTGCAGGACCTGCCTCCCAGGGGAATACGGTAGTGCTGAGAAGAGGGTGTGGACGGACTAAGGGCTGAAGAAGTCCTGGAGACGGGGTGGCGATGGTGAGTGTGCTTGCTGAGCCCAGGAGACGGACCGCAGCACCGGGCACTCGGGTGGGGTCCAGAGGAGAGGAGCCTCCTGCAGGGACAGCAAAGCTGACGAGAGGACAACATAAAGCCACTTCTGTCTTTACCTCGCATTGCCTTTGCACCACATCCATTTGGGTACGGTGCAAAGCTTCTCCCGTTTTATTCCTAAGTCTGAAACCGCCTAGCGGGAGGAGGGAGAGGAGTGTTCTTTCATTCTCTAAGGGCCTCCCGTGTGCCGTATGCTGGGAACTTCTCCTTTCTCATTTTATTTCCTTCACGCAACAACCTTGTGAGACGGTGATTCTCATCCCTGTATTACAGATGGGGCTCGGAGCTCAGTGTGGGGGCAGCTTGCGCAGCAGCCCCCTCCACCCTCTCGCCCCAGGTCACCACTCAGTGGTGCAGCTGAGATTCCAGCCAAGGCCTGCAGAGCAGAAGCCTGTGCTCTCTGAGGCGTGGTCTCCCACGCGGCCAGCTGGAGGGCTCCTCCGGAAGGGTTTCCAGGGAGGCCATGAGGGCTGTCTAGATTGATAGCGAGTTCCCCACATCCTGTAACCCCTCCCTGCCAGGCCTGTGCCCGCCGCTCTGGCTGCAGGCAGGGAGCGAGGCTGGGCGCTAATTTACACTTGTTTAACTACAGCTGCCGCCCTCCCGCCATGTGTCTGTCCGCCATTTATTGCGCTTTCCAAAGCCCTGCCCGGCACTCAGGGGCATTTCCTGCCTGCGCTAATGGAGGAGAATAGACGCATTATATGTGAATAATGGATTATGATGATACAATTTGGGTCTCTTAGCTCTCACCGAGCCTAGGCTGGCCTTGCATTATTGATAACTTACACACACCTTCCCGAGCGTGTTTATGTAAATATTTAATAGGGAAAGCAAGTTAATCCATTGGTTTCAGCCATTTCCAGAGCACTAGAAGTAAGGGCCATGAGGGGTGACTTGGGGGGCCCCCAGCAGGAGTTAGTTCTCTTTGGAAAAGCCGGGAAGTTGCCAAGATGCTCACTTGGCCACAAGGAGTGTATGGCCTTGAGGTTTGGGGTTTTCCAAGAGCTGAAACAAAAGGGTAGGGCTACCTCACTGTGGGAGATCACCTCCGGTCAAGAAGACGAGTTGTCCAACACAGGCAGAGCAGGGTGAGGATGTTGGGATGAGGGGTGCAGATTACTGGAATGCAGCTGTGGTGGACGTCACCACTGAATAAATCGAACCATTGCTTCCTATCTTACATGGCCGATTTCCTGTGCTTCCCCATGGCTTCCGCATTTCACACTCCATTGCATGTTGGAAGGCAATGCTTTAGAGACTGCCTGGGTTTCACCCTGGGCTCCACCACATGCCCACTGGACGGCAAGTTAGTTAATCTCTCTGTGCACTGGTTGTCACATCTGTAAAATGGGGAACTAATTTATTTGTCTCATAGGTACCCATTGTTGGTGCAAGAATGCAGTGAGATAATATATCTGAAGTCCTTTTACAGTGCTAGGCAATACTACCTATTACCATATAAGCCACAACTGGAAAGATGCACATGCTTTCACATGGGTCTTCATGCCATGGCACACATTAGCCGGCAGTGTTTCTGAGTGGTGTAGAAAATAGTTGTGCATCCCAGACACAATGAAATATGGTTATTTTGCTAATATCCTGTTTCTGGCAATTAAACTACTGTGTATCCTTTGGGAAATCACGAGGGTGGGCATGTGCCCCATCTGCTTATGCAGAGGGTGGAGGACCAGGCAGAATCAGGAGATCTGAGCTGGCCTCCCTCTGCACCCCACCCCAGGCACCTGCCTCCTCTCCAGCTTATCTCCCCCATCCCCTTCCCGGGTTGCCATTGACAACCTGCCATTCTCAGAGCATGCTTCTGAGCTGCCGAGCCTTCGCACCTGCTGGCTCCTCCACCTGAATGTCCTTCTCTCTGTCCTCTTCCTGGAAACCCCAGCTGCCTCAGGATATGGTTCAGTCATCACCTCCTTCATCCAGCCTTCTCTACCTCTTTGTCTTAACATTGAAATGGCCAGCGTGTTCTTCTACCTGCCTGCCAGACATGCAGGCCCAAGGTACCAGGAGGCAGATGCTGACAGATGCATCTCAGTATGCCCGGCACCTCCACCACACAAGGGCTGTGCTGGTTGCTGTGGGAATGCTGCAGGGCACAAAACGGATAATGCTGGAGGGAGAAGACAGCAAACACAAGGCTCAAGAAACTCCAGTATGTAAGAAGAGGACATGCACAATGGAAGAGGGAAGCCACCATGCAGAATGTCGGGGTGCACTTTTAAATGGGACAGTCAAGGTAAGCCTCACAGCAAAGGTGACCTCTGAGCAGAGGTCTGAGGGAGGTGAGGAATGAGAAGAGTGAACAGCCAGTATGAAGATCCAAGGTGGGAGTGTGCCCCTGGTGTGTTCACGGAAAGCACCAAGGTAGGCGTGGCTGGCACAGAGTAAGAGAGGGAGGTCTTAGCAAGCGGGGAGGTTCAGGTAGTACAGGGCCTTGTGGCCTTGGCAAAGACTTTGCCTCTTGGAGGATTATAAGCAGGTGTGACTGGGTCTAGTGTTTGTGTTTTAAAGGGATCATCCTGGCAGCTATGTAGAGCATTACTATAGGGGTCAAGTACCGCAGCAGGGACAGCAATTAGTAGGCTACTGCAAGAGTCCAGGTAAGATGTGATGGTGCCTTATGCTAGGGTGGTGGGAGTGGGGGAGGTGATGGGGGATGGCTAGGTGCTGAGGTTCTAACAGAGGTGGAAGGTGGAGCTGTCCGGGTTTCCTGATGGTTTAGGTATTTGAAGTGAAAGAAATAGCAGAATCAAGGATGACTCCAAGGTGTCACCAGAAGGATGGAGCCATCATTAACCAAGTGGGGAAGACTGTAGGGGCGGTGGGGAACAGGTTTGCAGAGGGGAAGATGAGGAATTCCATTTGAGATGCATTATTAGACATATTAGATCTGATATATCTATTAAACACCCAAGGGGAGAGTTTGAATGGGCAACTGCTTGTAGGAGTCTGGAGTTCTGGGAAGAGGGTCGAGGCTAGCATTAGAAATGTGGAAGCCATCAGCATACAGATGGATGAGCTCACAAGGGAGAGAGTGTAAGGAAGAAAGACATGGAGGCCTGAGCCCAGGGCGCTGCAAGGAGTAAGGTGGGGAGGGAGGAGAACCAGCAAAGGATGCAGGAAGAAGTGCCCATGGTGAAGGAGGAATACCCACTTGTTGAAACTTCAGTGTGTTGGCGCTGTAATAAACAATTATGATAAAATAGCCACCATTAATTGAGTACTTACTCTTTGTTAGACACTTCACATATAGTTTTCCCTTTGATCCTAAGATTTGGGAGTTCTCATTCCCATTTTACAGATAAAGAAACTGAGGCTCAGAAAGGTAAATCTGCCTGACCAATGTTTCACAGCTAGTTATGGCAGCACAGCAAAAAACCCAAGCTTCAAGTCAGCCCAACTAACATTTTTTGACCATCTGCTGGGAGCTGAGTGCTCTTGATAGACATTATCCTATTTAACACTCTCAATACCCTTGCAAAAATAGATGTCATTTCTACCCATTTTACAGATGAGGAAACTGAGGCTTGGCGTCTCATTGAGTGACCTACCCAAAAGTTACCCAAGGAGAAATGGGCTCGCAGAGATTTGAATCCTGGTCTCCGGCCTTCCTTTAGACACTTGGGGTGCTCCCAAGTCTGCATTTGGAGAGGGGAACAGCATTAAAGTATCAGCTGGAGCTTCTCAGCTTGAAATCCTAGGCCTCTTCCAGAGGCCAGATGTTCGGATGGTACCAAGGGGCTCTCCGCTGAGTCCTAGGCTGGGAGCAGAGAGGGAGGGGACTCTGTTACCAAATCCCAGGCTGGGCACTCCCAGGGAGTCCCTTCCTCCCCACCTGCATGGCATCTGGCCTCCGCCAGCTCCTGCCTGGCTGCCAGATATACCAGCTGTGGCTCCTCTCCACGGAGAGTCTCATTTATTAATTAACGTGGACGCCAAGGGGGCAACTTCTCAGGCCCAGCCTCAGAGCAGATCTTGGCACATTTTTCAGACTTTGTTTAATAATTTATCATCTTTTAATCATAAAAATAATTAGCACAAGAGTGATAATCTATGCTCTGCCGAGAGCAGACCAACGGAGGAATTTTCAGACAGTGCCAGAACCCAGAGAGCAGAGCTTTGGCAGCGAGGAGAGGAAGGTTGGCTCCAGGCCAGGTGTCCTCTCCAGGACTGGCCCCTGGGAGTCAGGTGTCAAAGATGCCGTCTGGCTTTTGGGGGAACTCGAGGACCGTGCTGCTTTCCTGGGAATTTGAGGCTCCTGCTCCTAACTCTGACTTGGCTCACTGGATAGCTCTCTGGGAAGTTCCTTCTCTGGGTCTTAATTTTCCCACCTGTAAAATGGGAGTTCAATTAGATAATGAGTAAGGACACTTTTGTTCAAGGCGCCATGATCCAATGAGATAGCAAATGTAGAAGCAGTGGCTGTGGCAGTAAAGACAGTGAGCTGGAGTGCCCATGAGAGCCACGAAGCCTTCCACAGTCCCCGCCACCTCCCACCCCGCCAGCTTCTGCATCCCCAGGTGCTCAAAGAGCCCTGGGACAGACTCAGTTCTGCCAGGTATAAGCCGTGTGGCCTGGGGCAAGTCCATCTCCTCTCTGAGCCTCAGTTTACCCATCTGAAAAGAAAGAGTGATCGCTCATGTCCTGCAGCTCTCCCAGAGAAGATCCAAGGGAGAGGATGACAGGGTTACCCCTTGGAGACATTGATCTCATTCTGCCCCACATTTAACTGCCACTCCCTGTCCAGACTTTCGGTTCTAGAGGGCAGGGCAGGACTGCCTCATCCTCTGTGCCTGATAGCCCTGGTAGTGACCGAATGAGCTCAATGTTCTGCCAATTCCAGCAAGGTGTCTTGAGATTGTTCAACCTGTGCAGGCAGACACATCCTCCCACCAGGGCGGCAGCACGGTCCGGTGACTGTGGGTAAAACCACAGCAGTTCAAGAAAGCAACTCCTCCTCTTCTTGTGGGGTCTTGTACAAGCTGCTTTGCCTCCAGCTGCCTCAGTCTCTTCATGTGAAATTGGGGATATCTGTCTTAGATTGGGGGTCCCCTGAAGCAGACCTAGAGACAAGAATTCAAGATCAAGTCATTTATTTAAGAAGAGATCCTGGAAGTTCCAGTAGGGAGTGGAGAAGTGAGACTGGGAAGGGGAGGAGAGCAATGAAAGGCGCGTGAATGAGCTGGTGACCACGCTGGACCCAGGCCTACTGGGGCCATCTCAAGGGTTGGCAAACTACAGCCCACAGGCCAAATCAGGCCTGCCTCCTGAATTTGTAAATAAAGTTTTATTGGAACACAGCCATGCCCACTCATGTCTGTATTATCTGTGGCTGATTTTCTGCCACAATGACAGAGTTAAATGGTTGCAACAGACACCATATGGTCCTCCAAGCCTAAAATATTGACTCTCTGGCCCTTTGCCAACAAACTTCCCCAGCCTCTGGTCTAGGACATAGCGTAGAACTGACCTCAGAGCTGTCTCCTTTGAAGGAGAGGAAGCTGGACTCTTTATGCTTCCACCCCAGTCCATTGCTGACTGTTCCCAGGGGCCCTAACACCTACCCCCCTACACATACACTTCCAGTGCCAGGGAAGCACACTCTGGCAGCCAGAGGAACCCTAAGGAAGAGTCATGGCAGGTATGGGGCAGTGAGTGCCCAGGGGAAGTTGGAGACTGGGGCATCCAGGGCCGCTGCTGCAAGATCTCACTAAACTGTTAGGAGGACTAGATCAGATCATAGTTGGAAGTACCAAGAACAGGGAGTGCCCTCTAATACTCCACACCTTCCATCATCACCACCAGCCCCTAACCAAAGTCATTCCTGGCTGGCTCATTCCCAAATGATCTGCGTTCATCTCCTTGCTGGGCCTCTGCCTGCCTGTCTTTCTTAGGTGCTGCTGATTTCCGAGCTCCAGGTGACTCTGGTCCTGGGAAGAGGGTTCCTCCCCAGGCCCCAGCTCTGGTCACAACTGCACTCGCACTGTCCTCTCCCTGGCTCCGGCGGGCAGTCCTGCCTTTCCTGCTTCATTCTCAAGTGCCTCCTGCCTCCTGCCTCCTGGGACCCCATAAGCCCACCCACCTGGGCTCTGTCCTCCTCAGCCTGAATTTTGGACCTGCTCAAGGTGGGCAGGGGACACTGCCCTCTGGTCTCCATCCCAGCAGGCGAGTCTTCTCTTCCTGGTCAGTTATGCCACCCTTCGACCCCACCACCACTCTAAGTCAATTCTGCTCTTGCTCTCCTGTGCCATCCAGAGGCTGTCAGTACCACCTGGGCCCGGCCCTCACCTTTTACCCACCCCTACTGGTGAGTATTGTGGGCAGTCGGCTCTGGGCTGCTTTCAGAGAAGGACATAGGCAAATGGATTTGATGATCAGGGCTCAATCTGGGGTCATGGTCAGGGCTCAGTCTGCTCAGTCTAAGACCAAGGTCCCGGCCCAGTTGAGCAGAGGCCAGAGTCACAGCTCAGTCTGGGTTCCAGTTCAGGATTCAGATTGAGGCTGGAATCAAGGCAAAGCCTGAGGTCAAGGTCAGGGCTATACCTGGGCCGAGGCCCAGGGATCAGTCTAACCAAGAAGCACAGCACACCCAACTGGTTTATCTAACCGCTTAGCCCAGGCCATAGCTCCTGCTCCTTGGCTCGCCCCCCTGGCCCTCCCTGGGAACCTCCAGCCTGTCCCTCCCCACCGGGGTGCCTGCATTTCCATTCATGTGTGCGCCCTCCTGGCCAGGCAGTGAGGATTCCCAGGTCCATCTGTCTGCTGAGCTGTCGTGGGAACCAAGCTCAGCGAATGGGCCCGAGCCTGTCTCCCTCCGGAGCCTGCCTCCAGACTGTTGGCGTTCACGGCTCTGCCTCGCAGCCTCCGAGCTGGGCTCACGCTGCTGAGTCCAAACGCCGTCCACTGCTCAGTTCCAGCCAGCCACCAAGCACTCCCCAGATGGGCAGGGACCACGCCATGCCTGCCTGCCTCCTGCCTCAGGCACTGCTCGCTCCCTGCCAGAGGCCCAGGGGAGGTGCCCAGTCCCCAGACTCACAGCCCTGGGGGCCATGCAGGGCCAGGGGAGGGCAGGGAACCCACCTCCACCAGCTCCAGGACCCTGAGCACCATTCAACCAGTGATTCCCTCCAGCCTGGCCACTGGCCCTGGTGAGGCCTGGCCTCCCTCCCTCCAGGTGCCTCTCGGCCTGTGTCCTCTAACCACAGAACTGCCCTGAGGTCTTGGGGAAGCCAAGGTGAGCCATGCAATATGACCCCCAGGGCCTCCGTCTGAGAAGCTCCAGGCAGCATGGAGTCCAGAATCAGGCAGCCCTGGGCTTGCATGCCGCTGGTGCCACTTCAAGCTGTGGGACCCTTGACAAGTTACTTTGTGCCTCCGTTTCCTCATTTATAAATGGGAGCTTCTAGGTTGTAGTGAGGGCTATTAAAAGGTATAAACCCCCTGCAGGGGCAGGAGCTCGAAGTCTCCATCTGTTATCTTTGTCTGCCTGGCACCTCTGCCCCCTTCTTCTGGTTGTGACACCCCCTCCCTGTGCCAAGCTGGCCCTTCTCCACAACCTGTGGGTCTGGTGGGGCAGCCAGTTCTGGGAGCTGGCCCCTGTGGTCACGGAACAGACACAAGCTGGCTTACAGATGGAAGCAGAGCAGAGACAGAGAGAGGCTGCATGAATGGCTGGTCTATTGACATCACCTGGACCCCCAGAACCCTAGGGCCAGGCCCCCCCAAACCTTCCAAGCACAGAGCCAATACCTCCCTTTTAGCTGAAGCTGTTGGACATGAGCTCTTATCTCTGGTGACCTGGTGACAGGGTTCAGAAAGAGCAGGATGCACATATTATGGTTAAGAGCCTCGACCCTGAAGCCACAATATTGGGGTTCAAGTCCCAGCTCTGCCACTTCTTAGCAGTATCACCATAGATGAGTTACCCAAGCTCATGGGGTTGCAGTTTCCTCATCTGTAAAATGGGGATGACACTAGTACCCACCTCCCAGGGTGGTTATGAGGATTCACTTAATTAATATATGGAAGACATTTAGAATAATACTTGGCTCGTAGTAAATGGTATATAAGTATCTGCTAGTATTTTTATTTTTTTTAATCATCTCCTGCTCAGTTGTCCAGTCTAGAGGACAGGATGGGATACTCGACAAATATTTATGGGGTCCCTACTGTGTGCTCCACATTGTGATGCACTGGCCACAAGGCTGCTGTGGGCTCCATCCTCCAGGGGCTCACTGCCAGTGAGGCTGGGTGGCCAAGGAACTACTGCTCCAGGGCCGCCAAGATGAAGCTGCACCCATGGCACCCACGGCACCCACAGCACCCACTCGGCACCCACTGCACAGTGAGCTGCTTTCTAGGAAGCCTGTCGGGTGGCCAGCCAGGGTTTGGGCCAGGGCTCCCAGTACTCATTTGGTCCCTGGAATCTTTATCTGATGCTGGGGAATTCTTTCTAAGTAACTGGGGCCTCCAAGACCCTGCTGACCAGGATCCCTGAGAAACCCCCTCATCCTCCCCAAACCTGACATCCCCAGCTCTCACTCAGGACCCTGGAGAACAGGGGATTGTGGACACATTAAGAAAATCATGCAGAGATCTGGGAGAGAGGGTACGGACTACAGCGACGAGTGGCCAGAAGAGTCTCACGGGGACCCCAAAGGACAGAAAGTGACTTTGTTGTGCAAATAGGAACATTGAGAGAGGAGGAAAGAGGCAAACTAGGGCAGACTCTGAAGTTCGTGTAATTAAGCACCCCTACCCTAGGCCATATCAAGAGGGGGTTGTACCTCTGATGGAGATTCGGCTGAATGGACAGAAAACCTGGGTCAGACAGCCAGCGGCTTCCTGGAGAGCCAGATATCCCAAACTGAGCCATCTGGGAGACAGAGGGGCTCAGACCAGTGGACAGAGAAAGGCAGGCTGAGCGTGTCCAGGAAGTGTCAGGGTCTGCATGCTACTGCCAACCTAGTATGGGCACCAGTTCCAAGTTTTGGTTAATTAAACTTTGCAATATAATTTTTGCAAAATTATACAATAATTGTGTGATAATAGTTATTAATAGTGACATTTGTATCACAGTGAGAGGCTATATGGCATGATGGTTTAAGAGTGGAGCTTCAAAATGCCTGGGTTTGACCGGTTTCACTACTTAATGGTTGTTTCACCTTGAAAAAAACTCCTTCCCCTCTCTATGCAACAGTTTCCTCATCTGTCAAATGGAAATGATGAAATAACATAATAGTATTCACCTCATAGAATTGTTAAGAGAATTACATCAGTCAGTCATTACATGGGAAGTCTTAGAAGAGAAACTGGCACATAGTAAGTGCTCAATAAATGTGTATTACTTGTTATTGAGCACTCACTATATACCAGGTACTGTGCTAAACACTTTGTTTGCATCATTTAATTTAATCCTCACAACAATCTATGAGATAGGTGCTCTTTCAGCCCCCATTTCACTGATGAGAAAACCGAGGCACAGAGTTTGCCTGGGCTCCCGTGGCTCTTAAGTGGCTAGCTAAAATTCAGGTTCAAGATTGTCTGAATCCAGAGTTTAAACTCGCAATCAGGAGTCAAATACAAAAATGGGGATGATAGAAATGGGACCTAGCAGAAAACAAAAAATCAAGCTAGTTGTGTACAGTAGAGACGTGGGGGCTGTGGTGAACTGAAACCCTCATGCCCTACCTAAATGGAACAGCCTGCTCAGTGCCAGATGACCAATGCCCTGAAGGGCTCCAAGGGCTAGCATTGTGGCTGGGCCCCAAGCTGAGTGAACCAGGTCCCCTGACTGTACAACCTGGAGGCAATCATCTTCGAGAGACCATTGAAGCCAGCCTCCCATGCCCATGACCCCGCGTCAATGCTCAGAGCATGAGTCCATGGGCCATTAGTCTTCCTCCACACGCACCAGCTTCATAATGCTGTTGTGTTATGTCCTTGTCCCACTTCTCCACTCCCCCTCTCAACCCCTAAACTCTACCTGGAGCTGGAAATTCAGAGAGTCTTCCCTAAGGGTTCCCTCCATCTCCTGCCTTAACTGGAACCAGGGTCTTTCTTGAAGACACTTCCTCCCCTGCAGCCCCCCAGAGATGCTGCTGTCTGCTCATTTACTCTGTAAGAATCAGAGGTGGGGTTGGTATCCATCTTACTCTCCATTGCTCCTCTTTGGCCTAGAAAACAGTGCACCTTTGAGGGCCGTGCCATTCAGCTCTACCCTTTCTCCTTGCCTCATTGTGGTAGACATTATTGTTGATATCATGATCAGCCCCCAGAAGCCTTTGGCACCTGGCTGAGGTCTTCTTTTTCACTTTAAGATTTTATTTCATACTTTTGGCTTTTTTACTTTGTGCCTTTATCTTGGGTGAATTCGACATCCACAGGAACTATCCATGCAACACGTAGGCTTCTCAGGTCCTCAATCTCATCTCCAATAACCCTCTCTCCCACTTCCCCCAGTCACTCATTCCCTGTCTCATCACAAGCCTTGCCATGACCCCAAACTGCAGCCCCCAGCATCACTAACTCAAGCGTCCTGCTCTCTGACCAATCTACTCTACTTCTTTAAATCTTGCATCATGGTCCTTCTTTAGCTTCCTCAAGACTTTCATCAACCTTTTCATCTTTCTCTCAACCTATCAGCTGTCTTCCTCTGCTTCTCCTTTTATCTTGGCATAGACTCTGTGGTCCATCATTTTACTAACGCTCCTACCAGTACTCCAAATTCTCCCCCACCACTTTCTCTTCTCTACCTGTTTATCAAAACCCCAATCTTCAATGAACCCAACCCTTTGCTGTCTTGTGCTGCACACAAACCGACAAAATTCATGATCACTGGCTTCCTGTGATTCTCCAACGTTTTTTCACCAGCTTCCTCTTTTGCCTTCCATGACTTTCAAACATTCCCAGACTCTTCAAACCTCATATGCTTTACTCCTGCCCTCTCACGCTCATCAGGTGACCTCACCCCTTCCCAGATAAAATGGAATTGATCAGAAAGTAACTCTCCTACAAATCTACCTACATCACCACCCATTCTCTCCCCTAGCCCTGCATGAGAGGAGGGGTCCTTCCTCCTAGCTCCTCCTGTGTTTTGAACCCCATTGTCTCCCACCCCACATTATTCATTGTTTCTTCTCTCTCCTCTGTATCCATCCACTTCATCTGAAAAGGATCTTTCTTGTTGATATTTAAACATTTATGTCTCTCCCATCTTAGGATAAACCTCCTTGGCTACAGGTCTCCAGTTACAGGTCTCTCTCCTCTCCTCTCCCCCTCTTCTCTCCTCTCCTCTCCTTCACTGCCAAACTGCCTGAAAGAGTTGTCACCATGTAATCCCTTGGTATAAGTTATTGGCTAGGAATATGGGCCCTGGAGCCAGACTGCCTGCTTTTGAATTCCAGTTCCATTTCTCAGCAGCTGTGTGACATCAGGCAAATCACATAACCTCTCTGATCTTCTGTTTCCTCTTGTCTATAAAATGTAAACACATGTACCTACCTCAAAGAATCATTGTGAGGGTTAAGGGAGTTAATATACATAAAGCACTTAGAACAGGGCCTGCCCATAGTAAGTGTTCACTTCCTATTTGCCATTGTTTGCTATTATTATTATTGCTCTGATTGCTTCCTCTCCTCCCTGCTCCTTCCTCCACCCAATAATCTGACTTTTGCCCTTTATTCTACCGAACAGCTCTGGCTAAAAGTACTAGTGTTCTTCTTATCTCTTAACACAAAGGACACTTTCCAATCCTCTTCTAATTCTCAGCAAGTTGACCTTTCCTTCCTACTTTAAACATTCTGTCCCTTCTACCTCTCTGAGGGTTCCTTTACCAGTTTCCTTTGAAGTTTTATCCTCCTGTCCCAGACATACATTTGGGTAGCATTGTCATGGGTAACTCACTACCCTCCGTAAGACAAGGTCTCCCCAATTGATATTGCCAATCCAAGGCTCTCCTCTGACCTCAAGTCAAAATCCTACTCAACACTTAAGAGTTCCCAACCACTCTTGAAATCAAATACAACCAAAATGAACTCATGACTTCCCTCCCACTCCATTTTCCCAAAACAAACCTGGTCCTCTTTCAGATGTCACCACCATCTCTTCGGTTTTGCAAG
Organism: Homo sapiens; assembly: GCF_000001405.40. Classification (NCBI taxonomy): domain Eukaryota; kingdom Metazoa; phylum Chordata; class Mammalia; order Primates; family Hominidae; genus Homo; species Homo sapiens. The sequence continues at coordinate 38,202,214 of NC_000001.11, read as the reverse complement.
TCAGAAACCTGGAAGCCATCATTTTTCTCTCCTGCTTCTTCATCCCCTCCAATCATTCCCCAAGTGATTATTACCTCCTAAAGAGCCCTCACCATTTCTACTGCCTATTCTCTAATTCAAGCCATTCTCATCTCGTCCCACTACTTGCTGACTAACTGGTCTCAATGCCAGATCCCTCTACCAATACTAATTTCCACACAGCACCCAAACCGATCTTTTCAAAAGACAGATCCAGTTTATCTTCACCTCACAGCCCTGTTCTCTTCCAGGTTGACTTCTTGAGCTCCAGGTGTTGGAAAAATGGCTGCCACAGCTCCAAGCCTCACATCCTTTGCTTTTGAGTCAAACTGTCTCTTATCCAGAATTCCCTTCAAAGTCCCATAGCATCTCCATGGCTGTGATCAAACTATGTGCCTATCCTCAAACCAGTTATTGTGGCCCAGGGGATGCAATGTCATGAGTGGCTTAGCATGGGTTATGTGCTCACTGCTGAAGTTGAGGAATAAACTCCCAACTACATCACATGTACTAAAAAAATTGGGGAGGGCTGTTTCTGCAAGGAGAGCCAATGGCTGCCAAAAACAGATGGTGTCCACTACAGTTGCCAGTACAAACATGAGTCGTGGTATATCAGTATTTCTCTGACTGTGTTCAGCTGAATACTAAACTCTCAAAATCCTCTTGAGTGGGGACCAAAGGAGAAAAAATATTTTTGGGTAAATACATTTAAGAAAACTTGAATTTTATTCCCCTGCCTTTACAGAGGCACAGTGCATGTTAGCATATTAGGAGCACTGAAATCTCCTGCAGCTAAGAAACCTGTCTGGCTTTCTTTAACCCAGCATTTCCTAAACATATTTCATTGTATATCCCTTCTATAGTTACTATGTGTCCCCCAAAGTTCATGTGTTGGAAGCTTAAACTCTAATGCAACAGTGTTAGGAGGTGGGGCCTAATAAGAGCTGATTAGATTATTATCATGAGAGTGCCTTTGTTATAAAAATGAGTCTGCCTCCTCTTGCTCTCTTGCTTTCATACTCTCTTGCCCTTCCACCTTCTGCCATGGGATGACACGGCACAAAGGCCCTTGCCAGATCCTGGTGCCGTGCTCTTGGATTTCCCAGCCTCCATAACTGTGAGCCAAATAAACTTTGGTTGTTCATAAATAACCAGTCTCAGTCTGCTATTCTGATCCTGGTGCCATGTTCTTGGATTTCCCAGCCTCCAGAACTGTGAGCCAAATAAATTTGTGTTGTTCATAAATAACCAGTCTCAGTCTGCTATTCTGCAACACAAAGCAACCCCTTTCCCTTACATTCCCCTATAGGGATGTTTTTCAAACATACTTTGAGAAACCTCCCTGGATGAGAAGACTTCAAAAAGTTTGTGGAAATGTGAAGTTAAAAGATAAAAATGAAAAATATAAACTTTCTCAACATAACCTTCATCAAGGTCAAGTTGCTTTTGTAAGCAATGATACCAGACATTTAGTCCATCTCTAAAGAACTACAGGTCCTGGGAATTTGACCATGTCAATACAGTCTTTTTTACATTATTAACTGAAGAAAAATGGATACCCTTTACAGATTTTTTTAAGATTGGGAAACTAAAAGCAGTCAGAGGAAGCCAAATCAGGACTGTAAGGTGGAAGCCTAATGATTTCCCATTGAAACTCTTGCAAAATTGGCCCTGTTTGACAAAAGGAATGAGCAGGAATGTTCTTATAGTGGGGAAGGATTCTCTGGTGAAGCTTTCTCAGGCATTTTTCTGCTAAAGCTTTGGCTATCTTTCTCAAAACACTCTCATAATAAGCAGATGTTATCATTATTTGGCCCTTCAGAAAATCAACAAGCAAAATACTTTGAGCATCACAAAAAAAATGTTGCCATGACCTTGCTCTTGACTGGTCCAGTTTTGCTTTGACTGGACCACTTCCACGTCTTGGTAGCCATTGCTTTGATTGTGCTTTGTCTTCAGGATTGTACTGGTAAAGCCATGTTTCATCTCCTGTTACAATTCTTCAAAGAAATGCTTCAGGATCTTCATCCCATTTGTTTAAAATTCCCATTGAAAACTCTGCTCTTGTCTGCAGCTGATCTGGATACAATGGTTTTGGCACTCACCAAGTGGAATATTTGCTCAACTTAAATTTTTTAGTCAGAATTGTGTAAGCTGAACTAATTAAGATGTCTATGGTGTTGGCTATTGTTTCTGCTGTTAATCACTCGTCCTCTTCAATTAGGGCATGAGCAAGATTAATGTTTTCCTCACAAATTGATATGGATGGTCTGCAGCTGAGGACTTCAACTTCAACATCATCTCATCCTTCTTAAAACCAGTTACCCATTTGTAAACTGTTGATTTCTTTGGGGTATTGTCTCCTAAACTTTTTGTAAAGCATTAATGATTTCACCATTCTTCCACCCAAGCTTCACCATAAATTTGATGTTTGTTCTTGCTTCAATTTTAGCAAAATTCATGTTGCTTTGATAGGGGCTCTTTTCAAGCTGATGTCTTATCCTTCTTAGTGCCTCAAAATAGATCCTGTTCAGACATGTTATAACAAGTTAGTGCGGGTTTATTTTGGTGCAAAAAGATTTTGAAATCCATCTATAGTTTTTTCATTTTTTTCCTTTTTCATTTTTTTTTTAAGATAGGGTTTCACTCTGTCACCCAGACTGGAGTGCAGTGGCACAGTCATGGCTCACTGCAGCCTCAACCTTCCGGACTCAGGTAATCCTCCCACCTCAGCCTCCTGAGTAGCTGAAACTATAGGCTCCCACCACCAAACTGAGCTAATTTTTCTATTTTTTGTAGAGAAGGGGTTTTACGATGTTGCCCAGGCTGGTCTTGAACTCCTGGGCTCAAGCAATCTGCCCACCTAAGCCTCCCAGAGTGCTAGGATTAAAGGTGTGAGCTGCTGCACCTGGACTAGTTTTTTCTTAATACACATTTTCATGAAGTTTTTGAAGACCTCTCATATTGAGTTACTTTGTGTGCTTTTAAAGTTCTCTCTTCCTTCACTTTCAGCTGCTGCTCTGGGTGTTTTTACTTCTAGAAGCCACTCTCCACCTCTTTTTTCTACTTCTAAATCCTCTGTAGGCTACACAAATAATAATGAAGACTGTCAAAACTATTCATAACATAAGAGAAAGGGACTCTGAGCAAGGTTCTGGTGCATCCTCCTGTGAGTAAAGTGTGGAGATGATACAGCATTTTGTCTCTGCGGTTCTAATTATTTTAGGTCTCAATCCTTGGCTGGAGAGGAGGAGTTGTCAGAGAGCCAAGTTTTGAGACATGCTATTCTATACTGACCCCTCTTTGTAAGAAAGTCTTGAGGGTCCAGGCAACTGGAGAGTGTTACAGGACAGGAGAAGGCAGGGGTAGTCTGTATATCTCCAGGCGGTTCCTATCATGGAACACCACTCAGTGTCAACTAGAACAACAGCAGGATAGCCCAGGCAGGCTGAGCTCTAAACTCTGAAAATGCATTTCAACAAGAGGGCCTTTAGTCACACTCAGGAGAGATTTTATATGGAAAAGGGGACACAGCAGCCAACATGAGGAACAATTGTAAAGCAGAGACCAATAGTGATTCTAGGATCGTGGTGAGCTTGCAAGCAATGTGTATGTTGCTCAAATATACACATAGATGAAAGGTTGCCTTTCTGGAACATAGGGACACACAGAGACAGGACTATATGCACAAGAGAAAGGGAGAAAGAGACTTTGACCGGATCTGACCCAAGGAAAGATACTTAGATAAATCCAAGGTATAGAGCTGTAGTGATGACATTCCCTGAAGCCTAAATCAGAAGCCATGGACATCACTGTGGTCTTATATGTGGGTTTCTTCCCAATTTGTCTCGTGAACCTCTGATACATAATCTGCCCCACGGGCTGGCCTGTGGTCTGACTTGTGGTCTGCCAGCATGTTCCGTCACAGCTCCGCAGGGAGACTGAATGTCCAAAACTGGGCCAGGTACAGGGCACGCTATCCAGGCTGGAATGTTCAGCCCTCCTGCAGTCTGTCTAGGCCCCCTTTCAGGGGAGAGGCATTGGAGGTCCCTGTGAGTTATGACTTTTATTATGCAGAAAACAGGCACATTAACTTCAGGTCTTTGAAAAATGTGATCCTGTAATCAGAGTCTGTGTCTGTCCTGATGCACAATGGCACCAGGCCAGAGAAGTGCAGGGATGAAATAAACATTTAGAAAGACTACTGCATTTGCAGGTCTAAGAATTGAGTTATATTCATTTCTGACAGCTTCCTGAATCACAGCCCACGTCTCCGCCTGGCAAAACTGGGACCTGGCCCTTTAACTAGACTCCATTTCACATAATTAAAGACTCACAAAATTAAATGGCCTGAATGGAAAGTGGCTTTCAGTGGACTAAATGCCGGGAGCAATCTCCTCGCCAGAGTGGAGAAGTGACACTAGCTTGCAGATCAATATCATCTCTGTTATTAATATCAAAAGCACATTACTTTGTTTTTGCCTGGCTCTCCTCCAAGCCTCCGGCCCTGCCACGGAGCAGCCATTTGCTCGGGCCATAATTTACTTTGGTGAGTTTTTAAGGTATTGTTTTGTCAGGACCAATCACCGTGACGTTATAAATGGCTGGGAGGACTTGCACTCTCCCTCAGTGACATATGCAGCGAAATTAATTTTTAAAAGTTTCACGTCAATTACTCCTGTCCTTGAGTTACGCAAGGGGACAAAGGAGCAGAGACGTAAGGATGTGAGTGATCTCAAACAGATGAGGTAACGACACACAGAAGCTGAGGCTGAAGACCAGAGCAGACATTACACTGTCTTTAATTGATGCATTGAATTAAACAATGCTAAAGCCAAATAAATATTGGCCACTTAGCAAAAGAACCATTGATTTTTATGATGGACAACAATGCCATCCTTCACTTTGCTGGTGGAGGGTTTCAAGCCAGGGTCTTATCGGATCCAAAACAGCCAGTTCACTGGATTACACAGCAAGATGCCACCGCTCTTTGGTGGGACTGTGCAAAGTTGAGAGTAACTGTTTTCACTGTTTCTTGCTCAGCCTAGCTCATGTTCCCTCTCTCATTTACTTTTTTTTTTTTTTTTTTTTTTTTGAGACAGGGTCTCACTCTCTCGCCCAGGCTGGAGTGCAGTGGCTCAATCTCGGCTCACTGCAACCTCCACCTACCAGGTTCGGGTGATTCTCCTGACTCAGTGTCCTGAGCAGCTGGGAATACAGGTGTGAGCCACTGTGCCCGGCTAATTTTTGTATTTTTTTTTTTTTTAGTAAAGACGGGGTTTCACCATATTGGTCAGGCTGGTCTCAAACTCCCAACCTCAGGTGATCCGCCTGCCTCAGCCTCCCAAAGTGCTGGGATTACAGGCGTGAGCCACCGTGCCTGGTCTCATTCACCTTTAAGGAGACCTCAGGCTGGGCCTTGCCTCCCTCTGCTTCAGTATTGGCAGCGAGGGCAGAGGCACTGAACATCCTTTTTCCCAAGATCTCCGGGTATGTCTCATCTTCCTCCTATGCCACCTCCCTCAGCAGGCTGTCCCTGAAACCAAAGAAGTGGCTTGCCTTCAGCCCTAAGTACAAAGGGCCCCTCTTCCTGCTCTGCCTGAAAATCAGGGCAAAGAGGAAGACACAGGAAGGGGGACACAAAAAGATCTGTGTTGGAAAGAGAAAGAGATCTACAACTTCCAAGCACCCGGGATGTGCCCAGCACCATATCAGACACCGTACAGCATTATCTTCATTAATTCCCCCAGAAACTTGAAACTGGGCATTAGGGAGGCAGACTTGAAGATGGATATTGACTTCCAGGAGTGAGCATCAAAAGCCTGCAGACCAGGAATCAGACTCTGTCAACCTCACAGACCCCAGGTGCCTGTGTGTCTCTACCCAAAAACATCCACCCCCTTCCCGCTGGAATGCAGGTTCCGTGAGGGCAGAACTAATTTTGTTCTCCTATATTCCCAGTGCTAACTGGCACTTGCACGTGCTATGCTCTTAGTAACTATCCATGGAATGCATGGATATTACAAGAGAAGCCCTGAGATGTGAAGGTTAACGTCATCAATGGAGAGGAGCGGGTTGCCATTTGGCACCCAGTCACACAGAGGCACCTGCCAGGATGGCTTCAACCTGGAAGGGTGAAGGAAGGAACATGCCAAGCAGCCGCTGTGCTCAGGCCAGGTACACACATTGGCTATCTGCACTGGGGGTTAAGAACAACGGAGTCTGGCATAGTCTCGAAACCTCCCATCACATCGGGCTCTGAGATGTCTGAGCAGAGCAATCATGGATTTAATCAGAGTGGGGACAAGGTCCTTTTTCTTGATTCTCTACTCTGATGTCAAAGGCCAAGATAGGATGAGGGCAGTGGGGAGTCAGCAACACTTGTCTGGACTTTGGCAGTCAAATAGGGCCACTAGTCTTTGGAGAGCTATCTTACAAAAATATATTATGATACCCATTTCATAGGTGAGGAAACCGAGGCCCAAAGAAGCTAAACAACTTATTCAGGGTCTTAGGGTCTTTGCCAAACAGTCAAGTGAAAACTGCACATTTCAATGATCCAGCTGTTTCCCCTGTATCATCACTGGGCATCCCAGTGCCATGCTCATAGGGCTGCCTGGTGTGAGGACATTCACAGCGCAGTACCCAGGCTGAGTGTGAACTAGATTCCTCCCAGCACAGTGAAATCAACTGGCAGGCCTCAGGCCCAGCCATACACTCTCATGGTGGGAGGAGGTGCAGTTGAGTTTGGTGGAGGGAATCCTGGCCTGTACATGCCAAGGTTCGCTCATGCCTCCATCAACAAGCATCTGCCGCTGCGGGCAGACCCCATGCTAGGGAAGCCTCAGCGAATGAGGATCCCATTACCTTCCTTGCCCTCACCAAGCTTACAGCTGGTAGAGAATGAGACCCCACCTTGTTTCAAAATTCGTTAATTTTTACTTGCATAGATCATGAACAAGGAAGACAGCCTTTAAATATTCCTAGCTTACTAAGAAGCTGCACAGTTCTTCTGTATCAGTAGCTGAATTAGAAAAATATCAGAGAGTGTACACAGCATCCTGTGACAAACACAGGTTTACAACTGCACATGAACAAACACCAGGATTTACAGGAATATAGGAAGTATTTTAATAAGTGTATTCTTTCCAACACAAGTATTTACAAGAAGTATTATAACAAATGTGTTCTTTTTTTTTTTTACAGACATTCCTAGTCTCAAGGTAGCAAGGGAACAGTCCTTGAGAAAGAACTATTCAAATTTTGACGATCACAGGCTATTGCCGCTTTTAGTAAACACTTGGAAACTCAGTGTCCAGATGCCACGATTTCTAGTAAGTATGGATTCAAATTAAATGCTGTGGTAAGTAGTATGTTACCATACTTCTAATCTTATTATTTGTTTAAACAGAGGGTGCTTGCTAACCTCGTGCTTCTGTTAATGACTTGGGCACTCAATGAGTTCGTGTCCACCCAGAAAGCATTTGTTTAGCTGGCAGGCACCCAGGCTGGGCCCGGCTGTGTGCAGGTCCTGGGCTCTCACAGCCAAGTCAACTGCAATCCTGATGTCTGAGGAGCTCCTGGTCCAGTCGGGGGAGGGACCCAGAAACAGGCTGAGTCTGCTTATGGCTGGAATTGGGTAATGGCAATGAGAACATGAACTTAACCCTTACTGTGGGCGAGGGGGAGGGCCCATCAGGAAAGTGCCTGGGGGCTGGGTCCTGAAGATGAATAGGAATGTTCTAGAAAGTAAGCAGAAAGGCATACCTGGCAGAGGGTTTTGCAGGCGCAAGGACCTAGAAGTACAGCAGGGTGAGGTGCATCTGGAGGAGAGTTTGGTGTGGGTTAGGATTTGTGGCTGTCAGAATTCTCGATAACCTGTTCTCAACATGGAAAGCAGAGTGATCCTTTACCGTGTAAACCAGATCACATTTCTCCCCGATCCAAGCCTCCAAGAGCTATAGTTGCACTTAGGGTAAAATCTAAAGTCTGACAATGGGCTCTAAGCCCCTGCAGGATCTGATCCCTACCCACCTCTGCCCCTGCTCTCCAAGCTCCAGCCTCGTTTCTCTTCCTTGAGTTGGTAAAGTCCATTCCAACCTTGAGAACTTTGCACTTGTCGCTCTCTTGGTGTGGAATATTCTTCTTCTAGATCTTCCTCTGAGTGGCTTCTTTTCATTTAAATCTCGGTTCGAACATCCCCTCTATGGAGTGGATTTCCCTACATGCTAGCAAAACAGCCCCTCTCGCATCCCCCAGTCACTTCCAATGACACCAACTTGTTTTAGTAACATCAAAGCTCATGCCATTCCCTACAATCTTCTCGTTGATGCATTTGTTCATGATAACCTCCATGCGGACAACAACCTGGCCTGCTGTGTTCACAACCCCTACGACAAAATCCAGAACATACCAGATGCTCAGAAGGTATCTGTTGAATGAATGAGTGAAGAGCCTGGAGGTCTTTGGGCTTCTCCCAAGTCTTAGAACATTTGAGAAGCAGAGAAAGTAGAGGAGGAGGCTCCTTCACCTGCCATGCCCAGGCTGTGGGGAGGAGGGAAAAAAGCCTGAACATATGGATGGAGGGACAAAGTCGAGTTTGAAAGCACTGGACCAAGTCCAAGAGGGCCAATTCATCCATCACAGGCCAGCAGCAGACAGCACTGGACTTCCCTGATACTCACAGGAGGCGAGTGGGCCTGGGCCTGGAAAAAAGAGCCGAGAGTGAGGGCAGAGCTGATGAAAACTTAGGAAGCAGCCCAGCCCACAGCCGATGGGTTCCTCTCCCACCTTGAGCATCTCTGCACCCCAGGGAGGTGGAGATTGAGACTGAGGCCAGAGGGAATCCAAGACTGCCTCTGGCCAGGCTCAACAGTCACATCCTTCAATCAGCCTTGTTCTTTTTTGCCTTCCTGCTGTTCCCTCTGCCTAGAACATGATCCCCTATCATTTATCTGACAAATCCCTACTCATCCTTCAAATGTCAGCTTAGAAGCCACTTTCTCTAGGAAGCCTGCCCTGACAGTTCTCCTCTCCTCGCTGCCTTTGCCAGGCTGGGTTTAGAGTTCTTCCCTCATTATAGCAATCACCATCCTTTATCATAATTACCTGCCTCTGGAATCACATGCATCTGGGCTTAAGTTTCAGCTCACGGAATTGCTGCTCAACCTCTTTGAGTCTCAATTTCCGCATCTATACAATGGAGAAAATAATAAACATCATGCAAGTATGTTGTGAGCATGATTCGGGACAGTATGTACAGCTGGTGAGTACTAGGTATTTAATCAATATTAGATATGGTAATAATGAAGAAGAAAAATTTCTGAATCTACCTCCAAATGCCTAACAGGTGGTCAGCTGGGCTGAGGTGGGAAAAAACCCACTGGACTTGGAATCCAAATCATGGCTCAGCCATTATAGCTGTGATTTTAGCAGACGTTATACTCCCTCTCAGCTTCCTATTCCTCCTCTGTAAGATGGAATTCCCAAAACCATCCTCATAGGATTGCTGTGAGGATTTGATTTATTTAATCATCTTTCTTTTCTTTCCTTTTTTTTTTTTTTCAGAAATGGGATCTCGCTCTCTCACCCAGACTGGAGTGCAGTGGCACAATCACAGTTCACTGCAGCCTCAAACTCCTGCGCTCAAGCGATCCTCCCACCTCAGCCTCCTGAGTAGCTGGGACTACAGGTGCACACCATCATCCCTGGGTCCAGTCATTTTTCAAATATATATAGACTAATATGTGTCTAGTACTAATTTAGACTTCAGGTGATTGAGGTCTGATCCTTGTACCCACAGAGGATGAGGGTCATTAGGCAGTGACAGCAGTGTTGTTCAGGTATGCAGGCCTGCTTGCATTCAGCAATTCCCATTGAGTGCCTACTAGGTGCCAATGTGGAAGAAGAACAGAAAAGACTCCTGCCCTAATAATATGAATAGAAGCAGCTAATATTCATTGAACATTGACTGCATGGTTCAGTTCTTTAGGCTTCCTAAAACACAAACACAATTAACAGCTACCTCAGAGAGTGGCAGGCAAGATTATATGAATTAATGCATGTGACGCTCAGAGCAGAGGTCCTGGCACCTCGTAAGTGGTCAATAAATGGGAGCCCTAATTCTATTTATTAGCTCACTAGGTAGCAGCCTTGTATTTAGAGCTTTACATGTTTTATCTCATTTAATCATTTAATCCAGGGTGATAAGTACTAAGATACGACACGTGAAATCGCCTATAAACTTAAAAGCCTTTCCGCATGTGAGTGCTTGTTAATGTTTCAGAGAGACGAGCAGAGGATCATAGAATGGGATGGGGCAGTCAGCATGCAGAGAGATCAGCCAGAAAAGCTTCTGGAAGGTGAGCCTGGGGATGAGGCAGGGATCTGGGGCCACCAGGGCTGAACAACAGAGGACAGGAGGAACAGCCTCTCTCCTGCAAACCAGGGCGTTTCTGCTGCTGCAGAAGGCCAGATTCAAACAGGGCAATTTAAAAACATGTAAAAGGCATAAAGCGAGAGCAGCTGTGCACAGCTGCCGCCGAACGCTCCATCGCTGCCTCGCTGTGGACTCTAAATGACAATAAACCTTCCACCCCTTATAAATTAAGCAGACTTTCAAAAAAACCATATCTCCTCCTGCAACTTTTTATGGCTGTTTGGCAACTTTAATCATTTTGCAAAATGCAATTCCTGGCCATAAATTCTCTCCCAAGTACAGATTTAGGGAGATCTAGAGGACTGCGGCGGGTTGATAGGTAAGTTTTAATCTGACAAGGCCAAAAAGTCTATTAGATTTATGGGGAGGCAGCAGATACCTTGTAATTACACCAGGCTCGACCTCTGGGGAATCTTGAATTCAAGGGGGGTGGTGGGGAGAAAATGGGAAGGAAGTGGCTGGGGCAGTGGCAACAGCGGGCTGGAACCCCCTCCGTCAGTCAGTCCCTGGCCCCAGCCTTTTGGTCACAGGCCACGGTGATTTCCTAGCAAAGGCTCAAAGACCTTGGGTTCCAAGTCACTGAAGCCTGTGACTGATACACATGCACACACATGCACACATCCACAGTGCCTGTCAAGAGAAGCTGAGCTCTTGTGAAGGAGGTCACACATCCCTGAGCAGGGTAAAGAGTGAGTGAGAAGGCAGTGGATTTCATTCAATTACACATCCAACAAGTATTGAGTCCACATGCATGCTATGTGCCACACACCGTATGGGACACTAGGGACAGAGCCATGGACAGTGCATGGGTTGTGCCCTGCACAGGGTACCCAACTAAGAGGGCATTTGGCATATGGTCCAGTACAAGCAACTTTAGCCTGGAGGCAGGAGAGCCTTTCCTGACCTGGCTGCCCAGGAACGTGCCTCTGACTACCCTGCCCTAAGGTGCTAGCCTCTCTGCAGCCCCAGCTTCAGCTCACAAGGTGGTCATAGTCTAACAGGATCCCAAGGCACAAACTGGCAGTCTGCAGGCTGAATTTGGCCAACATCATGCCTTAAAATTTTTGAATGTGGAAGGACTTTTCCTTTGTCACCATGCTACCACTCCTTACTACCCTACACTCAGAGGATTCATTTGCATTTGCTCCTGGCCCCAATGTGAGTTTGAAACCCCTGGAAGAAGCCTAAGGTAGTGATGGGATAAGTAAAGGATGTCACAGAGCCCCAGACCCCCTGTGGAAGTGTGCTGGGTAGAAGAATGGCCCCTGAAGAGGTCCACATCCTAAATCCCAAAACCGAGACCATGTTATGTTATGCGGCAAATGAGGAATTAATGTTGCAGACAGAATTAAGGGTACTAATCAGCTGACTTTAAAATAGGGAGATTATCCTGGATGATCTGAGTGGTCCCAATGTAATCACATGGGTCCTTAAAAGAGAATCAGAGGGCAGAAGAAGGGCCAGGGTCAAAGTGACGTGATGTGAGAAAGACTCGACTGGCCATTGCTGACTATGCAGATGCAGGAAGGTGCCACAAGCCGAGGAATGCAGACAGCCTCCATAAAGTAGAGAGGCAAAACAGGCACATTCTCCCCTAGATTTTATTATTATTATTATTGAGACAGAGTCTCTCTTTGTCACCCAGGCTGAAGTGCCATGGTGCGATCTCAGCTCACTGCAACCTCCGCCTCCCAGGTTCAATCAATTCTCCTGCCTCAGCCTCCCAAGTAGCAGGGATTACAGGTGTGCACCACCACACCAAGCTAATTGTCGTATTTTCAGAAAAGACGGGGTTTCACCATGCTGGACAGGCTGATCTCGAACTCCTGACCTCAGGTGATCCTCTCGCCTCAGCCTCCCAAAGTGTTGGGATTACAGGCATGAGCCATTTTGCCCAGCCATCCCCTAGATCTTCTAGAAGGAAACACAGCCCTGCTGACACCTTGATTTTAGCCCATTGAGACCCATCTCAGACTTCTGCCTCCTGGGACTGTAAGATAATAAATTTGTATTGTCTTAAGCCACTAAATTTGTGGTGATTTGTTACAGTAGCAAGAAGAAACAAGTGACATTTAAGTGAAGGCCAGAGAGGTGAATAGATTTGGGCTGGAGGTGTTTCAGATGAGGGGAAGAACACACGACTTCATTCCTCCATGCTCCCTTTTTGCTCTCCAATGCTCTGGGCTTGGCTTTGGTGATCCTGGGGATGTGAAGATTTTGCAGATGTGGTCACAACAAGGGTACAGGGAGCACACAGAGGCTACCAAAGGAGGCCAAGTCACAAATGGGTTACTTTGGAGTGGTATTTATTAGACTTTGTACCAAGACCTGTCCTCAGCATCCTAAGTGGTTTATCTTCACAAGCAGCCCTGGGAGGCTGGATTGTATGGTGGCTATCAGTCTGGGTCCTGGTACCAGAGTACCTGATTCAAGTCCAAACTCTACCTGCTACTAAGTATATGGCTGTTACTTAAGCTCTTGGGCTGCCATTTCTTCATCAGTACAGTGGCAATAATTATGGCACATCATGGGGTTGTTCGGAAGATTAAATGAGGTAGGATACAGCACCTAGAACATTGTCCAATGCTGAGTAGTTACAGGCTGTCATCTTCAGATATGGCAGACAAGCCTGAAGGTAAATGCTATGACTCCAGCCTCCTGGTGTTCATGCTTCTAACTAATAGGATATGGCAAAGGTAATGGGCGGTCTGTCCCATTATTACATCCCATTCCCAGGACCATCTTAGCAGGCTGGAGATAGAGGCTCTCCCTGCTGGCTGGATGACATAAGCAGCAATGTTGGAGGAGCCCACATGGCAAGGAACTGTGGAACTAGGAGTTGCAGGCTACCTCCTGCAACCAGCAGGAGCCAGAGCCTTCAGTCCTACAACTGCAGGGAAGTGAATCCTGCCAACAATCTGAGTGAGCTTGGAAGCAGATCCTTCCCCAGTCAGTCCTCCAGATGAGAATGCCTCTTGGTTGACACCTTTTCTGTAGCTCTGTGAGATTGTCAGAAGAGGATCTAATCAAGCCTTGCCAAAACCCCTAACACAGAAACTATGAGACGTGTGTTGTTTAAAGCCACTACGTTTGTGGTAATTTGTTCAAATTTATGCAAAAATGTACAATGAATACATCAGTTAAGTACTACAATTTTTCCCATTTGACAAATGGGAAACTGGCATTTGGAAAAGGTAGGTTCCTTGCCCAAGGTCACAGAGCTAGTTAGAGGCACAGCTAAAACTCAAGTCCAGGACTGTCCAGTTCCAGGACCCTTGCTCTTAATTACCACACCAATCTGCCCTGCTCCCTCCAAGGTAGCCATCTCCTTCGGCACAAGCCCCTTCAGGCTCCTTCATCCCTTTCTTGCCTTTCTCTTCTTCCCTCTTCTTTCCATCCTCCTCCAGCCCCTTGTCCTTCTCCCTTAACTTTCTTTCTCCCCTCCCCCTCCTCCTCCTCCCACGCCCACTTCACCACCATGGGGTAGTTGCTTTGTAACAGTCCCTACCTTCCCAAACCTCTCCCTGCAGGGTCACTAGGGCATCCCTTCCAGGCTCACCCCTGCAGAAACAATTGAGGAATTGACAGCAGCTTCAACCCAGCTGGCCAGGAACTAGGTGCCATGCTGCTCTCCCCTGATGCCACCAAGAGCCTGAGTTCTTCTCCCAAGGAACCAGAGTCAGAACTCCCCAAGGCAGGGCTCCTAGGCTCAGGGACAGTCCACCAGCCTGGTCCCAACCTGCACCTGCAGCACAGCAGACAGATGGTAAGAACCTCCAGGCCCTTCTACTCTAGCCCTTCTGCAGGTCTCCGGCCCCACCTCCCTTTGCATGAAAGAAAGAGAGGGTTCTTTAAAAATGGAACAGAATAAAATATAGATAAGCATTAGTCAAATGAAATTAATGCTTCCAATATTGTTTCAGGCTTGCACATATGCATCAAGCATTTATGAAATTGCAGTTTATCACGTGAGAATATTGCGGTTATATATTAGCTTACTGTCTGGTGGCCACTCCACGGCTCTCTCTGGACCCTAGATCGCCCTTCACAGGCAAAGTCAGCCTTGCCGACATCTATCGCCTTCCTCTGCCGACACGTCCCCAGATGCTGATAAAAGGCCTTGCCCCCAACAACATATGAATATTTAAATGACAGTTAATTATTCAGCATATAATGATGTTATTAGCATCCACTTTATTGCTGGCTGTGGGCCCAGCCAAGTCTTGTCCCACACTGAGGGGTGCTGAGGAAAAGCCTAAACCAGGCAAGCCCTATGTCTGCTGCATCTGCAGGGACGCATTGTTATCTGGGGGAGTTGTCAATTCACAAAAATGATCACTGAGGATCTCTACCCTGGACCTGTTCCATGTCAAGCCATGTGGACATAGATCACATGAGGAGTGTTCTAAATCTTCCCCTCTGGGGAGGAGATTTAGCCAACATAGCTCCTGTTCACAAAGTGCTTACAGCCTCATGGGAGCTCACATTCACCCTGCCAAGCACCTCACAGGCACATCATTAGTTTCACAAAACAACCTTACAAAGTAAGGGCTTTTCTTGTCCCTCTTTTCTTAGAAATAAGAAAACTGAGGCCAGGTGTGGTGGCTCACACCTGTAACACAAGCACTTTGGGAGGCCGAGGTGGAGGGATCGCTTGAGCTCAGGAGTTCAAGACCAGCCTGGGCAACGTGGCAAAACCCTATGTCTACAAAAAATACAAAAATTAGCCAGGCATGGTGGCATGCACCTATAGTCCCAGCTACTCAGGAGGCTGAGGAGGGAAGATCGCTTGCACCCGTGAGGCAGAAGTTACAGTGAGCCAAGATGGCCCCACTGAACTCCAGCCTGGGTGATAGAGTGAGACCCTGTCTCAAAAAAAAAAAAAAAGGAAATAAGAAAACAGAAGCTTAGAAGTAAAGTGCTGTGCACAAGGTCATGAGGTACATGAAGGAACTGGGATTCTAACACGGAGAGCCTTACTCAGAGCTCTTGCTCCACTAGCCACGAGCAAAGCTTGTGCTCCCAGACAATGGGAAAGAAGTGCAGCAACACACACGCAAGCAAAAGGCTCTGAGATCCAGAAGTGAGGATGCATGCAGATGGAGATAAAGCGGAAAAGGCTTCTAGAATAAGGTAGCATTGGAGCTGGACCTGGAAGAATAAATAAGCACAGGATGCAGAGGTGGGGAGGGCACCCCAGTCAAAGAGAACAGCACACACAAAGGCATTGGAGAAGAAAGGTGCTTTGAAAATGGTGAGATTCCGGGTAAACTGCAGCACAAGCTCTGTGTGGGGTGCACAATGGGAAGATAGTTTGGGAACAGGTGACAGAGAGTATAGAGGGTACGACTGTATCCTGAGAGCACTGTGGAGTCTGGAAAGATTGTGGTAGACTGCAAAATGGTTACAAATTTCCCCTTCCCATAAAGAGGTGGAATCTGTTTGCCCACCCCAGTCTCCCCACTACATCTGGACATGAGCATGTCGGCCATGTGACTTGCTTTGCAGAAGGGGACATTAGCAAATGCAGCACAAAGGTTTGAAAAGTGTTCTTGAAGTCTGAGACCACCATGGAAACAAGCCTAAGAGGCCACACGGAGGAGAAATGAGGTGTCCCAGAGGAGCCCAGCCCAAATTACTGGCAACCTGCCAACAACCCAACATGTCAGCGAGTCCATCCCGGGTCATCCAGCCACCAGTGGTTCCCAGATGACCTGCCAGCAGACACATGATGGAGCCCAGCAGAGATCAGTGGAGTTGGCCCACTGACCTCTTTTAAGGCATTCAATTTTGGAGTCGTTTGTTATATCGCAACGGCTAAGTGATACAAAGGTTTAAAGAGGAGTGGCCTGACCAGAGGTGTTTTAGAAAGAGTGCTCTGGCCACGGGGTGGAAGATAGATTAGAAATGGTGAAACTGGCAGCTGGAGACCCTCAAGGAGGCTGATATCAGAGTCCCGAGTGAGAAGATGAAGGTGAAATCAAGGCGATGGGAATGGATGAAGTGAAGGTCCTCCCAGTGTCTGCCAGGGAGGCACTATGATGTCACTGAAGCAAGTCTTTGGGCCAAGCGTGGTGGATCACTTGAGCCTAGGAGCTCAAGACCAGTGTGGCCAACATGGCAAAACTCCATCTCTACCAAAAATACAAAAATTAGGCAGGTGTGTTGGTGCATGCCTGTAATCCCAGCTACTTCAGTGACTGAGGCAGGAGAATCGCTTGAACCCAGGAGGTAGAAATTGCAGAGACTGTGGCCACTACACTCCAGCCTGGGCGATACAGTGAGACTCTGTCTCAATTTAAAAAAAAAGAAAAAAGAAAGAAAGTCTTTGGGGAACTCCTACAGACACACATGCACCCTACAACCCACGCCCTGTGTTACCTTGGGGGACCCCACACTTTGAAAGCCAGTGGCCTCCTGCCTGTGTTGTTCTCTCTCTGCCCACCTCCACCTCCATCAGCTCACCCCTGCAGCCCTCCACTGAGCACTCCTCTTCCAGCTCCCGTTCCACTCTGAAAAAAGATTACCTTTCACACAGTTTTCACTGCCTAAGGAGTCCAGACTCTCACCTGTGTTCCACTCCCAGCTCTGCCTCCACCTGTGACTTGAGGCAAGCCTCTGCCCCTCATCAGGCCCCAGTTTCCCCAGATGCCTTCTGCTTAGACACTGGGCTTGTGGTCTGGCCCTTTAGCTTCCCCAGATTAGGAGGCCTCCTCGGGTCTCACTGCCACACCTCCTTCCACCTACACTTGAATTCTTGGGAGAGGTAGAAGAAATACCCACTTACCCACCCTATTCTGGTCCTGGTAGTGTCATGAGGGACTAAAATAAACAGCCGCTGACCTAAAGCATCTTCTCAGATTCCAGGCCTTCAGAGTCACCACTCAGGGCCTACTGAGGACATGAGCATGCCAGGCTGACCCAGCACGATGGAGCCTGGACTCCAGACTAGTGCATCCATTGGACATGCAGAACCCAAAAAGGACATCCAGGGAGAGGTCAGGACTGGGAGGAAGATGATCTGAATATGAAGCTAGCTCTACCCCTCAACTGACCTTGGGAACTTAAGTGAGCCATCTAACTTCCCAGAGCTCCCTGTATAATGAAAGCATCACGGCTTTCACACCTGCCCCATCCCTGGACACCAATGGTTCCTTGACAAGTGTTCATTTTCTTCTCTGCCCCTGCCACCTCCGTGCCTCAGCTCTTCATCTATAAACTAAGGAGGCCAATCTCCTCTCCTCCAAATTGTTTTGTAAGTCCAGATAAGAAGCTCTGCAAAGCCCTTGGCATATGATAGGTGATCATCAAACCTTATTTCATGCTTTCAAGTTGAACACCAAGAAAAGTTCGAACTAGAATACGTTCCTGATGTGTTACAATGTGATGTGCACAGTACTAGGGACATATTCTTATAAACAGTTTAATTTGAATCTAATTAAGCATCTAGGATGAACATCCAGCTTACAGGAAAAAAATGAAGATGGAAAAACAAGGTAAATGACATCACATAGAAACAATCAGACAAATCCAGTGTGTAGAAACTTCTACTGTACAAGAAAACTGGCCTAGACTCTTCAAAAAGCTAATTGATAGGAGAAAAAAAAAAGTTAAAAGGGCTATTCTAGATTTTATTTACTTTTTTTCCTCCTAGATACACAGTTTCTTACTCGGTTGCCCAGCCTGCAGTGCAGTGGCACAATCAGAGTTCATTGCAGCCCCTAACTCCTAGGCTCAAGCAATCCTCCTGCCTCAATCTCCTGAGTAGCTGGGACTACAGGTGTGTGCCACCACACCTGACTTTAGAGATGGGGGTCTCACTATGTTGCCCAGGCTGGTCTCCGACTTCTGGCCTCAAGCAATCCTCCCACCTCAGCCTCCCAAAGTGCTGGGATTCTAGATTTTAAAAGACAAAATGCAAAGCATAAAAACATATGCCATAATTAGGTTTTTTTTAAATTGAACTATAAAAAAAACCTATAAAATGCATTTTAGGACAATTGGGAAATATGGATATAAACTGGAAATTAACTGATATTATGGAATTACTGTTAATTTTCTCACATGCAATAATGGCATTGTGGATATGAAGAAGATTGTCTTTATTCTTAGGAGAAGCGTGAGAATTATTTAGGGATAAGAATCATGATGCCTACAACCCGTTTTCGAATACTATACCAAAAAAAGAGAGATAGGAAAGATGGCAAACTGTTAACAAATGCTGAATCTAGATGGAGAGTTCATGGGTAATAATTAGACCATTCTTTCAGCTTGTCTGTAAATTTGAAAACTTCCAAAATAAAAAGTTGGGGGTCAGTGGAAAAAACCCAGGATTGAGAACTGCGGAAGCAAACTCAGCCAGCTGCAGAGACCCCGCCTGGCCCCATGCAGCCGGGCTGGCCAAAGACAAAGGCTGAGTCACTATTAGAAGTGGTCCTTCCGGCCCTGGCTCCAAGCTGAGGACGGCAGGGGGTCGGGGGCCCAGCTGCGGTCCCACCTCCCCCACCACCCCTTTCTTGGAAATGTCAGCTCCCCAGGCTTCAAGGAGGGCCCTGTCCTGGTGCAAGCTGGAGTAAGGAGTTTTCTGTGAAGCTCACTGCTTCTTGGCTGGGAGGTGACCATGGTCACCAGCCCCTGGGGACAAAAACACTTTTGTTTGCACCAGTCTGAGCTTTTGGTCCCTGGTGCAAGAGTTGACATTGGTTCCCATTTCCAAATGCTCCTGTAGCAACTTCTCTCCATTTCCTTACTTCTGCTGGATGATGGGGGAACAGGTATCTGGGGTGGGGGATTGTTTGGGGCTCAGATCACTAGGATTTCCAGGCTGCATGGGCTGGGCCAGGCAGAGCAGAGCTAACTACTTGAGGACACAGCAGAGAGGGTACCTCCAGAAGACAGAACTGGAGAGTGGCTCAGACACACCCCACTGCCAATCCCCAAGAGTCCAGGCAGGGCCTAAATAAGCTTTGCAGGGGACAAGGGTTGTCATGGGCTCTAACGTATGCAAGAGGCTCTGGGTCTCCCATGCAACCTAGATCCCTGAGACTTTAGCAAGATCTCAGAATCTATGGGAGGTAGCCGTGAAATTTACCGAGTCTAGAGGCAGGTTTTAGCCTGTTTTTTGTTTGTTTGTTTTGAGTTGGAGTCTCGCTCTGTCACCCAGGCTGGAGTGCAGTGGTGCAATCTCGGCTGACTGCAACCTCTGCCTCCTGGGTTCAAGTGATTCTCCTGCCTCAGCCTCCTGAACAGCTAGGACTACAGGCACATGCCACCATGCCCAACTAATTGTTTGCATTTTTAGTAGAGTCGGGGTTTCACCGTGTTAGCCAGGACAGTCTCGATCTCCTGACCTTATGATCCGCCCACCTCAACCTCCCAAGGTTTTAGCCTGTTTTTTAACCTGAGTGAGGATATATCGAGGGTCTGGAGCAGTGCAGGTGGAGCTCACAGCAGCCAGCATTTGTTTAATCCTTCCCAAGAGCCAAGCACTGTGCTAAGGGTGGTCTGTGGGTTACCCCATTCACTCCTACTAAAAGTCCTGTTTCAGCTCCTTAACTATAATCAGAGGATGTGGACTCAGCTTTCTACTGTGGCTGAGAATGGACAAATAAACCCTAAGGAAATACTAAGGAAATCAGTAATGCCCAGCTTATGGAGCATGGTAAACCAGGACTTGAACCCAAATGGACAGTTACTCCTGTCCATAGAGAAGACAGTATTTTTCCTCTGAAAATAGCTCTAGCTCCAACCCAGTGCGTAACCAAATGGGCCGTCAAAAATCCAAGTGTTTGGGAGGCCTAGGTGGGTGAATCACCTGATGTCAGGAGTTCGAGACCAACCTGGCCAACATGGCGAAACCCTGTCTCTAATAAAAATACAAAAATTAGCCAGAAGTGGTGGTGGGTGCCTGTAATCCCAGCTACTCAGGAGGCTGAGGCAGGAGAATCACTTGAACACATGAGGTGGAGGTTGCAATGAGCCAAGATCACACCACTGCACTCCAGCCTGGACAACAGAGTGAGACTCCGTCTCAAAAAAAAAAAAAATCCAAGTGTAGGCCATAACGGTTTCCCAGAGTGGGTCTTATTGGGCATATTTCCCATGAGATAGTCCATAAAAAGGGGGTTCTGGCCCCGCGTGGTGGCTCACGCCTATAATCCCAGCCAAGGCAGGTAGATCATTTGAGATCAGGAGTATGAGACCAGCCTGGCCAACATGGTGAAACCCTGTCTCTACTAAAAATACAAAAATTAGCTGGGCATGGTAGTGTGTGCCTGTAATCCCAGCTACTTGGGAGGCTGAGGCAAGAGAATCGCTTGACCCCGGGAGGTGGATGTTGCAGTGAGTCTAGATCGCACCACTGCACTCCAGACTGGACAAAAAGAATGAAACTCTGTCTCAAAAAAAGCGGGGGAGGGGTGTGGCAGACATGGTCAAAAGAGCCCTTCCATGACTGGATTCTAAGATGAAAGTGGGGGCAGGACAGAGTAGGGGTGATCCAGGGTGATCTGTTGGCAGTTTTGTGGAATGATTCAGTCATTAGACCAGTTGTTCTACAGACAGAGCTCAACAGATCATCCCCTGTTTAAATTAGACCCCAACTCCACTAGAACAACAAAATTCTCGTATGAGTCAGAGTTTAACCATGAAAACAGAAATCACCTTAAGAATTTATAATAGGAGGAATTTAGTGCAGGGAATTGGTTACATAGGTCATAGAGAAACTGAACCCCCACCAGGTGACAGTGAGGTGACCAAAGATAAGCAGGAAGTCACTGTCACCTCTAGATTGGAGAGACAAAGGGAGGAGGTAATGTCATGGGCCAGGGCCACTCAAGAGACCGGAGCCACAGAACCTAGAGGAGTTGGAGCCGTGGAGGGGATGCAGCCGCAGCTAGAGAAGCCACCAAGACAGAAAGGGAAAGGGACAAATATCCTAGGTTCTCCCTCTTCCTCCACCATCCAGATGCCCACCAATGTTTCTTATTGGCCAAATCCAGGCAGCAGGCAGCTGACAGAGTGTATTAGCCCATTTTCATATTGCTGTGAAGAAATATCCAAGACTGGGTAATTTATACAGTAAAAGAGGTTTAGTGGACTCACAGTTCCATGTGGCTGAGGAGGCCTCACAATCATGGCAGAAGATGAAGGAGGAGCAAAGGCATGTCTTACATGGCAGCAGGCAAAGGACTGTGTGCAGGGGAACCATCCTTTATAAAACCATCAGATCTCATGAGATTTATTCACTATCATGATAACAGCACAGGAAAAACCTGCCCTCGTGATTCAATTACCTCTCACCAGGTCCCTCCCATGACACATGGAGATTATGAGAGCTATAATTCAAGATGAGATTTGGGTAGGGATACAGCCAAACCATATCACAGAGGATCCTGGAAATAAAGTCAGCAGGGTTAGCTCCCCAAAAGGGATCCCAGTGCAAACAGACTCAGGATATGCACAGTTCTCAGATCCGTGTTTCACATGAACTCTTGAGCTTCACATTCTCCTTCTGAAGGCCCCCAAGTGAAGAGAAAGGGAGGAAGTGTTGAGGATCCTCCAGCTCCATTCTGACTGTCCCAGGTACAGGCAGGTCACTCCTTTGAGCACAGGCAGAGATGCAGAAGTCAGACTTGCATGGGCATAAACATGCCACTTGGCAAGCCCTGCCTACTATCCAAAGCGTTAAGCTCAGTGGAAGTCTTGGGTTGAATTTAAAATCCCACAAACTTCAGTCAGAGAGCACCTGAGATCTTACCACACTTGACCCTGAATCCTGGCTACCCAGGACTAGCTATGGTCATGCCAGACTTTCTCAATGTAAAACATGCGGTTTCACATGTACGCCAAAAGCATCAAGCATTGGAATGCTGCAAAGGTCCCAGGTGGCTGGTGCAAGTCAGATTCCCCAGGAAACATTCTGAGATGGAGATTTATGTAAATGGAATTTATAAGAAACTCAACACGTGTCAAGGGTGAAGGAAGCAGGATTGGACAGAGAGAGAAATTGAACTGTAATGCAGTCTAAATGAAGGCCTCAGCTGCTCCCACAGGGAGCTCTGGCACTTGGCTGGGACTTCAGAGAAGGTTCGATTTGAGGCCAGGGGCAGGGCCTTTGTGCCCTTGCACAGCCGAAGACCGGATGTGGACTGCCCCCAGGGAGGAGACAGAACGTGGAGCTGGCCGGGTGTCTTCAGCCAAGAGCAGTTCCCAGAAAGGGACTCCACGGGGAGCAGCCAATGCTCCAGAAGCCGGGGAATGAGTGCCTTCTTCCCAAAGAAGGGATCCGGCAGTCACACACAGCATCCACTACCACTGCACAGGACCAAAAGAATTTTCCAAGGAGAAAGGCCTAACGCTGTGGGAGGTGTTTGGGGAGCTAACTGTGCTCTATGTTTTTATTGTTGTTGCTTTATTTATACATCCCAAGTAAACAGAAAGATGAGAGTGGGGAACACTACGTGACGACCAGTCATGAGGACTGCAGACCAGCATCTGCGCCATGGATTTTCCCACCCACCCATGACATAGTGAGACCTGGAAGTTCATCTTGCTGGGTGAATAAATGAGGTGCCCTGATACTCGGGTTTATAAGCCAGTTATGTGTCAGAAGCGTTCTGCCCCAAAAGAATGATGTAGGGTTTAGAGCTTTTAACCAGAACCCTTTTTTCTTTTCTGTTGTTTTTTTTGTTTTTTTGAGGCAGTATCTCACTCTGTCACCCAGGCTGGAGTGCAGTGGGGCAATCTCAGCCCACTTCAACCTCGACCTCCCAGGCTCAAGAGATCCTCCCACCTCAGCCTCCTGAGTAGCTGGGACTACAGGAGCATGCCACCATGCCTGGCTAATTTTTGTATTTTTTATAGAGATGGATGATATGGGGTTTCATCATGTCATCCAGGCTGATCTCAATCTACTGGACTCAAGAGATCTGCCCGCCTTTGTTTCCCAAAGTGCTGGGATTTACAGGTGTGAACCACCGCACCCAGCCCTGAAACCCTTCTTTAAAACAGTCATTAGCAAAGCCAACTGTCTATTAAAGAAATTTATGGTTTGTTCCAATTAAACCATGCGGCATCCAGAAAACTGCATTAAATCTGTGGCATCCAGAAAACTGCAGTTCCTTCTTTGCTTTGGAGGTGAGGGGACAGGCATCTGGCCACCCAGAAGCCGGAGCAAGTGTTCTGATAGAAATTAGCATAATGAGTGGGTCAGGATTTCTCACTGCCCTAGCCCTGATCAGTCAAGAGACTATCAACCTCCTCTTCTGACTTGTAGTAAAACTGGTCAGGCATGACCCAGTGCAATTGCATATGAAGACTTCACAGCATGGCTTTTAGAACATGCTGCTCCCGCCAAAAGAATGTTTTCCAGGCCAGACTATGTCTAGAAATAACTTTGCCCTGTGAAAACCTAAACTGATCCCAGCACTTTAAGAGGCCAAGGTGGGCGGATCACGAAGTCAGGAGATCGAGACCATCCTGGCTAACACAGTGAAACCCCATCTCCATTAAAAATACAAAAAATTAGCTGTGCGTGGTGGTGGGCACCTGTAGTCCCAGCTACTCGGGAGGCTGAGGCAGGAAAATCTCTTGAACCTGGGAGGTGGAGCTTGCAGTGAGCCGAGATCGTGCCACTGCACTCCAGCCTGGGTGACAGAGTGAGACTCCATCTCAAAAAAAAAAGAAAACCCAAACTGATTATGACTTCCCAAACAATCACCCACCCCAACCCCTGCAGCCCAGGCAGGCCAGGAGTTTGAGACAAGCCTGGCCAACATGGTGAAACCCCATCTCTACTAAAAATACAAAAATTAGCCAGGTGTGGTGGCAGGTGCCTGTAATCCCAGCTACTCAGGAGGCTGAGGCAGGAGAATCACTTGAACCCAGAAGGCAGAGGTTGCAGTGAGCCGAGATCACGCCATTGCACTCCAACCTGAGCAACAAGAGCGAAACTCTGTCTCAAAAAAAAAAAAAAAAAAAAAAAAAGGCTACCAGTGGTACAAAGGAGAAGAAAATCACCTCCTTAGGAATACAGTTGGCGTTGGTGTTGTATTTGAAATTGCGGCCGGGCGTGGTGGCTCACGCCTGTAATCCCAGCACTTTGGGAGGCCGAGGCAGACAGATCAAGAGGTCAGGAGATCGAGACCATCCTGGCTAAAAAATTAGCCGGGCATGGTGGCGGGAGCCTGTAGTCTCAGCTACTCAGGAGGCTGAGGCAGGAGAATGGCGTGAACCGGGGAGGCAGAGGCTGCAGTGAACTGAGATCACGCCACTGCACTCCAGCCTGGGTGACAGAGCGAGACTCTGTCTCAAAAAAAAAAAAGAAAGAAAGAAAGAAATTTGCACTTTTCAGACCAAGATCTGGAATTCAATGCTGTCAGCATTAAAAGAAGTGACCCTCCTGGTCCCAACGTGTGCGACTGGATTGCTATGGGACACAAAAAGAAAACAACAGAAGAAAGGGCCATGCCTTCATTCAGCCGTCTATGTACTGAGGACCTGCTGTGTGCTGGGCACTTGAAATATATACTAAGCAAAGAGATATGGCCCTACCCTTCTGGAGCTTACAAACCAGTGCAACACGGTGTGGAAAAGCCAGTGTCACAGACAGAGGTAGAATAACAACTGTAAGAAGTGCTGTGAAGAAAAGGAACACCTGTGACTTCCCAACCTTAAAACAGCAGACCTGACCCAATCTGGGGAGCCTGGATACATGCAGCCCCACCAGTGAAAGGCTTCATCACTCTGCAGGAGGAAGATCTGGAAGTTAGTGTCAGGTCCAATTGTGCAGCATGTGTATATTTTTGTACATTTTCTCTAGCCATACACTTTTCTATTTCTATGTATACATATATGTTTGTATATGTATTTATATAACTATGCATATAGATACTATGCCTAGATGCTTGAGTTAACCATATAGTAAACTGTATGTCATTCTCGTTCCAGAGCAGACTGTGCTGGTCTCAGTTAATTCTGTTGTTGACTTTCTGCATAGGAAGCCCCTTCACATAGTGTTTACAGTCATTGGTGTCCAGAGTGAGCGGAGCAGGGAAGAGCCCCCATCCAGAACCAGCCCTTAGCCACGGAGCATCCTGTCCCTGTGGACAACATGTCTGAATAGACAGGGGAGTGTGTATGAATTTGGACAAGGGTATGCCTGCAGGCCCATGAGGGAGGCCATGAAGACACAGAGTCTCTGTGTGCCTGCGTGTGTGCACACGTGTCGGCACACGAAGCGAGGACACACGTGTGTAAGTGCAAATGCTCTGTGTTCTGCCAAGAGGGGGGTGGAAGGGAGCGCCTCATTTTCCTGGGTTGGCAGTTTTGTGGCTCGATGCCTCTGGGAGTCGGGCACTTGCTGCACGTCCTGGTGTTCCTTACAGCCGTTTTGCCTGCAGCGGTCACACAGTTGAAAAATCTGGGTCCATGTGACTGCTCAGAGACTCTGCAAAGGCAAACAAGTAGGACTCATGGCCATTTTGCAATTCCTGCTCATTAGACATGTCTGGGGCCTTGTGAGTGAGCTCTGAGGATAAATAAGTATAAATATTATATTTGCCTCCAGGTTATCTTTAAAAATGTATTTCCCTCTCCCTCTACCCCCCCGCCAACCCCCACCAACAACTGTCAGTGCCTCCTGAATGCTCCTGGGTATCAGGAGTGCCGTGCTGAGAGTCTAGGGTCCTGAGCAA
The DNA here is from genome assembly GCF_000001405.40 of Homo sapiens. Lineage (NCBI taxonomy): Eukaryota > Metazoa > Chordata > Mammalia > Primates > Hominidae > Homo > Homo sapiens. The sequence continues at coordinate 38,176,063 of NC_000001.11, read as the reverse complement.
GTGGCCTGCTTCCCCTGGGCTTGCCCCCATCACCCAGGGCATGGGTAGCCAGAGGTGGCAGTGCACCCCAAGAGCCTATTGATGCCCCCTAGGTGAGGAAGGGGATGCCCATGGCCCCTGTGGTGCAGAGAGTCAGCCTCCAAACAACACCACACAAAGAGATGACAGGGGGCTTCGTCCTCGCCAGTAGGTCTGGCTGGCATGGCCAGGGCCACAAAGGAACTGGGGTCAGAGCCATGGGCTGGGTATATCGATGCTCAGCTGCCATGATGCCAGCTTAGGAGGGACTAAGGTCCCCATGTTGGGGCTAAGGAGGTGCAGGCACCTCCAATCTGTGGGTCATTGGATTTTAAGAAAGCAAAACCTACTCAAATAACTCAAGGAAAAAGGGGAGCGGGGAAGGAGATGGGGATTGTGTCCCCCCATACACACACACACCACTACCACTGTGATCTACTGAACTAGCAGTGTTTTCCTGGTGTTCAGGAACTGGTGTGTTTAGAAAGCACCCCATGAGAGCCACCAGTGTGAAGTGAGAAGGGGATGGAGGGGCTCAGAGCCCCACTGGGCAGGCTGTGAGCGGCAGAGGCGGCACCATCACAGGGCACCTTCTGCGCTTCCCTCCCTCCTCTCTGGGGCTACCGCCAGCATCCGCTCTCTGCCCATAACAGCCTTTCAGTGTGTGAGGAAGAAAACAGGCCCCGCATGCATCTCCAGGCTAAGCTGCCTCGGCTCTGCCTCATGGGACAATATTTGCAGTCCCCTCGCTGACCCCAGCTCCCAGCCACTGTCCTCCAAATGAGCCCCATCTGCCAGCATTGCATAAAATATGGGTCACAGTGGAATCGGCTCAGTGTGGGACCAGAATTGCAGGTCATGGGCTGCCCCAAGCATCTTGGGAGAGACTGCCTGTCCTCCCTCCCTCTTGCCTGCCCCAGACTCAGGCCAAGCGACCTTCTTGGACTCTATATCGGGAAAGGGGTGGCACCATCCCAATGACATGAAAAATGTCCCCAAATGGCATAACAATAATAGCTACCGTGTGTTTAATACTTCCTGTGTACCAGGCATTTGACTGATGACTTTGCACACATAATCTTATTTTGTCTTTACTACAATAGAGGTAGTGTTATTTTCACTTTGCAGATGAGGAAACTGAGGCCTAGAGTGGCTGGATAACCATCTTAAAGTCATACACACAGGAAGAAACAGAGACAGGCCTTGAACCTCGGCCTTTCTCAGCCCAAGGCTGTGATCTTAACCACAGCTCTACACTGCCCATAGGATTTTCATAAAGCGACAGAATCCAGCTGCCTATGTGTTCCCCTCTCAGTGACACTAGGGAATGGGAGCTCCAGAGTCACCACATGAAGACCAGAGCTCCTCCAGAATCCTATGAAGAGATGAAGCATCCCTAATCACTGGAACGTGACCAGTCTACATCTACTACCTACACCCAGGATCATGCCATTTCACTTTCTGAGCTCCCTGTGGTGTGATCAGAAACCATGGGCTATGTCAAGCCTGGTAAATGGAACTTGGGTAGTAAGATGAGAAGAAATTCAGTGATGGAAAACCCCTAGAAGGCACCCAATCTAACCCCTTCATTACACAGAGAAACCCATACCTAGTAAAGGGAAGAGGCTTTTTGGTACCACCAAGCTTAGAGCTGCAAATGGAAAATGGATTTCATCTCATATACCAACTCTGACCAGTTGGCTGGCTTTGAGCATTGTATTAAGAATTCTAGGGCCATATTTGGGTTCAGTGGGAAGGAATGCTGTAGTTAACCAGCAATGCTCACCATGGTTTCTAGAAGTAATGGTAGCAAGCATGCCAACCCAAGACTGGGTCTCAGGTCTCCTGAATGCAAGTCCAGTGCCACACAGGCACGAGCACTTTAGTCAATTACGAAACACTCTAGAAAAACCTATTCAAGAAAATTATGAAACAAAAGCGTCACGAAGTGTCTCAGTGGTTTTCTTAGGCACAACATATTTGGTTGCAAGGAACAGAAACCCACTCAAGTTAGCTTAAGTAAATGATAATTAATTGTCAGGATATCACAGGCAATTTCACAGATGCTCAAGGACAGGAAACAGCACATCTAGCCCACAGGAGCCCAGAAGTGGAATTGAAACCTCAGGAACAGACGCCATTCTCTTTACCTCTTAAAGCTGCATGTGGCAGAAAATGTTGGCTACCTATACAATAGCTATACCTCGTCCTTCTTCCTTGCTAACAGAATGCAGAGTTTGCTCAGATATCAGGCTATAAAGAGACCAGCCCAAGGGAGCATCATGACTCGTCTAAATCAGCCTTGATAATCCTATTCTCCTTTGTCAATGATTGGTGTATCCCAGTTCTGGGCAATGACGTAGAAGGAAAAGTCTGTATGGAGCTTAGTGGAAGAAGGAGACACATGGAGAAGCTTATCCTTCCCTTCCAGCTTTAGATGTGGCCACATGAGGTTGTTTCCATGTGATCGGTCCAGATTGGTGAGGTGTATCCCCCTGCTCCAATCATCCGTGAGTAGCTCTGAGATCACCTGCTACAGTTGGCTGACCAAGACGAGATCACTCACATTCTGAGGGTAGTAAAGTGAAAAGCTGACAAGAAACTTGATGAGACTTGAACCACCAGCTACAGCTTTCCTGGATTTGCCCCATCTTCTCATATCCCTCTTAAGTGAGAAAATAAGTGGGCATATCATTTAAACCTTTTTCGGTGGTACTGAAAAGCCTCTTCCCTTCTCTAGGTATGGGTTTCCTTGTGTAATGAAGGGGTTGGATTGGGCAATTTCTAGGGGTTTTCCATCACTGAGTTTCTTCTCATCTTACTAAACCTTTTTTAGTTTAGTCAGTTCTGCTTCTTCTTTTTTTTTTTTTTCTGAGACAGTCTCACTCTGTCGCCCAGGCTAGAGTGCAGTGGCATAAGCTCGACCCACTGCAACCTCTGCCTCCCAGGTTCAAGTGATTCTCATGCCTCAGCCTCCTGAGTAGCTGTGACTACAGGTGCCTGCCACCATGCCTGGCTATTTTTAATTTATTTTTAGTAGAGACAGGGTTTCACCATGTTGACCAGGCTGGTCTCGAACTCCTGACCTCAAGTGATCGCCTGCCTCGGCCTCCCAGAGTGCTGGGATCACAGGCGTGAGCCACCGCGCCCAGCCTAATTCTGCTCCTTGACACTACAATATCCTCCATATTTTATTTCATCCTCTCCATGCTTTAAAGTCCTCAACTGTAAAATGTGTAATAATAAAATTGTTCTAAGGATTAAAGGAAATGGTGTATATAAAGCACCTTAAAGGAAATGGTGTATATAAAGTGCCTTGCACAATTGTTAACAAGCTTCACCAGTTACCCTTAGAAATCATTATTATTTGTGCTAGCTGAGGTCCAAGATGGCCACCATCAATTCCTTCCCTGCCTGTAACACTGCCATTTTCCCCACCGAGAGGTGGAGTCTATGTTTCCCACCCCTTAAGTCTAGGGTAGTCTATGACTGCTTGGACAAACAGAACAGGGTAGAATTGATATTATGCCAGTTCCAGGCCTAGCCCTTAAGAAGACTGGCCATTTTTGCTCCCCTTCTCTTCAGACACTTGCTGTTAGGACACTTCTACTTAGAACCCAACTACCATGCGGTAAGAAGCCCAAGCCACGTGGAGAGGCCATTTGTAGCTACTCTGGAAACAGCCCTAGCAGAGTTCCCTGACTATAGACAGTGTCAATTGCTATGATTGGCATCCATCCCAGCTGGGCTTGCAGATGACACCAGCCCCAGCCATAGTCTGATTGTAACAGTATGAGTGACCACAAATGAGAAGGACCTAGCCAATTCTAGTCAACCCACAGAACATGAGAGATAATAATAAATTGTTGTTATAAGCCACTAAGTTTTGGGCTGGTCTGTTATACAGCAAGAGACAACCAAAACATTATTCATATATTTATTATGTCTGTTTCTCTGCATTCCCCCATAACTCTGACTTGCATGTGAAGGGGAGTGTGTCCCAGGAGCAGGTGGATAAGTTGGAGCATCTACTTTGGCCCCAACTCTACATGACTATTCCATTCTAGTGCCCAATACCATCTTACTGATTTAGTCCCTGTGTCTATGTTCCAAATGCTAAAAGAATAAGTCTGATTGGTCAAGTGGAGCTAGGCGCTCACCCCTAGTAAAACCATTTGTGATCAAGAAAAAAGGTCATGTGCTCCTTAGTACTGTATGGAGTGGGGGTGGGAGGATTGTAGGTACAGAAGAAATAGTATGTGTCTCTTGCAAGATATCTCTCAATTCATCTATTTTATGTTGGTTTTTTTCTCAAGCACAACCTAATTATCAAGGTGGCTTCAGGAGCTTCAGCCACTACATGCTCTCAGGTTCAAGTATATGAAAGAGAACCACACTGTTTTCTGGTAGCTCCTCCCAAAGTCCTGGGATTCACCATGAACAAATTTGCAATCAAGGAGAAGAGATGATCTGATTGGGGAGGCCTGGACTATAGACTCTACTTGTGGAATCTAGAGCCATTTCCATGCAAGGGTGAATGGATGTTGGTGTGTGCATGTCACAGGGGAGAGTACAGGAAGCTAAATAACAAATCCCCACCACGCTCACCAAATACACATGGGAATTCCCAGAAACTTCAAGGGGAGAGGGGGTGTTCTGAGCAATGAATACTATTCTGATCAAAGGAAGGCATAGCTCATTGGTAAACAAGAGATGGCTATCTCCTTAACCTCTTAGTCTTAGGCAAGCATCACCAGTCTCTCTGAGTGTTCTCTTTTCTAGGATAGACAGTTCTGGCTTCTTCTACCCTTCCTCGTAGATCTTAATCACACAGGATCATGGTGGCCAGGCCAGTGGCCACCCCTATGAGGGGCCGTGCTGCCTGGACACCTCTTCAACACTAATTATAGCAAAATAATATCTCTAGAAATCCATACCATCACAGTCAGGCCCACTTGGGGTAAGTTGGAGGCAAGTCTCTATTTTCTTAAGCCATACCCTTAAACTTTTGTACTTCTAGCTATTTCTCTTTCCCTCGGGGTCCTATTTCTATTAGCATTTCTACTGGTTATAACTGCCCTCCAATAAGGCCAGGTGGAAGGCTTGTCTCCTTAAGAATGACAATTATGTTGCATGAGGTGAAAAGGCATTCTCAGTCCCAGGATGGCTCTGTGGTTTTCTGCCTTGCCCAAAGCAGCCATTTTGGAGGGGGTGGGGAGAAGTGGGCATCAGAAACCCAAACTCTGTCTGGGCCTCCGAGCCATCCATCAGGGGCTGATAGTCTCTTCATTGGTGGCCCAGGGCCAGGGCAGTGAGTGGCTTATTTCTACTGCATTACAGTTTGAGCCCATATGCAAACCAGAAGACTATGTCTATAAATAAGATATTATAGCTAAATCAATATTGATTATTAGGAGTTAGGGTTATATTTAAAGCCATAAAACTGAATAAATATTATGGTGAAAGTGTCCTAAATCTCATGGGCAAAATCACTAAGCCACAGGCCTTGGATGGATGGAGCAGTGACCCTGCTTCCCATCCCCCAGAGGAGGTGTCAAGCAGAAAGATGGCTGTCCCTCGTAGGGTGGGGAGAGGGAAAGGCAATTTGGGGACAATGTAAATGTCTTTCAACCCACTTCTCAGCCACATTCTTGGTTTTGTTCAGGATCTGTGTTACACATCACTTGGTATATGCTCAGCTGATTTTCATGACTGGTATTAAAAGATTGGTCTATTCGGACTGTCATGATGATTGTTATTCATCAATGTAATGACAAATTTATTTTTCTAACACAACCTTTTTTCTGATTGGAAAGTAACTCATGTTTATTATAGAAACTACAGAAAGGTGACCGGGTGTGGTGGCTCACGCCTGTAATCCCAGCACTTTGGGAGGCTGAGGTGGGCAGATCACCTGAAGTCGGGAGTTCGAGACCAGCCTGACCAACATGGAGAAACCCCGTCTCTACTAAAAATACAAAATTAGCCAGGTGTGGTGGTGCATGCCTGTAATCCTAGCTACTTGGGAGGCTGAGGCAGGAGAATGGCTTGAAGGCAAATTGCTCTTTTGCACTCCAGCCTGGGCAACAAGAGTGAAACTCCGTCAAAGAAAGGAAGGAAGGAAGGAAAGAAGGAAGGAAGGAAGGAAGGGAGAGAGGGAGGGAAACTATAGAAAGATAAAATAAGCAAAGAGAAGAAAATAAAATTCACCCGGAATCCTACTACCCAGAGATAATCACCACTAGCATTTTGGTGTACATCCTTCCAGTCATTTTTCTGAGTGTGTGTGTGTGTGTGTGTGTGGTCTGTGTGTTTGATATAATTGTTTAATAGGGTTGGAATAGCTAGGCTGTTTTGCAACCTTGACAGATTAATTCTATTATATGTACTGAAATTTATTTAATCAACCTGTTATTACTACATATTTAGATTGTTTCCAAAACTAATTAAATTACTTTTCCTTTTTGTTCATTCTTTTAATAAGTGAAACTAAAAGGTGCTTCTCTTTAATAAATAAGCCATTATTTCTTTGTAGTTGATAAGGAGGAATAAAACCTGAGACAGGAACAGGGCCCCTTGTCCAGTAGAACAAAGGAAGTAACTGTGTTCCTGACTGTAGTGTGTGCCTTAGTGTGGTTCAGAGGCAGTGCGGTGATGGGCTCCAATGGAAACCCAAGATCAGTAAGGCCTCCCCACTCAGCCTCTGCCACACATCTCCTCGCCTCACAGAACCTGGAGTCCTCTTGAGGCCCTGCGCTGCACCATCACAGGACTAACTGCTCCATCTGGAAGAGGAGGGGTGCCCTCCTCATTAGTGAGCACTGGTTGGGAATAACTACCATTGCATAGAGCCTTGGCAGAAGGGTAATTCCTGTGTCTACTTCCCACTACTCCACACCAACTATGCACATAAAGAGGGCCCTAGCCTTCACCTGTCTGCGGAGGTTGGGGAAGACAGGACCTAAAGTCAGCCAGCCAGTCACTGTCTCCCAGGAAGCTGAATCCTGAGCAAAGGTGCAAGGATCACGGCCATTTGGAGGCTAACTTGAATGGTGGCAGAGTTCAATCCTGCTTCTTAGCAGTTTCTCAGCTTCCTGCTTCCTAATCCAGGCTGCCAATCCAGGCTTCCTCAATCCCTGCCTTTCACAGGTGTGAGTTCCTAGCCTTCTGTTAATTACTGTATTAATCAGGGTTCTGTGGAGGATGAAAACCCCCACGATCTGCCATTTGCAAACTGGAGACCCAGAAAAGCCAGTGGTGTAAATTCCAGACTGAGTCCACAAGCCTGAGAACCAGGAGTGCCAATGCAAGTCCCAGTCCACAAGCATGAGAAGACCGATGTCTCAGCTCAAGCAGACGGGCAGAGAGAGCCAACTCAGCCTTCCTCTGCCTTTTTGTTCTACTCAGGCCCTCAACAAATGAGGTGAGGCCCACCCACATTGGGAAGGGTGCTCTGCTCTACTCTGTCCACCAATGCAAATACTAATCTCCTCTGGAAATACTCTCTCAGACACACCCAGAATTAATGTTAACCAGATATCTGGGTATCCTATGGCCAGTAGAGATGACACATCAAAATAACCATCAAAATTGGTGATGCTGAGTTAGTTCTGTTGCTTGCAGACAAGAATCCTAACAGAAATCTACTTCCTTCACACTCCCCTCACTCACCTTTCAAAGCTCAGGTTAAATGTCATCTCCTCTCTGAAGCTGTCCCCAAGTCCCCTAAAGGTAATCAATATTATCTTTGTGCCTCACTTACACAGCCCTTTGCTTGTAACTCTTAGAGTACTTACTTTATCCTGCTTTTTATTTAAAGTAATTTGCTTTAATTAATTTATTTATTTATTTATTTTTTGAGACAGAGTCTCGCTCTGTCGCCCAGGCTGGAGTGCAGTGGCGGGATCTCGGCTCACTGCAAGCTCCACCTCCCGGGTTCATGCCATTCTCCTGCCTCAGCCTCCCAAGTAGCTGGGACTACAGGGGCCCGCCACCATGCCTGGCTAGTTTTTTTCTATTTTTAGTAGAGACGGGGTTTCACCATGTTAGCCAGGATGGTCTCGATCTCCTGACCTCGTGATCCACCCGCCTCAGCCTCCCAAAGTGTTGGAATTACAGGTGTGAGCCTCCATGCCCAGCCTATTTCAAATAATTTTTAACCTGACACAGAGCCAAAGTTGTGTCTTACACTGTAATTATAGGAACTTGTTGACAGGAGCTTATGTGAATAAATAAATGAATATGCATATATATATATATATACACACACACATATATGAATAGGTATAACACACTTTGTGTTCAGCCATCAACTGATTAACCAATGTTAACAGGGACACTGGATATTGTTCAGTATTTAGTGAAAATGAAAAGTCACAAGCCTTTCCATCTTCTACAGATGTGAAAAGTATTTCCGGTCAGGATACGTAAACATGAAGTTGTCAGTGTTTCCTAGTGCTTTATATTTGTATTCACTGTGAGCTGGTGCACCTGGCTATTGTTAGACCCTAACTATTCCTCAGTGACTCTGTATCAGGCTTCACAAACTGGCCACCCGCGGGCCAAATGCATCCTGGAACTCTTGCTTGTCCCACATTGGTATTTTTGTTTAATTGAGTTAGTTGCCAACATTTAAAATTCAGGAGATCTCACATAAAATTCCAGATTTCTGACTTCTCTTGGAAACTCAGAAGACCTGGCGACACCAGGTTCAACTTCCCAAATGTCAACAATTGGCTGGAGCTAAGCAGTGGCTACTCTCCCTCCCCCGACTCCCTTGGGATGGAGTATGAACTCTCATACTGACCGCAGCCCCCACAAAGCCCACTTCACTCATGCCCTGCCTGGTCCCTGAACATATTACTACCGTTGATCTCCACTTGCAAAGGTTGATAATTAAAGGTGAAAAGATGGCTTCAGTGTTTCCAGAATATCATAGTCAGGAAAAGGCATATCTAGAGAATCCTGGGAAACTACCCTCCTCACTCCATTCCCACCTTCCCTCATGGAGAATTCACCTGCTTCTGCAAAACTAAAACCAAGTTATTCTTTTCCCCTAGAGCCTCCAGAGACACAAGTTCATCCTTCCTTGTGGATGAACAAGGAAGATTCTAGAGAGGAGGATTCTAGCACCCAAAGTCTCCAAAACCCAAAATGGAGTCAGAAGTCAAGGCCAGGCCTTTCCATCCTACCATAACCCGGTGGGATAGAATTAATTTGCCCCAATATACAATGAAGAAAGTGAAGCCCAGAGAGGTGAAATGACTTACCCAAGGTCACATAGCTGAAAAGCAGCCCATGTGGGGCTCATGCTGGCTGCTCTAGCCATTGCCTGGAGGCATCTGGAGCTCAGCCAGGCTAGGGAGGGGTGGAGCCTATAGGTAATCCTGTGACTCTCAGCCTTTGAGGCAGTGTCGGGGAATCTGCGGCTCCATGTAGGAGCATCTCCTGGCTAACACAGGGCAGCCAGGATGAAGGCTTTGGCTCTAAGGACAAAGAGCAGTTGGGTGTGGGAGGATGACCCAACTCCATCCCCAGTGGCTCAGTTCATGATGCGGCACACCCCAGTCTCAACCCCAGGCCAGGATGCCTCTGGGCAAGACAAGTGTGGCGCCAGAACCTTTCTGTGCCAGGATGTCAGAGCAGGAGAGGGCAAAAGAGATGTAATTCTTGTTCAGAGCTTGCTATTTTTTCTTTTCATAGGGAGGGAGAAGGGTAAGGTCTTGAGGAGACATACTTGCCTCCTCTTTCTTTCGCACCCCGCCATTCAATCCATCTACAGACTGATGGCATCGCCTCCAAAACAAATCCTGACCCCACCACATCCCTTCCTGTCTTAGCTTCACAACTTCATTCTAGCCACACAATTACAGTGGCCCCTGCCTCCCTGCCTCCACACTTGACCTCATGCAACCCACTCTCAGCACATAGTACAAGCTTTTTTTTTTGTTTTCTTTTCTTTTCTTTCTTTTTTTTTTTTTTAATTGAGATAGAGTCTCATTCTGTCACCCAGGCTGGAGTGCAGTGGCAGGATCTCGGCTCACTGCAACCTCTGCCTCCCGGGTTCTAGTGATTCTCCTGCCTCAGCCTCTGAGTAGCTGGCACACGCCACCATGCCTGGCTACATTTTTGTATTTTTAGTAGATACAGGGTTTCACCGTGTTGGCCAGTCTGGTCTTGAACTCCTGGCCTCAAGTGATCCACTCACCTTGGCCTTCCAAAGTGCTGGGATTACAGGCATAAACCACTGTGCCCAGCCCAAGCTTTCTAAAATGTAAATCAGAACTCATCTGCTTAAAATCCTCTCAAAGGCTTCTCATTACCCTCAGAATACAATCCAAACTCTACCATGGCTTACAAGGTCCAGTATGTTGTGGCCTTTACCTGCCTCTTGAAATGCACTTCCTGCTGGTCTTCTCCATACACACTACACCCCAGCTCCAACAGCCTTTTTCTGTTCCTTGAACTCAGCCAAGCTTATTCCCACCTCAAGTCCTCCTCACCAGTTGTTCCCTCTGCTTGGAATGCTCTTTCACCTATCTTTGTGGGATCTCAGCTCAAATGTGACCTCCCCAGACAGCCCTTCCTGACCCTCAATCTAGAGAAGTTTGCCTCCAGTCACTTTCACTCACGTTATCCAATTTTACTTTCTTCACAGGACTAACATTATCTAAAATTATCTTATCTAAGTATTTGTTTTATCTGTTGAAGCTCTCTCCCTGCTAAGGATCTGAGCCCATGAGAGCTGGGCCAATGTCTGTCTTGTTCAATACCATTTCCCCCAGAGAGTGGCACATAGTAATATGCAATAAATAGTTGTTAAATTAATTAACTAATTAATTATCCAGGTGAGAGATGACAGGAACCTAAAGTAAGGCAGTTGCATCAAGAGTGAAATGGAAAGAATAAATGTGAGAGGGATTTAAGAACCAGAATCAATAGGGCCAATTCTAAAGACGAGATGAAACAGCAGGAGCCTTGGGCTTGAACAGCTTGGTAGGTGCTGAAATAAGTCATCAATATGGGTCATGTATGGGGAGGGGACAATAATGAATTCAGTTTTGAAAAGTTGATTTTGAAGTACCTGAGGGACTTCCAAATGATGTCTGGTTGTACTTTGAAGTTCAGGAAAGAGATTTAGGATGCTGGTTGAGATCTGAGGAAATCCTGGGGGAATAAGCAGTAAGTGGCTGGAGCTATGGCTTGATCCTATGTGCGGTAAGTGGAGGGTCTAAGATGCAACCCAAGACAACCCAAAATTGAACAAGACAGGTGGAGCAGAACCAGAAAAGGCTCCTGAGAAGGCATGCCTGGAGAGGTGGAAGAGCAAGAGGAGTGTTGCTAGAGGGCAAACCTCTCAAGGAGAAGGGAGTGCTCAACAGTTTCAAAAGGCAGGAGAAAGTCTGAAGGTACAACTGGAAAGTACTGACCTTCCAGTGTGGGGACCACTAGGGGCCTCCTTGGAGCAGTCTCCATGGTGGCCTCTGGATGGACACCAGACTGGAGTGCGTTGAGGAGTGAGTAGGAGGGAAGGACATGGACACAGTCATGGAGTCGAAACTCATCTGGTCAGTCTGGCTGTGAATGGAAGGTCAAAGTCATGGTGATAGGCAGGGAGGACAAGGGATCAACGAGTGATTTTTTTTTTAATTGGGAAAGACTGCCATCTATGTAGCCCAAACTTTTGATTGTATGCTAGTCTATAACACGGTTTAACTTCTTTCCCAAAGGGCTGCTAATGACCATGCAAATCACCAAATATAGTGTGTTCTAGGTCCTCAGCAGCATTTATGGTATGAATGAATGCTGAAACTGCCCAAAAAAAGAAACCCTTGAGCCAGGTACCAAATTCCTCCACCAACCTAGGAGAGTAAAAGAAGAAATGACTGTGAGAAAGAGATGCAGTGAGTGATGTAGTAGATAATATGATTCTCAAAGCCTCGGTGGGATGGGAGATGTGGGTGATACAGGGCTTGGCTTTAATGGTCTTTGAATCCCCTTGCGTGGCTCTGATAAAAAGAAGCTGAGTAAAACAATGTAATAATAACAACAAAAAGACTTGGCCTTGGAACCCTTATCTAGATTCTACTTCCAGCTGTACCACCAGCTGTGTGACTGCCTTTTGGGCCTCAGTTTCTCCATCTGCCCTTTGGGGACATTGATCTAGACCTTCCCTGAGAGCCTGCCACCTCTGACACCATCCCTGAAACCAGTCAGCCTAGATTTATATGCTAGCTCTGCTATTTTCTACCTGTGTGACCTTAGATGAGATACTCAACTGTTCTGTGCCTCAGTTTCCACATTTTTAAAAGTGCTAATAATTGCCCTACCTCAAAGAGCTGTGAGGATAAAATGACAACTAACAAATGTAATACTCTTCGGGTAGTGCTGGGTACCTAGAAGGGCACTATGTAGGCTTTGGCTACTGTTATTATAGTAGCCACTCAGTCCAGGGAGCCCCAGAATTAGTAGGTGAAGGATGCTGGCTTCATTTAAAAGGGCAAGAGAGAAGACACTCTAGAACAGAGATGGGCAAATTTTCCTGCACAGGACCAGGTAGTAGATATTTTGGCTTTGTGGGCCCTGTGGTTTCTGTTGCAACTACTCACTTCTGCCATTGTAGTAGAAAGTAGTCGGCCAGGCGCAGTGGCTAACGCCTGTAATCCCAGCACTTTGGAAGGCCAAGGCACGGGGGATCACCTGAGGTCAGGAGTTCAAGACCAGCCTGGTCAACATGGTGAAACCCGATCTCTGCAAAAATACAAAAATTAGCTGGGCATGATGGAGGGTGCCTGTAATTCCAGATACTCGAGAGGCTGGGGAGGGAGAATTGCTTGAAACTGGGAGGCAGAGGTTGCCGTGAGCCGAGATCACGCCATTGCACTCCAGCCTGTGTGACAGAGCGAGACTCCATCTCAAAAAAAAGAAAAAAGAAAAGAAAAGAAAAAGAAAGCAATCACAGACAACGTGCAAACGAATGGGCGTGATTGTTTTCCAATAAAACTTTATTTACAAAAACAGGCAGTGGGCTGGATTTGGTCCAGAGGTCATAGTTTGCAGACCCTGTTCTAGAACAAATGTCCCTGGAAAGAGGGATAGTGAGTTTTCCTCTCTGGTGGGTAGAACTAAGAAATCCCACAGGTTCCCCATCCAGGCCAGAGCTCTGACCACTCTGGCTACAAATTCACTAAAAAGCAAAGCTCCAAACTCACAGAACAAGCAAATAATAAACGAGTTTTGAAAATAATTAAAATTGAAAATTGATTGTCTGGGCCAAAGCAGATTTATGCAAAGGGTCCCTGCTCCACTGGGAGTGGAAGGAGGGTTTCTAAGCTCTGTGTTGAACAAGCTAAGCATTTTTTCAGATTATTCCCAGCATAATATGCCAAAGGGAATAGGCTCCATTTATTATTTCCTTAAAAAAATCAATGAGCTGAAACATTCCCTCTAGACCTATAATATTTATTTCAATGTTCTGTCAATAAATATAACAAGGTTAGCTTTCTATCAGTTTAGTTGGAAGAATCATTTGAGGGAAGTTCTATTTGTTAAGCTCGATTACAGAAAGCAATCAATAGAGGAAAATTCCCTGGTCACTATAGGCAAGAAATATAGAGCTCAGAGGATCCATCCTGGGAAGGAGATTGATGCCACTGTCCCATAATCCCTCTCTCCTTCCCCCAAAGGTAGGAGATGTGGGTGCAACCTTGAGTTATGGAGTGTCAGGCTGAAGAAGTCCCCATCTGGTGCTGACAGAGAAACTGAGGCCTGAGGAGAGAAAGGGAATTATTCACATCATAGAGTGGCAGAATCAGAACTAAAATCTAGATATTCTAATCTCAGATTTCTCCCAGGTCTTGAGCTATTTGGTTGGCTCAGGTTGGACACAGGATACAGAGACCCTTGGAAAAGGAATGCTTTTCTCTTTCATTTGAATTCAGCTTTGTTGGACAAGGCTTTTCAAAAGATGGACCTGGGTAAGATGGTCTCAGAAAGGTGTTCGAAAATATGCTCTTCTGTGAGTTGGGAATTTCTGAGGGCTTGGAGAGTTGGGGGAGATATTTCACCAATTTACCCTCACCCTCCAACACAACCACACATACCCACACATGGGACACACACTTTCCTGGCTAAGTTGGCAGGTGTGTCCACTCTCATAGAACTTGAATTTCACCTTTTGGCATTGCTATTGGACTTAGCTAGATAAACCTACTCAGTTATACCTCAGCCTTCCACAAGATGAGTCATGGGAAATACAGGATTTGGGGTCAGAAAACTTGACTAGTTGGCTCAGCTTTGCCATATTCTTAGCTGGGTAAAGTCATTTCCCCTTCTCCAAGCTTCTTTTTTCCATCTGTAAAATTGGAATAATAATATTGATACTTTTTCATAAATTAGAAGAAGTATAAAGAATGCATGATGTTGCTGGAAAAATAAAAACAATTATTACTATGATTGATTATTTAATGGTTAGTAGCATTATTGAATTATTGGTAGCATTTATTGAATGCTTTCTATATGCCAACATTTAAGCATCTTACATGCTTTATAACATTTAATTCTCACAACAACATTATGAGGTAGATGATATAAATATCTTTATTTTACAAATATGGAAAATAAGGCCTGAAGCTTAAATAACTTTCCCAAGGTCACAAAGCTAGAAAATGGCAGATTGAAGACTGAACCCATGTTATCCAACTCCAAAGCTTGTACTTATAACCTCTACAATCAGAAAGATTACGGTAGAATCCTGATCTGGAAAGAGGGAATTGCCTTTCCTACTTCACACCCATATCCCAATCCACCTCACTCAAAAAAGCTAAGTCCCAGGATACCTGTGGGTCTTCATCTTTCACCTCCTTGAATATCCAAAGGAGGCTTCAATGAATCAAGTGCTTTGTGGAGACTATCCCAAGACATGCTCATCAGCAAGAGGTCTTCAACCTTAACCAACTTCACCTCTCACCTAGGGATTCAATTATCCTAAATAAAAAGTTGTGACAACTCTCCTGATCGATCACTGAGTTGCTGGGGGAATTGGAGAGAAGAATTTAACAAATACAGTTGAACAATTATTCATTGAGTTCCTACCATGCCAGGCATTATTCTAGACACTAGAAATACAAATATATTCCACAGCCTGCTGAGCAAGACTCCCTGGATGTTCCTCAGTATATCCAAAACTAAATTCAATGTCCCACCACCCAGTCACCTAAGCTAGAATCCTGGGAATTATCAGGCTCTGCCCCACCTCTCACATCACCCAGCACACATCTACTGAGTCCCTACTGAGTCCCTACTAAGTCCCAAGTGGCCAATCACCAGGCCTCAGTCATTCTGAGACACCACTATCACCATCTTTAGATATTACATTCTGCAGGCCATGGGGAATTCAGGCTCTAGGGAGATTGCCTGGGTAGCCAAAATCATTCCAGGAGATCCAAGAAATAATAAACATTGTAATCCAAATGCATCGGGCTTGACTAGCCCCTGAACACCAAGGCAGTCTCATTACTCTGAGAACTTGGAGCCCTCAGCTGACTGATAACAGGAAATCCAGTCTTTTGAAGAGTTGTCTTCAACTCTACTTCCTCAGAGATTCCAACTCTGAGAATCTCAAAGGTCGCCATCGTGTTTCCACAAACCAGTCCTTGACCCCCTTCATCACAGTGAAAATCAACTAAACACCATAGCCTTGGAACTCAAGAGTTTTGCAGAGTTGCCACTCTGGGTGGCTCAAACAGAACTGAAACTTGGAGTCTTGGCTATCCTAAAGAGAGAAACATCTCTCTCTGTTAGGCTAAGCTAGAGAGGTCTCACCGCAGGGTTCTTGAGCATGATGGGGTTTCAATATTCAATGGTAAAATTATTTAATTCATACATACAGCCCTTTCCTCCCAGGAAGCAGCTGCCAGTAAGAGATCTAAGCAGGGCTTTCCCTAGAGCCACTGACTGGCCTTAGAGAGGACAAGGAGTGCTCAGACAAACATCTGTGCATGCACTAAGGCAAAGTTCTAAACAAATTGATCTGAAACAGACAAAGGGAACTCTTGTCCTATTGATTCTGTTCACTATAAAATATCCTGAGTCCACCAACTTCTCTCTCCATCTCTACCACAACCATTATACAAGTCCAAATCACCACCATCTTATGTCTTGACTACTATAACTGCCTCCTGACTTCCTAAATCCATTCCAATCCTTCCAATCTACTCTCCACACAGCCACCAAGGTGATCTTTTTAAAATGCAAATCTGATCATGTGCCACCCTTGCTTAAAACCCTTCAACGAATTCCATTGCACTTATGACAAAATTTTAAATGTGACTGTCTTACTGTAATCTCTCAAAAGTACAGCTCTGGCCATATATTCACATGAACTTGGGTGCAAGAGATAGTTCCCAAGAGGCACAAGTAAAGTAGGGAATGGGGAAAGTTCACAGGGAGGGTAGAAAAGTTCTAGACATATTCCTCATTGTCCCCATTATGTAACAGCAAATCTAGCTCCTCTCTCTGTATGCTGGTCTACTGGCACAAAGAACCCAAAATAAATTGGTGGGAAGGAATCTTTGTTTTACGTTCAATGGAATCCTTACTATTTCCCCTAGTGAAAGTGCCCCATCCTTTGGGACCAAGACCTATAAATCCACAGAGCCTTAAGATTCTAGGATAAGAGGCACAGGTTCCCCCAAGTTCGTCCCTGGAAATGATGGTGAAAGGGCACAATCCCACTTTCACCCCTTGATCCCTAGATCCATATATTCTAGCCATTGTAACACAACACTACTCAATGGCCATTAGTGTAATGTATACACTGCATCCTGGAGAACAGAATTCTAGACTTATGGATTCCTCAAACTGCCACCTTAACTGAGTTTTTAACGGATGATTATAACATAACATTCTATAAAGCCAGCAGCTTCCAAGTAATTTGGTATATAATAGGACCAATGCATCCCAACGCCATTTGTCCATTGTCATACCTCCTTTGCTGTAAAGTGGGGGGTCTTGATCTGAGAAGATGCTATGTAGAATTCCATGTCACTAATCACTCTGTAAGCCCCTGGGTAGTGGTGCTGGCATAGGCACCATGGGCAAGGAAGACAAACCATGTCCAGAGTTTTGTCAATCTCAGTAAGGACAAATTGTTGCTTCTTCCAGAGGCAGTTGCCACCAAATGGTTGGACATTCTCCATAAGGCTCAGTACCATGCTAAGGGTTCGATGTTGGGCCCTGCTGTTGACAAGTCACACATTTAGCAGCTGCATTGGCTAGATGTGCCTTGGTGAGAGGAAGCCCACATTATTGAGCCTATGCAGATCCTCCATCCCTGCCACCATACATGGGACAGCTGAGGACAGAGGCTTGTTGACACTCAATGGACAAGTCTTGTCTTCTAGTTGTTTGATACCTTTTCTACATTGGATGCTTTCTCATGAGCATTAATATCAGACACAAAAATACCAAAATTTTGTGTCCATTCCTATAGGGCCATCCGTGTCCTTTATCCCCAGACTCCCTAGCTCTGATCATTTCATCTTGCTTCTTCCAGGCCCCTGACCAATTAGCCCAGCAATTCGCCATTGCCCAAAACTTTATGTATATACTCATGTCAGACCACTCCTTTCTCCATAAAAAGTTAATGATCTAACTGTACTGCTTAAAGATCTCCTGTCAACACTGCCCTTTAGTGTCACCACTATATTGAACTGACCCATGTTTGAATCAACCCAGGATTTTTCCTCCTCCATGGGAGGAGGGAATCTCCTAGCTAGTCATGGGAATCTCCTGACAAGGGGATATATATGAGCTGAAAGGAAGGTGTTGGTTCAACAAAGATAGATGACATGGGAATCTATCCCACCTGTTCATGCACTTACTTGAGCCTCTGAACCTGTTCAGATCTGACTCAAATGTACCATTTCCTTCATACGATGGATTGCTAACGTGTCTAGCCAACGTTGTGACTCAGATATGATAATACCTAGCTCATGATGGCCAGCTCTGGCCATATATTCACTTAATGGTCTATGGTCAGGTGCTCAGTTTCTGTTAGGGCCCAGTAACACCCCAGAAGCTGATTTTTCAAGCATTGAGTAGTTCTCTACTAAAGAAGGCATAGCCTTGCTCTATAACTCTAAGGATTTCCCCTGTGAGTCTCCTGATAAAGCTTGCCAGACTACAGATACCTCTAACACTATTGGTTTACAAGGTCTTATGGCACAAGAAATAGAGAAGTTTTCACTGCAGCCCAGGCTTGTTGCTGAGTCTTCTTTTGATCTAAAACCCATTCAAAGCTGACAGTTTCCTGGGCCACTCAATAAATGGGTTAGAACACTATTCCCAACTATAAGTATTCACTACCTCAAAACTCCAAATAGGCCTACCAAGAACTATGCCTCCTTCTTTATGGTAGGAGATTCAAGGAGCCATACCTACAAACGCTTGATCAGTGCTTCAAGTTCTGAATCTGCGTAAGCTATATGTCCTCTTGACATAAATGTCTCTTACTAGAACGTCCAACTACTTGCCACTTCCTGTTCGTTGGATTTGTTGAGAATGATGCCATCAGTATAGTGGACCAGCATGATGTTTTTGGAATGTCAAGACAATCAAAGTCCTTTTAGATGATATTGTGACAAAGAGCAAGAAAATCAACATAGCCTTGAGGCAAGACAGTAAATATATATTGCTATCCTTCTCATATGAATACAAACTGCTTCTAATCCTTTTTTCTGATGTGAATTGAAAAGATCAAATACCATGTATCAAATGCTGGAGGCTATGTTGATCTGTTCTAGTAAATATGCCATATCCAGCACAGCAGCTACAATCAGAACTCCCCCTTGTTTTGATGGTCCACTGGTCATTATCCTTGACCAATCTGGATTTCTAGGGTCCCTATCAATAAATAGAATGGGAATGTGGTGGGGAAAACCAATTCCTAAATCCTTTAAGCCTTTGGTGGCAGCACTAATTTCTACAATGCCACCTAAGATATGGAATTGCTTTGGATTTAATATCTTGGCCAAAGAGTTAAAGAGCATTTTAAAAGATCTCAACTTGGGCTTCAGAACCAATATGAAGGTTTTGTCAACTACTAAGTATATCCATGCTAATTACATACTCAGAAACGAGGAAAATGAACAAACCTTCAGTGTGGGCATCTATTGGACCCACTGTAAGACAGAGTTAAACCAGGGTTCCCTTATCACCTGCCCTCAATATGCCCAATTCTAATATGGGAGTGATTGTGGCATTTGCATCCCCAGCTGACTCAATACCCAACAGCTCTCAAAAAATTTTATTGTTTCCTCTTTCCCTCATGTACAGGTACTCTGATAAATAGCTGTAAGTCTCTTTGGAGAAGGATTGGGAAGACATTTATTGTAAATAATTGAAGTGGCTTTGCAGAGTCCTTCCTCAAGGGGACAGGGCCTCCTCCTCAATCAATGGACTCTGGGTCTGAAAAGGGGCTCAGATTTGGAAAATGGCTAAAGATTCATTATTTTCTATTATGGAAGCTGCCATAGGCCTTGATCTTTTTGGCTCACCTGTTCTTGACCTTTTTTGGTTATATAAGGTAAGTAATACCTTGTGGGCTGTCCATATGTCCAGCTCCTAGGAACATGGTCTATTAGCTATCAGCACAGATCCTTTGGGTGAAGACCTCTAGCTGCCACTTGACTCTACTGCTTGATGTGGCAAACAAGTCCACCTTTCCTCTATTTCCCGCTGGCACATGGTCTCTCCTATTCCAAAATTCCATCATTCCCATTGTCATCGAGGAGCCCAGTTCCAGTGCAGCATCTCTTACTGTCAACCCTGCCTGCAGAAGATAGCCACTACTGAGCTCCTCAATAATATTGTATATCCATAACTAGTGCCTTTCTTATGGCTTTAGTGAGGGAAGTATCCTTCGGACTTTTCTAGAAAACATAGTCAGTGGGTATCATAGTCTCACATCACATCTCTAAGTCTTCTGACTCCTTCCTCAATACTCTACCAGCAATTCCAGCATCCCTCCATCTAATTAGCTGCAGGTCCAAGCTTCATGGAGACATCCTGGCAGCATATTAGCACTGACTCCAAGTGTCCTTGCCAGGCATTAAATCCTTAATCCCAGGAAAGGATTCCTAGATCAATACACACTCCCTGATCTACACTTATATTTCCACCCCCAACCCCGCCCGAGTCTGGGATCCACCTCTACATGGATCCCCCTGGTTCCTCCTGGTACATGTCGGCAGCTTATTCAGCAATTTTGGTGAATGAGCTATTTACTCCTGGAGCAGGGTCTGTACTTACCTGCTCAAGCTATGCTGAGACCTGACCCCGGTTAGTTTTTCTGCTTCTAGGTGACTTTGAGACTCTCTCCATTAAGAATGGGAGAGCCACAAAATGGAAGGTGCCTGGGTCCCTGATTGCCACTTGGAAGAAAACCACCACTTATCAGAACATCTATTTTGGAGATAAAAAATAAACTTTTTTCTGTTAAGATACCAAGATGTTAAAGGTTTATCTGTTAGAGCAGCTGGCCTTGCCTTAACTAATATAATGCTCTAGTTACCTCCAGGCCTCAGAATCCAGAACAAACTAAACCAAGTCTCCAGAAAGAGGAGGAAAATGTCCCCTCCAGCTAAATTCTACCACATACCTCCTCATTTTCTGCTCCAGGATTCACTTCTTCCCAGAACGACTGAAATTGAAATGTCAGTCCCTTCTAAGAGAAGTCTTGCCCCCAACCCACATAAGTGCCATCAAACCCTAAAGCCTTAACAAGCAATAATTGGCATTAGCACATTTCCTGAAGTCTGAGGTTTTCTGCCTTAATCCTACATACGGGTCCTCACCAGCCCCACAGGTGGGGCTAACTAGGCAAACTGTGCTCAGTCTAGTTTTTTTGGGCTGACCACAGCCCAAACATTTCAAAAAGTCTCAGCCATGCTGACCTTATTTTTAAAAATGACTTTTTAATCAAATGAGAGGAAAAAGAAGAGAAAGATGAAAAGGAGAAAAAAGAGGAAGAGAGGTAGGAGGACTGTTTGTAAAAGATGCTACTTTGCTATCAGTACCCCACAAGTCATCCACACTGGAGACCTTAGGAGGCATCTGTTTTGTCAGAATACAGGCCAGAAAGTAGTACGGTGTCTGAGAAGGAACTCTACTCCTAGCATCTGGAGAGCAGATTCTGGATCTGACTCCACCACTCACTGGCCCTGAGTCTTGTCTACTCTCTGGGTCTTGGTTTTTGCATCTGGAGATAATTCCTATTTCTCAGGCCACAGAAGCTAGAGGTGAGAATAAGAGTAAATAATAGCCCAAAACAGATGGAAATGGATATGCCATCACTGCTTCAGTTCCGCAGCCACTATCACTGCCACTGAAACCACTATGGTACCATTCAATCATTCATGCAGCAAACATACATTGCATGTGCTAGGAATACAAGAATAACAAGGAAGCCATGGCCCCTGCTCTCCTAGAGCTTACATTCTAGTGGAAGAAACAAGTGTTCATCACATAATCAAACAAATTAGTATATAATTACAAACTGACATAAATATTCTGAAGGAAAGCAACACATTCTATGAGAGCAAATAAAGAATAAGCTGGCTTAAATGCTTCTCCAAGGACGTAACATTTGAACTGACATCTGAAGCATGCGTAGGAGTTAACCAGGCAAAAAGGAGAGGGTGGGGGAAGAACATTCTGAGCAGATGGTATAACAGGTGCCAAGGCTCTGCGATGGGGGAGAGGGACAGGAATGTGTCGGTGAAAGTAAAAGGCCAAAGGGGAGACTGCTGTGAAATGAAGCTGGAGAGGCAGGCAAGGCTGAATCCTGTGGTCTTAAGAACACATTAAAAGTGTCGATCTTCTTGGTAAGCGCAATGGGACGCCAGTGAAGAGATTCAGACCGGGGAACGAACGTGACCAGATTGGTGTTTGGAAAGGATCACGATGGCTCTGGTATGGACAATGAATTGGATGGAACAGGAATAGAAGCAAAAAGGCAGTTAGGAGCCCTTCACAGTAATCCAGGAAAGAGATGATGGAGGCTTAGACCATGGGTGTAAAATCAACAGGACTTGGGGGATGGGTGGATAATGGCCTACAAGCAGCTGCTGCTGACATCTTGTGCCCTCCGTGTCTCATAAAATTTACAAGGTTCTTTTGGTTTTGAACAATGGAATATCATCTTACACAGAGGTTAGATTTTGAAGTCTGTGCATAAGACAAGAACTGCATATAGTCTAAAGTACCCTTGAAAAACTCAAACCACTCATAAAGTACAGTATACATGGGTTTGTTTATACAGCCATGAACAGAAATTTTTAGGCACACTAAAGTTAGAGAGCCACCGAACTAGAATAAAGAAAGCAACAGAAGGAAAGCCCATATGCAAATGTCTGGGCATTCAAATCACTCTGCCTTTACGACAACTATTCAAATCCCTTGCAGTGAATGAGGGGATTTGGGGGAGGGGGAGGGGAAGGAAAGAAACGTACATGTAGGAGGCAGGGGTAGGAATCTTTTTAATGGTCCCACTTTCCTGAATATTTATTCCATTCAGTGTTACTATGACGTCTTTACAACTCTAACACATGTTAATATATTAGTTGTTTATATTAGTTGGGCTGCTAATATAGTGTTGGATTCCTACCACAGTATCTACTCCAGTCTCTATTCCTTCTTCCCTGAAGGTGAGTTCTTTCCCCAGAGCCCTGCCTCTATCCCGCTCCAGATATATCTAAATGCTAAGTTGAGCTCAAGATGAGTCAGGGCCCTTGTATCACACAGGATAGGCTCAGTCATGGTGCCATAACAAACAATCCCTTAATCTTAGCAGCTTCAAACAGCAAATACTATTTCTCACTCATGCCACTTGTGCATCATGGGTTGGTTGGGGCTCTGTTCCATGTATCCTCACTCAACTGATGGAGCAGACACCATCTCGAACATTGCCAGTCTCCAAGGCAGAGGGAAAGAGCTCTGAAGGGCTTCATGTAGCAATTAAATGTCCATATATGGCACAAGTCACTTCCATTCACAACTCATTGGCCAGAATTAATCACTAGGCTTCACCCAACCACAAGAGGGCCAAGAAGTGCAATCCTTTCATGTGTTCAGCAGGTGCATTGCCAGAAATATTTGACAAACAACACTAATGACTTCCACATGCTCTAAATGTACAATGACATGACAGAGAAGAGACAAGCTTTAATTATTAAGCCTGTGTTTGGTTCTGGGGCCCTGGGTAACCATGTGGCTGAATAAAATGTGCCCTACTCATGCCCCAGGGGCAGAGTCTGTGCCCAGAAATAGACTCCAGACAGCATTTGGACTGCTATCTTGGAAATTAAAGCGATGTCCCCAGAGAGGCAGCTGACAACCTGTGGCTTGGCTTCACTACCTCTTTACCTCCTGCCCAGGATCTATGGGGGCCAAACACAGAATGAGTAATATTGGGGCTGGAGCTCACTCTGTCATCAGAAATCTCTGACAGCTCCTGGAAGTGCGTGGGTTAGGGACGATGCTATATAGATGAATCCCTGCCCTCAAGGAGTTCCCAGTGTCATGGTGTTACATGCTGTGGTAGATAGTTTCCTTTACTCCTTCTCATCCCTAGATGCAAATGATGCTCCTCCCATCAGCAGGTGGAGCTTATTTCCCCTCCCCTTGAATCTGGCAGGCCTGTTACTTGCCTTGACAAGAAAGTATGACAGAAGTGAGATTCTAAACCTTATAAGACCAATCCCTAAGGGAAGTGGCCACTTCCACTTTCTTCCTCGTGAAACCCAGCTACCATAGTATAAGGAAGCCCAAGCTAGACTAGTGGATGATTAAAGGCCATGTGGACAGATATCCTGGAGGATGAGCAGCCATCCTGGACATTCCAGCTACAGTGGAGCTCCCAGGTGAATGCGGACACATGAGTGGCCTAAGCTACACTGGGTGATGCAGAGCTGCCTGGCTGAGGACAGTCAACCCATAAAATCAAGAAAAAAAACATATCATTATTTTAAATCACTACATTTAGGGATGGCTTGTTACACAGCAACAGATAACTGAAAAATACACAATATCAAATATATATGCATGGTTCTGAGAGATCCCAGAGAAAGAAAATCTAAGAATGCTTTAAAAGGTGTTATCTCTGGAAAGACTTTGAAACACAGTTGCATGAAGTTCATTGCAGCAGGAGGGTTGCTCTGGAGGGATCCGCCTATAAAGACGGAGGAAGCTGGGATTGGCCCAGTAATATGGTTGCAACTTAGACCTCAGCTATGAGAAGTTCTGAAGGTAGGAAGGGATTCAAGGTTGTCCCAAACTCAGTGAAAGGAGGCAGGTGTTTGAGTCCTTCTCAGCCACCAGTAACTGTGGGCTGGTCCCCAGAGGGGGCATTACCCTAGGGAAGGCAGCTGTCTGGCTGCAGGCAGTCCCCAGGGAGGGAAGTGGCTGAGAGCCCTCTGCAGCCTATTATGCCCTCAGCAGCCCAGGAGAGAGGAGCCAGCCCTGAAGAGGGGAGCTGGAGAACACATGTCTCTGCAGGAGGAGCACCAGTGGCCCTTGAACTGAGATATGAAAGTCCCCAGTGAAGTGAGGAAGGGGAGAGAGTTTCCAGGCAAGGAAGCTGCAAAAGCAAAGTGCCAACATAGGAACAGACGTGGCAAGTACCAAAAGAGGAATACATAGAAAAGGGGGTAAGAGATGAGGCAGCACTGAGTGAAGAAATGGGGGCTTTGTCCTGAGGCCACAGGGGGAGCCACTGAAGGGTTCTAAGCAGGGCAGAGATGTGGCGAGATATCTGTTTGAAAAGATCCCTGTAACAGCAACATGGAAGATAGAGCAGCAGGGTGGAAACCAGAGGTGGCAAGCCTGTCAATGATGCAAGAGAGAAATGAAGTTAAACTCCCGGCTCCTGCTGGTATTCACTGGCTGCATCCTGCAGTGACTTCTTCCCTTAGCAGCCAGGTTATGTTGCAGCTTAACCCAAGTTATTGGTCTGGTTGCTGGAAGAGGAGGTGGGAGACCATAAGCTGGGGCGGGAATTGGGGGAGGGTACATGATACATGGCATCTTGCAAGGTAGAGGCCTTTTCATCATCCTCAGGCCTGGGTGTATTAGGGTTTTCTAGAGGGACAGAACTAATAGGATAGATATAGATATAGATATATAAAGGGGAGTTTATTAAGTATTAACTTACATGACCACAAGGTCCCACAATAGGCTGTCTGCAAGCAGAGGAGCAAGGAGAACCAGTCCGAGTCCCAAACTGAACTTGGAGTCCAATGTTCTAGGGCAGAAAGCATCCAGCATGGGAGAAAGATGTAGGCTGGGAGGCTAGGCCAGTCTCTCCTTTTCATATTTTTCTGCCTGCTTTATAATCACTAGCAGCTGATTAAATGGTGCCTACCCAGTTAAGGGAGGGTCTATGTTTCCCAGCCCACTGACTCAAAAGTTAATCTCCTTTGGCAGCACCCTCACAGATACACCCAGGATCAATACTTTCTATCCTTCAATCAAGTTGGCACTCAGCATTAACCATCACAAGTCTACCCCTTGTCAACTTGAACCCATACACATCTCCTGAGATCATACATAATCTTCAAATAAAGACAATAATAAGGTCATAATTATGCCTAATATAATACAACTATCCTTCTTACAACCAGAAACACACCAATCCCCAAATACTATTACATAAAGTTAACAATACTTGAATGCTGATATGAAGTCAATAAATCTTATGTCACTTGATAAAGGAAAAAGGAAATAAAATGAAGATATTTTCTTAGTACAAGTGTATACATGCACAAACATGTTTTTAACAAAAGAAGGAGGAAATACTCATGACAATTACCGTCCTCGTTTCTGCAGCTGGTCACGTGGTTGTAGCTGGTATTGATGACTACCTTCTTCTGCTACCAATTCTGTATTCCCTTTGCCTTCGGCAAGCACCTCAGCAGGTTGTGGGGTTTTTTTCCTGGTGGAGTGACCCAAACCTTCATTCCTGATGGGTCTGGGCCATTTGTAGTCCTGCCTGGATTGGGCTGTTGTAGTTTTCCATTGACCTTAATCACAGGGCATGGTAATACTAAGAGACGCCCTAATGGTCTCCTGTGTTCCATGCATACTCTTCCTTACCTCCGTTGTAGAGTAGTAGACTGATTTCATCTTGATAGTCCAGTAAATCACCCCAGCTAACACTATAACTCCCTTGTTAGCTTGTTGACTTAAAGGTAGGAGGAGCCCAAAGTGTCCAGGTGGCCATCTTAACTTCCAGTTTAATGGGATCATTGTTGTGTCTCCCGGTGGCAGCATTCCTCCCTCTGGAACTAAGATCTCTAGGCCAGCAGAACATAATGTCACAGGAACAGGAAGCAAAAATTTTGCTCATGGATCACTAGCAGTGATGGTGAGTCATGCCACTTCCACTTCCATTTCCACCCCTTGATTCCTGGACACTCCTGGCTATGGGAGAAACAGTACCATGTATTGGACCCTGATTCAGAGCACACACAGCCTTCTGGAGAACTTTGCTGCAGCCCTGCAAAGTATTGTCACCTAGTTGGCATTGTAATTGTGACTTCAAAAGGCCATTCCACTGTTCTATCGATCCAGCTGCTTCAGGATGCTGGGGAACATGGTAAGTCCAGTGAATTCCATAAGCATGAGCCCACTGCCACACTTCTTTAGCCATAAAGTGAGTGCCTTGGTCAGAGGCAATGCTATGTGGAATACCATGACAGTGGATAAGGCATTCCACGAGTCCAAGGATGGTAGTCTTGGCAGAAGCATTGCATGCTGGACAGGCAAACCTATATCCTGAGTAAGTGTCTATGCCGGTGAGGACAAACCTCTGCCCTTTCCATGATGGAAGAGGTCCAATATAGTCAACCTGCCACCAGGTAGCTGGCTGATCACCCCGAGGAATGGTGCCATATCAAGGGCTCAGTGTTGGTCTCTGTTGCTGGCAAATTGGGCACTCAGCAATGGCTGTAGCCAGGTCAGCCTTGGTGAGTGGAAGTCCCTGTTGCTGAGCCCATGAATAACCTCCATCCCTGCCACCAAGACCACTTTGTTCATGGGCCCATTGGGCGATGACAGGGGTGGCTGGGGAAAGACGCTGAGTGGTGTCCACAGAATGGGTCATCCTATCCACTTGATTATTAAAATCCTCCTCTACTGAGGTCACCCACTGGTGAGCACTCACATGGGATACAAATATCTTCATGGTTTTTCACCACTCACAGAGGTCCATCCACATACCTCGTCCCCAAATTTCTTTGTCACCAATTTTCCAAGCATGCTTCTTCCAAGTCCCTTACCATCCAACCAAACCATTGGCTAGAGTCTCCATAAATTAGCATATAATTGCACATCTGGCCATTTCTCCTTCCATGCAAAGTGCACAACCAGGTGCACTGCTCGAAGTTCTGCTCACTGGGAAGATTTCCCTTCACCACTGTCCTTCAGAGATGTCCTAGAAAGGGGCTGTAGTGCTGCAGCTGTCCACTTTCGGGTGGTGCCTGCATATTGTGCAGAACCATCTGTGAACCAAACCCTAATCTTCTCTTCCTCTGTCAACTAATCATAGGAAACTCCCCATGAGGCCACTGGTGCAGCCTGGGGGAGAGAAGGCAGGGTGGCAGGAGTGGAGACCATGGGCATTTGAGCCAATTCCTCATGTAACTTACTTGTGCCTTCAGGAACTGCTCAAGCCCGATCACATATATACCACTTCCATTTGATGATGCAATGCTGCTGTGCACCACTCACTTTATGGCTAGATGGGTCAGAAAGCACCCAGTTCATGATAGACAGTTCAGGTCCCATGGTGACTTGATGACCCATAGTCAAACGTTCAATTTCCACCAAAGCCCAGTAACAGGCTAAGAGCTGTTTCTCAAAAGGAGAGTAGTTATCTGAAGAAGATGGTAGGGCTTTGCTCCAAAATCCTAGAGGCTTCCGCTGTGATTCACCTATGGGGCCTGCCAAAGGCTCCAAACAGCATCCCTATCTGCCACTGATACCTCAAGCACCATTGGATCTGCTGGGTCCTATGGCCCAAGTGGCAGAGCAGCTTGCACAGCAGCCTGGACCTATTGCAGAGCCTTCTCCTGTTCTGGATCCCACTCAAAACTGGCAGCCTTTCAGGTCACTCAATAAATGGGCCAGAGTAACATACCCAAATGAAGAATGTGTTGCCTCCAAAATCCAAATAGACCCACCAGGCATTGTCCCTCTTTCTTGGTTGTAGGAGGGGCCAAATGTAGCAACTTATCCTTCACCTTAGAAGGAATATCTCGACAGGCCCCACACTACTGGACCCCAAGAAATTTTACTGAGGTAGAAGATCCCTGAATTTTAGTCGGATTTGTTTCCCATCCTGTGGCACACAAATGTCTCACCAGTAAGTCCAGTGTGTTTGCTACTTCTTGCTCACTGGATCCAATCAGCATAACATCATCAATGTAATGGACCAGTGTGATATCTTGCGGAAGCAAAAAAGCAATCACGGTCTCTCCGAATAAGATTATGACACAAAGCGGGAAAGTTGACATACCCCTGAGGTAGGACAATAAAAGCATATTCCTGGCCTTGCTGGCTGAAGGCAAATTGCTTCTGGTGGGCCTTATGGACAGGAATGGAGAAAGGCATTTGCCAAGTCAATGGCTGCATGCCAGGTACCAGGAGATATGTTAATTTGCTCAAGTAATGAAACCACATCTGGTACAGCAGCTGCAATTGGAGACACCACTTGGTTAAGTTTAATCCACTGTCATTCTCCAAGATCCACCTGTCTTCTGCACAGGCCAAATGGGAAAACCGAATGGGGATGTGTTGGGAATCCCCACCCCTGTGTCTTTCAAGTCCTTGATGGTGGCACTAATCTCCGCAATCCCTCTAGGGATGCAATATTGTTTTTTATTTGCTATTTTTCTAGGTAGAGGCTGCTCTAATGGCTTCAATTTGGCCTTTCCCACCATAATAGCCCTCACCCTACCAGTCAGGAAGCCAGTGTGGGGGTTCTGCCAGCTGCTAAGTATGTCTCTGCCAATTACGCATTCTGGCATTAGGAAAATGACCACAGGATGAGTCTGGGAATCTACTGGACCCACTGTAAGTCAGACCTGAGCTAAAACTCCATTAATTACCTGACCTCCATAAGCCCCTACTTTAACTGGAGGATCACAGTGATGTTTTGAGTCCCCTGGAATCAACGTCAACTCAGAGCCAGTGTCCAGTAGTCACCGAAATGTCTGATCATTTCCCTTTCCCCAGTGCACAGTTACCCTGGTAAAAGGCTGGAGGTCTCCTTGGGGAAGGATGGAAGAAAGATTCACTGCATAAATTATCAGTAATGTAGTGGGGTCCTTCCTCAAGAGGACACTGCCTCCCCTTCATTCAAGGGGTTCTGGGTCTGTAAACTGGCTCAAGTTTACAGACTTGATTGAGGGGCCGTGATTCTCTGTTTTTATAATTCAAATTAGTCTTTTGCCCATTCAACCTGAAAGTTTTCTGCTTGTATAAATTAAGTAGGAATGCAGTAGGCTTCCTATCAATTTTACTTATAGGAACACCATGATTAATTAGCCAGTGCAAGAGCTCTACACAAGTCAGACTATTCTGATTGCTGCTTTGCCTCTGCTGCCCATTACGGTAGCTGTGCTCACCTTACCTTTGATGGTTGAGTGCTGCCACTTGGCCCCTGCCACCTCGGGATCCAATTATTCCCACTGAATTTAAATTTTGTAGTTGAGTGACTGTGGTTCCCACTGTTAGATCTGACATACAGAGAAGAGTAACTACAGGGCTCTTCAAAGATGCAGGTGCTGCCCTCACAAATCTATTTCACAATCTATTTGGTTAAGGGTACATCTTCTGGACCCTCCCAGCTGGGATGAGTAGATCTAAAGTGACTAATCCACTCCACCATCCCAATCTCTCTAAGCCTTTGGATTCCTTCCTCTACATTAAACCAAGGGAGATCAGACACTTCCAGCTCACTCACAGTGGGCCATCTTTTAATCCATATTTCAGCTAACCAAGCAAATAAACTATTAGAACATTTTTTAACTCCCCAAGCTGCAATATTAAAAGCAAAGTCCCTACTTAGTGGGCCCAAATCAATAAATTCAGCCTGATCCAACTCTATGTTCCTTCCACCATTATCTCATACTCTTAATATCCATTCCCATGACTGTTCTCCAGATTGTTGTTTATATAAATTAGAGAACTCCCCTTTTTGAGTGTAGCTCACCTCCTCATGGATCATACTCTCAACCTCACCTCCGGGGACCTGCTGGGACTTTATTCTAGTTATAGGTCTAGAAGCAAACAGGGGTGTTGGGGGTGGCTCCTGAGGAGAATCAACATTATTTTGCCTGGCAACTGCCTCAGAGGAGGCCATCACTGTCGTCTCAGGCAGTGCAGGGTTTATCTCCTCAGGCAAAGGTGGAAAGGCTGATGGCAGCATGGGTCCAGGAGGGGATGTTGCCACTACTGGGAATGGCAAAGCTGTTCCTTCTCTCCAAAAAGGTTTATCAGAGTTTACAAACTCAGTGTCTCCAGCTTCAGCAGGGTCCTCCCATACATCCCCATTCCAAGTTTCAGGGTCCCACTCTTTTCCAATCAATGCCCTCACTTTAACAGTAGACACCTGGAGAGGCTATGCACCCATCTTTGGTTGCAGGTCAGCCACTCACATGATAAGAGCTTGTGTCTGTTTTTCCACAATTTCAGGTTTTTCTCTACAGGAGATAAGACTCTCACTCAGGGCAGTCTTAGCAGATTTGAGGCTCAGTATCTGCTTCTGAAGCCAGGAGACAAAATTCCTGAGTTCATCATTTTCTTTCATCAGTTTGTCCACTGAACTTAGAAGCAACAAGCCAGCTTCATTATGTTCTTTGGTTCTCCACATATGCTCAAAGCTATTACGTATAGAATCACGGAAATCCTTGCCTCTCATGAGCAGCAAATCAGGAGTGTCAAATAGCTTTATTTGCATAACTCTCTAAATAGTTCACACCAAGGACTATCAGTGTTCTCCATACTGTTAGAATTAGAGTCCTTAGCATTTTGAGGTCAAATCATATTAAGCAGCCAACTCCAGAAACCCCAAAACCAATGAAAAAACTCCATCCTTAATATTCTGTTCCTCTAGAACCACTCCTGGTACCAAAATCTGTATTAGTCAGTGTTCTCTAGAGGGACAGAACCAATAGTATACATATATATAAATATATATATATATTATATATGAATTTATTAAGTATTAACTTACACAGTCACAAGGTCCCACAATATAGACTGTCTGCAGGCTGAGGAGCAAGGAGAACCAGTCCAAGTCCCAAAACTGAAGAACTTGGAGTCCGATGTTCGAGGGCAGGAAGCATCCACCACGGGAGAAAGACACAGGCTGGGAGGCTAGGCCAGTCTCTCCTTTTCACATTTTTCTGCCCACTTTATATTTACTGACAGCTGATTAGACAGTGCCCACCCAATTAAGGGTGGGCCTGCCTGTCCCAGCCCACCGACTCCAATGTTAATATTCTTTGGCAACACCCTCACAGACACACCAAGGATCAATACTTTGTATCCTTCAATCCAATCAAGTTGACACTCAGTATTAACCATCACACCGGGGAAGCTCTAGCCTTTCACAGGAAAGCAAAGGACAGACACTCTGTGGCCTCAGAGGGCTCAGGGTGACCTAGAGTTTCAAGACATTCAAGGGAATCCATCCAGATGCCCCTGTCCTAAGTGTCAGAGCCCCCAGTCAAGCCCTGATCAATCAAACAGGGCTGACTTGCTATGTTGAGAATTCAGTTTTCTTTAGAAATCTGCTGCCCTAACAATTCATTCCTGGGCCAAACCTCAGTTTTTTCTGCCTTCCAGCTGCAGGAGAAAGCCTCTTTATCTGACGGCAAGGAGGCCCTCTGGCTTTCACACTTCACCTTAAATTGGTGATTAATCACTCTCAGCATTTCATTGTCTTTTTCCAATGCCTTGCTTGCCCCCAGCAACAATCATTTAATTCCATAGACTTCATAATTATCATTCCTCTGAGCCTCTCGAATGTCTGAGAAAGTACACCCACTAGTACTTTCCCTTTCACCAGTATCCCATCCCACTTCCCCATCAGTGAAAGTTTTAACAATTGCACTGCTAGAGCATGTCAGGGGCTATCAGTACCTCCACCCACCACCAGTGATGGGGTTCTTATTACCAACTGGCCGGTGGATGATCCAGCTCCAAAATCCCATTTTAGAGTCTGTTTCCTAGGAACCACTTCTAGCACCAACTGTAGTAGTAGGTCAAGTTCCCTAGAAATAGATCAAAGATGGAGATTTGCATGCAGAGGACTTATTGGAGAGTGCTCTTGGGCACAACACCAGCAAAGAGGAATGGAAGCCAGGCTAGGCAGAGAGAGAAGTTGAACTCTGATGTATTGGCAACAGAGGTAAATCTGGGCTGACCAAGGGCTGGTGGAAAGTGCTAGAGCAACTATGACCCTTTAGAGATGTCCCAAAATGAAGGAAGAGTTATCCATTATTGAATTGGAACTATCTCCAGGGAGATGTAGTACCCTTTGGGAGGTGGTGTAATAACCCTTGGGAGGTGGCGTAACACTTGGGAGAGGCAGTTCCATTTGGCCAAAGGCAGTTCTTGGGAAAAGACTCAGAATATTGTTGGCCACAGATGCTTTCATTGACTGGGAGAACAGAGTGCCTCAATGAGTCCTTTTGCAGGAAAGCCAGGGAGACATACCATGGTATTCATTATACCCAAATCAGGGAAGTAAAGATGGAGAGTGGTGGTCAGTATTGTTGCTGAGGTCAAGTAAGCAACCACTGGACTTGACCACAAGGAAGTCACTGCATATTGGGAAGTGAGTTCATTCAGAGGAGCAATGGGGAAGAAGCCCACGTAGAAGGTAAAGAGTGAGCAGAAGATAGGAAGGAAAGATAGCTCTTTTGACCCTGCTAATGACTGGCTTCCTATATGGGCCTAATACCTATGAGCAGTTATCCTTTAGGAATGCACAGCTTTGAATGTAGCTTGCATTAACTCTGTGCAATCATGTGTGCAGACACATGTACACACACAGGTACACATTGAGCTGCCCCAAGGCAAGGATTCCGGCCAGAGACTTGTAAGCAGACCTCTATCCTCATTAACCAATAATGACCTCTGCAGATCAGACTTCTGTACACCACCTCTTCCTGTATACCTGGAAAGTCAAGATTTCCCAGCTGGAGTTTTGGCTTTGTCTTCAAGTCTGATAAGAATCCTGGCAGCAACCCAAAGCAAGGAGAGCCCAAGGTACTAACAACATTAACAACAAGTTAATATTCAGTGACTATCAGCTTTGTCCAAAGCACCTGCAAAGCGCTTTACAAACATTAGTTAACTACATCCTAAAACCCTGTCAGATGGGTACTTCTATTATTCCATTTTACTGATGAAGAAGCAGAGGCTCCAAAAAGTTAGACAACTTGCCCATAGTTTGCACAACTGGTTGGTAGCAAAACTGGGATTGAGATTCCAGTGAAATTGATGGCAGTCACAAGCAGCACACTGAAAAACGGGCAGGTTCATTCATTCATTCAGCAAATATATATGGAGAGCCTACTATGGGCCAAAACTGTTCCAGGCACTTGGAAAACATCAGGGAGCTATACCCACAGAGATCCCCTTTCCTCATGGGACTTTTCTAGAGGGAGAGATAGACAAACAGTAAATTTTATTTTATTTTATTTTTTTGAGACAGTCTCACTGTTGCCCAGGCTAGAGTGCAGTGGCATGATCTCAGCTCACTGCAACCTCCGCTTCCCAGGTTCAAGCGACTCTCCTGCCTCAGCCTTCCAAGTACCTGAGATTACAGGTGCATGCCCCCATGCCTGGCTAATTTTTGTATTTTTACTAGAGACGGAGTTTCACCATGTTGGTCAGGCTGATTTCTAACTCCTGGCCTCAAGTGATCCACCTGCTTCGGCCTCCCAAAATGCTGGGATTACAGGTATGAGCCACTGCACCCAGACAACAAACAATAAATTTTATATATTAACATTTACTCATTTATGTATAGTAAAAGACAAAGTGGACGCTGTGGTGTGGCACCCAGTTCTCCACTTCTGAGCGGATGCACTCACCCCCAGCTGCTTTGAGCACTGGTGGCCAAAGCCATTCAGCTGAGTCCCTCCCCAGAATTGTGCTCAAAGAAGACAGCTGCTTTACCCAAGGTCACTCCCCTTCCCTGGGGGCAGCCCACACCCAATAGTAGGTAGATGAAGCTATAAGTTCCCCAGCCCCCTCACCTTAATGCAGAGCGACTCTGAAAGTCCCCCCAGCTCACAGCTCCCCATGGGGTCAGCTGAGGCCTTTGTTGTGACTACATCACAATTCAACTGTTCCCTCTGCCTGGTTCTGCTTCCTCCACTGTGAGAGCCTTCCCCTGTAAACCTCCTGCAAGCCGAAGTCTCTGTCGGAGTCTGTTTCCCAGTGCACCCAACTTGTGATAGAAGGTATATGTTCTGCTGAAAAAGAGAAAAAGGAAAAAAAAGAATAAAAGCAGAGTAAGTTGGATTGGGAGAGCAGGGCTGAAGGGGCAGCAGGTTGCAGGATCAATAGGATATTTAAGGTGATCTCACTAAGAAGTGACATTGGAGCAGGCTTGAAGGAGGAGGAAGAGGGTTATTCAAGCAAAGATCGGGTAGAAAAGCATTCTAGGCAGAGAAACAGCAAAGACTCTAAGGCACGGGTGCAGCAAGGAGGTCATTGTGGCTGGAGAGGAGTGCAGGAGAGAAAATAGGGGAGGAGAAGTCAGGAGTGGGTGGGGTTAAAGGAGCAGATCACATAAGGACTCACAAGCCCCTGTAAGGTCCTCAAGTATTTCTTCAAGAGGAGCAGAGAAGGACAGGGTCTGGCTGCCGCATGGAGGGGAGGAGCAGGAGCAGGAAAGCCTGTCTGGAGGTTGCTACAGTAAACCAGGTCTTCGTGGGGTTGGTCGAGGTGGTGGCAGTGGGGGTGGTGAGAAGTGATCAGATTAAGAATATGTATTTAAAATACAGCCAGCATGATCTGCTGATGGACTAGAAGTAGGAAGTGAGAAAAAGAGAGGAGTCAAGAATGACTCCAGGGTTTTTTTGTCCTGAGCAATGGAAGCAAGGACTTGCCAAGAGCTGAGACGGGGGAGGACTGCAGGAGAAGCAGGTTTGGGGGAGACCAGGAGCTCTGCTTTGGAGCGTCAAGTTTGAGATTCACAGAGTAGCATCCAAAGGACTGAGCCAGCCCAAACTCTGTGACAAGGTACAATCCTACTGGGGCTCAGGAACCCAGTGGAAGTGAGTGACCCTGGGGGCTCAATGGCACAGGGGTCTGAGTCTATGATCTCATCACCTGACATTCCAAGATCCACTCCAAGCTCCTCTGGCAGCCTAATTCTGTGAGCAAAAGACAAAAAGACAGACAGAAAAGTCTCCATTTGATGGTGGAGAAGGGTCCAGCCCTGTGCATGTTTGGGACTGAGCTGAGAGCGTGCTCGCAGGTGAGAGTAGGGAGTCTATGCAAGTCGAGTGTGATCGTGCACATGGAGATGTTGATTGTGAGTGTGAGTGTGTGTGAGTGTGCGTGTGGCAGTGCAGGTTCAGGAGCTGGGCTCACCCGGAGTGTGCAAGTGTGTATAAGACTGATGCAGTGGCCCTAACTGCCGGGCACACTCCAGTGTGGGTGAGGAAACAGGCCAGCCCAAGGCATGAATGCACAGTAGCCTCCCATGGTAGTGGAATGTGTAGAATAAACAAAGGGCTGCTATCAGCATTTGAAACACAGCACTTGGGTCATCCAGCGGGTGGGGGCAGCATTGCCCCCTTAGCCACCCTGAGCCACATGGGTCCCCTCGGAGCCCTGCACAAACAGTCCCAGGACATGGAGGTCCCTGCAGCTCCCCCATTCCATGCCCTCCTGTTCCCCTGGGCTGCTCTCGGCTGGGCTGGGAAAAGTGCCGACACAGCTCCGGGGAGGGAGGAGAGTTAACTCTCCATTTGCCATTAAACATAATCAGGGAGCAATCTGCGTGGAGCCCGCTGCTCTGGCCAATAAGTGATTCCCCAGAACAACAGATAAAAGCCTGGCACTAAAGTGCAGCCAGAAACGATGTGTAATTGGGATGAAAGAATCCTTAAATCTGCACGCTGCTTTTAACTTGGGAGGCTTAAATTACAATTAATAGTTCCCTTGAAGAAGGCAGTAGGGGAATAGAGGAATTCCAAGGCCTCGAGCTCAGAGCCCTGGGCTGCATTCTCAGCTCTCCAGTGCTGGGGGAGTACAGGGGGTGCTGGGTAGTAAGGAGGAAGAAAGAAGCTGGGGGTAGGAGGGGATCCTTTGCAAGGTCTTGGGCACCCTGATGGGTTGCATTCGTTATGAGTTCCAAAGCCACCAGTTCCCAAATAAGCTCATCCGTACACCTGGACTTTCGCCCAGTTTCCCTCACAGTGTCCCTGGGATGTCGCCAACAGTAAAAAATCATCAGCCCCATTTTGCAGATGGGGAAGCTAAGGAGACACACCTGCCCTGGAACCCTGAAGTGTGCCTAATCCACCTGCAGTTCCCAAACTAGGAGGAACCTGAGAGCGCATCCCTCCTTACGGTTCACTGGGGTATAGCGGCCCTGAGAGGGGAGGGTGTCTGCCCAGCATCGCAAAAGGCTGCAGTGTGCAGCTAGTCAGTGCTAGAACCCAGACCTCTTGACTCTAGCGGCCATTCCTTCCTCTGCACCCCAGGCCAATGAGCCTGGAATTCTCTAAGGAGAGTACAGTTCTCTGGCACTAGCCATGCAGCCCCTCCCTTCCCCTACCTGCTCCCAGGGGTCCAGGCAGTGGCAATAACATTGTCAGAGACAGAAAGTCAGGGAAAGATGGGGAAGGCTCCTCCCCAGCTTTCCCTCGGAAGACTTCTTACCCTCCCCTCCCCTGCCAGCTCTCTCTCTGCCTCTCTTGGGCCTCAGTGCCCAAGGCTTCCTGCTTTCTGTTCTAGGGCCACAACTTATGCTCCTCCTCTGGGGTCCTGCCCTGAAGGCAAAGCTGTGGGCAGCAGGGCTGTGGACAATCAGGTGTGGCAGCAAGGCACAAACCAGAATGGTGAAGCTAGCTGGCTCTCCTCCAAAGAATGAGGGGTTTGGCCCTCAGATGACACCAAGAGACAGTCAGAGGAAGCTCTGAGAGTGGCCCGGCATTCCCAGTGCTGGCTGGGTGGCTGCCTCTGCCACTCAGGCCGGAGCTAAGCTCCTGTGTTGGCGGGAATTCCAAAGCTCCCCACACATGAGCTCATGGATGGCCAGGTGCCCAGCCTTGCAGTTCATGGCTTTGGAATGCGTTCTCTGAGCTGGCCTGCTTCAGTACCCCCATCTCACCACAGCAAGTACTGCTGCCTGCTCTTGGCCCTCCAAAGACAGGCAAATCCCATAAAGGGCTTTTTTCTAAAACTGCTAAATTGTGCAAGCACATACATGCGTGTGTGTATGCAAGCAGCATGTGGACAAAGCATCCTGTGTGCATGGGTGAGTTCGTGTGCACCTGTCTCTAGCATGACTGGGCATACATGTGCATAGGTATATGTCGTGTGTGTGTATTCTGTGCATGAGTAGTTTTAAAAGAACACAGTGGGATCTGCTTGGGGCCTTGTGTAGCTGAACCTTATTTATAGCTCTCCTCTGTCTGGTTCGTTTCCTCTAACTTCCCTGCAGAATGATATGAATGAAAATGACACTATTGACTATCTTGGTAACCATAAAAGACCTTATAGAAATAAGATTTTTATAGTGTGTGGACTGGGAGAATCAAAAGACTAAGAGTTATGGACTCAGAGGATAGGAGAGAACCAAGCTGAGCCAGTCGGAGATGTCCCCGTGGTGGATCGTCTGTGGGTTTTTTAAACAAAGTCATATAAATAAAGTGATTGTCTTGAAAGAGTTATGAGAGCCCTGAATCTGGTGGGCAATATCTCTGTGGCCTCTGCATAGGCGGGAGGGCAGGCGTGCTGTCCACCTGAGAGGAAACCCACACTTTGTCTGAGTCCTGGCTCCCGGCCTCCCAAGGGAGGCTATGGAGGCAGCAGCAGAAACAACGCTGCCCTTTGTTCTGGAGAGCCATCGTATTTGGCAGCCCCGGGAGAAGAGCCCCAGGGCTAGCCCCACAACTGGCTAATGGGAATGTGAAGACCCAACGTGGACAGCCAGCCCCTGAGGCTGAGCCTGCAGATTCTGGGGCTGCAGCTTCTCCATGCTTGAATGGAAAGGACCCTCCCACCCCATGAAGAGTGAGCATTTGGACCCTGCACAGGGACTTGCTCAGGCCCTTCATGGGAAGCCACAACAGCAACCCTGCCTAGAGGGCTCCCGCCTGAACAGGTCCCTTTTAGCAAAATCCAGACCCAGTTCCACACATCTTTACCAGCTCCCACTTTGCATTTGTGCTTTTAGAGATGAAGCAGAGCTCGCCCTGCCCTCAAGGAGCATCCTATCTGGTTTGGAGGGTGGAGAAGGGAAGAGTGGGCAGAAAGACATTCCTGCAAAGACTGATGCATGGAAACCAGGGCACACTCTCCCACTCAGGTACACAGGTTCACAGGTAGACAGGTACACAGGTAGGCAGGTACAGACAGAGAGCAGTGTTGAAACTTGGTGATAAAACTTCTATCCTGTTCATCCCAACAGACTCAGTGCTGGGCCCTGGGCACGTAAAGCTGAGTCAGACTCAGTCCCAACCCTAGAGGGGAAGCTCTCACCCAAAGGGCAGATGGACAGATCCCCACAACATAGTATGTTAAGGGCTGAATTGCATGAGTTCCCCAGGAGCCACCGGTGACCTCAGCCTGGTCGGGTAAAGCTCCTCAAAAAAGGAGACATTTCTGCTGAGCCTGGAAGGACAGGTAGGAAGGAGCTTACCAGAAAAAGAAGGAAGAGAGGGCCTGCCTGGCAGGGAAAATGGCAAACACAAAGGCCTGGAGGTGGGAATGTACAAGGCATATTTGGGAAACCACTCAGGTGTCCTAAAGGTTTGCTGGCTGGCAGGAGGAGGGTATCTTTTGAAAGGGATATTGGAAGCAGCTCTTTCAGGAAGGAGGGACCATCTGGCCCAGGGGTCCAGGCAGTGGCAGTAACATTGTCAGAGACAGAAAGTCAAGGAAAGACGGGAAAGGCTCCTCCCCAGCTTTCCCTCTGAAGACTTCTTACCCTTGCTGTTCCTGTCTTTATAGGCAAAGAACAGGACAGCTCCCTTAGCAGCCAACCAGCCACCAGCCCAGCTCCCCAGGTGCCTCTCCTTCACTCTCCCTTCTTATTCCAATATCACCACCCTCCAGCCCAACCCTAGCCCACTGGGGCAACACTAGGTCCATGCCCTCTTCCACCTTGAAAGGAACAATTCTAAAAACCAGAGAGAAAGCCATCTGGTCAGGCTGCTCATCAGAAATAACTGCCAAGTCTGAGAGGTCATCCTGTCTGTCTCCTCTCCCCGGGGACCTGGGGACATGGGGTGAGGGCCAAGGAGTGCCTGTGGCACCTGTCAATGCACGGACTCCTTGTCTGCAGGCATTGATTTCTCTCCTTCCTGACCTTTCAGGAGAGGCGCCCTGAATTCCATGCCGGGTCATTACAGAGCCAGTGGCGGAGACTCTATGAGACCCAGCCCCACTGGCTGCAGCCCCTTCGGATGCATCTGCGAGAGCAGCCTGGCCGTCACCCGCCGGCCTGGCCCGTGCTGTCAGCCGGCCAGAGCGTGTCTGAATCGAGGAAAGCTGACTGGGGCTCGATTCACACTGACTCGAGCCGCAAGGCGAGTTTATGGTTCTTGATTACACCCAGCAGGGAGGCCTTCTTAGTGATGAGAGAGAAAATATTCAACAACCTGTCTTTGCAATGTGCTGATCTCTTGGAGAGAGAGAGAGAGAGAGAGAGAGCAGAGAAAGTGGAGGAGGGGTTTCAAAGGAGGGTGATTTATGAGTGGAAAGAAGGCTTTTTTAAAAAAAAATCCAGGGCTCCCCCAAACTGCCTCAACATTTCCTCTTTCTCATCGTTGGGTTTTGCCTTGATATAACTTTGAGGCACAGTGATTGCATCCCTGTGGGTTTCTGCAAGCTGATGCAAAGCTTAAAAGGATGCAGGCCCGGAAGGCACTGTAGTCCATCCAGCCTTCACTCAGCATTGCCTCGCAGCTGGGAGAGGTCCTGGACAGCGCTGCCTGCAGAGGCTCCGTGCAGCCCAATCCCCAAGCCCTTCTCTCCTTCACAGCCCTTTTCACATTCTGCTTCATACTTAAACTGCATCTGCTTGCACTCGGCACCCAAACACGGTGCCTGGCTCATGCTCGGTGTTAATAAATGAACAAATGTGTGAACAGGTATGCATCTACTCTCCCTTACCAGGCCGTGCCTCCCAAAGCCCCCATCCAGTAACCTAAACAAAGTCAGCCCTGATGATGTGTTGGGATGAATGAGTGAGTAAGTAACACAGTCCACACCCTGTAGAGTCTGGGCACTCTCACTGGGCTGCTTCACCCTGCATGTTGTTTCTGAAGCTCACTCTGGTTTTAAATGACACATCCTAGGCCCCCAGAAAATGGGATGCTGGAGGAAGAAGGGGAACTTTTCTGAAGACAACATTTTCAGTTGCTTCTTAATAATTCATGGGAACTAGAGTTTTAAACCATTGGATCTGAAAGCACCTCCCAGCGGACAGTCACTGAGCATCTGGTGGGGGGAGGGAAAGAGGAGCCCAGGTTTCTCCAAGAACCCCAATCTCTTCCTTCCCAAGACATCAGAAAGGAGTCTAGGGGCTGGCCGTGTTCCCTTTTCTTCTCTCCCTCACACCCTCTCTCTGCCCCCTCGGCTTCCCTGGGGCTCTCCTATGGCCCAACTAAGTCTCCTGCCACTTCCCTTTCTGCCTCAGCCTCCCTACTTGAGGGATGGGGAAGGCATCTCAGAAGAAAGAAGGCACCCTTATCTTCATATAAACATCAGGATTCCAGCCTCCAGGATGCGTCCTGGGTTCCTATGCCCAAGGCAGGAGGGAGCCAGTGTGTGGAGGGCGGTGATACCAGGCTTGCCACCACCAGCAGAAGTGAGACGAGTTCAGCCCAGATCAACCCCCGACGGGAACCTTGCAAAATCACCAAAACCCTGCAAGCTCAGTGTCTCTGCCCCAGAGAGAGGCGTTGGCACCTGGTCCCCACTAAGGCAGGCTGGGTCAGCCAGCTGGGGGGCTCTCCAGGCTGCCAGGGAGAACAGCCACTGAACCCCAGGGCTGCTGAGAACCCAGCCAGCTCTCCTTGACTCTGGCTCTGTGAAGTTTGGTACCCACCGAAAGGGGAGGGGGCAGTGTCACGGGGACGGTGCCCAAGCTCCAAAACTTTACACTGAAAGTTAATCCACTGAAGCGGAGCCCAAAATAAGCGCACTGCCTAATGTGCCGGGAACTGCCGGTCGCAAGGCCAGGCTGCTAGCGGATGCCGGCGCATCTCCGCCCGCCCGGAGCCTGCATTTAGCGCCAGCGAGGGAGTCTGGGCTGGAGCGCTGCTTTCACACCGACTCGAGCCGCGAGTTTATGGATCTTGATTGCACCCAGCAGGGAATCCTTTTTAGTGATGAGAGAAAAAATATTCAACAACCTGTCTTTGCATTGGGTGTGTTGGACACACTTCCCTGCTTCGGAATCAGACATATGTGAGTTGTGGGAGTAGAACTGCTGTCAGCAGGCCAGAACGCGCCTCTCCTCTCTTCTCCTCTCTTCTCTTCTTCTCTTCTCTCCTCTCTCCTCTCCTCTCCTCTCCTCTCTCCTCTCCTCTCCTCTCCTCTCCTCTCTCCTCTCCTCCCCGCGTCCCCATCCATGGGGGCAGGGGAGCCGAGAGGGGGTTCTGTGTGGCCGGCCCCAGCTGCTCCGGGAGAAGATAGGCAGTCCCCCCAACCCCGCGAGGCCCCCACCCCGGCCCTGGGCCCTCCGCCTGCTCCGCCGCCCCGGCCGCCGCCTCCCTCCTCGGCCTGCGCTGCGCGGCTGGGCCGTCCTCCTCGGGGAGCCGGCTCCCGCGTGGGGCCCGCTGACAGCGCGCCCAGTAGAATATTGTATTAGTTGGTTGTGAGCTGTGTTCTCGTCAGGGTATCTGAGTTTCACAGAACAGACGGGGTGAGAGTTTTTGTGCTATATCCAGATTGGCTTAAAATAATGTCGTTTTTGTAGCTTATTAAACCACAGAAACTACACCAAAGTCATCCAGGCTGCTGCCAGCAAACTCTCTGAGTTGGGGTTGGGGTAAGAGCCGAGTTCAGGCCAGGGGTCAGGCTCCTCGCTCCCAGAGCTGGAGCCAGGGAGAGAGGGAAGTGACCACCCTCTGCTGCCTTCCTTGTGGGCTCTGACTGTGGGCTCTGACCTTGGAAGGATGTAGATGGGTCTGCGGCAAGGCTGGGTCCTGCCCCGACCTCAGAACTCCCTCTGGGTCATCTGAGAGCTCAGGGACCACTTGCCCTGGCTTCGGGTTGGGACCTGCAGGCACAGGACAGCTGGAGTTGAGGCACTGCCCTGGTGGGGAGAAGCTGGGCTGAGCTGGGCACTGTCTGCAGCCAGGGGGAAAGGCTGAGACGTGGCAGGTCCAAATCCTATCTGGAGAGGCCCATGCCTAGGCAGGGGAGATGGTGTGGCGGGGGGATGGGGGGTTGCCATTTTTTTTTTCCAGGATTGCGAGGAAGAGGCAGGGCCTGGAATTGCCAGGCAGTAAAGACCTACAGGCACCCCTCCCCTTCTTCCCCATCCCCAGTTCCAAAAGAATAGCTGTGTCCCCTCCCTGTGGAGGGGGGAGGCCTCCTAGGAGACATGCCATAGCAGCCCTGTTCCCTGTCACCCTGCACAGATCTGAGCATCATTACGAGCTGCCATGGAGGCCCTTCACTACCTTAAACTTCACAACAAGCCTATGAGGTATGTATTAGAATGATCCCTAACTGCCAGATGAGGAAACTAAGGCTCAGAGAGGTAGAGTGATTTGCCCAAGAACACCCAGTTACAAAGTGATAATTTTGAAATGTGAAGCCCAGCTAACCACAGAATGAGAGTTCTAACCACTGTAGCACA
This sequence comes from Homo sapiens, assembly GCF_000001405.40. Lineage (NCBI taxonomy): Eukaryota > Metazoa > Chordata > Mammalia > Primates > Hominidae > Homo > Homo sapiens. The sequence continues at coordinate 38,132,916 of NC_000001.11, read as the reverse complement.
GGGCTTCTCTGGAATTTCAGACTTAAGAATGAATGATGAGGCCAGGTGCAGTGGCTCATATCTGTAATCCCAGCACTTTGGGAGGCCGAGGTGGGCGGATCACTTGAGGTCAGGAGTTCAAAACTGGTCAGGAGTTGAAACACCATCTCTAGGAAAATACAAAAATTAGCAAGGCATGGTGGTACGCGCCTGTATTCCAAGCTATTCACGAGGCTGAGGCAAGGGGATCGCTTGAGCCCAGGATGCGGAGGTTGTAGTGAGATGAGACCGTGCCACTGCACTCTAGCCTGGGTGACAGGGTGAGACTCCGTCTCAAAAAAAAAAAATGAATGAATGATATATAGTTTTCCTTCTCCTGCCATCTCCTGTTTGAGTCTTTTAGAAACAGAGGAGGCTAAGGAAAGTGAAAATGATTCCAAAGGAAACAAATCCCTGCCCCCATTTCCTGATTTGTCCACTGCCATGCCTCTGACCTCCTGCCTCCTCAGTCTCTGGTGTCCAGCAGGAAAGAATCCAGGGCTCCAAATCTCTCCAGGGCCATGTGATACCCTGGCCTATGGGAAGATGCCCTGGTCACTTTTCCTAGGCTCCTCCAGGTAGCCGAGCCTCAGCCACCAGGGCCACAGACTTCTCTGCTGCCTTGAGGGACCTACGGGACTAGCAGGAGCTGCTCTTCCTCGTACGACTTCTACCCACCCAGGTAACCAAAAACCTAGGTGTCCTTCTCAGTGACTCCCTTCCCCCACCCCACCATGTCCAGTCTATCCCCAAACACTGATGCTTCTACCTCTTAAGAGCATCTCCCCAGTTCCACCTCCTGACCCAGCCCAGGCCTTATCACCTTTTGCCTGGGGGTTTTGGCATTACTCAGCTCATCAACTGCTCAGCCTCCAGTCTCTCCTTCTCCAGTCCACACCGCACCAGAGTGAGCCTTCTAGGATGACCATGCCACTCTCCTGTGTGAAACCCTTATCAAGGGCTCCTGCCTCCATGCTATAGGATGGAGGTGTCATGACTTAGTCTGGCCGACAAAGACCCTTTACACATCACCTCTGCTCACTTCTCTGCCTCATCCCCCTACAACCCCTGCATCCTGCCATCCAGGATGAATGGTCCCCCCAAACCCAAGCTTCTTTGACACCTCCCTGTTTTGGCTCAGTTAGGACCTCCCGCCTGATACCTGAACTTTGTGGGATCAACTTCACATCCCCCAAAACAGACCTGCTGGGGACAAAGAGCATGACACACAGAGCATCAAAGTAGCAGTCCAGAAGCCCTGTGCAGGAGGCAGGGTCCAGGACCATGCCCTCCAGGACAGGCTGGGGGCCGCAGTGCCCCTCAGTGGTCATGACTTGGACCTGGGCCCAAATCCTAGCTCCAATATTGGGGCTCATCATTGAACCCCTCTGTGTCTCAGTTTCCTCACCTGTAAAATGGGGTAATAATAGTATCTACCTCCTAAATTGGTTGTGAAGATTAAAATAGTTAATTATGTAAAGGGCCTGGAACAGGCTTGTCATACAGCGTTACATAAATGCTAGCTGCTTCTATTATTATCACAGTCCATCCAAGCCCTGCCTCCTTTGACCTTGACCCTTTGATCGCCAGTGACCTAACAATTCTCTTTCTCTTGCACACACATCCTCACATACATATGTGCTGATGTATACACACACACCCACGCATACAAGCATGTGCCTTGCCAGCCTCCCCACCCTCAGAACTCTTCTCGCACTTCATGGTCCTTCTGAGTCAGTTTCAGAGCCCACGTTTCTAACTCTCTACCCATTTGCCACATCAGAGTTCAAAGTCGAAAGCTTCCCAAGAACCCCACCCAGGTTCCTCCTGCCACCCAGAGGATTAGACACATGGATCCCCAGCTATTCCTGGCCCCTGCTACACTGCTCAGCAGGTGGGGTGCTGGTGTCTGGTGGGGGGGACTGAGGCTGGTGCAGTGTAACCAGCAGGCATGTGGACAAATGGAGATGGTCCCTGGGAAGATGGGGAGTTCCTTCCAAAATGATTCCAACTCAGGAATGATGCCTCCTTTTTTGGCTCCTGCTCCAGCAGATCCCAGACTCACCCCACTCTATAGCAGACCCCAAAGCAGGAGCTCTCACACGAATTAGACATTTTTGTTTCCTGGGGAGTTTGCTGTAGTCTGGTCTGCAAAGTGCCAAGGGCTTGCTGACGTGCCATGGGCATGAAACAGGACTTCCCTCATGGTCTCACAGAAGCTTCTAGACAGGGCCCTTGCACACCAGGAAACTGTAACACCCAGCTCAGACTAGCACTTTCATACACCCAAGCGTCTAATTGGGGGGAAAGGGGGAGGGAGGTGGAGTAAAGCAGAATGGAATTTGACTCCATTACCTCCCCACTGTGTGATTTCAGGGATATCACTTGACCTCTCTGAGCCTGCTTCCTCCTGGAGACAACAGTGTATACTCAGGGCTATTGCGGGGAATGACAAGGAAAATGGATGAAAATGTGCTGGAGAAATTCTGAGGCATCAGTCAGATGAAAGGTTGTTTACCATCACCTTGGAAGCTGTGCTTGCTCTGTCCCCAGGTTCACTTTCTGCCCTGTTCTGGGCCCTCCAGGGGCCTTCCCTATGAAGTGTGTCTCCCAGGCTCTCCCACCCTCTGGCTTCCAGTCCAGGCCAGCTAATATGTGGCACCAGCAAGGAATCAAGGGCAGGAAAAGAGAGAGGTTGGGAATGTGCCTCCCATCTCCTCTCTGACTCACTGCATTCAGGCACTGGCTGAGCTATTCTATGGCCACAGCTCTGTCCAGCGGCCCCTCCTCTGTCCTTCCTTCCCTTGCCCCTTCAGGCCTAAGAGCGGCCACAGCTTCCTTCTCCCTGTTGCTAAAGTCCAGATGCTTCAGCATCTTGTATTCTTTCTCTTAGCCCTACCTCTCCCTCTCAAATCAGAGCCTGTTTGGCGAAGACTTTTCAGGTGTGCCGACTGCCCCAAGCTGACCCAGTGCGGATCCTAACTGGCCCCACCAGCATCTTCCATGCTCACCCAGCTGGCCCATGTCTTGAAGATGCCCTGGGCTCCCAGCTCTGCCACCCCAGCTTTCTGAGTCTCCATGGATCGGGATCACTGGGGACCCAGCAGGAAGAAGTTGGAGAAGATAGGAAGGCAGGACGGGACTGGAATGATTCTAGGATGACCACCCCACTGGCCCCTGCAGCAGAAGGAGCCTCAGCCTGGGCCCTGTCTCTGCCAACGCCCCCTCCTGGCAGAATGGGCAGCCTATCTGGGTAAAGACCTGCCCAGACCCCACAGCCAAGGGCAGCCCCTCAGAGATTCAGGCCAGGAGCGGCCTTTGTTCCCCACACCTGGAGCTCAGAGCTTGCTTAGCCTGCGGTGGAAGCTCTGGTTTAATTAAGGATCTTAGGAGAGAATTCTCTCTTGTTATTTTCTGAATAAATTAAGGAAGTAACTTTGATGCAATATCATTTTCATCTAATCAGGAACATTCTGAAATTACCATATTGTTTTCCATTAGAAACCCCATCAGCCCCTAAATCAGATAACCAGGCTGGAGGCTGCCAGGGCCCCTCTGTCCTGGGGCGGGTGCGTGCTGTGCTGTGAGGACACAAAGGGACTCTCTGCTCCTGCCATGATCCCTTGTTAAGTTCAGGAGATTGCTCGTGGCTCTTAGCAGGGCTCCTGGGCCTTGGCCGGGCCTGGGGAGGGGTCCCCCAGGCAAAGGGCAAATGAGGAGCCCAGGAGGCCTGCAGAGCAGGTTGGGATGGATCAGAACCTGCCTGGGAGCTTCTTGACAGTTCGGCAGGAAAGAAGGAGAGGTCAGGCTCCTTATCTTGAGCCCCCAGTCCCACCCCTGCCTAGGCAGCCTCACAGGGACCAGAGGACGGGACTCATCAGGTCCAAGCCCACAGCCAGGGACAAAGGAGGGCGACCCGAGATCGAGGATCTGAGGAAAGGCTAAAGGCCACCCATGTGAGGTGTGGCCAGAGGGTGCTGAGAATGCACAAAATCCTCTACAAAGCTCATTTCCAATCTCTGAAGCTCCCTGAAGGCTTAAGCTGAGGGGTGTCAAGACCTCAACAAGGTGGGGGCCATGGAGGGGAAAACAAGAGCATCCCAGGGCCAGAGTGCCCTCAGAGAAACGTCACTGCCACTCTCCAAGGTCTCCTCCTGGAGGGCACACTCAGGCCCTCACAGCAGGGGTAGGGACTGTGGCCAGCTGCAGCTGGAGTCCAGGACAGGACCCGAGCCCTTTCTGAGGCCATCCCAGGGCTGAGCATCACATGCTGCATCTCTTCACACACTGAGATAGAGCCAAGTGCATGCCTAAGAAAAGTCAGTGAATATTTTTTTTTTTTTTTTGAGACAGGGTCTCACTCTGTCACCCAGGCTGGAGTGCAGTGGTGCAGTCTTGGCTCACTGCAACCTCCACCTCCTGGGCTCAAGCGATCGTCTTGCCTCAGCCTCTTGAGTAGCTGGGACTACAGGCACGCACCACCATGCCTGGCTAATTTTTTGTATTTTGTGGAGACAGAGTCTCACTATGTTGCTCAGCCTGGTCCCAAACTCTTGAACTCAAGCAATCTGCCCATCTCGGCCTCCCATAGCACTGGGATTACAGGTGTGAGCCACTGCCTGGCCAACAGTGATCTTTAAGAAGTGCCTGGTAATAGAGTCAGAATCTCTGTCTGTTGGTTCGTTTGTCCCAATTCTATTTCTCGGTCACTGTGGCTTTCTTTCACTCTTGTTTCTATCTCCCATTCTCTCTCTCTCTTCCTTCCTCCCCCTCCTTGTCCTCCCTCCCCTCCCTGCCACGCTTCAGGCCCTCAAGAAGCCAAAACCCCTAACCAGAACCCAGTAGGGGCAACCTCCACCCACCCACTTGGGTTCCACCTGGCTCTGCTCCTCCCAGCGCCAAAACAGGAGTGTCAGCTGCCAGAGAGGGATCCGAGACCCTCCACAACACTCCCGCCACTGTCCCAGAACCAAGAGAACACAACCAGGCCACCAGGTGTTGTCATCCAGTCAAAGCAGAGTGAAGAAGGAAAAGGAGGGGTGGAGCAGAATGGCAAGGAGGAGGAGGGTGGTTGTCACATGGTAGAGAAAAGTGTGTGAGTGTGAGGGCAGAAATGGGAGTGAAGGTGGGGAAGGGTCCAGGAAGGATATAATCCCAGAATGGAGGGGTGGCCAGCCTGAGGGTTCTGCCAAGCCCCAGAGTCACTGGGTGTCCTTTGGAAGGGATGAGCTAACTGTTCTCCTAGTCTCTGGGCCCCAGAGTTCAGTAGAAGGCCAAGCACACAGAAAGCCCAGGAAACATTTGCTAAACAAAAAATGACTCAGAGAACGATAGGCAGAGATACTGGCAGGGGTCCCTTATAAGCACACGGGGGAAAGGGAGCTCTGAACAGCAGCTCATATCCACAAGGCAGGGAAAGCCACTACCAGGTAATGTTCTGGAGAGCAGGGTTATGGCCTTTAGCCCTGGGGCAAATGCTGTCTGCCCCCACTTCCCTGCTGGATTTGGGACTCTGAGCCCACAGAAAAGGAGCATGGCCAGAAAAGGTCACGGCTCACAGATGGATCCGTTCACTCATTATGCAAAGATGTCTCGACGGCATGCTCTGTGCGAAGCTCCTGGGTGAGGCCCACTTGCTTCCCTGTGCTTTCGGATGTGGGATGTGCATGGAGGTGGTGGGTGCCAGTGTATGCAGGGGTGGCATGGGTGCACTTATAGACGAGTGGGATGGGATAGAAGAGCATGTGTGGGGAGGGCCTGAGTGTGCTTTCAGGCATAAATGGGGACTGCTGAGTGATGACAGGGCAGCTGGGAGGGGCCCCTAGCCAGGAGGCTCGGGCCCACTCAGCAGATAGTCAAGGGTAGGAGTATTTTCTCCTAGAGCCCTCCCCCTACATTTTCAGGACACCCACAGCTTCTAGGGGGCCACCCATACTCCACCAAGCCCATGTCAACCAGTTGACTTTAACAGCCCACCTTACCACATGTGAATCTCTGGTTTCATCCAGAATCAGAAGTTACCAAGAGGTGCTTTAATGTATTTGGCTTGGTAAATACTTCCCACAGCTTCCTCCGGCTTTTCTGCCCGTGATTTCCAAGTTAATGCCTGTGAGCACACCACTGGGCACACAGTGGCATTCTTCTACTGGCCCACACTGCTGGACCAACTTCTTCCTGATTTTCACCCCCTGTCCCAAGCTGAGACAGGTCTCCCAGTTCCCCTGGTCATTTGAAAGTACTGACTTCCCTTGTTTCTGGACCACAAGTCTATGGCAAAATTCCAGTCCTAAATTGCTCTCCCCAGCCCCAGCTCTACTTCCCTGCTGCTCCCCCAAATGCACCAGCCCCCGGGGACCCAGCAGGGGTGGGCGGAGAAGATCCACTTTGGTTCACTATCGGCTATTTCCAGAAGAAGTATTGGGTAGCACTAGGCTACCCAGTTCCCTGCCTCAGCCTGGCTGGGACCCAGCCAGCGCGTTGGGACGCCCCTGCCGTGGCTGGCTGAAGCTTGTTGTCTAACCCGGCCTGGGGGTACCTGGGAGCGGGTGGAGGGTGGCCTGGCAGGGCTCAGAGAGCAGGCACACCCTGGGTGAGTTCATGCCTGCCTCACACCTCTGGTATTCCCGCTGATCCCTATCTCCTCCCCCAGCCCTCAGGTTCCTGGGGCGGAGATGCAGGCAAAAGAGGTACTGATACTACGGTCTGGCCCCAGCCAAGAGAGGGGCTGCAGCTGAGCCTCTACCTGCCCGTCCTCTGCTCCCACCGCCATCCCCACCCCATCTCCTGCCTCCGCACCGGCAGACAGACAAGGCTGGCCGCCCCATAGGAGAGACCGCCCCCCCCTCCGCCATGTACTGACCCCTCCTGGGAAAGACCCTCCCTCCCATTCCTCCCCAAGGAAGCCGGGCAAGGCAGAGGGGCCCTGAAAGGCAGGTTTCCAAAGGGCTTCCCCTTGGAAGACACCCCGTCCCCTCCCACACTCCACCCTCTCAGCCTCCTCACCTCTACCTCAACCGAACTTTCATCATTTCGGTAACCATTATTAGTAGGGAGCCATATGGCTTATCATGCAAACTTTTGAGAATGAAAGGATGATTCTTGGAAACTGACTGTCACAGGCAAACTGGATACATGGGTGCCCTGATTATTGAGCCCCCTCTGAGCGCTGGACTCCCAAGAAGGCATGTGGGCATTTTGATGAGCTCAGGCTCTGAGAGGGCCCGCGTCTTTGGCCTGGGGCTCTCAGGAACCAGAGAAGTATCCAGCCCTGGATCCCTGTACTGAACAGAATGAGGGGTGGGGAGAGGCTCTGCAGGGACCAGAAAGGAGAGGATAAATGCCAGCAATTCTCGGTAGAGTTCTGTATGTTTCTTGTTCCCTTTATTAGCCCCATCCCTGGCCTAGCCCAAGAGTCAGGAAAATCAAGACCCTAAGACAATGACAGGGCAGACTCTCGAGGGACATGATCTTCCCAGGTGACTAAGCTGTCCTCTCCCCTTCCATCCCACCTTCCCTCCCCAACACCCCCGCCTCCACTCCCTTTTCCCCCTGTCTGCCTCCTTCATATGCTACAATCATACCAGTGGTTCTCAAAGTGTAGGCCCCAGGTTGGCCGCATCAGCCTCACCTGGGAACTCGTTAGAAAAGCACATTCTTAGACACCACCCCAGACCTACTGAATCAGAAATTCTGCAACAGAATCACCCCAGAGGGTTTGTTAAAACACGTTCTGTTGCCTGCTTATGTGGAGAAGCACCGCTCTACTCTTCTCAAGCTTTAATGGATGTACAGATCACCTGGGGATCCTATTCAAATACAGATTGTGGGATGAAAATGCAGATTATGACTCAAGAGGCCTGGCACAGGGCCTGGCATTCTGCATTTCTCTGAAGCTCCCAGGTGGGCTGATGCTGCGAGTCCTCAGACCACACTTAGAATAGCCAGGCTTGAGTACACCCCTGGTTCTCAACCCCAGTGGCACTTTACAGTCGCCTGGGGAGCCTTGAAAAAATGCTGGTACCTGGGCCCTGGCTCCAGAGGTCCTGATTTCATTGATCTGAGGGGAGACTGGAGCATGGGTAGATTTTACAGCTTCCCCAGGTGAATCCAACACACAGCTGATGTCCTCCGCCTAGCGTGATGAGTGGACGTGCTTGGCACCCCTACACCCCACGCACCCACTCACCCTCTGGGATCCCCCTTCTCCCTTCACTCTTCCTTATCTGCTTCCACATCTCCTTCCCCACATCGGCAGACACTTTGACATGCATAAACACAAGCACATGGACATAGAGAAAGGTATCTAGGCAGCTGTAGACTCAGACACACAAAAATGAAAGCAGGTGGACAGTAGGCATGCAGGCATGAGTGTGTACACACGGGCTGTACACATGCGGACCAACCCATTTGTCAATGTGCTGTGAACACTCTTAGATTTATACAGCTAGATGGGCACACGCAAGTGTACACACAAAACATGCAAGAGTACATGCCAGCCTCAAAGGAGCCAAAGACCTCCTCCATCTGTCTCCAGTGGGGTGACTCTTGGTCTCATTGCACCAGATGATGGGGCCCGTGGGCCCAGCAGTCCTGTCTGTCCCTCAAGAGATAGGTCAGCCCTCAGGAAACCAGAAGTCTGGGCTTGGCTCTCTTTTCTCATTTAGCACCACGGAGGTACTCTAGGCTGGGTGCGGTCCTCCCCGGGAGGTGTTAGTTTCCTATGGCAGCCAACTCAGCCTCAAGGTCTCCGAGGGGCCTTGGAGACATGCCTGTCCCCTAGTGTCCAGGTCAGCCATGGAGGGGCACTGCCGCCAGGAGGCTGCCCCTTTCTGGGAGCTGTGGGTGTCCTCTGTCCCTCAGTTCATCACAGTACTGCTCTGTTGGAGCCTCCTTTGGGTTTAAAATCCGGCACCCCCCACCCCGCGTGCGGGCTGGGACCCTCCATGAACAGGGCTGATGGATGACTCAGGGGGACTGCGGCTGCTGCAGGCCTATTTTATGATGTCATTAGGCAGCTTCGGCAGCGGGAAGGAATCCCTCTTGACATCATAAAGGACTTGATATTTCGCTAATGTTATCTTGGCGGCATGTCGCCCTGACATTTTCTCTTTGCAGCGCTCCCCCCAGGACCAGGAGTTGTCTAACTACAGCCTGGAAAAAATGCAAAACAGACAAATGCACCCTCGGGGGACAGCGGGAGAAAGCTAATAGACCAGTCCCCAGCTCCCCACCCACAGAGGTGGTTTAGGTGGGAAGCATGATGTGTTTGTCAAAGGAGACCCGGGGCTGCCTTCCCACTGCCAGCTCTCCCTACTCCAGACACAGCAGGATGAGTCAGTGCTGAGGTTCCAGAACCCGCCCTGCTACCCTGAGGCTATGTGACTTAGGCAAAGCCCTTGCCCTCTCTAGGCCTCAGTGACCCCATCCACGCTCCCACACAGGGGATTTGGACTGGACAATTTCAAAGGCTCTTGGGTGATGTCGAAGGCCTTCAAGCTGCCAGGGAGGGTGACGGTGCCACAGAGGAAAGAAGGAGGGATCCCCTCCTAGGCTCAGAACTGAAAGCCTGCACAGCTGTTGCGGGAGGATGGGTGATATGGTTTACAATCCATCCCCTTCCCCAGGAATGGTTTTGGAAGACAGACAGAGGAGCAAGGTGTTTCCCTACCCTGAAGCCATTGTCTTCCAAAGAACAAGATCAATTACTGGTTCTGAGGCAAATTGGAGATGGCACTGGGGTAAATTTGTTGCTATGGGCCTGGCGGGTGGAAGCCTGCACAAAGTAACCATTCTCTCATTCCCAGGGCTGCCGGCGTGGCTCAGGGTTTGGCAAAAGAGAAAGTTCCTACAGCCCTGCGTACCTCCTAGATTCACCACCAAAAGTAGCTCAGGAAAAATCAAAATCCTCTCCCACCTGGGCAGAAATCACCCACCCCAGCCTGACCCCAGAATCCCTGACAGATGGGCCTCCAGCTCACCACCTCCAGAGATGGGGTGCTCAACCCTTCCCCCAGGCAGCCCAGCCATCTGCCTCCAAGTGGCATCCTCCTAGGGTTCCAAACTCTGCCTCTCAGACATTTATCTCCACCCCCAGGACAGCCCTGCAAAAATATGCACAAACACCTCCCCCAACCCCACCCTCCAGTGTGCAGGAGGAGAAGCCAAGGTTTGTGCTCTGTTTTCACAGAGTGGAATATTTGTCCTCGAAAAGAGTGTAACTGGCCATTTTAACCTGGGATCTATGGTTAGAACCGTAACCATTCCTTTGTAATCCTATGTATCTCATTTTATGCATTTAAAAACACTATTTGGGTTTGGGCATGGTGACTCACACCTGTAATCCCAGCACTTTGGGAGGCCGAGGCAGGAGGATCACTTGAGGCCAAAAGTTCAAGACCAGTGTGGCAACATGGTGAGACCCCATCTCTACAAAAAAAAAAAAAAAAATTGTTTTAATTAGCTGAAAGTGATGGCACGCACCTTTAGCCTTAGCTATTTGGAAGGCTGAGGTGGAAGGATCACTTGAGGCCAGAAGTTAGAGGCTGCAGTGAGCTATGATCATGCCACTGCACTCCAGCCTGAGCAACAGAGTGAGACCCTGTCTCTAAAAAAAAATAATAATAAAGAATAAAACACTACTCTAGAAGACTGCTAAAGAAGTTCATGGCATTTAAAAAAAAAAAAAAGTAAAGAACCCTGTTCTAAAATCCAGACAAAGCCATATTTAGCCATGAATGTGTCCAGACTAGGGAGATCATTATGACCTGGGTTCATCTCTAGCTCTGGAGAAACCCTTGTGCCAATCTTGGAAGAAACTACTTTTAAAATAAAGGTAGATTACAAAACATTGTTTAAAAAAAGAAAAGGAAAGAAAAATAAAATAAAGGAATTAGGTTGGTGCAAAAGTAATTGCAGTTTTACCAAAGTTAATGGCAAGACTGCAATTATTTTTGCAACAACCAAATAGATTAGACCATTTTCCCAGCCAAACCCCCCAACCCCTGTCTTCTCCAAGGCCTGTTCTGAGGTCTGATCTGCACCATCAGAGGTGCCTAGACCACCCAATTCCTAGACTCCTGGCCTGAGCTGAACAGGCCACACAGCGGACGTCAAGGGCACCTGCGAGGGCCAGGCACCATTGTAAGCACTACAGGGGCAGGCAAACATGGAGCAGACTCAATCCTGGCTTCAGGAGGTTCTCGCAGGTAAGTAGACACGTTCCAGCCACAACTCGCTGCCTGTCCCTCCCCAGCCAGTGCACCAAGAGCCTCCTACATGCTCGGCTCTGCCCGCGCTGCTCCCTGGGCCTGCAGTGCCCGGCCCGTGCTCTTCTGGTAGCTAATCCTCCCCCAACTTTCCAGCACCAGCTAAAATACCTACCTTAGTACAAGTTTATTCCGCGTTCTGGTGCCCTTACCTCCACAGAGAAGCCTGGCTGAGTGTGAGCCTCCTGGAAGGCCCGCCTTAGCCTCGGATATGCTTGCAGCCACGGGGCAGGGAGCTCACAGAGAGGCTTCCAGGGAGCAGGATCCCTGATGCCTGGCTGGCCCACGAGAACACACTGTTGACTCTCCCGCTGAGTTGGGAACCAGCACATGGTACTTCCTCCTGAGCTGGTTGCCCCAAGCGGAAGGACCATGGGGTTTCCTCCCAAGGGCCCCCACTGCCTCCCTAACAAAGTAATGCTGAAATAATGCCCTTTCAGAATTGCAGAATTCTCACCTCTGATTGCCCAAGTTGGAAGATAGCTGCTCCTATGTTTTGGCACCCTCCAAAATGATGAGCAATTCATTCATTCAACAAATATTTATTGAGCGCCCATGACTTGCCAGGCACTGTTCCAGATGTTGAAAACAAAGACAAAACATCCCTGCTCTCAAGGAGCTCACATTCTCTCAGGGAGAGACAAGCAACATAGAAAATCAGTCAGCAAAAAAATATATATACTGGATGGTGACAAGTGCCACAGATAAAAATAGGTCAGAAAGAACAGGGTCTTCCTTATGGAGAAGGGGACACTTGGGTAAAGACCTGAAGGGGGTGATGGAGGGAGGCATGAGGATATCTGGGGGAAGAGCATTCCAGCAAAGGGCATGGCGTGTGCAAAGGCCCTGAGGCAGGAGAGTGCCCGACATGTTCAGGAACAGCCAGGAGGGCAGTGGGGCTGGAGGGAAGTGCAATGGGGGAGAATAGTAAAGACAGGGATGGGGGCCCTGGGGTGAGGGATGATTGACCATGTGAGGCCTTGAGCCTGCTATGATGACCTTGGTTTTTACTCCCAATGAGATACGCACCACTGCAGGCTCTGAGCAGACAAGTGATGTGCTACGACTTAAATGCTAATTAACAGGATCACTGTGACTGCTGCGTAGAGAATAGACCACTGGGCATGGACCTCTACTATAGCAGTGTCTGTGGAAGGAGTGGTTGGACTCTGGCTGTATTCTGAAGGTGAAATGATAGACACAAGGCACTGCTTCTGGCCTTGTGCACCATTTTCTTTCTTTCTTTTTTTTTTTCCTTTTTTTGAGACAGAGTCTTGCTCTGTCACCCAGGCTGGAGTGCAATGGTGCAATGTCAGCTTACTGCAACCTCCACCTCCTGGGTTCAAGCGATTCTCCTGCCTCAGCCTTCTAAGTAGCTGGGATTACAGGCACCTGCCACTACGCCCAGCTAATTTTTGTATTTTTAGTAGAGACAGGGTTTCGCCTGTAATCCCAGCACTTTGGGAGGCCGAGGCGGGCAGATCACCTGAGGTCAGGAGTTCAAGACCAGCCTGACTTTTTTTTTTTTTTTTAAGATGGAGTCTCACTCTGTTGCCCAGGCTGGAATGCAGTGATACAGTCTTGGCTCACTACAACCTCTGCCTCCTGTGTTCAAGCAATTCTCGTGCCTCGGCCTCCTGAGTAGCTGGGACTACAGGCACCCACCACCATGCCCAGCTAATTTTTGTATTTTTAGTAGAGACAGGGTTTCACCATGTTGGCCAGGCTGGTCTCGAACTCCTCCTGCCTCGGCCTCCCAAAGTGCTGGGATTGCAGGCATGAGCCACTGGGCCTGGCCCCTGTGTGCCCTTTTCTATCAGCCTCACAATCACGCCATGAAGTAGGGTCTTTCTCCCCATTACACAGATAAGGAAACTGAGCTTCAGAAAGCCCATAAGTGGAAGATTCAACCCAGGCTTATCAAGGCCGAAGCCAAGTTCCTCCCATTCTACTGCACCACATGCCTGGTCAGGATTCCACAGACCCCAAGAGAGGGGAAAAAAGTCAAGATACTTACCAGCTGAGAACTTCATGCTAATTTGGAATTGTCCACAAATTGTCACCTTCACATGTTTTCTCTTTATGTTAAAGCTCAAATGACACATTGATGTTAAGTGTTTTTATTTTTATTTATATAGTTTCCATTTTTAATCAATATTTTTATTTTAAATTGCATCCAAAATCATCAGTGAAGAGAGAGAACTGCAAGGAGAAGGGAGAGTGGGGGAGGCATAATCATTGCAAGATGTGAGCTGGAGTACCTTGTTTCTTACCAGAATCATCCTTCAGCACTGCAACGGGCCAGGCCCTGGGCTAGGGAAATGTGGGGCAGGCAGGAATGAATCTGCCCGAGTCCCTGCCCAGAAGGACCTCTCAGCAGGTGAGAAGAGAGGAGACATTTCCAGGCAGCACATGAGAGGAGCCATATCCAGGGCGCAGCTGTCTGGGAATGATCTGGGTGACTAAGCAAAGAGGACCAGCCAGGGAAGGCAGGACTCAGGACACAGACAGGAGGAAGCGTCGCCCTAAATCAAATCCCAGGAAAGGTCCCACGATGACAGAAGGGATCGTCGTGGATCTGAGGCAGAAGTGCTCTGAAGCCCAAGCTGGCAGGTCTTCCAGCAGGCAGTGCGGCTGCCTTTTACCAGCAGTGTAGGAGCGGTGGGAGAGGGCTCCTCAAAAGGGAAGGAGAAAAGGTCATGGGTTCTCACTCGGAGCTACTGCTGGGGGCTGATGATTAAAATGCAATGGGGCATGCAATGGCTTTAATTTACAGAGCCCCCGGAGACTGGGTGGCTCTGGAGCTGCATCTGCATGGGGGCGGGAGTGGGGACCCCTCTCCAGAGGTTGAAGTGTGGCTTCTGAAACGTCATTTGTCACTCCCGCAGCAGCCCAAGACCCAGTCTCTTCAAGCGAGTTGCAAAAAAGGAAGGAAGGAGAGAAGGAAAGAAAGAGGGAGAGAAAAAAGGGACAAGGATGAGGAATGGAAGGAAGAAAAGAAAAAGGAAAGGAGATGAGAGGAGGAAAGAGTGAGGGGAGGGATAAACAAGTCCAAAGGGCAAAGCGGGTCCTCCTTCAGGGACACCAGGGCCTGGTCCTGTCAGAGGCAGCACCCTGGGAAACCTTGAGCAAAGCTTCCCTTCAAGCAGAGGAAAGGAACATGAGAGTCCAGGAGGCCTCAGCCACAGCGCAAAGATGGAAGTGATGACCGGGAGCCACTGCAGACACAGGGAAGATTCCATCCTGCTCACCCTGAGACAGCCATGCCTGCATCCTGAAGTGAATACCAATACCCTCACTAGATGTACACACTGCAAAATACACCAACATACAGGCACAGCTGCAGAGACACTCACGACAGGCATGGACAGATTTACATACAGGTACAAGACACATAGAGGCACTGGAAAGAACAAACATGCTCATAGACGTAGATGACACTTGCACAGATGCTAACAGAAAGCACAGACTCATGTCCGCAGATACTGACAGAGGTCATCAGACACACACCAGTGTGGACCTACCTGCATGGACAGTGCACAAGCAGACATTTGCAGATACAGGCAGAAATGCACAGACACACACGGATACTGACAGATGTATGCATGCAAGAAGTTTGCTTATACACAGATGTGTAGGCTCACACTGACACAGACACACCTTGGTACACAGATGTGCACAACTACATGGGTGCACCAGCTCTTGCACTGATAGACATGCACACTCATTTATAAGAACACACGCACCCAGCATACCCTTAGACACGTGCACACACACAAAGACAAGCTCGGAGACACCGGCCGACATGCTCAGGCACGCCAGCAACCAGGCAGACACTCATGCTGCTGGGCTCTGTTTTGAGCTTAGGCCCTGGGTCTCAGCTTCCCTGAGTGGCTGTCCTCAAGCCAGGCCCTCTCCTGCCCCACTCCTGCCAGCTGCCCAGCTTTGGCGAGTTCCCTGGCCAAGCCCGCCAGGCCCACCCACCAACCCTTGGTCAGATCCGCCCATCAACCCTTGGTCTGCGCATTGGCCCTGTCCCAGGCCCCAGGCTCCAGGATAGCAATTGCTCCATTCTACCAGGTGCCGACTCAGCCAAATTTCACACCCAGAAATGGAGCCAGGCCAGCAGGGCTTGTTGCAGCCCGTGTGGGGCATCAGCATGGGGGTGGTGTGAGGGAGCCAGGATCCTGTAGTGGCAGAGAGAGAAGCAGCCCCAGTTGCCATGCAGCCCTGCCTGGTGATGCTGCCAGCTTCTTCTTCAGGTCATCCACCCTCTCCAGGCCTCAAGCTCCTCACCTGTGAAATGGACAATATGCCTGCCCTACTGACATGCCAATTAAATGGACATCCCCTCTCAGATGACAAAGAGATTTTGCCTAAGTTTCCCTTGCCTAATCTTTACAATAACCCAAAGACATAGGTTTTATTTTCCCTGCTTTATACTAGGAAGCTGAGCCAAGGAAGGATAAGTAACTTAATCAAGGGAGCAGACAGGACTGGAACCCAGGTTCCTGCTCCAAATTCCATATCTTTCAGGTAGGTAAGTATGCAGCACATGACCTCCCAGAATCCAAACACTTGCCCATGGGAAATGTCACTAAGAGCTCACAGTCTCTTTTTTGGTGAATTTAGACTTGGCCTCTGAATCCTTCTCAACACACCACTCCAAGCACCATTCATACTTGGCCAGAGTTGGCATGTGGAATGAAACCTACTGCCATCCTATCCCTACATTGAATTCATCTAATTCAGAGGGTTGATGGGACGATTAAATGAGATCAAGGGCAGAAAGTACTTTGTAAGATTACAAGTGATGTGCCTATCAGACAAATTGTAGTACAGTTTTCTTTTCTTTTCTTTTCCCAAGACGGAGTTTTGCTCTTTTGCCCAGGCTGGAGTGAAGTGGTGTGATCTCGGCTCACTGCAGCCTCCACCCCCCCGGTTCAAGTGATTCTCCTGCCTCAGCCTCCTGAGTAGCTGAGATTATAAGCGCCCGCCACCACGCCTGGCTAATTTTTGTATTTTTAGTAGAGATGGGGTTTCACCATGTTGGCCAGGCTGGTCTCAAACTCCTGACCTCAGGTGATCCACCTGCCTCAGCCTCCCAAAGTGCTAGGATTACAGGTGTGAGCCATCGTGCCTGGCCTGTAGTACAGTTTTCAAAAGCTATTTACATCCAAGTCCTCCCAAGTCTCCCTATGCTGGGGTGGATGGTTAGGGACAAGATAGTCATTGTCATTGCTCCATTTCACAGAGGAAGAGACTGAGGCTCAGTCAAATGAGTCCAGGGTAACATAGCTAGGTCAGAGGTAAGACTGAGGCCCATGCACTGACGTCTGTTTCAGTGCTCTTCACAGTCAGGGCCCCAGCCAGACAGGATGCCAGAGTGTGTGGGCATTTGGGAGTCAGTGCTGGGAAGGGAGCAGGAAGGCCCAGTCTTCTCCCAGGAGAAAGGGATAGACCCTACAACTAATTGGTTCAGAGTGCTTCTTTTGACCCTAATTAGCTATTTGTCATGTCTCCATTTGCATACCAGAAAAGATGCAAATTTGCATATTTGTAAATGAGGCCGGGCCTAGATGTGGGTTCTGGAAGAGCTTGGCAGTTGCTGGCAGGCAGGGAGGCAGCTGGCTCTTGCCACTGAAGCATGGGCCGCTGAGGAAAGAGGAGATTTGGAAGACAGCTCCTTGGCTCAGGCCTGCAAGGTGCTCTCAAAGGGGGTCAGGCAAGATGGCCCGCCCGCCTCGCTCCCTCCCCCAGGGCTGAGGGGTGGGCAGGGAGAATGGGTGAGCCTAATGCTGCTATTTTGATTAGATGAAACAAGGAGGGGGGGAATATAAAGTAATTTCAGGACGCTCTGTGCTGGGAAACCTTCTGTTCACGTCCTCGGATAGAATCTGTAACACTTGCAAAGGGGGAAACGTCCCCCTCCACCTTCCTGGAGAGGAAAAGGTTTGGGAGGAAATGGAGGTCAGGGAAACACACCCTAACACACACACTCACACACACACACATGCACACTCTCTCTTTCTCTCCTCCAGACTCTCATTTTACACACACCTACAATTCACTTAATAGACGTACACACTCGCATACACGTCTGGGCCCCCCAGGAACACCCGTATTTACACACGATATCCCCAGTCCCCCCAAAGGTACACACGCAACGCGAACTGGAGAGGCACATTCGCACATATGCAAGCATTCCCAGACTTCCCGCGACACACACATTCACGCCCTTACACATACAGACACACACTCAGACACTTGAACATAGATGTAGGCACACAGACTCACTTAAGCTGTGCGTAAATATTTACATACACACACACAAGACGTGCTCACGCAAGCACATCCTTGCTAAGACCACATTTCCTGGCAAATTCTGGTAATTCTGACCCCTCTGCCAGAGTTCTTGGTGCCTCTTTGGGAAGAGACAAAGGAAACTAGGGACCTGTCCTTCCTAGAAAGGGAGTAATGTGTCCCCAAGGAATTGGACCCCAAACAAGGATTATTTCTTTCCCCGGAAAGCCAATGACTAGCAAATGCTCCAGTGCCTTCTGGGCTTCCACCTAGAGCTTGGAGCAGGATCTGGGTGGGCCTTGACAAACGGGAGAGCAGAGCGGGAGAAGATGTATTGGTGGGTCCCAGGCCATGAATTGCAGGAAACCATCATTGCCTGAGAATTTCCATGTTGACCTCAGAGGCCAGTGTGGAATGGGGTGGCGTGAGCTGCTGTACCTTCATCCCTGAAGGCCCCAAGAGGCCAAGCTCAAAGAAGCTCCAGACTCCCAAAGCTTCCCAGGATCTAGGGCCCAGGGGCTGGACACTGGAGCTTAGAGGCACAGGGTCAGGACCAAACTCCTCAACCACTGTTCCCATTCCCCAGCACCTCCTCCCCAGTGCCTGCATCTCAAAAGGCAAGCTAAATGGCTCTGTATTTGTAAATTAAATATAGCTGCACTTCAGCTTTCCAAAGAGCTGGGAAGGAGAGAAGGAGAAAGAAAAAGAGAGAGAGGAAGAGAAGAAAAGCTGCCGCCCTCAGGAAAGTCTGGCTGGTACAGATTGCCTGAGTCATGAATATTCATCTGGCGAATGAGGAGAGCGGGAGTTTGCATAACAGCTCCACCCACCCAACTGAAAGAAATGTCACCGCCTTTGCCAATAAAGTGCCAAAGGAAGCCGGTGGAGGCTGCCAGCCAGACGGTGCCAAACTGCTGACTTCCACTCTAAGGCGTGGAGAAAGCACATTGTTTCCGGCCCAAGGAGCCGCCACTTGGGGCTGGGGGAATGAAGCTGGCTTCTGGGAGAGAACCAAGAGGAAAAGTTTCACTTGCCACCCACAGGAAGCCTGGTGGGCAGAGCGCCTAGGCCACAGCCCTCCCTAGGGCCCCTCTGAAGACAGGCTCAAAGCTGACTCTTCCAGGGCACCCACCCTGGCCAACCACCAAGGGCCCAGGTTCCAGGCTGGCTCCAGCTGCGAGCCCCATGCTCAGGACTGCCTTAAAGAAACCTCAAGAGGATCCTCATGAGTCCCAGGTTGTTACTAGGGACCAGGAAGCAAGGGGACAAACCAGATGTCACTTTGGGGCCTGGAAGTTTTCCTTGGCCCCATTTTGCAGAAGGGATCACCAACTGCAGGGTCATACACACTTCCAAGGCCCAATCCTACTATCTCTTATTCCAAGACATCTTCCCAGATTCCCTGTCACCAAGACAGAGTCAGTCTCTGTGTCCTCTGCACACCCCAGTCCTGATAGCTTCCTTTGATCCCAGCCCTTTCTGGCCCATGACTGCTTCCTCCCCTGACCTGTGAGCTTAGAGAGTGGGCTCTTCCTGATTGATCGGCCTCAGTGCCCCAGCCCAACATGAGATTCAGAGAAAGCACCTTGAGCAATTCGTTGAGCAGAGTCGATTCTTCCATGCGTTCCCCTCCCCATGCCTGTACCTGGCTCTGGATCTGTCCTTTCTTGGAATCGTGCTTGTCAAGTCCCTGGGAGGAGAGGCATTCCATCCCGGCAGCTCACTTTGGGCCCACTGAGATCAGGACTGAAGCCGAGCAGCTGGCCTCCCATCCTCAGCACCCTACTCCCCATGAAGAGCACGGACAGGCTCCAGCTCCCGTGGCACCCCATCCTCATGGCGGCACCCATTAGGTGGTGTCACAAATGCGCCTGCCTGCCCGCCAGCCTTCCACAGCTGGCTCCCTCCAGTAATTACCTAAATGAATGGGAGAAGCAGAGCTGAAGAGAAGACGTTCTCTTAGTACAGAAAAGCAATTAGGGCTGTGGGCGTCTCCAGCTGCTGCTCCTGTTATGTAAAGTTTGGGATGTGTATTTGGGACTTAATGAGGATATTCGTGTGTTCACATCTTACCTTCGCAGACTGCTCATTTCAAGCATTCCAAGTCCGCCTGGCTGCCGTACACAGCAATACAAGCTAGGCCACAGGTTCTGAGGGAGGAGTACCACTATGGGGCAGCCAAGGAGCCCCTCTTCCAGGACTCATGGAACCACAGAAATCTATGATGACAACCCCTTAGAACCTGGCTTCCTTCTGCAGGATTCCTGCTAAGTCCACATTCTGCTTGAGGCCTCTGGGAACTCAAATTCCTCTACCACCTCCTTCATGGGTTAAACATCTGCAATTGCTTTCAAAGTTCTTCCTTGAACTGAGCCAAAATTTGCCTCTTTGCAACATTCTTACATTTGCCCAAACAATTCTGTATGTCTGGGACCACACAGGATGCGCTGCTCCCTCTGCCCCAGGTCCGTCACTAGTCCTGCAGGAGGCAAATCGATATGGAACTGAAAAAGCTTCTGTAGTTGAATAAGCTTGAGAAAATGCTACATTAAACAAGTTTCTTCGCTGCAGGACTTCTCAAAGCCTTTACTGTACTCACGTGCACTGAGCTGTGGGTGCTGCATTTCCTGAACACATCTGCTCATAGAACCCTTTTCTGTGAAACAACTGCAAGAAACTAAAATTCCAAGGACAATGTGTTTGAAAGCACTGCTTCGGCAGGTTAAAAGCAAACATCTAATTCCTTGGCCTGAGCTCCTTCGAGCATTTCTCCTAGATGGGCATGATGCCCAGCCTCCCCTGACCCTGGTCATTTTCTGTGGGTGAGCTCTGCCCGCGTGTCTGCCTCTCTCCACTGCTCCAGAGAAGCTCTGGCCACTGAGAGTCCAAAAGAGCATTTATCTCCACTATCCAGAACCCCATGCTCCCACTGATGCAATCAAAACACCATTAGAGGCCCAGCAGCCGAATCACACTGAGTATATTCCTTAAAAGTCTTCCCAACAAGCCACTACTGAGCCACAACTCCTTGTTCTGCTCTCGGGCACTGCAGTTGGAACCCACAGGCAGACCCCTCCATGCTCAGTGTTCCAGACAACAGAGTGCTGACGATGCTTTCTCTGGACAGCCAGATGGTGGGCCGTGGTGAGTCCTCAAATATCTGTACACCAACTGGTAGTTCACACACAGTTGGGCTTTTTCACAGCATCACCAAAAGGACGAACTTGTTCTCTTGTTCTAGTGCTTGGTCAGCTCAGACTCACTGGCAGAGTGCTCCACTCATCCAGGCTCTGGCCTGGAAGTCTCACCAGACTGAGCTCACCGTCTATGCCTGCATGGATGGGAGGCCCTGGCTCCACCAGGCCTCGGCTTTCCTGCTCCTTCCGTCGCCCCTTCCATGTGTTTCTTCTCATCATCCTGCAAGCGTGTGTTCAAGCCCAGGCATGGAAAATAGGTTCATCTCAGCAGCCAACTCCAAGAACCTGGTAGCGGCTCCCTGAGCTGGCTATTAGGAGAAAGATTTTATGGCTTCATCTGGGCTCGGCAGAATGACTAGTGATGCCTGCCAGGGCTGGGGAGTGAGCAGGGAGGCACACGAGCCAGTTATTGACATCTCTATTCAAGGCTCAGTCCCTTTCCCTTAAATCAGCTCCCCCAAGCTAAAATCCTCCTTTCTCCCACAACAAACTCCCTTACTCCCACACACGACAATGCACAGCCTCATTCCTCCACTGAAACTGCTCGGTCCAAGGTCATCAACAAGGTCCTATTTGTCAAGTCCTGTGCCCTTTCCCCAGCCTCCGTGCCTTTGCATCATTAGATATGGTTGACCTTTCCCTAGAAATTCGCCCCCACACCCATGGAATCCTGAGACACTCCATGCTCCTGTAGCCCCGCGCCTTCCTGACCACGCATCCTGTTTCTTCACCCGTCTTGTCACCATGGCTGTGTTCCAGGCTCAGTTTCCAGCTTTCTCCTGCACCTGCCGATGCACTCTCTCCCTCTGAGATTTCATCCCTAGCTCTGTCCTTGGGGAAAAGCCCACCCCAGCCCTCCCCTTCTAAGAGGCAGCCATACTGCCCACCAGCCACTGCCACAGAACAAAGCTCTGAAAACCCAGGGCCTCCTTCTTCCTCCAGCATCAACTCTTGCTCTGGGTTTGCCATGATGCATGAAGCTTCCGGGCACCAAAGGGCAAATTCTTGGCTTATGTCTTGACTCCTTATCCACATCTGTTAAATCACCACATGCTGATTCCTCCTATTTAGTATCTGCCTTATTTCCAAAATGCTACAACAAATAGAATTATTCTTTGTTCTGATTAAAAAACATGATATATCTTCATTATAAAAAAAAATCTAACCAATACTTAAAAGTACAAAAAAGAAAGTAAAAATCCTACCTCCCAGATACAACCACTCCAAGCATTTTGGTGAACAGCCTTCCAGACATATCTCTATGCATATATACACATAGAGATCTATGTATATAATTTTATAGACGAGGAATTGTATTATACATACTGTTCTCGCTGACACCTGCTTTTCTCTCTCAACAATATGTCCTAGACATCTTTCTATGTCAATAAATAGAGCTCTACAAAATTATTTTAATTACTTCATAGTAGTCCATTATATGTATCATACTTTATTTAACTGGGTCTTTACTGATGATCATTTAAGGATGTTGTGAGAATTTTGTTCTCATAAACAATGTTGTGATAAATATCCTTGTGCATATTCTCTTTGCTCATTTTTGCAACAATTGCCTTAGAATAAAATCCAATAAATGAGATGGCTGCAATTAAGGGTATGCTATTTCTATTTTGCCACTCTGTCCTTCAGAAAGCTTACAACAGCAAAATTCTCATCAACCGTGCCCACACATTAGTCCAGACCCTCATCAAGCCTGGGTTTTGTCAGCCTTAATGTTTGGCCAGATCAACAGAAGGCAAATGATGCTTGTTTCTATTGGCATTGCTAAGATTATAGGGAGGGGGAAATAAATGTCTTTTTGTTTTTTCAGGCATTTGTAGTTATTTTCTTTGTGAATTGCCTGTTCATGTCCTTTGCCCATTTTTCTAATGAGATATTTATCTTTTTCTTAATGATTTGTAAGAGCTCTTTGTACATTAGAAATAAAATTAAACTGTTGTCATATATATATATATATATATATATACACATACATATGTATATACCCCTCTTTTAAAATTTTCTTATAATGTTCTTTAAGGTACTTAAATGTTTAATTTTCATATAGTCAAATTTATCAATCTTTTCTTTTATGATTTCAAATATCACGTCATACTTAGAAGAATCTTCCCCACCTTAAGATGATCAAAATATTCACTCATATTTATGCCATGTGGTCTTCATGGCTTGAGCTTATTAGACCAAGTCAGAGAGTTCTTACCCCAATAAGGAGTGTTGCTATGGCTGGCCCATTATCCCAACGCCATTTATAAAATAGCCCATATTTTCCCAACTCAATTAAAATGCTGTTTTATCATATAAAAATACCTTAAGGCTGGGTGCAATAGCTCATGCCTATAATCCCAGCACACTGGGAGGCCAAGGTGGCAGATCGCTTGAGCCCAGGAGTTCAAGACCAATGTGGGCAACATGGTAAAACCCTATCTCTACAAAAAAATCCAAAAAATTAGCTGGGTGTGGTAGCCTGCACCTGTAGTCCCAGCTAATCAGAAGGCTGAGGTGGGAGGATCACTTGAGCCCGAAAAGCCAAGGCTGCAGTGAGCCAAGATCACACCACTGAACTCCAGCCTGGGCAACAAAGTGATACTCTGTTCCAAAAACAAACAAAAATTCCCTTAAATATCTGGGCCCATTTCTAGACTCTAGTCTGTCCCAGTGATCTGTCTGTCTATTCCTAGACAAGAATTTTAATTATATTGTGCCTTTATAAAACATTTTAATATCTGATAGAGTAAATATTCATCATTTTTCTTTTTTGGAATTTTCCTTATTCTCATTTGGTATTCTTCCAGATTAGCTTCATAATTATTTTGTCAAAAAAAATTCTAATCCTGTTGGGATCTTGATTGGATTATCTTAATTTCACACATTTGTTTAGGAGAATTGACATCCTTAAAGCATTAAATCTTTCTACTCAAGAACTAGGTATATACCATATTTATTCAAACTCAGAAGAGTTTTCTTCATGTAATGCTACACACTTTTTTGTAAAGTTTATTTCTGAGTATTTTGTGTTTGTGTTTTACAGTATGGATGGAGCTTTTATTTTACCTTCTAGATAGTCATTTTATAAATAGAAAGACTGTTAGTTTGTGTAAATTTTTTTGTTACTGGCCATTTTACTAAACTCTATTTTTTCTGATTGTTTTACAGAATATTGTCTTGAGTTTTCCAGATAAATAATCATCTTATCTGCAAACTATGATTATTTACTCCTCTCTCCCAACATTTATACTTTCTGTTTCATCTTCTTATCTAATTGCAATGCCTAGCACTTTTGGAAAAGAGTTTTTTAAATGTTGATAACAATGGTTATCCTGATCTGGTTTCTGATTTTAATGACAAAACATCTAGAACTTCACCAACCTAATATCTCTCGTTCCATTCTCTCCACCTCTGTAGCCACTATCTTATCTAGCCCATCCTAATTTGTCAACTGTGTTACCATAAATATGGTGAATAAGGATACAGGGTTTGAAGTCAGATGACCTGTGTTCAAATCCTGACTCCACCATTTGCTAATTATGTGGTCTAGTCAAGTTACGCAAGATTTTGGAAAGTCAGCTTAAAAAAAAAAAAAAAAAAGAGGGATGGGGGAGGCTCTTTTAAGGATTAAGTGAGATAATACATGAACTATGTGTAGCATCCATAAATGATAATTTTTAAAGTCTCAGCCCCCAATTTCTCTTTCCAATCCTATATATATATATATATATATATATATATATATATATATATATCCCACTCTTACGTTGATCTTCCCAAAATATCACTGTGTTCACATCACTTATCCTTTCCCTTCCTCTGCTCACAAATCTGAAGCTACACCCCATTGCCTACAAAATCAAGCCCAAATTCTTAACCTTGCATTTGAGTCATTCCATTATTCAATCCCAGACTTTCTTCTAGTCTCATTTCCTATAGACCTCAGCCACCCTCACCCCACTACGCACCCTCACCCACCCTTTACTCCCGCCTACAGGGTCTCCTCATTCATGGCTGCCTAACACCAAGTAGACTCTCGGCTCCCTACTCAGATCCCTCCATCAGCCCCCGTATCAGCCCCTGTATCCAAACTGGCCTAATAAAGCAGATTGATTAGTTCATGTAATACTCCAGATGCAACAAACATCAGGCATAGTTTGACTGGGGCTGGGACTCCATTTTTCTGTGATTTTCCAGGTTCTTCCCACCTCCATATGTTGGCTACATTCTCAGGTTAGTGTTCCTAGTCACCAGATGCCTGCCAGAAACTAGGCCCACATGTTTCCTCATTCAAATCCAGATACAAAGAGATTAGACGTGCTTCCCCAGCCATCTCACCAAAACCCCGAGTTTCTGTCTGATGGGGCCAATCTGAATCAATTCCAGTGACTAGGAGAATGTATGTATGGTTGGTTTGGAACCAGCCAATGTGCCAAGGTCAGAGAAGGGGGCATTATCTGAATTGGCTAAACCAATCAGGATCCACCTCAGAGCCACACACACTGATGGAGACAGAGGTGGCGTCGACAACCTCACTTGCACTACAGCCTCTTCCACTTCTCTTCCCTGGGACTTAGGCTTCCTTTAAGGCCCAAGTCAAGCCCCAGACCTCTGGCAATGTGCCCCTCCATTTGGCTCCTAGAGCTCTTACTCTGCTTGACGCATAGTAACCACTGCCATATATAATTTATTTATGTAGTCATTTGTCTCATCTTTCCAATTAGTAGTCACAGAACTGATTGAAGCCTACAAAATGCTTTCCACAAGCTAGCCCCTTTGACCTTCACCACAGTCCTGTGAGACTCAGAGGGGTTAAGTGATTTGCCCTATGTCACACAGCCAGAAACAACATTGTCCCAGAGGCCTCTGCAGCAATTGCATACACACACACACACACAAACACACACACACACCACAATCCCTCCTCTAACCTGCAACATTGGTCTGATCTGAAGATGCAGAAACCCCCCTGGAACCACCTCCTTTTTCCACTTCACCTCAATTTCTAGAGCTCTTAGTTTTCCTCCAAAAAGTACAGGGAAAGTTTTCTTGCCAGACAGCAGTTTCTAAGATTTGTGTGACAAGGCCAAGTAAAATTCAAATGACTCTGGGTGATTTAATCTGCTTGGGGCTGGGGTGGTAAATCAGGGCAGCCCAGGCTGCCACAGCCGCCCCAGAAACGCACGAGCCAAGCTGATGATAGGAGTTTATCTGCAGATCTGCAGGTGAGGGCCCTGGAAGCATGAACTGTGGCCAGGGGAGTTCCCCTCCACTGCACTCAGAATACATTTGGAAGGTCCTATGGCCCACAGCCTCTCTCGACCTACATGTTCCACCAGAAACCATCCTTCCCAAGGCTGCAGCCCCAGTTCCTCCCTCTCCCACCCCCCACCCCATCATCAGAGCTGTTTCCCAAGTCCACACTGGACTTTTCAGGGGAAGGAGACCAGCATGGGTCAAGCTCTCACTGAAACTGCCGCCTCAATGCCAGGCCCTCATGTACCCATTACCTCATTTCATCTTTACAACAACTTAATGAGGGAGGCATGCCCATCCCCAGTTTACAGGTGACTTAATTGAGGCTCAGAGTGATTAAATTTCTTGCCCAGGGTCATTACACAGCTAGTAGGAGGCAAAGCCAAGATTCAAATTTAGTCTCATGAGACTCCAAAATCCCCATCCTTTTAACTCTACCCCATTATGGAGGCCAAGAGGAGTAAGAAGATGGCAGCTTCACTTGGGACCATGTTGTTTGAGAAAAGAGAGGAGCAGGCCCTGGTGGAAGGGAGGTTGTTATTGTGAGCAAATGAAGCAACAGTATTCCCATAGAGAGGAAACATCAAAGGAAAAGGTAGTCACACTTAGGTACCCACTGTGCTAAGCAATATGTGTATATCTGGGTACCATGTGCCAGGTGCTCTACGTCCATCATCCAAACCACAACTCTATATGCCATAAATATTTACTGTTAGCTGGTAAATACTTACCAACCAGCTTTTTGAAAGAAAAAAGGAGTCCTGATTTGTAGCATTTGCCAATTTCTGTGGTGTAAATACTCCCACGATGGTCAATTTCAAGCTACCAATGGGATGTCAATGCATGCAGAATTGGGAAGAGATGCCCAAACGTTTGCCAGTAGGAACCCACTCCAGTGGGTTCTGTTAGCCAGTAGGAACCCACTCCAGCACTCTACTGTCAGTAACAGAGGTGTTGTTAGGCCAGGTGTGGTGGCTCATGCCTGTAATCCCAGCACTTTGGGAGGCCGAGATGGGCAGATCAGTGAGGCCAGGAGTTTGAGACCAGCCTGGCCAATATGATGAAATCCTGTCTCTTTAAAAATACAAAAAAAAAAAAAATAGCTGGGTATGCTGGCACACACCTGTAATCCCAGCTACTTGAGAGGCTGAGGCAGGAGAATCACTTGAACCTGGAGGTGGAGGTTGCGGTGAGCCGAGATGGCACCACTGCACTCCAGCCTGGGCGACAGAGCGAAACTCCATCTGAAAAAAAAACAAAAACAAAAACAAAAGTTGTCGTTAAACCCACTTAACAAATGAGATCATACAAAAGGTGCTTGGGCTAAAATCCATGCCTTTATAATTTTCTAAAGTCCACATTCCCTCCACAGCTCCATGTTCCCAGAAACAAAGATGATGCAAGGAACCACAATCACTGATCTCTAATCTCTGAAGGAGGGTAGACGCCAGTGAAGTCCTGAAGGGCAGAAGAAGGCCAATGGGTAAAAGTTCAGCTGCTCAATATTCAGTGTATAGAAGAACTTTCTGAATGCCCCTCTAGGCTGACAGCTACGGAAAAGCAGTATCCAGGCATGGCTGGCACATAGTAAATGCTCAGTAAATAATTAATGAATGAATGAGACATTACACACTGTTCCATTGATACCTCAAACTCACCAGATCTAAAACTCAGCTATCTTTGTTCCCAAAAAATCCCTCTCTCCTCCTGTGTGTCCCATCTCAGTGAATATCACCAAGCCAGAACCTGAGAGTCCTTGTATCTTCACTCTTCTCCACTCCCCATAGCCAATCAATCAACAAGTCCTATCTATTCCACTTCCCAAATACCTTGTGAACAGGTGCTATCCTCAGTGTCCCCACTCTGCCACCCTGACTGGGACCATCACCACCTCCTGCTGAGCTGACACACAGCTTCCTGACCTGTCTTGTCAGCACGTATCCTTGGCCTGTATCTGCTCCCAGCCCCTATCAAATCCATGATCAACAAAGCTGCCAAAGTCATCTTTCAAAATTGTACCTCTGAGCATGTCACTCCCACAGCTTCAATGAGTCCCCATTACCCAAAGGATGGAGTCAAACCCCCTTGGTCCTCCCGAGGTCTGGTCCCATCTCCCTCTCCTAACTGATGACTCGCCTCCTCCCACACCCCACATTGGTCTTTTGTGGTTTTGTTTTTGTTTTTGTTTTTGTTTGAGACAGGGTCTCACTCTGTCACCCAGGCTGGAGTGCAGTGGTGCCATCTCGGCTCACTGCAACCTCTGCCTCCCAGGTTCAAGTGATTCTTCTGCCTCAGCCTCCCAAGTAGCTGGGATTACAGGTGTGCGCCACTACACCCAGCTAAATTTTGTATTTTTACAAAATACATGTTGGCCAGGCTGGTCTCAAACTCCTGATCTCAGGTGATCCACCCACCTCAGCCTCCCAAAGTGCTGGGATTACAGACGTGAGCCACTGCACTCGGCCACATTGGTCTTTAATCTTCAATGTCAACCTGCTTAATGTTCACTGCACCGTGCCTCCACCCATGCCTTTGTTCACACTATGTCTCCTGCCTGGAATGCCCTCTTTTCCCTCTTCCATCTTTTGCTTTCCTTTGCCTGATAACTCCTACTCATCCTGTAGGATGTAAAGGAAGATAGTTTAAGTAGATGATTCCTGGAGATCTTTTTAATCCTAACATTTCATGATTCTAATGCCAAGTCTTGATATTCAAGGTCCTCTGGATATTATAGTCACCTTCTTTCTCCTTAGGACCCTGCAAAGGTCTCTAGGGATCCTGTAATCCAACTCTACCATTTTACAGACAGAAAATTGGACACCCAAAGAGGGAAGAGGACTAGCCCAAGATCACACAGCAACTCAATGGCAGAGCCAGGACAAGAACTGGGCACCTGCTTCCCAGCTCAGGGCTCTTTCTTTGCACTACATCTTCCAACCTGATCCTCCTCTGCCAACATGGATATTCTCACCACAACCATCACTACCCGACTCAGACTTACCTCCTCTCACCAGAGCCATACTCACACCTTGCCTGCCTTGGCCCAGGATGTTGCCAGGCTGTTCCCTCAACTCCACTCAACTTCCAGGGTCCTCTACCTCCAAGAAGCCTACCTTCATTATCAGGCCAAAACCCTCCACACCCACTCTTACATACCCTTCCCCAAACCAGCCATGTTTGTCGGAGCCCAGCAACTAGGGCTTGGTTCACTCACATGCGGTAGGTGTCTTGTTCAGTTTCACCAGGCAGGATGTCCACTCCTTAAGGCTGGCTGGTATCTCTTCATCTTCTTTCTTCTCCTCCCTTTACATCCCCCAGCTCGATACACAACTGCTCAGGGTAGCAAAGTATAGCCAAAAACAGCATCAGAGGTCAGACAGATGGAGGTTCAAATCCCAGCTCTGTATGCCCTGCAGGGTTGACCTTAAGTCATCTGAGCCTCAACCTTCCTTATCTGTAAAATAGCTCCTACCACCCAGGGTTGCCATAAGGACTGAATGAGCTCACCCATATTACAGGCGTAGCACTTGGTGGGCCCTTAATAAACGAGAGCTCCCTTCTCCACTGCCTTTCTCACTGAAGCCCAGGACACTTGGAGAAATTGACTCCTCTGGGCTGGGAGAGGGGCAGCCTCATGAATACTTTCTCTCACTCTCATCCTCAACAGGCTACGAGCAGCCTGCATACAGACACATGGGGCATTTCCAACCCCCTTCCCCACCCCCAACAATCTGCTTTAACCTTCCCATCACAAATGCCTTGTTTATTTCAATATCACCCGTTTTACTTTTCCGTTCACGCAAAAAAAAAAAAATTACAAAAACAGATTTAAGGGGAAAAAAAGTATTTAATGAGTAAAACTGTCTGTAGCTCTGTTTCTTTCTCAGGAAAAAGTGGCTGTGATTCTGGCATAAGAGAGGGAAGCTCAACAGCTTCACTTCATTGCAGCTGCCAGGAGAAGCACATTTCAGAGTGGAACAGAATCTCCAAATTAAACAGCGCGTCTTCCAGCCAGGAGCTTCCTGTGCCGAATTCAGCTTGGCAGGTGACATCCCAGCTTAAGCAGAGATCCAGCCCCAATGTGAGCAGCTGCAAGGCTCCCTCCTGTTGCCCCTCCTCCAGCATAGGAGAACCAGCCTGGCCAGGCCCTGGCAAGCCACTGACCACCAGAAAAAGGGCTCTAAGAAGGGAAGGAGACAGCTGGAAAAGGAATGGATACACCTGGCCAGTAGGAACTAGGGAACCAGGAGCTCTCCCCGTTCCAGAACATTCAGAGACCAGCACTTTCTTCTCCCTTGACTTAGGGTAATTGGGCATAAAGAACAAATCCAAGACAGACCTCAAACAAAAACCCAGAGAATATGCAGTGTCTTTCCCACCTTCAAAGGTGTCATTTTGGAGGCTGCTCTGGATGGAATCCAAGGGTCAAACTCCAGAAGGACTCTGCCTCCCCTAATAACTTGAAAAGAAAGGGAGAGAACTGGAAAAACAGAAAATAGCACATGACCTTCAAATACCTGCAGTACAAACTGCCCCAGGGCAGAGAGTAAACTGAGGCTAGAGAGAGGCCCCCCTCCCTTGTCCCAAACACCATACTTCTATTAATGTAGCCTACTGACTCATGCTGAACTTACTGGCACTTGAGCTTCTAAATCTTTCTCATGAGCTGCCCATCCCTTCTACAATTTTTCCTGTAGTCAAGATGGGCCTCAGCCTTTTTCCCTGTGATATTTCCTCAGCTAAATTCACCTTGCCACGCCAGTCTGTCGAGATCTTTCTAAATCCTGATTCTGCTGAGGTTTTCTCTGTCCCTTGGAGCTTTCTACCACTCCACCTTTTATAAGTCTGTATCCTCCATGTCTTCTTATAGGTCCTTGGCATAGACTGATCAAAGCAGGGTGGACAGCCCCATGGCAGTGTCTAGAGGCCTTCTGTAGACTGACCTGGTTACACTTACGTGAACATTTCATGGCTGTTGTTTGGCCCAATGGGAGCCCTCTTTGCGCCCTCTCAGACATCCTTCATGTCCTCAAAAGTCACGAGAGACTCTACCCAACATCTTAGGAGACAGTGTGATATGGCAGAAAGGGTCAGACAGACCCAGGTTTGAATCCCAGCTCCACCCACCTTGGGCAAGTCACTTCCCGGAGACTCAGTTTCTCATCAGTAAAATGGAGATTGTCACGTCTTGTTTAATCCACAAGCTTGTGAGGATTAAATAAAACCATGCGTGTGAAGTATCCAGCACACAGTTGGTGCTCAATAAATCACAGATTCCTCTCCACCCATGCTGGCTCGTTTTCTTTACCCACGAGTCATTAAGCTGTCAAGAACCTAAGAGCTGTGCCCGGTCTTGGTGAACCCATGTTGGCTTCAGGGATCACTGCCTTCTTTTGTATGTCACAGATCTCACCATCCATATTAGACCCTCATACTAATTTGAGATCGGCCAAAACCCTGGATCTTTTTTTGTCTGAATTCCTGTCAAGACAGTCCTTCCTTCCTGGACCTGTACAGCTTTTTAAATAACAAGAATAACAGTAGTAATGACAGCTTGATCCTTCCAATCTCACTATGAAATTTTTTTTAAAGTATCTGCATTGTGCCTGTCAGGAAACTGAGGTTCAGAGAGGTTACATAACCCTCCCAAGGTCACACAGCTGGAGATTGTGAAAGCTGAGTGCAGCTGTCTGACCCTGACCACCACACTCACGCATTAGAGAATATTTCCTAAATGCTGGCCTAAGGGGGCATATTGTCTCTGGCCTTGCTGCATGTGTCTTTCAGCCTCAGCCCAAAGTTTCACTTGGTTGAGTGCCTTCTAGGTCCTGACACTGTCATCCACAGGGTGGCCTCCCCTCACCCCACCTCCCAGCCGCTCTGTGCCCACCACCTTCATATTAAATGGGACTGGACTGAGGCACAGACCCCACCACTCCCTGAAGACTGAAACAGTGGGCTTTTCATGTTGGCCCCCAAGCCCACATCACACCATAAACTCTTTGATGCCTGGGCCCCCGATGCCCCCACAGCCCAAGCATAGGGCCAGCTTGGACCCTCTTTCCCAACCCCTCATCAGGGCTTAGCCACCTGCCACCAAACCCTGATGCCTCTGAACTGACCACTGCCTCCTGAATCCCTGGTGCCAGGATTACCCCCTGTCCAAGTGGCACCCCAAGGCCCCTCTTCCCAGACTGTCCAGGTGCTGAGGCCAGCTGCTGCTCATGTGGCTGTCCTCCAGCACTGACTACAGCCTTTGCCCTTCTCCTGATGCCTCCCAGCCCAGGGCTCAGACTGTGCTATAGGGTGAGGGAATTCCCTAAGCATGAGGCCCAGATGTGCCCACAGGCAAAGGAAGGGGTGGACCCAGGAGGCTGCCAGGGACAGGGCTCAGGCCTGTGGCCACCAGGTTTGCAGCCCACCAAGGAAAAGATTCCTAGACATTCCTAGGGAAGCCATTCATGGGTCTGTTTGCAAATCTTTGACAATACCCAAGCAGGATGCCCCAAACCTGAAAGCTCTATCAGAGACTTGCCCTCGGGCCTCAAAGTACACAGTTACCCACATCATCAAACACAGTCACCCACATCATTAAAAATGCAGTCCTGACTGGGCATGGTGGCTCACGCCTGTAATCCCAGCACTTTGGGAGGCCAAGGTGGGTGGATCACTTGAGCTCATCAGGAGCTCAGGACCAGACTGGGCAACATGGCGAAGCCCCATCTCTACCAAAAAATACAAAAAAAAGCCAGGTGTGGTGACTCACGCTTATAATTCCAGCTAATAGGGAGATTGGGGTGGGAGAATGACTTGAGCCCAGGGAGGTGGAGGTTGCAGTGAGCAGAAATTGCACCATTGCACTCCAGCCTGGGTGACAGAGTGAGACCCCATCTCAAAAAAAAAAAAAAAAAAAAAAAATGCAGTCCTTGACTATCACACACCCACACACACTTTATAAACACATTCACAGAAAACACTTCAAAAGCCCACTCATGCCCGCATGACACACAGAAGCCCATCCATCCACTCAGTAAATATCAATTAAGCACCTGCCAGCTGCCAGGCACTGTTCCAGGCACCCGAAAGACATCAGTGGACAAACTGAACAAAGGTTCCACTCTTTGTGAGGGCTTTCATTCTAACAGGGATACTAACAATTTTAAAAACTTAGGATAGTACATAATAAATAAACAAAGCTAGACATGGTGGCTCACGCCTGTAATCCCAGCACTTTGGGAGGCTAAGGCAGGTGGATCAACTGAGGTCAGGAGTTCAAGACCAGCCTGGCCAACATGGTAAACCCTGTCCCTACTAAAATAGAAAAATTAGCTGGGCTTGGTGGTGTGCATCTGTAATCCCAGCTACTCGGGAGGCTGAGGCAGGAGAATTGCTTGAACCCAGGTGGCGGAGGTTGCAGTGAGCTGAGATCGCACCACTGCACTCCAGGCCAGGTGACAGAGTGCAACTCCCACTCAGAAAATAAAAATAAAAAGTAAACAACAATTAGTAAATCACTTGGTATACTGGAAGGTAATTTAAAAAAGAAAAATGAGAACAACATAAGAAGAACTAGAGAGCTGTGGGGAGGGGAGGGCAGAAATTTTTTTTTTTTGAGACGGAGTCTCGCTCTGTTGCCCAGGCTGGAGTGCAGTGGCACGATCTCTGCTCACTGCAAGCTCTGCCTCCCGGGTTCACGCCATTCTCCTGCCTCAGCCTCCTGAATAGCTGGGACTACAGGCGCCCACCAACACACCCGGCTAATTTTGTTTTTGTATTTTTAGTAGAGACGGGGTTTCACCGTGTTAGCCAGGATGGTCTCAATCTCCTGACCTCATGATCCGCTGGGGCAGGCAGAAATTTTAAGTGGAGGTCAACACTAATTAAGAGTGACACTTAAGGGAACTCTTGAAGGAGATGATTAAGTTATTCATTCATTCATTCAGTGAATGTTCTTGGACATCAGCTACACCATCATGTGCCAGGGACTGTTGTAATAGTGGGGATACAGCCATGAACAAAACAGGTAAAACTCCTACCCTCATGGGGTTTGCATTCTAGCTTTCAGGAGAGAAACCATAAACAAAGAAGTAACTACTAATACCCAGTGTGTCCAATGGTGATCAATGTTACGGAGAAGATGAAAGCAGAGGAGTAAGAACGGGGAGCCTCCCATATCCACCCTCACAAATCCTCCCACTAGGCAAACACACACCCACAGATCACCTCCCAAGCTCACTGTCACACACGCTCACGCCAGACTCTACACAGACTCACAATACAAACACAGGTGCATGGCATCCTCGCTGCTGTAAGTACACTCACCTGAACATACAAATACGCCCACATGCAGGCAAAAACACATGCACAAACACCTACAACACATCGACACACGAACATGCACACAAACATACCCAGCATAAACACGCAAATGCTCACCAAACACACACGCACACCCCAAGCCCGGCTCATTCAAGCCTTGGAGAAACACACCCTCAAGGTCACACAGAGAAACTAGACAGTCAGAACTGGCAGAACCCTGGGGAACCAGCAGAAGCTGGAGCCCGGAGAAAAGCGACAGCCTGCCCGAGGCCTACAGCATGGCCATGGCACTATGGACACCAGTCCGGTCCTGAGTCCAGTCCCAAGGCCAGCACGATGCAGCACACACTACCCCATCCATAGACTGTCAACCTCAGCACTCAACAAAGACACTTACGCTTGCAAAACACTCACAGAAACACACACACACGCTTGCACACAGGGACACACACAGAGGCACACATGTTCATGCAACAGCACAAACCTCATTCCTCTCCCATGTAACAAGGCGGGGTGAGGTCTAGAGAGTTTCTTGCAATTTCAGCATCCCTTGTCCACTTCACCAGCTTCCACCCACCCCACACATCACAGCCGTTCCAGCCACTGACAAATTTTCCTCCTGCCCTTACCTGTGGCCGTGAGCTGTTTGCACATGCAGATGCATCGTGCGTGATTGCTTACATGTGTGGTGTGGAAACGGGTGGACATGTTTGCGTGTAAGTATTCAAGTTTGCAGTGTGTGAACACCTTTATGTGTTTATGCAAGTGTGTGTGCACCTGGGTGTATGCGCATGTTCTCAGGAAGAAAGAGATTTACAATCTAAATCCTGTTTCTCCAGGGAATGAAAGAAAGCAAAGTTCAGGTTTAAATCACACCACCGTGGGCAGGAGAGGTTCCCCTGCCCTACTTGATTATCTGCCGGTGTGCAGCAGGACTGGCTGGCAGACAGGAGGCGGCAAGCAGCCCATCAGCAGGGAGCCATTTGTTGTCTCCAGGCCCCTGGGACCTGCTGTGGCTGCTCCAGGAGTGGGAGACGAGAGCACGGCGACAGCGACGAGCACACGCCCATCCCAGGTGCTGCGGGATGGGGGAGGAAGGGCGCTGGCATCCGGCTCTGGCCTCCTTGTGCTGTAAGGAAAGCAAAGGGAGAAGAGGCAGGAACCCCCAGGCCAGAGAGGAGCCCAGGCACTTCTTGGCCTGGAAGGAGGGAGAGGGTCCAGGCAAGGGGTGGCACGGGCCCCACGGTGGGCCCTGCCCTGCCAACCTCTTCACTGGCCAGAAAGGCATCCACAGGACTCCAGGCAGTTGGAGCCTTAAGCAGCTTGACCTTGCCTCTGACTTCTTTCTCCTGGAACACAGCCTCTTCCCCACACCACCCCCATCTCTCTCTCTCTCTCTCTCTCTGTTTCTGTGGGTTTGCTCTTTGTCTCTCCCTCTCCCTCTCTCTCTGTCTCTATGATTCTTTCACCTCTCTGTGTCTGATTATCTAGCCTTGTCTCTCTGTGTCCATTTCACTCTCTTCTTTTCAAGTTCCTCTATCAGCCCAGGCCTCAGCACTTCCCTCTGCCAACCCTGTCACCTGTGGCCTTGCTTCTAACACACCAGACACCTTCCGAGTATTGTATCCCATTGGTGCCTCTCACCATTCCTTTGGGACAGTCTAGGAGGGTTAAGATTAGAAATCCCATTTTACAGATGAGGAAACTGAGGGCCCAAAGCGTACCCAGGGCCACACAGCTGACACTTGATTAAAAATCTAGGCAGTGGCTCACACCTGTAATCCCAGCACTTTGGGAGGCCGAGGTGGACAGATCATTTGAGGCCAGGAGTTTGAGACCAGCCTGGCCAACATGGCGAAACCCCATCTCTACTAAAAATACAAAAATTAGCCAGGCATGATGGTGCACACCTGTAATCCCAGGTACTCAGGAGGCTGAGGCAGGAGAATCACTTGAACCCAGGAGGCAGAGGTTGTGGTGTGCCGAGATGGCATCACTGCACCCCAGCCTGGGCGACAGAGCAAGACTCCATCTCAAAAATAAATAAATAAATAAATAAATAAATAAATAAATAAATAAATAAATAAAAATAAAAATCCAGGTCTTTCCACTGCATGACCAGCTCCCCATAACTCCACATCACCTGGAAACATGAGCAGTTCTCCCCAGTACCCCATACCTCGAGAGATTTAAGAACCCAGTGGCACACATCAGTGCATCCCACGCCAGCCCAACCACTAAAACTGCCATCAGTTAAGGAAAGGTCCCGGAAAACAATAAGGGCTGAGATGCGTGGCATGGAGACTCTCTTTCTCTGTGTGTCCCAAAGATGCTCCGTGCCAGCCCCCCCACCCCCCAGGTCTGAAGTGCATGTACCTCCCACAGTCCCCAGGCCCACCTGGGATGAATAGACTTCCCACCTCTTGAGTAGGTGCCTCTTGAGGCCTCCATCTTCCCATCTGTACAATGGGGATGATGGGTCTTGCTCACACTGCTGAGTTGGGTTCCTGCTCCAACTCTTGCAGCAGCTTCTCTCCCTCTGCAGGGATCCCCCTGATCCTTAAAAGGCCTTAGACTTTGGCCACCAAGAGCCCTCAGACACCTCTGGAGGACTGCTATGGTTCTCTGGGCCTGAACTCACTTTGGCCACACGGGCAGCTGAGTGGCAACCAGGAAGCCACAGGCCCAGAGGCAGAGTCCCATCTGCAGCAACATCCAACCACCTCCAGAAGCCTCCACCACTGCTTCCAGCCCCCACCCGAGAGGCGTCAGCACCAACGACCCGCCAGGGCCTGCCCATTTTCCTTTCTTTTCATTGCCGGCTCTGCGCACAGTTATAGAACCAGGTCTCCACAGAGTAATTTACTGGCAGAATCTCTCCCAGAATCCAGCTTGAAACCAAGCTGTAAAAACAGCTTCAAGTGTAAATAATTCATGCAGACAATATGACTTTTTTATGTAAATTCGGTGCATTAACCCTCTATTATAATGATGGACGACAGATAGGGGCGACGTTGCCTTGGTAAGAGCTAATGGATGGCCGCCATAAATTCACTGCACATTTTATTGTGTTGCTGGAAATTGTGCCTTCAGGCAATGCTGTTTACTTTTATGTAAAACTCTAGGTTCCCTAAATATTACAAATATTTTACATCCAGCTCCTCAGCATTTGGGCTCTGCCCACAAATCAAGCTTTCTCCATGTGAGTTGTAATTAAAGGTTTGTTGTTTTCTTTTTTTCCTGGGACAATTATCTTCAACCATAAAGAGAAATATTTTTCCCCTTTAGATGTTCCGTCATTGACTTATTAACAAATCCTTTGAAGAAGGAGGCTGGAAGTGACTTGCGGTGGAACTTGGCAGGAGGTGGGTCCACAGGAGAAGAGGCTCTGTGGGTGCAAGAGCTTGGTGGCTGGCTTTCATGTCTGGCCGCCACTCCGTTTTATTTACACATATGATATTCTGGGCCTTCCTCCCCCCTCTTCCTTTCTATAATTCATGATCACTTTAGCAGGGTAATTCCTCTCACCACCTTTGCAAGAGATTGGTCCCTTGCAAACCCCCTCCTGGCCCAGCCTCCTCTGGGGATGCAGACGGCTGGGGCCGCAGGCCTGCGAGAGAAGGAAGTAGGGTCCTCACAGCTGGCTCCCATACACAAGCCGATTCATCCCTCCTTTGCCCCATGCCCACTCACATGGCCCGGACCTCCTTGGACGGAAACTCAGGGTTTCCTGCATTGATTCTCCTTCCATCCAAAATGTTGGGAAAATGCTCTTTCGGCTCACCCCTACCCAGACAGAGGTCCTGAGGATGCCACTGAGTCTTGCCAGAGGTCTGGGGAAAGGATGGCTGAGAATCTCAGCAGCTTATTAATGAAGGGAGGCAACAGCTGGAGCAGCAGCCCTCTTTAAAAATAATCCTCACACTTGTTTATTATTGTCATTAATATTAATGGCCATGCTATTAATATTCATATAGATGCATTAATATCATTCAGGAGCACCTGGGATCTCCAAGCACTCCTAATGGCATGGGACTCTGCCTCCAGGGCCCCCACCTCTCTGCCTGCCCCTCTCCACGGGACGACCGTCCCACACAGGTTCCAAACCATTCTCCCATCTCCTCTCCACCTTCTCTGATTGGCGCTTGCTTTTGGAAGCCCAGAGCCACGTGGGACTTGGAGTCATTTCTAAGTCCTAGGGGCTTTGCTGTGAGGATGGGACTGCAGGCCAGGGATCCTAGACATTTCCTGCCTCCCCAAGGGGCACAGGAAGGTTCCTGACAAAGGTGGCTTAAGAAAGAAAGATGGTTCATTTCCCCCTCAAGGGCTCAATTTCCTGTGGAGTCGAAAAAAAGACACATTGGTTAAAAACAAAGATGAGATATCATTTTTCACCGATTAGATTGGCAAAGATAATTATAATAATAATGGCAACAGCAGTGGCCAGCTCACTGCCTATGTGACAGCGCTATGCTTAACCCTCCACGCTCACTCTCTTACTGAACCTTCACAACAACCTCGTGGCATACCCTTTACGGGATGGAACACATGTAAAACCTTGGTGAGAAGCAGTTTACAATATGTGACAAAATGCAAAATCTGCTTACCCTCCGACCCAGCAATTTCATTTTGAGGAATTTCCCGTGTGTTAATAATTAAAAACACTGTTCCTTCTGAGTGAAACCCTCTTGCTGTCCCCCTCCCATGCTCACCAGTGCTTTCCTCTTCATCCTGACTCTGCCTTTTGCCCACTCATCTTTCAAGCTGAATGTCACCTCCTCAGAGAAGCCCTCCCTGACTCCCAAGCTCAGGTTAGCTTCTCTTGTTTTATTCTGTCATAGCCTGTACGTTTCCTTCGTACTATGTGTACTTCTCCTTCGTACTACAGATCAACTGCTAATTGGATAAGTATCTGTGTAACTGCTTAATACACACGCTCATTGCAAAAAACTGCTGTCTTTCCTGATGGCAGGGGCCAGACACCGTGTCTCCCCACTACATCATAAACTCCACCACAGCCAGGACTGACCATGTCTGTTTTATTCATGATTTCTATGCCTGGCATTGGGCTGGTACATTTCCTATGTACCTGGCATTGGGCTGGTACACAGAACACACTCAAAAAACATCTGTAGCATGAATGAATCAATGAAACATGCAAAGATATATGCACCTAGATATTCATTGCAGGGATCAAGACAATTGGAAAAACATATATCTCCATCAGCTGGGGACTGAGTAAGTAAAGTGAGGTATATCCAGATACTGGTATATCCATACACATAATACAGGCATTAAAACCATGAGGTGGATCTGTATGAATTGACATGAAGGATGTCCATGACATATTGCTGAGTGGGGAGGAAAAAAACAGGTGACAGAACAGCATGTGTCGTCTGATTTCACTCAGGGTGGAGTTGCATACGTGAAATCTATTTGTGTATATTTATGCAAGGAGAGAAGTCTGGAAGGACGTTCACCAAAATGTTATGTGGTTATCTCTGGCTGGTAAAATCTGAGGTGGTTTTTACATTTTTCTTTGAACTTTTCCATATTGTCTGAATTTTTTGCAATGAGCATATGTATCCTTTTTTGCAAAATGATAAAGCTGCTTTCAAAAGAAAAAAAAAGTATAGGTGCATTGGAAAAGGTTGGGGGTGCTTTGTGAGGGCCTCAAATCTGGGAAACCAGGTAAGTTGGAAAGAAGGTGGGGCCAAGGGGTCTCCCCTCCTAGCTGTGCTGGGCACCCTCCCAGGCTACAGGGGAGGGGCATCTAGGCCATACCCCTCCCCTACCCAGTCCTTCCTCCCGGCGCACCATGCCTGTCCAGAGTGGGGTTTCTAAATAGGGATTTCCGCATTTGATTTTCCTGACATGCTTTACCGCCTCAGAGCTGTTTTGCAAAATTCATAGCGGCTTTCACAAGCTCCAAGCTTCCTGGGACCAATTCCATTTTGAACAATAGCAGAGTGCCTGCTTGCGGGAGGGGTCAGCCCACTCCAGAGCAGCCTCCCAGCCTCTGTGAGCTGGGACTAAGGGGCTGGGTGTCGAGGCCACAGCATGAAAATACATGAGCTCATCCTTGTCCTCACTCTTCTCCTCCTCTTCCTGTCAAGGAGAAGGAAGAAGGAAGGCAGCTGCCCCCTATCCCAGTGTGCCTCCTGTGCCCTGAGGGGACCCTATATCCCAGGAAGCCACGCAAAGCCCTTCCCAATGTCCTTCCCTTTTCTAACTGTGTCTCCTTACCCAAGAACCATCTAAAGCCCTAAGAAGCTAAGTGACCAATCCAAGGTCACAGAGCCAGAGAACAGCAGGGTAAAGTGTAGAAGCCAGGGTTCCCACTGCCTGGTCTGTAGATGCTTCAATCTATGTTTTAAAACAGTTTTAAAAAGTGGCTCATGCCTGTAATCCCAACACTTTGGGAGGCTGAGGGAGGAGAATCACTTGTAGCCAGGAGCTCAAGACCAGCCTGAGCAACATAGTGAGACCCAGTCTCTACCAAAAAAAAAAAATACAAAAATTTGCTGGGGTCGGGGGTGGGGGTGGGGGGCGATGCATGCCTGTAGTCCCAGCTACTCGAGAGGCCAAGGTCAGAGGATCCCCTGAGCCCAGGAGTTCAAGACTGCTGTGAGCTATGATTGCACCACTGCATTCCAGCTTGGGCAACAGAGCAGGACCCTGTCACAAATAAATTTTTAAAAAAAAGAAAAAAAGTTTGGTGCCCTATCCCTTAAGATAAATCCAAGACGTACAGCAGCACGATCATTACCCCAACTAAGCCACAAAAGACTCCATCACCAACCTCCCTGCCAAGAGGCCAGAGTGCTTTCTAGAAAACACAAAACTAATCAGCCACTCCTCTGCTTAAAAGCCTTCAGTGGCTCCACGTTCTTTATTGGGGGAGTGGAGGACTTAAGCTCCTTGGCCTGGCACTCAGGATCTTTTGTGATATGGCCTCTGTCATATCCCACTGCACCCCTCCTCTCCTCACTGTGCAGCTTCTGCTCCAGCCACACTAAATGATGTCCTGTCGCACCTCCTCCACCTCCAGCCTTTGTGCTGCTCCCTCCCCTCTTCCCCTGGCTAATTCCTAATCATTCTTTAGGACCCAGCTTGTGCAGCACCTCACCAAGGAAGTCTTTTTTAACCCCTCTACCTCCTGGTGAGTGAGAAACCTCCTTCAGCTCCTACGGATCCTTGTGCTGTTATCCATTCAATCAATCATTTATTTAACAAATATTTATTGAGCACCTACTATGTGCTGGCCACATCACAGCATCTACCACATTGTAGTGTCTGTTTCTGTGCTTGCTTCTACACTGGACAGTAAGCTCCTTGAGGGCAGGGACACATTACCAGGACCCAGCATTAATCTACTTCACAATTGTGCAACTGTGTGGCAACGGCCCAGATCATCAGCTCCATTTTACAGATTAGAAAACCAGGGACCCCTTGACAATGGACATGTGCAAGAAGAGGAAAGGTTTTCTAAAGTACACACCTGACATGGCAGCCCCCACACTTGCACAATCCTTCCATGCCTTCCCACTGTCTTCCCTAAAAGGTTAACCTATTTACCCCACCCACAGGCCTCTGCATGACAGGTCTCTCCTCTCTCCCTTCTCCTACAGTGGTCCCAGCTTCCGGAGCCTTTGTAATTCTTTCTAAACTCCACTGTCTCTCTGTCTCGTTCATCTTGGTTTCTCAAATGCCTGATACATGGTATATGTATGAGTGAATGAAGAATGAATGAACAAATTACATTTCATAGGTATCTGAAACTCAAGATGTCTAAAACTCATCACCTTCCCTCCAAAGAAAACTCTTCCCTTCACCCTTCTGTGTTCACTGTCTCCGTGAACATCCTCATCAACCATCCAATCTCTGCAGCCACAAACTGGATGTCCCCCAACTCCTGCTCCTCCCTCTCCCTCCCCTCACTTTGTTGTCTAATCAATCTCTGGATACTAATCGTTTTACCTCGGGAATACCCTCTGATTCCATCCCCTTTCCTTTCCCCCTGCTGCCGTGGCTCCAATCTCTGTCTCCTGGCATATCCCTCTGAGTCCTTCCTCACTGTGAAAGCAGAGTGATATTTCTACCCTGACCATGACCCTGTCCTTCTTGAAGGCCTCCAGTGAGTCCCGCTTCCCTCAGGATATGCGCCCTGGGTGGTCTAGTCCAGCTACCCCGACTCCTGACAATGAGCTCCTTCCTGGTCTCCAGCCTCTCTGAACAGGCCAGGTGCTGTCACAGTGCCACATCCGTGCTCCTCAGACTCTACTTCTCATCTGGCTAACTCCTAGTCACCCTCCAGGATCCCACTCAACAGCCGCCGCCTCAGAAACTCTCCCCAACC
The DNA here is from genome assembly GCF_000001405.40 of Homo sapiens. NCBI lineage: Eukaryota > Metazoa > Chordata > Mammalia > Primates > Hominidae > Homo > Homo sapiens. Next base: position 38,090,197 of record NC_000001.11, on the reverse strand, counting down.
CCACCTCACCCCTACTCCTACTCAGGGCCAACTGAGCTTCCGAGGAGCACCCTGCGCTGGCCTCTGCCATCAACCAGTAACCCGGGTCCTCACTGCCCACTGAAGGGCTCATCTCTCCCACTGCCCTGTGAGCCCATCAGCGGCAGGGTGCCCAGGGTCCAGAGAATACGCATGTCACTGTCTCCAGTGAGTTGTTCTTTCCACTGTGCTGCAACTTCATTTCACAGTCAGTCTAGCAAGCATTTCACACGCACATGCGCACACACACACACAAATTGAGACATGCATAGGAATGCACATACAGAGACACACACATAGTCATACTGACACACAGATGCACAGACACAAATAGCAGATCCCACAGACATACCTAGTGACCCACACAGAGGCATTCAAGCGTGGGCAGCCACTGATATACACATATGAACATGAACATCCATATCCATGCACATATGCACATGCATGCACAGCCCACATGGATGCACAGAAACACACAGACACACCCAGTCACAAATACATAGACCGGCAGACAAGCACAACAGGCACACAGAAATGTACATACACAGCCAGGTACAGTGACTCACGCCTGTAATCCCAACAATTTGGGAGGCCAAGGTGGGCGGATCATTTGAGGTCAGGAGTTCGAGACCAGACTGGCCAACATGGTGAAACCCCATCTCTACTAAAAATTAAAAAATTAGCCAGGCGTGTTGGCAGGTGCTTGTAATCCCAGCTACTGGGGAGACTGAGGCAAGAGAATCGCTTCAACCTGGAAGAAAAAAAAACAAAATGTACATACACACACATTCTGAGATGTACACATATAAAACCATAGACTCATATGCACTCATGCCCAGACCAACACAGGCACACACACAGACACAAGGATGCCCTCGTAGACAACACTCATGTCTATACAAGCAGCACGTGTGTTGTGTACAAGGGCATCCTTGTATCTGCTTGTAGAGACACAAGCAGCACGTGTGCATCCACACACAAGGACACATATGCATACCACAGACACTCACAAGAAGCAGCATTTACATTGGCCAACATACACAGATGTGTGCATGTAGACAGGCTCCCCGAGACAGGTTAGTGAATGATGCAGGTCAAACAGAGCTGTCTGCTAGGGGCGGGGGCCTGTCTGAGGTACCTCGGGGCGCTCACATTTTTGCAGCTCAGGAAGGCAGCTGACATACCAGCCCGGCTGTGATGGTATTTTGCATAAATGCTAATGTATTAATTACCATGTACAGTACACAGAGCTGCCATTTAAAAGAAAAAGTTAAGACTTTTTAATTCAAAAGCCCCATGAGGGGTGGGGGTGGGCGTGGGGTACCTGTCCTGCATGGAGGGTGGAGGCAGGCAGGGCAGCCACACCCATGCCCACTGTACCTGCACTTGGGTTGCCAAGCCTTCCCCAGGCCAGCCAGTCAGTCCTCTGCCTCAAGATTCTTGGTGCTTTCTGGGAACTCTGGCACAGCCTGGAGCTGCTGGCCCAGAAGAGGGCTGGGGAGAGTGTGGAAGGCAAGTAAGTCCTAAGCAGACAGAGTGGAGCATCCTCACAGCAGGGCTGGGGCAGGCGTCACAGCCAGAGGTCGCTAAGCATCACAGTCCCTCCCACCATTCAATCCATTCGCTGCACAGCAGCTGGAGTCATCCAGACAGTGGATCAGACTATGTCACGCCCTGCTTCAAACCTTTCAAAGGCTTCCTATTGCTCTCAGAACAAAGTTCACACTCCTTAGAAGGGCCTGCAAAGCCTGGCATGACCGCGTTCTCTCCTGCCTCACCTGACCTGGCTTCTCTCCCATCTCTCCATGCCTCTCCTGTCACACTCCTCCTTCCTCACTAGTCACCTGAGCTTGCCCGCTCTTCCCCTAAACTTCTCATCAGCCTAGCCTCAGCTCACCTGTCACCACCTCGGGAGACCTCCCCTGACTGCCCCTGACCGCCCTATCTGAAGGAGCCCTTCTCCCCCTCACCCTCTTTTACATCACCAGGGTTTGGGTTTTGGTTTTTTTGTCTTCATAGAACATTTTGCTGTTTCAACCCTCCTTGTTGATTTTTTTACTATCTGTTGCCCCCACTGTACGATGAGCTTTAGAAAGCCAGAACCTGAATGACCTTGTTTCCTCATCATATCGCAGCCCCTAGGATGGGGCCTGACACTGTGCAGGTGTTCAGTGGCATGTCTGTTAAAGGAGTGAATGAACTTGGAATGAACGAGGGATGCTGTTTCTGGCCAGCTCTGTCTCAGCGCCTAACTCTTGCAGCAGCACTCTCTCCACCTGCCTGGCAGGACCACCCTGGCTGTTCTGCCTCCCATCGGGGGCTCACATCCCAGATCCGGAGACTGAGGCCCATCATGGGATCATGTCCACCATCCCGTGACCTCTTAGAGGCTGGCGTCCAGGCCTCCCGAGCCTCCCACCAGCCCACCTCTCCTGCCACGTGGAAAGAAGCCTCAAATGATACAATTGAACAGCAACAACAAAACAGCTCCTCCACCCTCACCTTCATAGTCCACTTCCATATTAATTGTCGTATGCAGGCCCAGTGAGGCAGGCATCATTTCCCAAATTTCGTAAGAAATTAAGGTCCAGAGATATATGTGACTCCCCTAACGTCTCACAGCTCATCAGAGGAGTCAGGATTTAAATCTGTGTCTGAGGCCAGGTTCGGGGCTTCCTCCACTTACCAGTGACCTACTCTCCCCGAACCCTGAGGGATGCTCCAGGAAGCTAGGGCTCAGCAGTCATGGAAAGCCTCCCACATGCCTCCCAGGCCACCTCTTCCCCCAGGAAGCAGGAGAGTCGAGGTGGGCTTGCCGGGCAGGTGGAGAGAGCACCTGAGACACAGCTGGTTGGCTCACTTCCCAAACACAGGGTAGAGTCCTCAACCCCACCTTAAGGCACCCTCCCACACCCACTCACCTACCAGGTGCCACCATTCTAGGCCCTACGTCTCTCCCAAACTTGCCCTCTTCTCCTGGTGCCCACTGCCCCTGCCCTAATCCAGGCCGCATCGCTGTCATCTCTCACCAGGTCTCTTTTGACAGCCTGCAGTCTGGACCCCCATCTGCCCTCCACCCAGCAGCCAGAGTGATCTTCTCGAAGCTTGAATCCCATTGCCCTCCCCAGTGGCTTCCCCACTCCCCATCCAAGCTCCTCCTGAGATGGACCTCACGGTGGTTTGCAAATGTGCATCATTAAGAATGCATGTTTCCGTGGCCGGGGGGTGGTGGCTCATACCTGTAATCCCAGCACTTTGGGAGGCCAAAGTGGGCGAATCATTTGAGGTCAGGAGTTTGAGACCAGTCTGGCCAACGTGGTCTACCAAAAACACACAAAAAATTGGCTGGGTGTGGTAGTGCACGCCTGTAATCCCAGCTACTCGGGAGGCTGAGGCAGAATTGCTTGAACCTAGAAGGCGAAGGTTGCAGTGAGCCGACATCGCACCACTGCACTCCAGCTTGGGCAACAGAGCAAGACTCCATCTCAAAAAAAAAAAAAAAAAAAAAAAAGAATGCATATTTCCTAATTTCAGATCCTGGCTCTGCCACTTACTAGCTGTGTAACCTTGAGCAAGTCACCTAACTTCTCTGTGCCTCAACTGCCTGGTCTGTAAAATGGGAATAATAATAGTATCTCCCTATTATAGGGTTGTTGTGAGGACGAAATTAGTTAAAATATGTAAAGCACCAAGCCAGTGCCTAAAACCTGAAGGACACTACATAGTCTGTTGTTATTTACAGTTGTGTGTGTGTGTGTGCGTGCGCGATTATCTGGCTTGTGTCTTTCTCCTCCACGAAATTAAAAGCTCCAAGAGGATGGGGATTAGACTGGGATGGCTGCTTAGATGCTTCTTTGCCTGCCGCTTGAGTTTCTTTCTGCCTGCAGCCTTTGTTCTATTTTCCTCAGTTCTGGCTGGGTGCAGGCCCTCGAGGGAGGGAAAGGGCATGCCCTCAGCAGGAAATGCTGTCAGAGGCAGAGTTCCAGTTATGATGAAAATGACAGGCGGCAGCCAGAGAGGACTGCCCCCCGTGGAGGGCTGGGTAGAGGCTATACCCTCCAGAGCTCCAAGTTCCCGGGAACCCCCACAGGGCCAAAGCTCCCTTTGTCCAGAAGGTCAGGAGCAGCTGGCCAGCTGTGGGGGAGTTCCGCCACCCCGCCCCAGCCAGCAGCCCAGATGTGCGTGTTTGCACAGCCGAGTCCGGCCTCTGAAGGAGCCTTGTTGAGCATCATGAAAGGGGGCTTGTGATGGGACAGACGGCCTCCACACCCTGGCCTTCCTGCCTCCAAGACAGCAACCAGGAATGCAGCCTCCAGGAAGCCCTTCCTACCAGGCCAGCCAAGTGCCCTTCTCCTGAGAAGTCAGGGCCACTGGCATGAACAGGTTTAGTGTGCCAGTTGCAGACCAGATGCCTGGGATCTGGTCCTTCCTCAGCTTCCTCTTCTGTAAGATGCTGGGAGGCCCCTGCCTCTCCCTCCACTCAGGGAGACCCACGTGCAGTGTGGAAATAGGCAGACCTCACTACAGGTAAGAGCTTTGGAGTCAGAAAGACCAGGAAAGAACTTTCATCTTTGTGAACCTCAGTTTTTCCATCTGTAAATGAAGATGATAACTGCTGCCTCATGGGGTAGTCCTGGGGACAAAATGACATATGGGGAAGAAAGGACCAGGCATGTGCTGACACATGACAGGACAGGTGCTCAATAGCTCTGTGTGCCTTTTTTTTTTTTTTTTTTTTTTTGAGACAGATTCTTGCTCTGTCACCCACACTGGAGTGCAGTGGTGCAATCTTGGCACACTGCAACCTCCATCTCCCAAATACAAGCGATTCTCGTGCCTCAGCCTCTGGAGTAGCTGGGATTAAAGGCATGTGCCACCATGCCTGACTAATTTTTGTATTTTTTGTAGAGATGGGGTTTCACCATGTTGGCCAGGCTGGTTTCAAACTCCTGGCATCAAGCGATCCACCCACCTCAGCCTCCCAAAATGCTGGGATTACAGGCATGAGCCTCAGCGCCCAGCCCTCTGTGTGCTCTTTCTCCTTCCCTATTCACTAGGTGCCAAAATGGGAAAGGAGCCTGAGAGTACCTCCACAAAGGGCAAGGGGCCCTCCTCCCACTGTCCCAGAATAAGAGCTGCTGCCAGAGGCACTCACACCAGGCATGTGGCATGCAGCTGGGCAGCCTGTATGCCAGGCACACAAGTCTATGCCCACATGGGAGAGTCTCTGTCCCCAGCTTCCCCCTATCCAGAGTCCCTGGGCACAGCTTGTTTCCTGACACAGCTGGTCCCTGGGCACAGCAGGCCTCAGGTCCCTGGATAGAATCTATCCTTGGGCCTAGGCCAGCCCTCGGCAGGGCCAGTGCCTGGGCTCAGCTGTTTGCCAGGTACAGCTGTCCTTGAACATAGTTGATTGTTGGAAAATGCTAGTACCAGGACACAGTTGGTCCCTAGAAACAGTGTTTAAGCAAAGTCAGTCCTGTGTACAGTCTGTCTCTGGGCACATAGACACTCTCTATGGTCCCTGGTCACAGATACTCTCTGGGCATAATCTATCCTTGGGCACAGGTAGAGTCTGGGTCCAGTTGGCTCTCAGGTATAGTGACAGTGGGCAAAGTCAGTCCTAGGTGCAGATGAGCCCCAGACACAGTGAGCCCTCAAAGGGTCTCTGAGAACAGTTGTTCCTGGGCATAGTCATTCCATGGACACAGTTAGTGACTGGATGTAGCTGATTCCTGGGCATCATTGGTCCCCCAGGGCACAGGGCACAGTCAGCAGTCAGTCCCTGGGCACAGTTGTTTCTGGGCTCAGTTGGTCCCCAAGGCAGTCAGTCCCTGGGGAAGAGTCCATCCTTGACCTCAGGGCACAGTCCACAAAGACTACCCCAGGTTAATTAACACACATAGGCCCATCGCCAACTCTCTTGTGGCCCCAGTCCCTCCACAGGACCTGGAGAGCTGAGACCCACAGAAGGGATAGGAAGCATCCTCTGAAGTGCCAGGAGCCCTGGCATGGCCTGCTTCACGGCAGGTAGAGGGGGCAGGCATTCTGCTCCAGAACTGGAAGGGAGAGAACTAGGCCTGGCCCCCACCAGGTGTCCTCTGGAGCAGTCTGCCTTCCACAGTGGGGGGGTGGGGGGGGCTGTACCCCACACTAGAAAGGAGCCTCTCTCTCTGCACTACCCTCTGTCTATGCAGCACATATCCACAGGCATTTCAAAGGAGCATGGGCTGGCCAGCTACTGATCTCCCTGTGGCCGTGGGTAAGTGCATTAGACAGGTTTCTTCCAATTGGGTGGCCATCCCCAGGCCTCTAACCAACATCCGCATAACCTTAGGCATGGCACGAATGAGAAAGGAGGAGGTGGCCAGTCCCAGGGGATTTTCAGCCTCCAGGAGACAGCTGGTGCTGGATTTCTAACGCTTCCTGAGTCTGATCAGTCCCACCGCTCCCTGCAACCCAGTCCAGCTGGGAATGGAGCAGCAAGCCCCAGGGTAGGAGTCCAGCCTGCACAGCAGGGCGGGGGGCGTTCCTCAGGCCTGTTTGGTACTCATTACCTCCAGCCCTTGTTATCCTCTGCAGGGGGCATGGTTCCTGCACAATGATAATGTGATGTGGCATCCCATTAGCCAGCACCTGCCCTTTCTGCCCACCTTCCTCTCCCAGTCTCCATGCACATCAATGCTTCGTTACATTGTCAGTGTAGCAGTACAAGTCACATCTTTGTCGGGGTCTAGAAATGAAGTGAGCAACACCAACCATCACCCAACACAGGGGGCACCACCCACACATCAGCCCTAACATCCCAGACAAGCCACACTGCTCAGGGATAGCTCTAGGTCTGCTCACATGGACCCCCTATGTTTGCACCTTCAAAAAGAAAATGAAGGAAAAATCTACTTCTGGGGCTGGACAGGGTGCGGGGAAGGCAAGCAGCGAGGGGATTCCACAGGGACCTTTGGAGGGGAATTTGAGTAGGAGGGACTTTGCAGAGTGAGCCAAGCCAGGGTTCACAGGATGGGGCCTTCCAGCTGTTACACCCCCAAGGGTCCAAGGGCTGGATCCTGTCAGGTTAATAATTTACTTACACTCTCCCCCTCGCTAGTGTCTGAAGCAAAGCCATCCAGCCAGGATTCCAAGAGAAGAGTTTCCACAGGGAGCCCCAAAACTCTAAGACTGAAAGGCAAGTCAGCCTGAAGACACAAAAGGACTTAAACTAGGTCAATCCAGTTCAGGCTGGTCCCAACTGGCTGCAACTAGATCTAACTAACTGATTCAAGCTGGCACCAATCAAACCAGACCTGTTGGGGCCAGCTCACAATGTGTGGGGCTGGCCAAGATGGGATCAAGCTGAATCAAACTGGTTGTGGCCTGCTCATGTCATCTGGAGTCATTGGAAGGCCACCAATTTTGACCTCTATTTATTTAGTGTTAGCCTTTGCCTAGTATATCTTTATGTGTCCCTTTCTCTTATAACATCGTGAATCCTTTTGTTTTCAGTATGTATTGCATAAACAATGGTTTAATCCAAGCTCTACACCACATTCAAATGATATATAATACATATATCTTCCCTGCTATGAAGGTGATATACTGCAGTGGTCACATCCATGTCAACAGCCTGGGTTCCCGTCCCCACACTGCATTTCCCTAGCTTGAGGTCTTGCATAAGTTACCTAATCCTTCTTACTCTCAGTCTCATGTGTAAAAAATTCAGCTAATTGGCCAGGTGCGATGGCTCACACCTGTAATCCCAGCACTCTGGGATGCCTAGGTAGGTGGACCACTTGAGGTCAGGAGTTCAAGACCAGCCTGGCCAACATGGTGAAACCCTGTCTGAGGGTTTCACTGCAAGGAAAAATACAAAAAATTAGCCTGGTATGGTGGAGCATGCCTATAATCCCAGCTACTCTGGAGGCTGAGGCAGGAGAATTGCTCGAACCCAGATGGCGGAGGTTGCAGTGAGCCAAGATTGTGCCACTGCACTCCAGCCTGGGTGACTGAGTTTAACTTCGTCTCAGGAAAAAAAAAAAAAAAAAATCCAGCTAATTATAGAATCTGCCTCAGAGAGGACAGTTTTAAAAATTGAGGCATAGATATAAATACAGGTATAGATAAGAGCTGTGCCCTCACACATAATAACTGCTCAATATATGGAAGTGATTATTCTAGATTATTAATTATTATTAGTTCTTGGTTCTGAGCAGCCACAGCACAGCCTCTAGAGTCAGGTGATCAGAATTCAGATCCCTACACTGCCTCTTCCTTACTTTGTGAACTTGGGTAATTCACTTAACTTTTCTCAATGTTTCTATTTTTATTTTTATTATTTTGTAGAGATGGGATCTGACTATGTTTCCCAGGCTGGTCTTGAACTCCTGAGCTCCAGTGATCCTCCCACCTCAGCTTCCCAAAGTACTGGAATTATAGGCATGAGCCACCTCCCCTAGCCTACTTAACTTCTCTTAAGCCTCAATCTCCCCAACTGAAAATGAGGGTACTAACACTTACTGCAAGGATTGTTTTGAGCATTTAGATATCCTGCATAAAGCACCTAGCACCATGGAATATGACAAACACAGTACTCAATATATGTCAGCCATTATTATATTAATAACAAACACTCAATGCTAATTTTGTGCCAGGCAGTGTGCTAAGTATTCTGTGGATATTAATCAGTCCTCACAACAGTCCCAAGAGACAGGTACCATTTTCAGGGAAGAAAGCCAAGGCTCAGAACATACCACAGTGCCTGGTGATTATAAAATATTAGGCTGGGCGCAGTGGCTCATGCCTGTAATCCCAGCACTTTGGGAGGCCGAGGCGGGCAGATCACTTGAGGCAAGGAGTTGGAGACCAGCCTGGCCAATGTGGTGAAACCCTGCCTCTACTAAAAATACAAAAAATTGGCCTGGCATGGTGGCGGGTGCCTGTGATGCCAGCTACTTGGGAGGCTGAGGCAGGAGAATTGCTTGAACCCAGGAGGTGGAGGTTGTGGTGAGCTGGGATCGTGCCACTGCATTCCAGCCTGGGCGAAAAAGCGAGACTCCGTCTCAAAAATATGTATATACATATATATGTATATATATATGTATATATGTGTATATATATGTATATGTGTGTGTGTGTGTGTGTGTATGTATTTTAGGGAGGACAGGAAAGTGTACATTTGTCAAGGTGGAGGGCAGTGGAAGATCGGGCCAGAGGACAAGTCTTGGGAGTAGGCAGTGTATTAAAAAGAAGACAGGAAGAGGCAGCGGGGGCAGATGGCAGCGGCCATTCCACAGTGGACATGGGCCGTGGAGCAGCTGCACAGTGAGCTACCGCCCAAGAAAGACATTATCAAGTTTCTGCAGGACCATGGCTCCAGATTCGTTTCTTGCAGAAACAGGAATTATTAGAAAACATTAAAAATGTGGCCAAGGCAGCTAATTAGGATCATTTGGTTACAGCCTATAACCATTGTTTTGAAAGTAAGCCTTTCAAAGGTACCGAAAGTAAAAGTATTTGAACAAGTGAGAAGTGTGACGCTTAATGAAGAGAAACCCAAAGAGACAAATCTGAAGAGACTCTGGATGAGGGTCCTCCAAAATACATAAAACCTAGCTGGGTGCGGCGGCTCATGCCTGTAATCCCAGCACTTTGGGAGGCCAAGGCAGGTGGATCAATCACCTGAGATCAGGAGTTCAAGACCAGCCTGGCCAATATGGTGAAACCCCGTCTCCACTAAAAATATAAACATTAGCCAGGCATTGTGGCAGGTGCCTGTAGGCCCAGCTACTCAGAAGGCTGAGGCAGGAGAATCGCTTGAACCCGGTGGGCAGAGGTTGCAGTGAGCTGAGATTGCACCATTGCATTCCAGCCTGGGCAACAAAATGAGACTCCATCTTAAAAAAAAAAAAAAAAAGTATCCACTGTCCTGAAAAAGAAATAATAAACAAATAAATTAAAAGGGGGCAGGGGCTGGACACCAGTGGCTCACCCCTGTAATCCCAGTACTTTGGGAGGCCGAGGCAGGCAGATCATGAGGTCAGGAGATCAAGACCATCCTGGCTAACACGGTGAAACCCCATCTCTACTAAAAATACAAAAAATTAGCCCGGCGTGGTGGCGGGCGCCTGTAGTCCCAGCTACTCAGGAGGATGAGGCAGGAAAATGGCATGAACCCGGGAAGTGGAGCTTGCAGTGAGCCAAGATCGTGCTATTGCACTCCAGCCTGGGCAACAGAGCGAGCGAGACTCCATCTCAAAAAAAAAAAAATACAAAAATTAGCTGGGCATGGTGGCACGCACCTGTAATCCCAGCTACTCGGGAGGCTGAGGCAGGAGAATCACTTGAACCTGGGAGGCGGAGCCTGCAGTGAGCCGAGATGACGCCACTGCACTCCAGCCTGGGCAAGAGTGTGAGACTCTGTCCCAAAAAAACAAACCAAAAAATAAATAAATAAATAAAAGGGGGCAGGCTCTGAAGTCAGGCAAACCTGGATTCAAGTCCCCAGTTCAAACACTGTCTAGGCCTCAGTTTTTTCACCTCTCAAATGGGAATAATAAACTCTACCTCATGGAATTGTGAGGATTAATTTTGGTATCAGTTACAGCTTGCTCATAATAGGTGCTCAAAAAATGTAGGCTCCCTCTCTTCCACAATGACATTGGGCATCCAAAATGGTGTGCACTTGCACAGTGACATGTGTCTGTGGTGGACTGTGTAGGGTACACAAACAAAAATTTTTCAAAATCTTCAGATGACATCTGCCCATGTGTGCAGTCCACCTCGAAGAGGCCATCCTCCCTCCTCTACACACAGAATGCCTGTTAGCAGAGAGACATGACTCCCATATATTCCATTGCCTTGTCCAGGTTTCTGCCAGAAGCAAGCAGAGTTGTCCTAGTGGAATCAGCCAGACACATGTGACAAGCTGCATCTCAAGCCAAACACATGTGTTGAGAGAAAGTCCAGTGAGGAAGGGTAAGGAGGCCTGGGTAGGTGTGCATCCTCTGGAGGACAGTGCTGCAGGGCTGGGCCCAGGATATCTGACCGTGAGCCAGAGAGCATCTACGTGATCTTGCATCTGCCAAGTCCTCCGTCTGGGACTGCCTTGGGGCTGAGACCCTTCCTGGATGACTCTCTTCTCTGCTTCCCTCCTAGATGTAATGGGCAACAATATCCCCTGTTCCCGCTGATGATGACAGTGATAACTACGATGGTGATGGTGATGACAACATCTGACATTTTTTTACAACACAATGTGCCAGCCAGTCTTTATAAAATATATGATTACATCCTCAACTTCTGAGAAACTGGGACTGTTACCACTATTTGACAGAAACGCAGAGAGAATAAGTAACTGGCTAAGGGACATGCAGCTGTTCAGTGATGGAACTAGAGATTTGAGTCCATATTGCCTCATTCCAGAGAAATATCCTAGGGAATATTTTCTGCTTCTATCTTGATGGACTCAGAATTTCCTTTTCTTACTCCCTTCCTCTACAAATGTGAACATCCTCTGTGCAGCAGACTAGGCCCTGGGAGAGATACAAAGAGTAAGACATGGTCACTAACTTTATGGAGCTCAAAGCCAATAAATAAGAATCACAGCAAAGTCTAGCTGGGGAGGGACAGGGCTTAACATGGGGCACTACACAGATGATGAAATAGAATCAATTCCCAATGTGAGTGAGGAGTGTGCTGGGCCTATCAGTTAGGTTTGGTGAGGCTGTGCTACAGTAACAGCAACTACTGCAACAAAAAGTTCAGTGACTTAATACATAAAAGTTTATTTCTGCTCATACCAAGTTCACTGTGGGCCAGGTGCAGTGGCTCATACCTGTAGTCTCAGCACTTTGGGAGGCCGAGGTGGGCGGTTCACCTGAGGTCAGGAGTTCGAGACCAGCCTGGCCAACATGGTGAAACCCCGTCTCTACTAAATACAAAAAATTAGCAGGGCGTGGTGGTGGCTGCCTGTAATCCCAGCTACTTGGGAGGCTGAGGCAGGAGAATTGCTTTAACCTGGGAGGTGGAGGTTGCAGTGAGCCAAGACTGCGCCATTGCACTCCAGCCTAGGCGACAAGAGTGAAATTCTGTCTCAAAAAAAAAAAAAAAGGAAGAAAAAAAGTTCACTGTGGGTCCAGCAACTCTTTAGGGTGGCTCCCTTCCCAGTGGTGATTCATAAATCCAGGCTGCTTGTGTCTTATAGCAATGCCATCTGGAATACTTGGCTTCCAGGTCGCCAGGGCAAGGAAGGGGAGCCTGGAACATCACTCACTGGCTCTCAAATGTGTCATCCTAGAGTGTCACATATCACTTCAGCTCACAGGCCACTGGCCAGACTAGTCACATGGCCCCACCTGGCCACAAGGAAGCTGGGAAACATGAGGAGCACATGAATTCAATAAATAGTATGTGTCTCTGCCATAGAACAAAGCTATTCATCCCAGTCAGGCTGCATCATTAAAGGTCTAATGCCCAATCTGAAGAAGGTGATGGGTCTGTTAGGCTCTATCACTCTCAGGCCATACCTGGAGTGTTAAATCCAGTTCTAGATATTGTATTTCCAGAGGCTCCTAGACATATTGGATTCCCAATACAAGAAGAGACCAAGTTAGGGATGGGACTTGAAATTTAGTGTTGTGAAGAGTTGAAATGATGTTTCCTGGAAGAGAGGAGGCCTTGGATATCTAATTTCAGATTCTTTTTTTTTTTTTTCCAGATTCTTGTAAGGCTGTCATGGGACCAAAAAAAAAAAAGAAAGAAATTACTCTGTGGGGCTCCATGGGACAGAGCCCAAACCAGTAGAAGTTACATGGATGATGCCAAGGGGACGGTGGGTGCTGAGCACTTTTACTGCCTCAGGACAGCATGTACTCTCATCCCAGGAATATGCAAGCAGAGTCCAGAACGCCATTTGGTTTGGATATTGTGGAAGAATCCCTGTATCTGAAGGAATTGCAGTAGGCATCGAGTAAGCATCCTTACAGATAGAGTTTGAATGGCAGGGCAGGGAGCACAGCCACATTCACACCCTATAAGCTTGGCATGATGGGGCATCAGAAAGGACCTGGCCTCCGGAGTCCCTGTTAGTCAGATTAGGCTAAGCTTTACTACAGTAACAGCAGCAAAAATGCAAAACAAAAAGCTCCGTGGCTTAACAGATAACAGATTTATTTCTCTGGGTCAGGATGGACTGTCCAGACCTGTCCTCCCTGGACTTAGACTTCTCTCCTCTGCTCCTCTGGTAAGAAGCTCTGCATCTGGGTGCCTCCCACTCTCAGGGACACTTATGAAGGACACCCAATGTGAAAACAAATAAAAGGAAATCACCCCATCAGAGCTATAAGTAATAATCAATAATTCAAAGCCTTGATAAAGTCTTGCTGGAGAGCGCTTCAGAGAGAAGGCAGGGGCTGAGTTTCATGGTTAATTCAATGTCAATTAGCTGATTGCTAACTTCCCTCCAGCAAAATCGCATGCAGTGCAGGGGAGAGAAATCAAACGTGCTCTCGCTTTAACAAGCCTGGTGCTTCAATCATTCATCTCTGGCCGCAGGCTCAGAATCAGTGTCAACAGACGTTCCCTCACAGTTTTATCAACCATTTCTACATGTCACTGTTTTCTCAGCTGCCCTTAATTGTCCCAGGACCATCTCTGGGAGCCAGGGCTACTTGAAATCCTAAGTAAGTCAGAACAGCCTTCTGCTTCCTGGAAGGTGTAGAACCCACAGTTCCTGAAACAGTTTCCCATGATAATCTCTTCCTCCAAGAGACACTGTAATCAGTCAACGTAACGCATGTAAAGTGAACAGCACCGGGCTTAGTACATAGTAAATTCTTAATTAGGGTAGTTTTCCTCTGCCCTCACAAGTCCTGAGGTGGGTACCCTGCTCACCTCCGGTCTTCCAAGACCCTGCAGAGGCCATGGCCACCTTCAGCACCATGGCCAGAGCCTCTGCCCAGAAGTTGGAGGGGGGAGGGGAGGGACAGGCTGAAGAGAAGCTTCAGGGCTCAGAGCGGGAGAGTCAGTGGGAAAATTCGTGTGAAGGAGTCCCAGAGATCACTGAAGCCAGCCAGTTCCCTTTGCATAGGAGGAAAGGAGACTAGAGAGGCCAAGGGATTTGCCCAGAATCACAAAGAAGATGCCATGTCTCTGGCTCCCAGGCACAGCATCTGCACACCTCATGATCCACAGATTGTAAGGTCAGGATCCAGGGTCCCCTCTTCCTTCCTGGGAACCTTTAGGGATGGGACACAAGAGGAGAGTTATTGATGTACAGGGAGAGCCAGGAGGGGTCTGCTTGGGGGAATAGATGGCAGCAAGAAACCTGGGCTCTCCCTGGGGGCACAGCCCTAGTCAGATCTTCCTAGAAGGTGCCCTTTGCCTATCTCTCCTCCCCATAGTTCTGAGCTGGGGCTTTGGTTGATCTCTCACAGGCCTAGCACTGCACAGCACTGGGAAGATAGGGAAAAGTTCCCTGCATGCATCCAGCAGCTTCTTTTGGCAGGCAGACAGACATCGCTCACAAGCGTGGAGCATGCCCATACCTTGTGGACCGTACCCATGTATGGAATAAGTACAGATGCTGTGTCCTGTGCAAGACCAAGGATATTCCTTCCATGGCCCACAGATCTTCTGGATCTGCTCTCCTTCCCCTGGGCCATGGTGAGGAAGGGCACACTCTTTGGTCTCCTCTATCACAGCCTGGCTAGGCCTTGCCCAGGTGTGGCCCAGGCCAGGGCTGGAAGACCTGGCAGTTGTGCCTATCAAGGCCACCTGTGGCCCCTCCTGGTTAGGGATATGTAAGATGTTTGCTTTTTCGGGGGGGTGGGGGGAAGTCTCGCTCTGTCGCCCAAGCTGCAGTGCAGAGGTGCAATCTCAGCTCACTGCAACCTCCACCTCCCAGGTTCAAGTGATTCTCCTGCCTCGGCCTCCCCAGTAGCTGGGGTTACAGGTGTGCGCCACCATGCACAGCTAATTTTTGTATTTTTAGTAAAGATAGTGTTTCACTATGTTGGCCAAGCTGATCTCAAACTCCTGACCTCATGATCCGCCCACCTCTGCCTCCCAAAGTGCTGGCATTACAGGCGTGAGCCACTGTGCCCAGCCTGGATGTTTGCTTTTAGGAGAAGAAGAAAAACTACAATTTCTGGTCCCTGTTAGGCAGTGCAGCTTAACAATGAAATCCTACAGAGGCATCGAGACCTGGGTTTGAATCCTAGCTCCACTATGTACTAGCTGTGGGATACTGGAAAGGTTACTCGCAGAGCCCCAGTTTCTTCATTTGTAAAACGAGGATAATGATAGTTTCAAACTTATAAATTGTTCAGAGAATTAAATGAGATAATTCATGCAAAGTGCTTAGCATGGTGCCCAGCACGGAATAAGTATTTCATAAATAAAGATGATCTTTCTTCAGTAAAAGTTTCCTTTGGAAAATGTCCAAGCCTCTAGGGGATTGCAGGCATCTGTCCATAGCAGAATTAGTATGAAAGTATTCAGGGGGTATCCCAGGCCGCTCCAACCTCCTGGTCCAGATGCTTTTGGGGCAAAATCTGAGCCATGTTCAGAGACCATGTTCAGGGACTGGGGCTGGGACTCAGTGTAAGGTCAGGTTTCAGGCTCAGTCTGGGCCCAAGTTCAAAGCTCTGCAACTAACTCATAACATAGCCTTGGGAAAGTCCCTTCCCAATGAGCCTCAGTTTCCTCATCTATAAAATGGGAACAACATCCTCATCCAGCTTGCCTCCCAGAGGCACCAGGCGAGTGCTGTTGAATCATGCATTTGCAGGCTCGCGCAAACCCCAGGGATCAGCCTCACTCTTCAGTGTTACTTATGTTCCTGTGGCCCTCAGACCTGCTGGATAAGAGATTCTTCTCCCTGTTTCCACAGGCCCACAATGGAGGCCATTCCTCAGGGTTAGAGCAGCCAGGCAGGGGACCCGATGGAGACACGGCAGGACACCCCAAGGCACTGCGGCCCCTCCCAGGAGCTGGGAACAGAAGGCTTGGAATTCACTACGCACATATTTGCTGACTTCTCTGCACTCTGCCTGCTTCAGGCATTCACTTCCCAGAAGTTTATTTGAGGAGATGCAGATGAGCCGGATTTGAGTTCCGCAGACCTGCCCAGACAAATGGCTGAGCCCTTTCTCACTCCCTCTCTCACACACTCTCCACCTCCCTTGCTTTTTCTTTGTCTGTCTGTCTCTCCTGGAAGACCTGCCCTTTGCTCTTGCTTTCTCCCCATGCTGTTTATTCTCCATTTGATCCCCTGGCCCAGATTCACACCCTGCCCTTCTCAGCCCTGAGCTGTGCCCCAGGAGACTGACCCCAGGGAACTGCCTGGCCTGGGTGCCCCTGGTTGGGTTCAGCTGGTGGGAGGCACCGGCAGAAGTTGGAGGGAAGGGGAAGAGGGAGGTCAGGGATTCCCTCCTCACTCCCTCCTTCCTGGGCAACATTTTTAGCAGTGGCTGTGTTTCTCCATGACTACGGCTTGCACCAGGCATTCCCTCCTCCACAACACCATTCCCTCCCCTCGTCTCATCAGCCCTTGAGGTGGTAAGGGCTTCTGACTGTTGCTAGTCCCTGGAGCCCCACCTCTCTTGCTGCTTCCTAAAATCTTCACCCAGGCCTTTGTAGGTAGCCCATTCATCACAGTCGCTGCATAGAAACCATTAGGAGTAGATTCTGTTTGCTGCCAGGCCCCTAACCAAACACTCCTCAAATCCACCACACACTTCACTAGTCCTGTATCACTCGCCTCTCTCTTGATACAAGCTCTCCTGAGCTCAGGGTGGGAAACATTCAGAATGTTTCTGTCATAGCCCTTAGTGGAGACCACCCAAGGGTGCTGAGGGCTGGGGGTAAGGGGTCCCTGCTGTTACACCCACACACACAGAACCAAGGGCCCCTCTCATCTTCTACCCAGGTCAGGGAGACTAGGGACAGCATGAAACTTAGAAAAGCTGGCTTAGAGCACCCCCTTTATCACAAACCAGCCAAAGCATTTAATAACCTCCATTTCTGCCAGTGTAACATAAAGAAATGCAGACCTCTCCCTGAGCGGTTAGGGGATCTACCTGGTGGGCTGATGGACATGTGTGTGGTTTGTGAACTGTAACCATGAGACGGGTGTGGAAAAATATTACTGAGTTCTCACAAGAGGCCAGCAGGACTCCTCCCCTCTCCAAGCTGTAAGGCAGGTGGGGGAAAGGATGACAGGCTTATGGGACAGTCAACATCTGAGGACCATGGCTGCTCCCTGCTCACAGGTGAGGAGGAGCTACTGCTTTTGACTAGTGATGCTGGGGTTGAGGTCTGGAATGGGGGCTAAGGTGGAAGTTGGATCTGTATTTAAGTTGTGGCTGAGATAGAAGCTGATTTTGAAATGGAAATAGGGGTGGGGCTATAGCTGAGGTGAAGGCTGTGATTAGGTTGGAGCTGAGGTGGGGTCAGGTGTTGAGTTTGGACTTGAGGCTGAGATCAGAGTTGGAAATGGATTAGGAGTTGAGGCTAAGTTTGGAGTTTGAGTTGGGTCAAGGGCTAAAATTTGATGTTGAGGTGAAAGCTAAGATTGGCACTGAGTTGGGGCCTGGACATGAGGTTCCAGAATCCTCCCTACCCACTCAGACCTCCACTGGGCTTTGGGAATGTAACTGACCTGCACAGAGGAGGTGTGGCCATATTGACATCTCCTCCTTCTCCTCCCTGGTGTGACTACATTCATTCATTCATTATTCCATCCAGTCACTCGATAAAAAATTTATCCATCACCTTTATGTGCTGTATACTATACTAGATCCTGGAAATACACGGGCGAATCAAGCAGGTGTAGCCGCTACCCTCACGGAGCTTATGGTTTAGAAAAGAAGAAAAACAAGAACTCAATAGTCCTGGAACTAGATGCATAGCTATGAGTGTGCAAAAGCCCAAGGAGCCATGTATCAGAAAGCACAGCAGGTAGAGAGTCATGGAAGGCCACTGGGTGTGAGCAAAGCCTCCTAAGTGGTTCAAAGTCAGTACAGGAAACAGACAACAGAGGGGTTGACTCTAGCTAGTAACCAAGGAATGCTTGTGGAAGGGGTGGCACTGTGCTAAGTTCTCTACAGTCTCTTCTAACTATGACACTAGGAGGCAGTAGATGCAGTAGGAGCCAGATAAACCTAAGCTCAAAGCCAGACTGTGTCAGATACAAACCAGCTGAGCTGTGTAACTTCAGGCAAATGACCTCCCTTCTTCCAGCCTCAGTTCCATTCTTTAAGATGGTGATAGTAATTCCTAGTTTGTGGGGCTGGTGTGAGGATTCAGGATGATGTTTATAAAGTTCCTGGCACTCGTTAGGTGCTCAGTTAATGATAGTTCCTTCCCCATCCAGGGCAAGGAGAATAGGAGGAGCTCAGTGCAAGCAGCCGACTCCCCACAGGGTCCAGCTGTTCAGGCTTGAGCTGTCACCCCTGCAGGCCCAGGCGTGATTTCTCCCTGCAGTTCACGCTCTCCAGGGTGCAGGCATGATTTACACAGCCATCGGGACAACTCCGAATTGGACTAAAACCTAATGACTGGAAACAAGACAAGTAATGAAATTCTACGCAGAAAATTTACAGGGGAGATTTATTAGGTGAGTTTTATTTATGATGCTGAGCACTTAGAGCTCTGGGGTGGGGTGTGGCATTGGACAAATAAATCCAGTCCACACGCTCCCAGCCCAGACATCACCTGCCCTGGCACCACCTCTGATCCACAGTCCTAGACTCCTGCTGGGTAGGAGACCTCTGCCCAGCCCCCCTGTGCCCACTGAACCCACAATCTTCCCAATCTCTTTCCTTTTTTGCCACCTTGTCCCTACACGGCCAGCCGCTCCAGGCCCTGGGTCTCTCCTGCATTGTTCTTGGGGCAGGTTGTGCCTGGAGGCTGGACCTCAGGAACATGGAGGGAAGGGGCTGGAAAACAGGAGCTCCAAGACTGGCCAGTCCACAGTTAGCACTTCAGGAGCCTGACCATGGAGTCAGTATTCCCTAAGGTGTGAGGGGCAGGCAGAGAGGGCAGCAGAAACCTGAGGACAAGGAAGATGCCATTCCAGACCAGCAGTGCCCTTAGGGCAGGACTTTCTTGTGGCCAGGACAGGGGAGCAGCTGGTAGGAGTCTAGAGGGGAAATGGAGGCAATTCTGCATTGCACCTGGGTCTACAAGAGGCCAAAGACCCAGTCAAGAGCTGCAAGACTGTTTTCGGCTACAGAAAACAGTCTCCCTCCTCTCGAAGCTGTCCCTCTCCTGCTCCTCATAGGGCAGAAGGAAAAGCTGTTGCTTCTCATAACCCTCCCCATGCCCACCCTACACCACCACTGCCACTAGCCCCTTCTTTCCCTCACTTGCCTCTCTTGACTCCAATAACTCCTTGACCGATTTTCTCCTCTGTTCTGCCCACCCCAACCACACTGACCCCCTTGATGTTGCTCAAACATGTCCAGCAAGTTCCTGCCCCAGGAACTTCACTCGGCCTAGAATGTTCTTCCCCCAGTAAACAGTATAGCTCACTCCCTCACTTCCTTAACTGGCACCTTCTCAGTGAAGTCCGACAGGCTCCTGACCAACCCATCAAAATCTCCCTGGACACTTTCTAGCCTCTTCCCTGCTTTATTTTTCCCCTGAGCACATATCCCTAAATGCTTTACCTTTTCATTCTTTATCTTGTTTATTAGATGTCTCCCCTACCAGAACATAAGCTTTGTCCAAGAGGACAAAGTTTCTGTCGGTTTTATTTACCACGATAAACCCCAGCTCCTGGAACAGGGACTGGCATATGAAAGGCACTCATCAAAATGTGCTGGAAGATGGAGCCCAGGCTCTGATAAGCACAGCTGCCCCTTACTGGGCATTGTGCACAGGCATGTGTGCCAGGTGCCAGGTGCTGTGCCACATGGTTACCCCCACTAGCGGCTCATTCAGCAAGTACTCTCTGCACTCATTCCTGGGCCAGGTACTGAAGGCACCAGAAGAATCACACCCAGATACTGAGCTCAAGCAGCTCCCAGTCTGGGGGGGCAGGAGAGACCTGGGCCCAGTAAGGACAATTCCAAGTGCATAGCTCCGGGGAGACAGCAAAGGAAGTCAGAGAGGCCCAAGTGCCAGGACAGTCACAGAGACTTGTAGGAGGCACCCACATGCAGCCCTTGCAGGGAGGCAGGGATGACATAGTATCTGTCAGCAGCAGCCATGGAGCCAGATAGGGGTCCCAGCTGGGTCCCAGCTCTGCCATTTACCAGCTGTGTGACCTCAAGTGTTCCTTAACCTCTCTGTGCCTCAGTTACCTCATCTGTAAACTGGAAATAATACTCACTAGATGACAGTGAAGATGAAGTGAATCTTGTAAAGCTCTTCCAACAGACCCAGAAAATAATTAACAAGCACGTAAGAAATGTTAGCCAATATCATGACTCCTCTTATTACATTATTGAAAAATAACAGGCAAGAGCGAAGAGGAAAGACTTCACAGGAGCAGTCTGGGAAGAGGTAAAAGATAGAAAAGGTATGGGCGTGGCAGAGCACAGTGGCTCATGCCTATAATCCCAGTGCTTTGGGAGCCCAAGGTGGGTGGATCACTTGAGCCCAGGAGTTCAAGACCAGCCTGGGCAACATGGCGAAACCCCATCTCTACAAAAAATACAAAAATTAGCTGGGTGTGGTGGTGCACACCTGTAGTCCTAGCCTCTCAGGAGGCTGAGGTGGGAGGATCGATTGAGCCCAGGAGGCAGAGGTTGCAGTGAGCCAAGATCGCACCACTGCACTTCTCCCCGCTGGGTGACAGAGCCAGACCTTGTCTCAAAAAAAAAAAAAAAAAAAAAAAAAGGTATAGGCATGTTCTAGATGAGATGCAGCAGAGCCTTCCATACTGGTCCAAGAGCTGTGCTACTAAATGTCTAACAACTGGCTCTAGGGGTGCAGAACCCTGATTTGTAGCATTTGCTGATTTTTGTAATGTAAATCCTCCCACCATGACCAATTTCAAACAACCAATGTGACATCACTGAACAAGAAGTTGGAAAGAGATGCACAGCTGGCACCTGCTATCCCCTACAGCCACCTCCAGCCTATGGGCCAGATCGAAGGGGCGGGCCCCTACCCACCCCACCCATCAGAGTCCCGGACATGGTGGCTCCATCTGTAACCTGCCTTTGGCCTCCAGGTTGGGCACTAGAAAGGAAAAAGATTAGGCGTGGGAGCGGGGGCAGGCAGAGGCCAGCTCAGATATGGCCTGAAGTCTATGTGTGGCTGGACCTCAGAGATCTCTTATCACAGCGGACCTTGGGAGCCAAGCACTCACTCTCTCATGCTCTCTCTCTCTCTCTTTCTCTCTCAAATACACACACACACACACACACACGCACATACATTCACACGTGCATACATGCACACACACACACACCCCTGAATCCTCAGCTCTGAGCCCCATGTGCCCTAGACATGGGCACTTCTGCCTCTGGGGAGGGCCAAGGTGACTTGAGCCATTGGTGTCCTAGATGGATTGAGTAACAGGGCCCTTCCCAGACCCCACGTTCCAACCTCCCATGTGATTTCCCTTTAGGAGGCCCTGGTCCCTTCCCGTGGGCTTGGATGGGGGAGGCTCTAGAAACCAACTTTAGAGACTTGGGGCCAACCCCCGCAGAGCTGCTCTACTGAGGGGGGAGGGACCCTAGAAGCTCCAGGGTTTGCCACCTTGCTCCCTCCCTCCCACCAGCCCTCCCCTGCAGGTTATCAGCGTGAAAACAGGAAGGCTGGCAGTGCTATTAATAATACATGAAGCCGAGCTCTGCCCCGATCAGGCGGGCAGAGGCGGAGAGGCAGCTCCAGCCCGCAAGGGAGGGAGACAGCCAGGCTGCTGGGGGCCTGCCTGGCTGGGCCTTGGGGCAGGGGAAGGGAGCCCCTCTCCTCCTTCTCCCATTTGCTTTGTGTGCACCCAACACTGAGGCCAGAGACTTGTGCTTCCTCTATTTGCTGTCGTTTCCCTTCTCATCCACTGCCTGCATCCCACAGAAGCTCCAGCCAATATAGAAAATCTTCTGGCCTGAGACACAGGACCTGGGTCCTGGAATGTGGGAACCCACAGAGGCCAGAGGAACAACCCAATCTTTGGTGTCAAACAGATCTGGGTCTGAATCCCAGTCTATGCCCTCCTGCTATGTGACTTCAGACAAATCACCTAACCTCTCTGAGCCTCAGCTTCTTCAACTGCAAAATCAGAGACTACTAAGAAAATAATGGGAATAAACAAAAGAATGGATGTGAAACCCCTAGCATAGAGCAGATGTTCAATAAATGGCAGCTGGCTATTATTATTTCTATACCTATGAACTTGGGCAAGTTTCTTCCTTCCCTGGACCTCGATCTCCCCCTCCATAAAAAGAGAGGATTGAGCTAGGTATCTCTAAGAGCTTCCCAAGTGCCAACGGGATTTTCATGACTACAGGATGAAAAACCCTAGGCCATGTATGTAATGTTACATAAGAGCTAATGTTCTGCCCGAGGGATTAGAGAGCACAGAGGCATTTGTTTTGGCTATGATGGACAGAAAAGTCCTCCCTGAGGAAGGGACATCTTAGCAGAAATCAGAATCAAGTGAGAGAGTGAACATATGGAGAGATGGCAAATCACTCCCTGCAAAGGGAACAGCAAGCAAAGGCCCTGGGGTGGAAATAAGCTTAGCAAGTTTAAGGAGTTACGGTGTGGCTAGAACATAGGAGCACGTGCTAGCCACACATGGCAGGAGGGAAGATCTGTAAGGAAGCAAGAGGGTGAATCACCTTCAAAGGGTCTGGAAGGCCATGGTAAGTAATTGGCTTTTATCTTGTGTCACAGGAGCTCGTAAAGGGTTGTGAGCAGATGGGCATGGCGGTGCACGCCTGTGGTACCAGGTACTTAGACGGCTGAGGCAGGAGGATCGATCACTTGAGCCCAGGAGTTCAGGGCTATAGGGTGCTATACTCCCGCCTGTGAATAGCCACTGCATGACAGCCTGGGCCACACAGTGAGACCTCCATCTCTTAAAAATAAGAAAAGTAGCCAGGAGCAGTGGCTTACGCCTGTAATTCCGGCACTTTGGGAGACTGAGGCGGGCAGATCACCTGATGTCAAGAGTTGGAGACCAGCTGACCAACATGGTAAAACCCCGTCTCTACTAAAAATACAAAAAATTAGCCAGGTATGGTGGCGTGCGCCTGTAATCCCAGCTACTTTGGTGGCTGAGACACGAGAATTGTTTGAACCTGGGAGGTGGAGGTTGCAGTGAGCTGAGATTGCGCCACTGCACTCCAGTCTGGGTGACAGAGTGAGACTCTGTCTCAAAAAAAAAAAGGAAGAAAGAAAAGTAATAATAATAAAGAGTTGTGATCAGAGAAGGGACATAATCACCAAGATCTTAAAGGATAACCCTGGTTGCTGTGTGAATAACAGACTTCAGAGCAGCACTGTCCAACAGAAATATGTTTCAAGCCACATGCATAATTTAAAATTTTCTAGTGGCCAGATGAAAAACAGTAAGGAATCAGGTGAAATTAACTTCAATAATATATTTTGTTTCACCCAAAATATTATCATCTCAACATGTCATCTATATAAAAAAACTATTAGCGATGTTTTACATTGGTTTCTTTATACCACATCTTCAAAAACCAGTACATATTTTGTATTTACAGCACATCTCAAGTTGACCTAGTCACATTTCATGCACCCACTGGCTACATGTGGGGACTGTACTAAATAGCACAGCTCGAATGAGGCAGGAGTGAGACAGCAGGAAGACCAAGTAAGAGGCAGTTCCCAGGTGCAGAGGGGCAGGGCTTAGAGTCCCGCCCCTGCTAGCAGCAGTGGAAGGGGCAAGTCCTACTTCGTGGGATCATCGTGGGGGTAAATGAGGTAGGAAGGGAATGAGAGTGCTGGGTGAATGTTATGGTTTGGTATTATTATTTACAGTTACCTGACCACTGCAATCTCTGTGCAGCAAGCACAGTGCCAGAGATTAACCCTCCGAACTTCAGTGGCCTCTCATCTGATCCCTTAGACACCCAGGAAGGCCAAACCCTGGCCCCCAACAACAGAACTGGGTATACAGAGGGAGATATGAGCCTGGAGCAGTTGTCACCTCTGAGACAATCCATCCCTAAGCAAGCAGAGCCTCCCTGCCCACAGATGCCACGTCCCGTCTCCTAGCCATGGACCCCAAGGAGAGGGGAGAGAAGAGGCTATGGGGCTGAGAATTGAGCCTTGAGCCCAGCTTGGGAACTGGACACCAGGGCCTGGGTCTTCCTCAGCCCAGAGCATTGTATGACCTTGGCCCAGCCCTCTCTGCCTTGTCTGCAGAGTTTCCAAGTGAGGAGCTTGCACTGCATGAGGTTATAGGGATACAGGGCAACACATGAGACTCCTTGTTCACTAAGGAAATAACTCCTTATGTGTGTGTGCATCTCTTAGACATGGGATCTACAGCCCAAACAACCTGGAGGATCAGGTGTTATCTTACAACTAAAAAAATAATAATAATGATAATAGCTAACACAGGCCATTTTGTGTTCTAAGTACTTTGATATAGATTAACCCATTTTGTCCTTATTACCCAAGGTCACCCAGCTTCTGACAGGCAGAGCTGGCATGTGAACCAGGCAGTCTGGCTCCAGCACCCTAACCACCACACCTCCTGCCTCTCTGGTGGAGCACAAAGGTGCCAGAGTCATCATCACTCAAAACCATCAAGCACCTTTCATGTGCCAGGCAGCACAGGGCCCTGCCCCTTCTGAGCTTACCCGCTAGGGGACGAGTTCTCTATGAATTTTCTTCTGGGAATGCACAGAGGGGTTTTGCCCAGGGTGGGGAGGGCTGGATGAACATTCCCTCCTACTACGACTTCTCCCTGATACACAGATACCTGTCTGATGTCAATAAGAATTAGAAAGAAAACAAGGATGTGAGGGAGGGGAGCTGAGCTGAGTCCAGGCTGGTGTCCAATGGTTAGCATTAGTGTCATAGGTCAGAATCCCTGGAAATACTCTGAGACTGTGAGATTGGCATTGGCAAGGCAGAGCGGGCATGCCCAAGGTCACGCAAGGCTTCTGGGCTGAGAAACACCCAGGCTCTGGTGTCCCAATTCCAAAGCTGGGCTCAAGGATCAATCCTCAGCCCCACAGGGTAAGCCTCTTCTCTCCCCTATCCTTGGGGTCCATGGCTAGGGGATGGGACATGGCATCTGTGGCCAGGGAGGCTCTGCTCACTCAAGCTGTACCACCTCTGAGTTGTCTCAGAGGTGACAACTGCTCCAAGTTCACATCTCTCCACCAGTTCTGTTGTTAGGGGCCAGAGTTTGGCCTTCTTGGGTGTCTAATCTCACAGCCTCACCGTTTCTGGGGGAGTTTACTGGGGAGTAATCCCAAGAACAACAGGAAGCGAGGGAAGCAGGGTTGGGCAAATGGAGAAATTGATCTGCCATGCAGTCATACCAAAGGCCTCAGCCAATCTCCCAAGGACCTCTGGAACTGGGATGGCCCTTCAGTAGTGTCACAAGTTGATGCAAGGGGACTTGGCCTTTGTACAACTCCCCCACTCCTACAATCAATAGGCCATTGGATACAGGCTGCCCCCAGGGAGGAGGAATAACGCTGGGCAAGGTTCTCCCCCCACTTCCATCAAAGGCAATTCCCTGAGACGGATTCAGCTGTGAGTCATCCACAGCCCACACACCCAGAAGCTGGGGAGCGAGCGCCTCAGACCTGAAGGGGAATCTGAGCATGCACCACAGCATCCACTACAGTCAGCAGCCGGGACTTGAGAGCGACGCACCTCCTCCCAGGAAACAAAGCAGCACTGTCATGGTGGCAGGAATGGCGAGCACAAGCCTGGCCCGGGAACACAGCTGGGGAAGTCTCAGTCACTGCAGGGACTTGGGCCCAGCTGGGGGCTCTGTCTCTAAGCCACTCACCACCCCCACCCTGTGTTACCCACTCCAGCCAGTCCCAGTTCCAATTCCAGCTCCCCGCCCCATCCTGCAGCGTGGAGATCTCCAACCCCATCTCAGCCCGGCTATCAGGAGGCCTGAATGAGTTTTGGCAAGTGGGAAAGTTTGTTCGCTGTAGGGTGCTGTCCACACAGGAGGGGGCTTTTATTAAGCTATCATTACTCTCTGCATCCCCTGCCTTTGAAAGACCTGCTTCCCTGAGCCCACCACACCGGCTTTCTTCCCTTGCCCTGGACTCCCCTCCCCTGATCCTTCTCTTCTCAGTCCTTTGAATCTTCCCTCTCTCACTGACTCTGTCTTGCCTTTCTGAGACTCTCTCTCTCTCTCCCCCACTCCCCCCTCACCCCCTCAATCTCCATATCCCTCTGCTCTATCTGCATCTCTATCTCCGTCTGATTTGGGTCTTTTGCCTTTGGGCCCTCTGCAGTTTCACTTCCAGCCAACACAGCTCACCGCCTAGTCTGTGTGCTGCCCCACATCTGCTGTCCAAGCCAGGTCTGGCTGGGGTCGGGAGGACTGGCCTCAACTCTCAGGCCCACAGCAGCTGCTGGGTTCAAAGCTCGCCCACCCACCCACCCCTCCAAGAACAGAGATGGCAACTACCCCAATCCTTCCTGGTTCCCAGGCAGGCCCAGAGTCCCAGACTTTTTTTTTTTTTTTTTTTTTTTGTTTCGTTCTTGTTGCCCAGGCTGGAGTGCAATGGTGCAATCTCCACTCAGTGTAACCTCTGTTCAAGTGATTCTCCTGCCTCAGCCTCTCAATTAGCTGGGATTACAGGCATGTGCCACCACGCCCAGCTAATTTTTTGTATTTTTAGTAGCAATGGGGTTTCACCATGTTGGTCAGGCTGGTCTCGAACTCCTGACCTCAGGTGATCCACCTGCCTCAGCCTCACAAAGTGCTGGGATTATAGGCATGAACCACCATGCCTGGCCCCAGACTGTTTGTTTACTATAGTAGTGTGGAGAGGTTCTGCAGCAATACAACTGTATCACTCTAAAAGCTTGGTGCTGGCTGGAGGCCAGCAGCCCCTCAGCATCATGGGCAGGCTGCCAGGCAACAAGGCCCTGCCCCTGGAGCAGTGCAAAGCCCTGGCCCTGCTCACCTGGCGACCACATTGGCACACTCCACAGCTGGGACTGAAGGTCATAGGCCTGGTGCAGCAGGAGTGGCAGCAGCATGCAAGATTCCCCACTAACCAGGGTGCCCAAGCCAGGCAGCTGCTGCCAACCCCACAGCCAACACAGAGCCCCTCCTCTTGGCTCTACAGAGATGGAGGGACTTCACTTCACAAGGAGCTCTCTACAAACCTGGTGAGGAGAGGAAATGCACAAACAGAGGGGTCATAAAAGCATAAACACTGACGAGCTCCCAGCACACTTACTCCACAAGCATAACTGAGCTGGTGGCTGCATCAGGCAAGCAGTCAGTGGGTGGGTGGGTGGGTGGATGGATGGATGGATGGAGAGAAGGAAGGAAGGAAGGAAGGAAGGAAGGAAGGAAGGAAGGAAGGAAGGAAGGCAGGCAGGCAGGCAGGCAGGCAGGCAGGATGGATTATGGATGGTTGGATAGATGGATAGACGGATGAATGGAATGACAGATGGAGCCATGGTTTCCAGGTTAGCGTAGCCCATCATACAAGACCTTCCTTTTCCTTCACCCCACCCAGAAAACCCCCTTTTTCCAGGTTTATTTATTCACCAAAGTCTATTGGAACTGTCAGATCTGTTCCACGGCCTCTGAATTTTGAGCAATTTTCTATTTAATCTTTTCTGCCCCTTTTCCTCCGGAAGAGGGTGAGGAGCCCAGGTCATGGGCACAAGCTGGGTGCACAGGCACAGGTGGGCAGTTAGGAACTGAAAAGTCTGCCCTGGCTGAGGCCCTGTGAGCTGATCATCGTAAGGAAAGGACAGAGTCAGCCGGGCACAGTGTGAACCGCCCTGCTGCCTCCAGCAGAGTTAGTGAAACCACAGGGAGTGTTCGGGGACTGCCCCATCAGAAAATGGAAGTTTTTCTTTTCTCCCTGCCAGCAGTCTCAGCCCTGAACTGGAACGTGGCTCCCTAGGCAGAGTCCAAAAACAGGGCTTAAGCTACACAAATGGGTTGGAGGGAGGCCAGGAGCTGAGTGGTAGAGAAGGAACAGAGAAGGTACAACTGGAAGCCCCCTGGGAGGGGATGTTCTGAGGCAGGCCTGACTGGAGAGCACCCTTTCTAGCCTGTCACTGGGTGGCTCCCAGGAGGCTAACAGCCTGCGCTTAGGCAGGGCCCAGTCAGGACGGGAAAGACCCTGCAGCAGTCATGTTCTCAGAACTGCCCCACCTCACCCACTGTGGAGATCCTGGTCTTCCTGGGTGGCACATACTGGGTACCTGAGGTGGCTGGGAGATGGGAAGAAGGTAGAGGAAACAGAGGAGGACCAGCTGTCTCCCCAGACTTCCCCAACTCAATGTGGTGCTGTGAAGACTAAATGAGATAATATACATAAAGTGCTTAGAAGCAGTGAGCACCAAATAAGTGTTAGCCACTGGCATCTAGGATAGTGCCTGGCACAAAGCAGGCACTAAATGTTTGTTGAAGGAATAAATGAATCCTGCCCCCACTTAGCTCCTCTACATCAAATACTGGAGAATTGGAGTCAATATTGTCTCTACAGCTACTGTGGAAAGTGGATGTACACATTAAGTTCATTCCCACCGCAGGGCCTTTGCACTTGCTGTTCCCTCTGCCAGGAGTGATTTCCCACACATTTTCACATGGTTCAGGCTCTCACCTGATTTAGATCTCTGCAGCTGGAAATAAGAAAGGGCTCTGACCATTGCCTGCTGGGAGAGCTCCCCACTTCCCAAAGTTGTCTCTCCTTCTCTAGTCCAGGACCCTCACCAAGTCCATAAACACACACACACACACACATACACACACACACGTATATCCAGGCCATCCTGACTAGACAGCCTCAGTGTCCCTACCCTATCCAGGGCTGGGCCTTGAGCCAACAGAGGATCTGGCCTGGCAGGTGGTCCCACCCATCTGCTGATGGCTGTCAGTGTCCCTGCATGACAAGGGCTCACTCAACTCACAGCAGAGGTCATGCTCTGTTCCCAACCGTCTGCCCTCCCAATTGGCCTTGGCAAAAACCACAGTACCATGCAAACACGAGGGTGCAATGAACCAGGATTTAAGAATCCTTGCTGTACCACTTAAGAAAAAAACACTTTTACTGAGCACTTACTGTGTGCCAGCCACCATGCTAAGCTGTCCACACACTTGAGCCCATTTAACTCACAAAAACTAAATGATCTTGGTTTTATCCTTATTTTACACCTAGCTGAGGCAGAATAAACTGGTCAAGTGCTTGGGCTCTGGAATGAAACAGAGCTGGGTTCAAATCTAGACTCCTCCACTTACTTGCTGTGTGACCTTGGGCAAGTTACTACAGCTCTCTGATCCCTGCTTCTCCCCTGTAATGAGGAGACATGACATTAACTGCCTGTCTGGGCTCTTGTGAGGATTAAAGGAGATAATGGGTGTAAGTACCGCATGGTGCCAAGCACAGAGCCTCCACCAAGGTCGGGGTCTGCCCTTCCCTCCTTATCTCACCAGTTCTCCTGCCAAAGTTTACAGGCTAGGACTGATCTTCTCCACAGTTCCAGACACAGGGCTGGGCACTGCCAGCACACAGAAAATTCTTGCTGATTGGCAGATTTTCTCAATTCCTGTCCCAGGCCTTGATTGCAGAGAGCACTCCCTTTCTCAGAGCTTCTAAGCAGAGGATTCCTGCCCTGGGCAGCCCCGGGGGGCAGGCACTCTGCAGAGACAGCCTCTGAGCTCTGCCTTGTTTGGAAGCCTTTCCCACCACCATGAGTCCTAGAACCTGAGCTTGTCCTGGCTCCCTGGGTCTGAGTTCCCACCCAGAAAATGTGGCCGCCACCCAGGCTCCTCCAAGACCATGGCCAACTGTGGGCCCACAGTCACTCACCCCAGTGCCTGGAGCCCTGACCTGCCCCCAGTCCCTTGGCTGGACCCTGCCACATGCTAACAGACATCCCCGACTCACACCAGCTGCCCAAATCACGCTAGAATAACAGGCTCCAGGCTGCTCACCACGCCCTCTATGGCTGCCAGCCACTACCTATGGCTGCCAGCCACTACCCATGGCTGTCACTTTCAGGCCACCCGAGAACCCCCACATGCTCACACGGAGCCTGCAGCCACATTGATGCCAGCCATGCCCTTGCAGGGCCCAGAAGCCTGGCAGAAAAATCACACAGGCACTTTGACATTAATCAAAGACACTCATAAATAAATATGTGTAAATTGTATGCAAACCAAGGTAGGAATTTACATCTTTCTCTGCTGAGTCAGCATCTCAAGGCACCAGGGAGGCTGCCTGTAGCTCAGGAGGTTTGGGACAAGAACCCTCAGCATCTAGGGGTCCATTGAACAGTCCCAAATTCATCACCTGAAGTTCTAGAACTTCCAAGTTTGAAGAAACAGCGATTTACTGACTGCCTGCCACACATCATGCATTCTCCTACATACTAGCTACTACAGGTATGAAATGAGATAGCATGTAAAGTGCTTAGAAGTGCTTACTGCTGGCACCTATAAGAACCCAATATATGTGAGCTATGATTAATATCCTCCAATTTAACCCTCACAATGACAATAATCATTAGTAAAACTACCATTAATATTATCAGCAATAATTACTATCATCGATAGGGTGCTTCCTATGCCACAAGCTCTCCATGAGTAGCAGACAGTGCTGGCGCTCCACCCCCATTCCTCCAGGCCCTACCATTTCAGTGTACTCTAGCCTGACTTCAAATTGCCTGCAGCTGCATCCTTGCCTGAGGGCTTCTTCTGGTCTCCAGGAGCCTGCTCTGCCCTCCCAAGGCAGGCTCAGAGTGCTAGAGAATTAACCTTCACCCCAACCCCCAGAATGACTGACATGACAGTAGATAAATGACCTGGCTTCCTCATCTAGCAAGTGGGGTAACTCTCAGAAGTGTGTTCAACACAGGCGCCCAGTGATCCTCAGTGGTCCAGTTACCCATAGTGTAACTTGCAACTTGCTCCAAGAGGCTCTCTCTGTGGGCTTCCTCCCCTCCCAGTCTCACAGGCCCACTCCCTACCAGCATTTCCTGGAATCACTTTCCTGCATGTGTTCAAATCCTTATCTTGGGATCTGCTTCTGGGGAAACCCAAACATGCATATCTCATTGAACCCTCATGAGAACCCTAAGAGGTAGAAATTCACCCTTAGCAGGATATCAGACTCCTGACCACGTTCTACAAGGGCCTGCTAGGTCTGCATCACCTCCCTCTTGGATCTCAGCTCCAGCTGCTCTCTCCTCTGCCACTCTGCTCCAGCAACATCAGCTGCCTTTTGTTCCTTGGACACACAAGGACACCTTGGCACCTCACAGTCTTCCCTGCCAGGACGCTCTTTCCATGGCTCTCAGTGTGACTGGCCCTTCTCATCCCCAGGCCTCAGCTCCCATGTCACATCCTCAGGGAGGGTTTTCTCAACCAACTGCATCTGGGCCCCTCCAGCAACTCTATCATAGCATCCGATGCAGTCTCTTCAAAACTCTTAGTATAATCTGTAGTCATCTTCTGTGAAACTGTTTATTTGTTTCCTGTCTGATTCTCTTCCCTCCTCTTCTAGAATGTACATTCTCTGAGGACAGTGGCTTTGTCTATCTTTTTCATGGCTATATCCTCAATGCTTGGGCGAAAACAGGTGATAAAAAATATTAGCTGAGGCCAGGCACGATGGCTCATGCCTGTAATCCCAGCACTTTGGGAGGCCAAGGCGGGCGGATCACCTGAGGTCAGGAATTCCAGACCAGACTGGCCAACATGGTGAAATCCCATCTCTACTAAAAATAAAAATAAAAAAATTAGCTGGACCTTGTGGTGGGCGCCTGTAATCCCAGCTACTTGGGAGGCTGAGGTAGGAGAATTGCTTGAACCCAGGAGGCGGAGGTTGCAGTGAGCCGAGATCACACCACTGCACTCCAGCCTGCGCAACAGAGCGAGACTCCGTCTCAAAAAAAAAAAAAATTAGTTGAAATGTAAGGACAAACTATTTGTAGGCTGGTGTGGTGGCCCATGCCTATATTCCCAACACTTTGGGAGGCCCGGGTGGGAAAATCGCTTGAGCCTAGGAGTTCAAGACCAGCCTGGGTAACATAATGAGGCCCTATCTCTACAAAACATCTTTTTTTAAAATAGCTGGGTGTGGTAGCATGCACCTGTAGTCCCCAGCTACTCAGGAGGCTCAGGTGGGAGGATCGCTTGAGCCCAGGAGGTCAAGGCTGCAGTCAACTGTGATCACGTCACTGCACTCCAGCCTGGGCAACAGAGCGAGACCCTGTCTCAAAACACACACACACACAACTATTTGTATTGTATTCCTGGGTTAAAGTTAAGTATAGCTAAGACAGTTTAAGCAAATTGCCCCTGGTCACACAGCTGGTAAGAGGCAGCACCTACACTCAGAATCAGGTCTGCCTGGCTCCAAGCCCATGATCTGAACTACTGTGGTACTCTATTTTCATTTTACAGATGGGGAAAACTGAAGCACTGGGAGGTTTGCCAGGAGCCAGAACAGGGACTTGAGCAGGTCTCCAAGCTGTAAAACCAGCGCTCCTTTCCCTATACCTCAGGCCCCACCCACGCTCCCCCCAAAGCATAGCCTGATACAAAAATCCTCCTGCGGCATTTCTGAGAGCAGCTACTCTGCCTTTACTCAATTCCTCCAGAGTCAGGGAGCTTAGTCTCTGACAAGGTGGTCCTTAGAATGGGGAACCCGAACACTGGCTCCCTAAAATGTCCATGGCTTGATCTGAACTCTGCTCCTTCAGGTCACAAAGAGTTTATCTACTCCCTGGGACCCAGGACAGCCCTGCAGACAAGAGGCAGAAGCTGCAATCTCAATGTCCATCAGTAGATTTTAAAGAAATTACAGTGCATCAACACAATGAATACTGTACAGCCATTTCAAAAGGGTAAAGTGGATAAGATGTATTAAAAAATAGACACACATCCAAAAACATTGTTAATTTAAAAAAACAAGTTACAGGCCGGGTGCGGTGTCTCACGCCTGTAATCCCAGCACTTTGGGAGGCCAAAGCAGGCGGATCACCTGAGGTCACATGTTCGAGACTAGCCTGGCCAACGTGGTAAAATCCTATCTCTACTAAAAACACAAAAATTAGCCGGTGTGGTGGCAGGCACCTGTAATCCCAGCTACTCGGGAGGCTGAGGCAGGAGAATTGCTTGAATCCAGGAGGTGGAGGTTGAAGTGAGCCAAGATTGCGCCACTGCACTCCACCCTGGGCAGCAGAGCAACACTCCGTCTCGACAACAACAACAAAAAAGAACAAGTTACAAAACACTATAAAACACTATATGCACTGTGGTCCCATCTTCTGCCAAAAGAATTCATATCTCTATCTATCTATATATCTGTACATAATAGATCCACAGATAACGATATAGATTACTACCTGGATAACCCTGGCAAGTTTGAGTTCAACTCTCTGAGCCTCAGTTTCTTCATTTGTAAAATGGGAATAATAGTTGCAGCTAACCCATAATGTTTTTGTGAGGATGCAATGCGTAAATTCAGGTAGAAGCATTTAGCACAGTACCTGCACATCATAAACCCTCAATAAACCTAAGCTACTATTATTAAGTACTGTGTGTCCACACAAAAAAAAGGTCTGGAAAGATATAGCCACCAGGAGTAGTTATGAGGAATGAGGCAGAGAGGCTGATGGAGGACTTCCATTTTCTATTTTGTATACTACTTTTCTAGTGTTTACAAATGAGCTTGTATTGTTTTTATCATCAGCAAAAACATAAAGATATTCCTATTTGGTGGAATAAAAGACACAAAAGCAGAGACCATGTCCTCGGAACATTCACTTCTCAGCTACCTCTTCATGGTTCCACATGCCCCCCTATTCTGGCCTTTCTCCCCATACACATTCCTAGGGATCCATGTCCCTCTGAAGCTGGCCAGGTGCCAGGGTGTCCTGACCAGTGAGAGCACCTTGCTCTGGATACAACGTTGATATTGATAAAACTTTTTGTGACTTTCTCTCTCTGGCAAGACGAGCATACCTAGGAACCCTGTAACTTCTCCATTCGTGCTGAGCCAGGCCTCTATTCTCCCACCTGCCCCCAAGGAGTTGGGTTTGGTCCCAGGTCAAGGTCCTGACATTTGCCCGACACAGTCCTCCTTATTAGACTTAGTCCCATCCCTGCAGCCCACAGAGAGGCTATTATGTCTGGATTCATTGCTGCCCCCTGACCTTCACTTCACTTCACCGATAAAGAACCTTGGGCAGGACAAGCCTCCACCAGGCTCTTGTCCAGGGCACTCTGGGTCCATTACCCAGCGCTTTTGGCTACAGTCAACCAACCAGGTATGAAAAAGACATGCCCTCTTCTCTGAAGCCCACTTCTTCTGAGACTGCAAACCAGTGTCTACAGTATCCCTCTAAGCCCTCATTTTTAAAAAAGAAGGAAATGAGATCACAGGGGCACAACCTATGGTCATTCAACAGGCATTCTTTATTGGTGAGTACTATAGACCGGGAATTGAGCTGGGTGCTGGGGGATAGAGGTGAAGCAGATCCAGTCCCGGAGCCCCAGAGCTCACAGTCCTATGGGAGAGACAGACACACAAAGAATTAATGACAATATAGGCCTGTAAATGCTAATGCACAAATGGACTGTGGAAGCAGGACAGAGGCTGTGGCTTAGTCTAGAGGGGAAAACTTCCCAGGGCTGGTGACCCTTGTGCTGGGATTTGAAGAATGTAAAGCAGAGATGGTGGACATTCCCAGGAGAGGGAACCATGTGTGTGGAGATAAGGGGTCTCGGAGGGCCCCGTGTGTTTGCAGGAACAGAGCTCAGTGTTGCTGGATTCAGAGGGTCAGCAGAGACAGGATTACCAGGGACTTTGGGCCTGATGATGTACATAACAGGGAGCAATAGAAGTGTTCTCAGGAAAATTAGCCAGGTGTGGTGGTGGGTGCCTGTAGTCCCAGCTACCCGGGAGGCTGAGGCAGGAGAATAGCTTGAACCCGGGAGGCGGAGGTTGCAGTGAGCCAAGATTGCACCACTGCACTCCAGCCTGGGCAACAGCGTGAGACTCTGTCTCAAAAAATAAATAAATAAATAAATAAATAAATAAATAAATAAATAAATAGAAGGGTTCTCAGGAGCCAAGTGCAAAGTGACATGTCCAAATTGTGTCTTAGTGGGAACACTGTGACCTGACTCAAGTACCTAGATGAGGGATTGGAGAAAGGGAGAATCATCCTAGACCGGTCACTGGATTTTATAACCTATCGATCCCCTCATGCGTTCTTTTGACTTTGGTTTCCCAGAGCCACTGGGGTTGTAGGCTTTGTCCAGTGCTCGAGGTACCCAGAGCAACCAGGCCAATGGACCTACAATTGAAGGTAAACTGAGGCATTCCACCTAAGATCCCGTTCCTCGGTAGAAAGGAGAACAGGGACATGAGCCCTGCACACACTCTGTGTTCAGCCACAAACCAAAGTTGAGGCTCAGGGGTGATTTTATCTGCAATGACAAGTCCATCCCCAGGCTCAGACAGGTATTGTTCCAGGCCCAGCAGACGTCCCCAAGTTAAACACACATCCAGGGCTCAAACAGACATTGCCCCCAGGCCAGGAAGATGATGTACCAGGCCCAGACAGATGTTGTGCCAGGTTCAAACACATGTCCTGAGCTCAGACAGAAGCTGTCCCAGGGCCAGATAATGTGCTGGGCTCAGCCAGGTGTCCCAGCCTCAAACAGATGTTGTCCCTAGCCTAGGCAGATGCTACCCTAAGCTCAGACAGATGTCTGCCACGAGAGATATATAAAGATGCTGAGAGGTCCCTGGGAAAATATAATTCCTAAATCCTCCTTCACCACTTCCACCCTCCACCTGCTACCCCCCAAGAAAGCTGAGAAAGGTCAGCAATGAGCCCAGACAACTCTCCCCAGACCTTCCCACCTTGCAAAAGCCAAGTAGTTGTATCATTCCATTCTTCCCCCTGACTACAAGCTAGACTACTACATTGGAGGCGTGGGGAGACATACAGTGGGATGATGAACGAGGCACATGTACAGGAGTACAGGGCACCTGTGCCATCTGGGGAGTAGCAAACGGTGATGCCCAGGCTAGCCAAGCTGACCCTATATTGGGAGAGGGAGGTGGGGGTGGTTAGAGGAAAATGTGGGTTGATGTAAGGACCAGGCCCATTAAATCCCACCTCAAACCTCACACTCTGTGACTAGAGGGGAAGGGAAAGTCCTGTGACCTCATCCCCGTACACACATGCTCTGCTCAACACCCAGGGAATATGATTACTGGGTCATGTGAAGGTAATTACTACTCCAAAGCTGGGCTGCATTAAGCTAGGGAGAAGGAGAGGAATAAGGAGGCTGATCCAGTGTGAACAGAGAATGGGGAGATGGTCCCATTTATCAGCTTGATCCTGGCTGGAAGAATAAGCTTCCTTCCCCAAGATCCCCCACAGGAGCGTCCAGGAACTGACAGCTTCCTGATAGGAGCGGCCACATCACTCTTATCCCTATTGGAAGCTAGAATTATGTGTACTGTGGCTATGCAGAGGTCAGGTTTCAGGAACTGCGGGTTTTGGAGGTTCCTGAGCCATGGGGTGGAGGCAGCCACTATACCTGAGACTGGGGAGTAAGAGGTGTTAACAGTGAGAGCCTGACCTCCCTATCTGCCCTAAGAGGTCTCCCACTTGGGCTCAGACTGAGTCTCTTCAAGAGGAGAGCTCCCCAAGCCACCAGGCAGCTAGCTCATGAATATGCAAATCAACCTTGAGCCACACCCCCCCAGCAGGTGCTGGTTGGGACTGCCCTCCTGTTCTACCTTCCTCCCCTAGGGAGCTACCCTGAGGCTGAGGAGGGTGAGATGTGGTCTCCCACCAGAGGGGAAGTACTCACACACACAATAAAACAGTATCCCAAAACACTCTCAAACGGAAGTACTGTCTGACACAATTACAAACCAAGTGTCTGACACTAATACAAACCAAGCAAAAGCACCCTAACACAAGCACATAAATGGGCATCTCTAAAGTAGAAACGTATGAATTCATGCAAGCATGCTAACATAAAGTCACCATATATACAAGCACACCAAGCCACCTACACACTATTATAAACATCATAACACATATAATCACAAGGGAACTGCCCTCCCTTCCTCCCACCCCACCCAAACTGCCTACTCCCACCCTTCAATTGGACTACAAAGTCAACCCAAGGCCCAGAAAGGTATCTCACTTTTCTAATGATGGTGACAAGGACTTAAATTATCATCCCCTGCTCCCACCCTATCCTGTGATGGTGAATTTTGCAGCCATCCGGATAAAAAGTATGTTTTAAAAAAAAGAAAGAAAGAAAGAAAGAAACTAAAGCCTAGCCCCAGCCTTTCAGAGTTGATTAATCCCCACTAATGATTTACCGATTTGCAGAGAGCGTGTTCTGCATAACCGGATTGTGGGCATTAACACCAGCTCAAAGGCTGACATTCTGCTAAAAATGAAAGTAAATTTCAAGAGCAATTGACCACCCCTAATTTGAATATTCTACTGACACTCTGGGAGGACCCCTACCCACACCCACAGCCTAGGGGCTGAGGCAGGAAAACAAAAATACAAGGAAAGATTCTTCCCAAAGAGATATTTCACCTTCTGTCCCTCCTTCCCTTCACCAAGACCTGAGATTAAATAAGTTAGATCGCTCCTTTCTCTTCTGCCAAAGGCAGCGACGGCCCTACTACTACTCCTCTCTTCTGCCTTGGGCTCTAAAGATTACAGGAAGGACAGAAGAACTGGACACCTGAAGGGGCTGAGCTTAGAGGGAGAGACGTAGGGGCTTTGAGGGCTCAGAAGGGTGAGCTCATCCTATGCGGGGAGAGCTTTAGGATGGTGGCAAGCACTACAAATCTGTCTAGATGGCACCCACCCTCGCCAAGGCAGTGGATCAATAAGATGACCCTGGCACCCTCCTAAGACTGGGAATTTATGACAGCTAGGACCCTGCCAGACTCTTCCAGTCAAAACCACATTGCAGCTCAGAATGCGCGGGCAGCAAGCCCCAGTGGGCGTGGTCCCTCCTGACACTCTTTAGCAAGAACTGGTTAGGGGAGCAGGCAGGTTCCACGCCTGCTCACACAGCCTCTTACCCACCCCAGATGGCCGGCCAGGGAGGGAAATCAAGCCACACTTTCCCTTTCCAAGTTTTCTTCAAGCAGTGATCTCACCCCCATCTTCTCAAGCAGCCAACAGAGACCATATTGCCCAACTTTCAGATGAGGATACAGAGGGTTAGGAGGCTGACACTGGCCCAAAATGAGGCCTGAGTCAGGGCCAAGATGGAACCCAGGACCCTTTACTGCCAAGCCAGGCCACTCTGAAAAGGCAAGATCCAGGGCATAAGGAGACTGCCAGGAGGGAAAGGAAGTGGCCCGCGAGTGCTGCCCCGGTCCAGCCAGCCTCAAAGACTCAAAGTCCATGCATGCGGGAGGCATCCTAAGATACACAGCCTGTCCGGCAGCACTTCCCATGGGCCCCATCTCTCCTCTTCATCTCTTAGCATTCCTGACTTGTGAGGAATCCAGGTGGAGCATCCTGGAGCCTGTCTTCCCCCAGCACTGAAAAGGCCTGAGGTCTGAAACTGCATCTGCTCTCAACCCATCCTGGACTCCTAACCAACTGACCAACTCACAGAAGAGAGCTCGGGGGCTCAGAGACCAAAGGGGGAAAGCAGCCAGACCCAGCTGCCTCCAGGAGACGCTGAGCAAGGCTCTTCCTCTTTCTCCTTCCCAAAGCTGTGCTCGGCGTGCCATTGTTAGGCCCCCTGACACCTGGGATGTGTGTCTGGAATACTGCCCTGTGTATGTGGCCGCCAGGGTGCTGATGACGACTGACTCGTGAGTATAGTTGTATTCTAGGTCCCACGTCTGTAACCCGGGGCTTTGCAGAAAGAGTATAAGGAGCTGGAGCTTGTGTAGCCTGTCCATCCCTGCAGAGCCTCCCTCCTACTCCCAGCCCCCCACAGCCCCCGGCTCAGAGACCCCCCACAGCGAGGGCCCCATCTGCTGGAGGCTCGGTGACCTGTGTCAAATGAGTAGGCGCTCGGTCACACTCCAGAGCCTGGAGGAGGCTGCTGTGCTCTGGGAAAGCCCAAGCAGCTCCTGCCTGGGGGCGGGCTGGGCAGAGGCCCCACTGGGGAGGGAGGCCCGGGAGACTCTGAAACTGGCGGCGGCCTGGCTGGGAGCTGCACTCCACAGAAAAGGAGAGTGGGAAAAAATATGAAAAGAAAAGCCTTGGGCCTAGCGCTGCAACCAAACCATGTGGACCAAACTCTGGGTTGGACACAGCCCTTTCCTCTGCTTTCTGATCCCCTGAGCGGATCTGTTATTTCTTACAGGGTGTGGGTAGATATGTCTGTGTGTCTCTGTGATGTGTGGGGTAAGCCTCTTTGTGCATCTGGGTGAGAGGGTGTGCATGGCTGGCTCCACGTGCTCTTGTGTGTGAGTATGATGGTATGCCTATGTGTGTGACTCGGCACACCAGCTGAGAGTCTCCATGTTTGTGGCCCCAAGAGCCTGTTAGGTTTCATGTATCTCTGTGTCAGCAAAGCAGTGCCTACTTCAGCCTATTTCAGCCTATGTGTGGGTTCTGTGTATCTCCCCATTTAGACACATGCCTGTATTTACCACTGGGTGTTGCTTTGTGTGACTATCAATATTCAGCCTAATGGTGCAAGTTTGTGTGTTCCTATTGTGAATCCGTACATTCAGTCCTGTGCTAAATTGCATGGTTGTATCTGTGTGTGTGTGTGTGTGTGTGTGTGTGTGTGTGCACACCTGTTCTCATGCCCACACCACTCTGTGTCTGCATGGGTCACGTGGATGTCTGACCTCTGTGTGTACACCCTGCCTACGTGTTGTGGGTCTGAGGATGAGTTCTCCCCAGGGCCTAAGAAGGTGGTGCTGCAGGACAAAGGGGTTGCTCAGCTGCAGATGTTTCTACCAGTGGCCATGTCTCAGCCCTAGTGTCCCACACAGAATCTTAAGAGTGATGTCAAGACTTCCTGGGGGAAACTTAACTCAAACACAAGAAAATTCTGACTCAAGACCAAACCCATATCCCTGTAGAAGGTCTAAAATTTCCAAAGCAGAGAAAAGAATTATATCTTTCCTGCTTCAAACTGCTTTCCAGCCCAGGCCAGCATCTAACATTTAAAGGGCACCTAAATTGCATGCCTTATTTCATCTGTGGAGCCTCAGAGCAATCCTGAAAAGCAGGCATTATTGTTCTCACTGTAAGATGCACAAACTTAGGCTCCAAGAGGCAATGTGGCTCACACAAAGTCACAGGGCTGCTAAAGGACATGGTGGGATTGGGACTTTGATTTGCTGGGTGACAAGCTGATAACCTAGAAGCCTCGCTACTGCTCTACTGCTGATGCCCCTCAATTCAGCACAGACATGGGAAGACGGTTTCAGGAGCCCCAGCAGGCCCTGGCCTGCCCTTGAGACCTACCAGAAACAGGGCCAAGGGCTCTCTTTGCTGTGCCAGCCAAAGCTGCTGCCTCCATAGACCCCCATCCCACGGTAATGAGGGGAATGATGAGTGAAAACTCACAGGTCCTGTGCCCTTGGACAAATTTTGGGTCCCTCATCTAGGCAATGAAGATAATAATCTCAGTGCTCTCTCACAGGGCTGAGAGGTACAGGTAAAAGTACTTGCTAAAACACTGTGCCTGTATGTATACCTATGTAACAAACCTGCACATTCTGTTCATGTATCCCAGAACTTAAAGTATAATTTAAAAAAAAAAAAAAAATCCGTGCCTGTTGGTCATTGTTCTTCCAGCCTCAGTGGCAATTCCAAAGGCTGGAAATCAAAACACCTGCCCGCTGTCCAGACTTCCTTCAACAGGAACTGAGACAGATTCACAGAATCACAGACCATGAGAGTGAGAAGTGCCAGAGAGGTCGACTGGTCCAAACCTCTGCAATCCCACGCTACAGGTGGAGAAACTGAGATTTAGTTAGAGAGGGGGAATGCCTTGCCTGTCACTGAACAGCAACAATGGAAACGACCAAAGTAAACACCTATCTGAGAGCTTTACACCCCCGTTGTCTCACATAACTATCTGACCTACCTTAGTGAGACAGGTGGGCTGCCTATAGTACTGTTATTCCCAACATACAGGAAGGAAAACCAAGAGCTAGGAAGGCTAGACCAGAGTTACTCTTGCCCAGGGAGATGATGGCAGCTCCAG
The DNA here is from genome assembly GCF_000001405.40 of Homo sapiens. Classification (NCBI taxonomy): domain Eukaryota; kingdom Metazoa; phylum Chordata; class Mammalia; order Primates; family Hominidae; genus Homo; species Homo sapiens. The sequence goes on along the minus strand of NC_000001.11, from coordinate 38,048,826 downwards.
GTTGAAAGCCCAAGCTTCAATATCACACAGGCCTGGTTAGGGCTGGCACGAGCATGGACTTCACTGCGGAATTCCCAGTCTTCCTCCTACCTCCCAGGCCTGGGAAAGGTGAAAGACCTGGGCTGCCTCAAGGTGACCATTCCCTGGGCCAGAGTCCAGGAAAGCCCAGTATCTCTAGCTCGGTTCAGACACAGAGCTCCATCGCAGCTCTTACAGCTAGGGTGGGACCACGGAGCCTGCTCAGGACAGTGGCCAATGGCAGGATAAGGGCCCTGCTCTGTCCCACTCCTTCCCTGGCTGGTCCTAGGGCATTCAGGGCCCACATGATCAAAGTCTGTGCCCAGGGTGACCCCTGTCACTGTCAACTCTGTCCCAGCCGCCCTGGATCGTTCCAATGGCAGCTGCCACCTGAGCCCCCAGCAACTTTTTTCAATCTAAGGATTTATTCCACAGACCTGATTTGCCCAGTGGGGCCCTAGGTGGGCCCCCAGCTCAGTTCTGTGATCTGGGACCCCAGGGCCCTGTAAGCTATAAATCCACTTGAGGCTAGATCCAGGAGAGAAAAGAGGGAGGACTGGCAGCTGAAGACTCCCTGGGACCCAAGCCTCGGTGTGGGGAAGAGGAGAAAACACAGCTCAGTACCCTCAGCCTGGGGCCCAAGGTCGGGTAAGAAGGCACAAAGGAACTGCAGTGAGGTCCGACTCCACTCAAGATCCTTCAGGGAGTCCTCAAGGGCTGGGGCGTGAGGAGGTAGCTAAATTCCACTGCCCACCTTTCCAACAAGGCCTCCTCAATCTCAATTCCCTTTTCAGCAGCTCCAGGCAAGTCCGGGCAAACTCTAGCCCAGGGCTCTTAGCGAGGCTGGACAGCTCCCGGCCTGCACGCCGGATTTCTGGAGAGCCCGAGCCCCTTCCCTGAGCCCATCCTTCTCCTCTCCCGGGGCGTGATCCCACCACGACCACAGCCGATGAGCCGTTCAAGCTGGGAGAAGGAGCGAGAAGGCTGCAGCGGCGCAGGTCAGATACCCCTGGGCCCAACGTCCACCCCCAACTAGCGCCCTTGCCAGCAGCGTTTTCCCCGGAGCCACAGTCTCCACCTCGAGATCTTCTCCTTCTGGAACCCCGGAGCGCGGCCGGGTACCAGGGGCTCGCGTAGGACTGTAGAACCGCTGCCGCCCGCCGTCCCAGCCCCAGCTGCCCGCGCGGTACTCACCTGGGCCTCAGTGCCCGGGAGAAGGTGTGCCCGCGCGAGGCGTGAAGCCAGAGTCCGTCCGACTCCGCCCGCACCGGACGCGCTCTCAGGGCAGAGGAGGTCGGCGGAGTTGTGACGCTGGGACTAGAGGAAGGAGAAGGAAAGCCGAGACGGGCCGGGCAGACGCGCCGAGGAGCGCCCAGTGCACGCTGGCAGCCGCGGGAGGCGAGGCGGGCGCGGTGAGCAGTCGCGCCGGAACCGAGCCGCGAATCCGCGCCGCCTCGCGCTCGCAGCCGCCAGGACCCGCGGGAATCCTGGTCCGCCGGCAGCGGTACTGAGGAGGGAGGGGCGCGGGGCTGAGCCGCTTCTCGGAGCCCGAGCGCCTCCCGGAGCCGGCAATCCCTGCTGCCCGGGCGGGATGCGGGCGGGAATTCAGCTCGCGTGGAATGTGGGACCGGCCGGGCTCGGAGTCTCCAGCGCTGGGGGAAAGCGGGGCCCACACAGCCAGGACGAGAGGGGGTGCGGTCCCAGGGCCACCCCCGCGCCACTCCCCACGTGGCGGCCGCGCCCCCGGGGCGTGAGTGTGTACGCGGACGGTAGGGGGGCCGTGAATGAAGCCCCAGCGGCCAATCAGCACGGCCGGCGCGCGGGACCCCGGGAGCGACGCCCAATGGAGAGCTCTGGGCGGCCGGGCAGGGTGGCGGGCGGGCGCGCGGGGCGGGGGCCGGGCAGGGGAGGCGGGAGGCAGCTCCGCGGGCAGCCAATGGGCGGCGGGCGGGGTGGGGCTCCGGAGCGCCGAGCGGGTCGGGGCTTTAAGCCGGCGGAGCGAGGCGGCGGGGCCCGCAGACGGAGCGGAGCGGCGGCGGCGGCGCGGCGCAGGGCGCGGGGCGGCATGGCCACCACCGCGCAGTACCTGCCGCGGGGCCCCGGTGGCGGAGCCGGGGGCACCGGGCCGCTTATGCACCCGGACGCCGCGGCGGCGGCGGCGGCGGCGGCGGCCGCGGAGCGATTGCATGCAGGGGCCGCGTACCGCGAAGTGCAGAAGCTGATGCACCACGAGTGGCTGGGCGCGGGCGCGGGCCACCCCGTGGGCCTAGCGCACCCCCAGTGGCTACCCACGGGAGGAGGCGGCGGCGGCGATTGGGCCGGCGGCCCGCACCTAGAACACGGCAAGGCAGGCGGCGGCGGCACCGGCCGAGCCGACGACGGCGGCGGCGGCGGAGGTTTCCACGCGCGCCTGGTGCACCAGGGGGCGGCCCACGCGGGCGCGGCATGGGCGCAGGGCAGCACAGCGCACCACTTGGGCCCGGCCATGTCGCCCTCGCCCGGGGCCAGCGGGGGCCACCAGCCCCAGCCGCTCGGGCTGTACGCGCAGGCGGCCTACCCGGGGGGCGGCGGCGGCGGCCTGGCCGGGATGCTGGCGGCGGGCGGTGGCGGCGCGGGGCCGGGCCTGCACCACGCGCTGCACGAGGATGGCCACGAGGCGCAGCTGGAGCCGTCGCCGCCGCCGCATCTGGGCGCCCACGGACACGCACACGGACATGCACACGCGGGCGGCCTGCACGCGGCGGCGGCGCACCTGCACCCGGGCGCGGGCGGCGGCGGCTCATCGGTGGGCGAGCACTCGGACGAGGATGCGCCCAGCTCGGACGACCTGGAGCAGTTCGCCAAGCAGTTCAAGCAGCGGCGCATCAAGCTGGGCTTTACGCAGGCCGACGTGGGGCTGGCGCTGGGCACGCTCTACGGTAACGTGTTCTCGCAGACCACCATCTGCCGCTTCGAGGCCCTGCAGCTGAGCTTCAAGAACATGTGCAAGCTCAAGCCGCTGCTCAACAAGTGGCTGGAGGAGACCGACTCGTCCAGCGGCAGCCCCACCAACCTGGACAAGATCGCGGCGCAGGGCCGCAAGCGCAAGAAGCGCACGTCCATCGAGGTGGGGGTCAAAGGCGCGCTCGAGAGCCACTTTCTCAAGTGCCCCAAGCCCTCGGCGCACGAGATCACCGGCTTGGCAGACAGCCTGCAGCTGGAGAAGGAGGTGGTGCGCGTCTGGTTCTGCAACCGGCGGCAGAAGGAGAAGCGCATGACCCCTGCGGCCGGCGCGGGCCACCCGCCCATGGACGATGTATACGCGCCTGGGGAGCTAGGGCCTGGCGGGGGCGGCGCATCGCCACCCTCCGCGCCCCCACCGCCCCCGCCGGCGGCGCTGCACCACCACCACCACCACACACTGCCCGGCTCAGTGCAGTGACCCCGCGGGCCGGGCCCCCGCCGGCGCGCTGCAGGGCGCGGGCGCGCAGCCCGCCCGCGCGGCCTGGACTCTTTTTGTTCGGTTGCTTTGGATTTTACAAAAAAAAAAAAAAGCCCAGAAACTTTCGAACAAAACCAAACACCCGGACGACCCTCTCCGGTGAGCGGCGAAGACAGCCCGGTAGGCTGCGTCGCCCGAGCCCCGGGAGAGAGGAGCGAAGATCCGGAACTCGCCAACTCACCCCGGGCATCCTGCCCGCCGCCTGCTCTCTGCCCCCATCCCCTCGACGACCCCCGCCCCTGCCCCCCCGGGCTGTTCGGGGCCGGATCCCGGCAGCGGCCTCCCCAAAGCGACAGGTAACGCAGTGCGGGGTTAGGGATTCCCCGGGAGAGAGGACGAAGCGAGGAGAGTTCTCCATCCCCTCTCCCCGCGTGGACTCCTGAGCCTGCGGGTCCAGGGTGGGGGGCTGTCACTTTATTCGCTACACGCCTCTTCTCTCCTATAAGGATGCGCCCCACCCCGCTTTCCCCTTTCTCCGGGCTTGGTTTTTTACGGTTTTTATTTATTCGTGGAGCCTCTCGGCTCCTGGGGTCCTTCTAACTCCGCCCGCGCCCTTAATTTAAATCGCAGTATACTGTATTTATCGGGGCCCCGGAGGGGAGGTCGCGAGAGCCGCGTCTGTGTATAAAAGCAGGAAATAGCCAAAGCTTTAATCTAGCCTAATTTATTTTTCCCCTTATATTTCCCTACCCTACCCTCCCCCCAAAAAAAAGCAAAAAAAAAAAAAAAAAACTAACAAAAAAAATTCGAGTGTTCATTTTTCGTTTCGTTTCATCCGAGCCCCGGCTTGGTTCCCGGCCACGCCGGAGGGGTCTGCGCTCCCACACACCCAGACGGGAAGGGGCTTCTGCCCTGCTGCAGACCGACCGCCGCATAGCGCGGCCCCTGCTCCCCGCGGGGCCCTGCCCTCCTGGCCACACCAAACGAAACTTGGAAAAGTTAGAGAGATTGTTTTTTAACCAGCTGTAGAAATAAGCCGTTCCCTGAGAACCCTCCGCCTGATTCCCTGCAGCTTCCCTCTGCTCCCTTTCCAGCCCGCCGGGATGCGGGATGCCAGGGGAGGCCGGGAGAGAAATTCCCCAAGTTTGGGGTGAGGTGGGAACCATGTAAATATGTGAGATATGTACACACTGGCGGGGAGAAGAAACATTTTGTGCTTGGTTTTTATTTTTGGTTTTCCGGGTTACCCTTCCTTCCTACCCTAAAGGATTTTGTACACTGACTAATCCGAAAAAGATATTTTAATATGATTTCCGAATTTCTGACCCATCTCTATTTATTTTCTGGATGTGTTTGGAGCTTCCCCCTTCTCCGTTTCTTCTTCTGTTTGTTAAGGTTTGAATTTAAATTTTGTTATTTTATTTTTATTATTTTTTGAAACAATGTTTCGGTGCATTCTCTTTGTATCTTTATTGAAAAAAAAATAATGTAGACTGGGAAGTTCCCTTTATATTTATGTTATAGTAAATATTTTATTACTCACATAAACATGTACCCCAGGGCTGTGTCCTGTCCTTTTTACTGCTAGGGCTGGGTGGGTTTTTGGGGTGAAGCGATGGGATCCCCTGCTTCACCTCCCTGAAGTTCTGATCTCACCAGGAGAGATCTTGGAGGAAGATGACCCTGCAGACCTTCCAGGTGGATATCAGGACATGGGCAACAGTTGGGCCCCTGCCTCAGATGCATCAGTTTAGGGAAGATGAAGCTGCCTCGTGTCCCCCTGTCGTAGACAGACTCTCCTAGACCAAACCAGGGCCCGGGACAGTGAGCCAAAGACACCACATGGAATTCGGATCAGCCATTGTTCATGCACAACTCGACTGCTCTTCTCCACCAAGAAAGAAGCCCACCTCGGCCTGGGTCACCAGCCTAGAATCTATAATCCCCCACCTGACACCTCAACCCCCAACTTTCATTTCACCTTGCACTCTATATGAGAGGTCTGAGCCAACTTTACCATTCCCAGTCCTAGGGCACCTGGAAGCCTGGTGAGGCCCCACCATCCTACTCCAGCAGGCTCTCCACCCAAACTCAAATGGTGCCCAAGCCCCCCTGGATGCACTGGGAGTTCTAACAGCTTAGACAGACGTGGCTTTCATGGTCCTACGTGAGCTGGGTCAGCCTAGGGAGGGAGCCCTGCCAATTTGCTTGGGCAAAGCCGGTCTTATGTCTCTGCAAACAAACCGCTGCCCCAGCTTCTGTTGGGGAGAAGTGGAGGCACGGGTAACTGTGCCATCAGAAAGACCTGATATCTTCTTTCCAAGGTTGGGTACCCAAGACCCTCATCACCGCCACCACTGCAGGGAGTGATAGGAAGGAGAGCACAGACCTCAGATGCTGTCTTCTGGAGTGAGTCAGGGTATCTGGGGGCAGATCTGGTTCCCGACGCAGAGCTCCAGACTACCTGGGTTCCAGTCAAGACCTTATTTTCTCCTTTAAAACAACCCTTCTTAAAAATACTGATAAAAGAGCTCTTCCTGCTTCCTCCGTAGACGCAGTTCTTTTCCCCTCTCAGGAGAAGCCACATGCGGTTTCTCTCACTCTTTGTGAAGCCAAAGCTTGAAGGCACAATCTCTTAGCTGGGGAGAAAGCTGACCCTAGTGAGGGGGCGTGTGGGGCCCCTCCTGCCAGGGAAGCGGCCCAAGTCCAGGCCTGTGAGAGGCCTGGGCTCTAGCTGACGGTGTCAGGGATGTCCAGAGAGGTGTCCCCAGGGCCCCAAGTTGGTGCTCCCCGGCGGGGCTAGGGCCTCGGGATGACTGTGCCATGCTGAGAGTTCCTGGCGACTTTCTGCGCTCGGCCCTCACTCTTGGGGGGAATTGTCTCTGCAAGTACAAAGGCTGCCTCGGCTTCTAGAGGCCCAGCCCCTCACTCCCTGCTCCTTTTTTCTTCTCCTCCTCAGCTCAGTCCAGCCAGGTGAGTGAATAGCCCTGTAATTGGCACCTGTGTCCCAGCCGTTCCCCACACTGGTGGGCCAGGCAGCCTTCCCTCCCATGTTTCCTAAAGAGGAAGCTGGCAACATACCGGCCAGCTGGGCAATGGCATAGCCAGGAGCCACTGACCACCCTGCCTCAGCCTCTCATTTCCTACTCCACCAAGAACAAAACTTTGAAGCCGCCACACACTCCTCCCTGCTCCCTCATTTCTCCATTCCTGGATTTGTCCCAGCCTCAAGGCTCTGAAATGGAAGCAAATGAAGCTGAGAGCTCCCGCCGCCTGCGCGGCCCAGAGCCTCAGCAGGTTTTGAGGTTGGAAAGGGCCACCGGGAAGATGAGGCCTTTCACCGGCCTCTGCCTGCAGCTGACACCAATTGATTGATTGATTTCCTAATTGTCTGCTTAATCCTCTACAAGAGGGTGGGTTTATTATTTAAGCAAGTCAACTCAAAAATAGCAAAACAAAGCAGCCTCCCAAGAACCAGCAGCAGCTGAGGAGTAGAACAAAAAAAAATGAGAAAAAAAAAAAGTGGAAAAAGGGATGGAAGAAAATCTTTTACTTTGCAAGGATCTGGCTTAATGAGATACCAGCATGAGATAGCTACCTGGTGATCAACCCCTTGGTCGCAGAAGGCCCCTACATGGTAGGAATCTCAGCACTTTATAGGAAAGAGAAATCTTTTTCCCTGGATAGAATAGAGTTAGGACAAGCACAGCCAACTGTGGGCTTGATGCAGTCTCTCCGTCCCAAGGGTATGTATATCTACCTGCTTGTGCCTGAGAGCCTCAGACTTCCTTTTGTTCAGGAGAGGTATGTGTCCCTAGCATCAACCTCCAAGGAAGTCCAAGCTTTCCCTAGCATATTGGGAATTTTCTGATCCCATCTCCTTCCGCATCTCACTTGAACAAAATTATTGTTTATGTTGATGTGGCCACAGATTATGGTAGTTAGAACTCTCTCCCCATGTGAACCTCTGCAAGTTGGTGTAAGAATTTGTGTGTATGCTGTTGTGTGTGCAAAGCCACAGCCAATCCCAGAGGTAGGAGAGGGAAAAGAAAACCCAGGCTACACTGCTAATGCTTTCAGCAGGAAGAATATTTGTAGAATGGAGGTTGGCCAATACCAAAAGGAAGGAAAATGGTCATCTTAGTCACCTGCGGTCATCAAGGCAAACCCAGAAGGTATCCTGCCTTGAGGCGTGACGACATTATATTCTCCCCCACCTACTGCCCAGAAGGTTGCACTAATTTATATGTTGCATGCCTTAGGTCCTATGCAATCATCCCTTGACCTTAGGACTTGACTGGATGTCCATAGGACTAACTGACCCCCAATCGCAGGTGCCCACTTAGAGCCGTTTAGAACTCATCCTCCCCTGGAGAGGCTCTGGGCCTCCAATGACACATCCAGGGCCGGGCTGCCTCCCTCCCTGGAACTTTCCCTAGCAGGGCTTCAGCTCCAAAAAGGAGACCCACCTAAGCAGAGGGTGGAGTGAGAGGAGACTGGTTATCAGGCCTAGTTACTCTCCTAAGCTCAGCCAAGATGATCTACCCAGGGCCTCTGGCTCAGAGACTGAGACCAGAGGTAGCTGGAGGAGCCATCCGTTTTGTCCCTGCCTGTCACATTTGAAGGCTCTGGAGTTGAAATGGTGTTTGGCCATTTAGGGCTCCCCTTGCTGCCTCTTGAGGCCTCCATGTGGGAGGACTGCCCTCTATTGGTCCCTGAACTGGGACCTGGTAGCAGTTACCAGAGCCACCTTGAACCTAAGCATGCCCTTAAAAAGTCAGCTTCAAGTGGGCTGTTCGAGGAGGACTGCCAGTTAGAGCAGAGGCAACTTTAGCCTCCAAAAGAAGCAAGCCTGCCTCTCTCTCTCTCTCTCTCTCTCTCTCTCTCACACACACACACACACACACACACACATACATACACACACACACTAATCCATGACCCTTCCCTCTCATCTTCCACCCTGCCCATTCACACAGCCACTCTCAGAAACCCACGATCATACACCACCTCCTCTCTCTCTCTCTCCACTCATCCCCATCCCCATCACTCCTCCCCTCAACCAGTTAAAACCCCAATCCAGGCTCTCACCACCTTGCTCACTCACACGCATGCTAAGACACCCATGGTCACACCCACACCACAGTTTGGGCAGTCTAAGACTAGCTTTCTGGTCTTTGGCACTAAGCTCTTGAGAGTCACTGAGTACCTGGCACATGTAATATTTGATTAAGCACACACGGCCATCCTTTGCAACATTTGACCTGGTCCCCTTCTCTCAGGATTTCCAAGCACTTGCCCCTAAACTGCTTTCCAAACACATTCCTGTCCATCATTGTCCCAGCTCCTCCCAGATCTCTTCCGGCTCCTTTCAGATAATTAAAGTTAGGCTGTGTGTTTGTATGTATGTGTGATCTTATTTTTTAAACACACACCCCCACACATACATATGCGTGTATATATACAAACACACACAGCAATTAGATCTATCCATTCCTGCCGTAGTCCTTCTTGTGCAGTAAAACCTCAGCTATGCATATGCCCCCACATTGCTATGCAATGAACCCAGCATCACCTAGTCACGGGCCCCTGATGTCACACACACACACACACGCGCGTGCGCACGCGCGCACGCACAGTGGCACGTTCACATGGTTACATTGGTCTTTCTCCAAGGGCATGACCCACCTCCCACTACCCACCCCGCTCCTGGGCATCTGAGTGGGCTCTCCTCAGATGACCTGAGTACCAGGAGAGCTTTGCTCCAATCCCTGCCCCCAACACATACACACCAGTGGACATGTCTCCTGCTGAGCCTGACCAGGGTGGGTCTGGGTATTATTAGGCTGCAGAGACAGCACGGAGGCATATGGTCTCGTACACAAGAAATAATGTTCATGTTAAATCAGACCTCATGCATAATGCATGGTGCCTGATCTCACATTATTTTGGGTGTTCGTCAAAATCAGTGTTCTTTCTTATAAGGGCTCCTGAAAAGAAGTGAAAAGGCATTTGCTAATTACACCCACAGCCTGGACCCAGAGAGCTGGGAGTGCCCCCGGGAGCCTCCCTCTGGCCCCACTTCACCCACAGTGGGTCCCATCCCTCTGCCCCACTCTGTCTTCCCACTTGGAAGGAGGGGCTGCCTGGGGTTTGTGGCAGGCGTAAGGCCCCGTGTTATTTTTATTTCTTTTCTCTCGGCTCTCTGTCCCTGGAGGGTTCTGGGGAATAGCAGTGGCTCTGTCGCTCTCACACCCGATTCATTTGCCGTTTTATGAACTCCCCGTTGATTCATCGCCTCCCTAAGTCAATGATTCACTCCTGATGGCTTTTCAGAAATCCTTCTTCAAAGGCTCCAGATTATTCAGCTCTGAGCAAGAGCAAGAGCCGGAGCAGACCTGGACCCTGCATTACCACTGCTCCGTGGCCTGGAATGGGATATTGTCCCCATCCTTGGGCCTTCCCTGGAGCTGGGCTGGCCTGGAGAGGAGGGAGTGCTCCATCCACACAGAAGCTGGTAGAGCTGACCCAAGCAGCTCATGGACAGACCAAGCCCATGGCCAGGCACCCTCCAGCCTCTGTGGGTCACCTGCCTTCTCCCCTTGTCATCACAGTCCCTCCGGAAGCTATCCACGCCTCCGAGGAGGTAGAGAGCAGAATGGTGAAAGACAGGGGCTCTGGGACCAGACACCTGGGCAAAAATCCTGTCTCCACTTCTTATCAGTTTTGTGACTTTAGGCCAACTACCTACATTTCTGTGCCCCCATTTCCTGGTATGGTAACAAAGGCAGTTCCCTGATCATAGAGTTGTTTTGAGAATTAAGTGGGATAATATGCATATAGAGTTTACATAAGTGATGAATAAATGAAAGCTGGTTTTTTGTTGTTGTTGGTTTTTTTTTTTTTTTTTGGAGACAAAGTCTCCCTCTGTGGCCCAGGTTGGAGTGCAGTGGCGCAATCTTGGCTCACTGCAACCTCCACCTCCCGGGTTCACGCCATTCTCCTGCCTCAGCATCCCTAGCAGCTGGGATTATAGGTGCCCGCCACCACACCCAGCTAATTTTTGTATTTTTTTAGTAGAGACGGGGAGGTTTCACTATGCTGGCCAGGCTGGTCGCAAACTCCTGACCTCAGATGATCCACCCACCTCAGCCTCCCAAAGTGCTGGGATTACAGGTGTGAGCCACCATGCCCAGCCTGAAAGCTGTTTTATTGTGAGGCCTGAACAGGGCATTGTGCAGAAGCAAGTGAACAGGGAAGAAAACCATAATGTAATGAACTTTTACCATGGACCCCACTCTGTCCAAGGCATTCTGAGATACTTTCCCATCACTCCTTTGTGCTTTATTTTCACTACTTCACATTAATTATTTGTATTTTATAGATGAGGAAAGTGGTACCCAGAGTGACTTGTCCACGGCAGCAAGATTTGTTAATGACAGAAGCTGGGATAAAGCCCACTTTTTCTGACTCCCAGAGCCCACTCAGATGTCCTGGATATGGACCTGGGACATGGACTCCCAGGTCCATGGCACCCCCTGCTGGGGCAAACACTGTGTTCAGTGCTTGGGTATTTGCCCAAGGCAGGGGAGGTTCCAGGACTCAGGACTGGGCCAGGGAGAGAAGCTGGGGACCAAGGGTGATGGGGTTCATTGGCTAGAAGCTGCCCCTCCCTCCACTACCCCACTATCAGGGTGTGTTTTGAAAACAGAGAGACTCGTTTTTATCTATCTCTGTGCTCAACACAGGGCTCTTATCTTTCTCTGTGCTCAACTTAAATCTCATGAGGCTCAAGGAAGTTGTGTAATTTGCCTGGGATCATCAAGACCGTCAGGAAGCCCTTCTGATTGATCCACTCCAAGCCTCCATGTACTGCGCAGTTCCATGTAGCGCCTAAGAATGTGGGCCCTGGCAGCTGCCCAGACATTCATCCTGGCTGCACCACCTATTACCCTTGAGACTTTTGGCAAGATACTTAAGCCTTCCAAACTTCAGTTTCCTCATCGGTAAATGAAGATAATAATAGTGCCTTCTTTGTAGAATTGCTGTGAGGAGTAGATAAGAGATGATATATGTAAACACTTAGAAGACAGCCTGGCACATTGCAAGTGCACATTAAATGTTGGCTATAAAAATAATTTTATATGTACAACATATATTATTATATTATTGCTGAGCTTAAGCAGTGCAGAAAAATAATGCCTAGTGCTTCCCCGGCCTAGAATTATTTCTCTTCATTCTCAAAACCACTCCAGAAAGAAAAGCTCAAGATCCCCATCCCCAGCCTACAGGTGAGGAAACTGAGGCCCAATGATATTGAGGGCCTTAACTGAGATAACCCAGAAAACTAGCGATAGATACAGATTCTCAATCTATTCTCTACTTCTGCCACTTTGTAGCATTCCCATGACCTCAGTCATGTGCACTGGTCCCCTTCTATGGACTAAGGTTCTGTCCTAGGTTCTGGAAGACAGCACTCAGAGGGTCAGGGAAGGCCTCATGCAGGGTGGTACCATCAAGCTGGGTCATGAAGAATAAGTGAGTGTTTGCCTGGGGGCAAGGTGCAGGGGGGTCCTGGCTCTGGGCCTAATCCCAAAGAGCCAAAGTCACTCAGCCTGAACCCTTAGACTCCACTCATTTACTTTCTTGCCCTTCGCGGGACCCTTCCACCAGTAGCCCCCTGCCCTCTCCTTTAACTCCAGCACAGAAAATTCAACTCAGGGTCAAAGACCCTGTGGAGTCACACACCATAAGACTAAGTCTGTCTATAGATTCCTTTAAGTCTCAATTCCTGCTTCTTCTGCATCTCTGCCCAGAGGTTGACCACCAAACCATGCCACAGCACAACCAAGCCTCAAAGGTGGTGCCCAGGTACCTGCATCCAGGCCTCACTCCACTGTTCATCCCAAGTTGGGTCATTTGTCATCCCTGGACCTCAGTGTATGAAACAGGCATTCTCCCATTCATTCCTCCATCCATCTATTCTACATCCATCCACTCACCCATTCATCAACCCACCCACCCACCCATTCATCCATCTACCCACTCATCCACTCACCCATTCATCCATCCACGCTTCAACTACCTATTCAACCACTTACCCATCCATCTACCATCCGCTCATCCAATCATCCAATTTAACAACCAGGCCTTATGTTGAGCACAAAGATAGATAAGACCAGTCCCTCTGTTCTCAGAACACTCCTAGATTAGTCTCTTCCCTTCCCTAACTCTGAAGTCATATAGGGTAGGTATACGAGGGCCTACATGAAAAAATTGGGAGGAAACAATGAAGTTGATTGTTGCATCTATGCATCCTGTGTGTCAGAGACTGGGAACCTCCATGCCTCACTCATTTCTTGAGGGCCCCACAGAAAGTGTTGTCCATATGGACTCTGCATGGCCCTAGGACTCCCCTTAGCTCTATTTTTTTTTCTCTGTTGTCAAGGCTGGAGTGCAGTGGCGTGATCATAGCTCACTGCGACTTTGAACTCCTAGGTTCAAGCAATCCTCCCACCCCAGCCTCCCAAATAGCTAGGGCTACAGGGTACAGGCATGTGCCACCACGGCTGGCTAATTTTGTTTTCTTTCTGTAGAGACAGGGTCTCTCACTAGGTTGCCCAGGCTAGTCTCAATCTCCTGGCCTCAAGCAATCCTCCCACCTTGGCCTCCCAAAGTGTTGGATTACAGGTGTAAGCCACCGTGCCCAGCCTCCAATTCCTTACTCCAAGGACACAAGTGCTAACCTAAACTGGAGGGATTTCAAAGGAAGTGGGGAAGAGGAAGGAGTTCATGAACATAACTTCTGCCAAAACTGAAGTCACCAATGGGACTCGGTTTCTGTCAGAAATGGCAGCAGCATCTCCAGGAAGGTATAGGGAGATATCACCACCAGCTGGGGCCTGTCACCACCTAGCTGTATGACTTTGAGCAAGACCCTGCCATTCTCTGAATCTCAGTTTCCCCAGCAGTGCAGACTGTGGGGTCTATGGGTTTTCCCAGTTTGAGGTGGTCCTCCTCAGTTCTCGCTTCCCTTCCAGCCTGGGTGGGCCTGCTCCCCTGACAATGGGGCCTCTCTGGCCGGCCCACACATGAGGCGGGGTAGGAGATGACGTGGTTGGCGTCCAGGGCCTGGAGTCCTCTGGCTATTCAATCAACCCCCCTCCCCTGACACAAACAACCCTCAGTTGCCTCCCCCTCCCAGCCCCAGAATCTGGGCACAGCTGGGGCCTGCTCTGCCCTGGCCACCCCATGAATCACCCCTCTATGGTCCGCGGGGGAGTGGTCCAGGGAGCATCCTACGCCCCACACGGGGTGAGGGCCAGAATCTCGGCCCTCAAGCAGGCAGTGTCCACAGGAACAATGGGGGCCTGTGGCTAACAGCCGGAATGCAGCCATTGTCCAGCCCTGGCCCCCAACCCCAAGGCCTCAGGTCCCCAGGCTGGGCAAGCTGGCGTGGGTCGGTGCGTCAGGCGCTCGTGTACCAGGGCCGGGGACACATGGCCTCCTACTTCCCCTCACTGGGGAGGCAGGCGGGTAGGCTGATGGGCCAGACCCACCTCCACACCCAGCCTCACAAAGAGTCCCATGCACAGGGTGAAGAGAGGCAAGATGGGGTGGATGGAGCAGACTCTCGGAAAAGGGGCCTAGCAGCTCTAAGACCCCAGCTATACATCACAGTGGGGAGGGGGACCACATTAGAATAATGCAGGATTAAAGTAGGGTTGCTATAGCGATGCATGAGGGCAATACATCTAGGGAGCCCAGCCCCTTGGTGATGTATGACTCTGCCTGGCTGTGGTGAGCAGGGGGAAGGGATGTGTCCCACCCCAGCCTCCAAGGGGATAGCTGACACCAAACATTCTCTTCACCTGGGGGAGAACATCTGCCTTGAACTCCAAATATAGACATCTCAGAATCCTGTCAAGACTGAAGGAGACGCCCTTCCAACCCAACCTCCAACATCTCACTTTAGTCCACGTTCAACTCGGCTCCAACTTCAAATCCCAGCTCTAGCCTCAGCCCTGGCCTCTGCCCATCCTCAAACTCAGCCCCATGGGGTCATACAAAGCCTCCATCCCAGCCCCTTCAGGCCCTGTCCTTTCCACTCCACTGCTAAGGACCATTCCTATTCTGTCTCCCCCAGTACCTGAGGAGATTCAGAGGACTCTATGCAGGGTGGCAGCCAAAGGACACAAAAGGGAGGAGGTAGGATCACCCAGAAACACTCCTCAGCCACACCACCTGAAGCTGTTAATTTGAGAGAAGCCTGGAGAGTTTGAGGGCACATGTGCTGTCCCCTCACCCAGATGCCTCCTCATGCCCATGCCTGGGTGCCCCACCCTCATCTCATCCCAGGCGGGAGCTTAGCTTCCTGCCCCAAACTCTCAGGGCCACCAGAAAGGTTTAGGGGTGGACCAGCCCTAGTGAGAAAATTGGATGGTGCTCCCAGCAAAGGAGTATTCACCAGAAAAGCTTCACACAATATATGTAATATGACAAAGTCGGGCCTTGGGCTTCCTTTCAGCTGCTGTGTCATTCACACTGGTTTGCCCCTTCTCTGAGACCCTGGACCTCAACCCTCTGGGGATTTCAGGGGAAGAGTCTCTTCAGATAAACCCCTTTGCTACATCCACCTTAGCATCTTGTCAAGGGAAGAGGTGGGGCAGATAAACCCCTTCAATAATCCTAAGTGTGGGCTGGTCTCGGTGGCTCATGCCTGTAATCCCAGCAGTTTGGGAGGCCAAGGTGGGCAGATCACCTGAGGTCAGGAGTTTGAGACCAGCCTGGCCAACGTGGAGAAACCCCGTCTCTACTAAAAATACAAAAAAAATTAGTTGGGCATGGTGGCAAGCGCCTGTAATCCCAGCTACACGGGAGGCTTAGGCAGGAGAATCGCTTGAACCCAGGAGGCGGAGGTTGCAGTGAGCTGAGACCGCACCATTGCACTCCAGCCTGGGCAACAAGAACGAAACTGTCTCAAAAAAAAAATTAATTAAAAATAAATAAAAAATAATAATCCTAAGTGTGGCCCAGGCATGGTGGCTCATGCCTGTAATCCCAGCATTTGGAGAGGCTGAGGTGGAAAGATCACTTGAGCCCAGGAGTTTGAGACCAGCCTGGACAACATAGCAAGACCCTATCTTTACAAAATATTTTAAAAATTAGCTAGGTGTGGTGGTGTGCACCTGTAGTCCCAGCTATTTGGAAGGCTGAGGTGGGAGGATCACTTGAGCCCAGGAGGTCAGGGCTGCAGTGAGCCACAATCGCATCACTGCACTCCAGCCTGGGCAACAGAGTGAGACCCTGTCTCAAAAAGATTAAAAAAAAAAAAATGACACCCTGGCTCTGTCACAGCTCTGGTTCCGTCACAGCTCTGGTTCCAGCCTGAGCTGGAAGATGCTGACCATAGAAGTCACCCCTCCCACCAGAGGAGGATACAGGTCAAAGGACAAGGCAGAGCAGGGGGCACTGCCCTCCACATGAGCATGTGCATCCACTCCCATGCACACACATGCAGAGGCATACGCACATATACCTTGGCCCCATCCATGCTGGTATCCCCACAGTGGAAAAACCTCAGCCTTTTTTTTTTCTGTCACCCAGGCTGCAGTGCAGTGGCCCGATCTCTGTTCACTGCAACCTCCGCCTCCTGGGTTCAAGTAATTCTCCTGCCTCAGCCTCCCAAGTAGCTGGAACTACAGGTGCCCATCACTATGCTCAGATAATTTTTTTTTCTTTTGAGATGGAGTCTTGCTCTGTTGCCCAGGCTGGAGTGCAGTGGCGCGATCTCAGCTCACTGTGATTCTCCTGCCTCAGCCTCCTGAGTAGCTAGGACTACAGGCATGAACCACCAAACCCAGCTAATTTTTTGCATTTTTAATAGAGATGGGGTTTCACCATGTTGGCCAGGCTGGTCTCGAACTCCTGACCTCAAGCAATCTGCCCGCCTCGGCCTCCCAAAGTGCTGGGATTACAGGCATGAGTCACCACACGTGGCCTCGCCCAGCTAATTTTTGTATTTTTAGTAGAGACGGGTTTTCACCATGTTGACCAGCCTGGTCTCGAAATCCTGACCTTAAGTGATCCACCTGCCTCGGCCTCCCAAAGTGCTGGGATTACAGGCATGAGCCACCGCGCCCGGCCTTTTTTTTTTTCTTTTTTCCTTTTTTATTCTTGACATGGAGTTTTGCTCTGTCACCCAGGCTGGAGTGCAGTGGTCCCATCTCCGTTCACTGCAACCTCCGCCTCCCGGGTTCAAGCGATTCTCCTGCCTTAGCCAGCCTCCCGAGTGGCTGGGATTACAGGCACGCGCCACCATGCCCAGCTAATTTTTTGTATTTTTAGTAGAGACAGGGTTTTACCATGTTGCCCAGGATGGTCTCAAACTCCTGAGCTCAGGCAATCCGCCCACCTCAGCCTCCCAAAGTGCTAGGATTACAGGTGTGAGCCACTGTGCCTGGCTGAAACTCAGTCTTTATTCCTGATAGGGAAGAACCCAGAAAGAGGGTCTCTTCTCTCCCTTTCATCCTATGCCTCACTTCTCACATTCACACAGACATATACTTTCACACACAAATACACACATATTGTACACATGCTCCTACACGTGGCAGAGAAAAGAGAAAGACTAAAGAAGAAGGTAGGTAGGTGGAAGACAGTGTGTGCCCAGAGGGCAGTTCCTGGGGAGGGGGTGTCAGGGTGCCCAGGGCATGGAGTGGGCAGGAGCCTTCATGGCTTCCTCTCTTCCCTAGCCAGCGACCAAAGGTCAGCCCAGGCAACTCAGCCACGTGCAGTCCACCCACCCTGCCTGGTCAGGTCATGTGAGACCAGGACCGAAGCCTCATCAACACTCCATTGTCTTCCAGAGCCCAGCCTTATGCTGAACCTAACAAGCCCCCTCCAGCCCAGGACTGGTTGGTGGCCCTCCAGAACCTTTGGTTCCGTCCTGAGGGACCCTCTGCAGGGGTCTCACAGTCCCTGCCTTGAGGACAAGCTGGGTGATGTTCAGCCAGATCCCAACCCTCTCTGGGACTTTACATCCCCTTCTGAGAAACGGGGAGGCGCTGGCCTTCCATTTGCACAGAGAAGGCCTAGGGTGAGGAGTGGGGAGCAGGGGAAGAAGGGCCCTCTTTCTCATGTTCCCTCTGGGGGCACATACCCCATCCCATGCCACCTCCTTGCCCATTCTCCAGATGCTCAGCAGGGAAGGAGAGCACAGCAGAGGGCCGAAGCGCGGCCCTGAAGGTCATCTTGCACGTCAGCACTGGGGCAGCCCCAAAACCCCTTGCGCCCTGGCTCCCCGCCTGGACCACAACACAGGCTCCATTGACTCCTGTGCGCCCTCCTTCCCAAGATGCACACAAAGCCGTGGGCTCGTGGTTACTGCCCACGGGCCCCTGAGCCCCACAGGACCCACCCAGGGAAGGAGGCCAGAGCTGGCTGGCTGGCTGCAGCTCCTAAGGGGCTGGCAGGAGGGAAGGATCGTGCACCTACGCAAGAATCTCCTGGTTCTGGGCAGAAAGCCCTCATAGCCGACCTCTAGGCCCTGTTCTACCCAGGCTGGAATGGAGTCAAAGACCTTGAGGACCCAGCTGGGACAAATTCTCTGCCAGTGCCACCTCTACCCACCCTTCATCCTGTTTACATCTTGCAAACACAAGGACATTCACCCCTGCCACTGAGACTAAACCTGGAGCAAAGCCGCCCTGGCCCACCCTCTATCTCCCATAAGGGAAGTCAGGTGGGGAAAGATGCTTGTCTGGGGGAGGGGGACTGGAGGAAAGCTGGGGCTGAGAAGCTCCAGCCCCTCTGGGGGCTTCAGTTAGGGGAGGGCTGCCCCAGCAGGATGACAGAGAGATGATTAAACCCACAGAGAAGATTGATAAGGGAGCTAAACAGCTGCAACTCTGCAAGGTAGGCTGGGACAAATCTCATCTTGTCCTGGCGGCACTCAAAGCACTGGGGGGCTGGGCCAGCCTGGCTGAGCTCATGACCTACACAAGCTCCAGAGCAGGAATGGGGGCAGGGGTGGCAGGCTGCTCCCACCTTCTTCCTCAGGGCCCAGCCCCCATTCCTGCCGCCTCAGAGCTCCCTCCCTGAACAACACCCATTGGCACCTAGGCGGCGTGCCCCTCCTCCCCGGTGCCCCTTCACCCACAGCACCTCCGTCTCAGCTCTCACTCTCGGTATTATTAGATGTGATTTACAGCGGAAACGCTGAGTCAGACAAACCAAGACTTCCCCAGACAGAGGCAGTGGGAGAAGACAGGAAGAGTCCAGGGCAGCTGGCCTCCCTGGGCAGGGTCCTCAAAGGGAGTGAGGAGATGGGGACAGGGGTCCCCAGCTTCCAGGATGAGTGGGAAGTTTGCCCCTCCTGTTTCTCCTTTCTGTCCCAGGCCCAGGATCTTCATCTGGGACTCCTGGATATGCAGACCCCTTTTCTGACTCCCAAGCAGCCTCTCAGCCTGTCCTGCCAGCCCCTGTCTCTTCCTTGGCAAGTTTGAGAAAACAGCCCAGGGATCCTGGAGCCTGGAAACAAGGTGGTTCTGCTGGGTCCTGTTTCCTCACAGCAAGGCCCCGGTTCAGAAGGCAGCCCCTGACTCCCAGAGATGAGAGGCAGGAAAAGTGCATGGCTGGGGTCCCAGCCCCCTACTCTACAAACAGAAACACGGGCACTGTGTGCTCCTGGGGCGTCCAAGGGCCCTAGAACCGGTGGAGAGCACACATTTCTGCTTCCACCTTGTGCGGAAGAGCACAGTGGGCAGGTCCGTCTCTGCTCCCTGGGTCTCTGACTCCCTGGCAGGGAGGAACTGGGCATTGTTGCCAAAAATAAACGTTCCCTCTCCCGCTCCCTGGCTCCCGGCTCCCGCTCATTAGGATGCGTGGCGTTTGGCTGCGGTCCCACACCTTGCAGCTCATTATAAATATGCAGTCGCTGCTGGCGCTACCCCAATCATCTCTGCAATCAGAGCTTTTAATTAGGTTAATTAAATTGTATCAAATCTCGCAGGGACGCAGTTCACTGATGCTGATGAGGCAGCCAAAACAGACCCCAGCTCCTCCGCTAATGAAGGCCGCTGCCTGCCTGAGCCATGAGGGAGCAGGAGCGCATAATAAACGGGCGCGTCCTCTGGGAGGAGCTGCTGCCCAGGCCGAGCTCTGGGGACCTGGCAGGGGGTCTAAATCAAGCAGTCCAGGCTCCAGCTGCAGCAGAGGCTCCCAGCCCAGGAGCCGGCCCCTTCACACAAGAACCAGGGCAGCTTCAGGAGCCCAGGCACTGAGAGCCTGCCACGCTTACATAGCAAACTTGAGGGGGCCCCAAAGATCCACTGACTCTGTCTGGGACTCCTCTTTACTTCTCCCCCAGAATGGCCCAATAAGGCCAGGGCTCCCTCTCCTACACACCTATATACACACACACATACACATACACACACACACACACACACACACACACACCAGCAGTTAGCCCTGTCACTGCCCCCGGATTGTCTTATTAGCCAGAGTGGCCAGGCTGAGACTAGAAAGCCCATCCTGCCACTGCCAGCCTAGTCTCCATCTGCTATGGAGACCATCTGCCCCTGGCGGGGGGCTGGGGTGGTCTACAATGCTACCAGCCAGCAAGAGGAGGGGGTGCTGCCCCCTAGGCTCCATGTGCCAGATGGACCTTCTATATTCCACCTACCACTCCACCTCAAGAACCCTCTGCCAGGGAGGGACACCTGTCCCAGACCTCCTGGGATCAAAATAGCTAGGGAGGGGAGATGGTCCCTTCCTTCCCTGGTCCCTCGCCACCCTGAGTTCACTGTCCCATGCCCTGGCAATCCATCTCTGGGCACTGGAGACCACAGGCTTCAGAGCTGCAGGGCCCTGCAAAGGTCCTCCCCTGCCTATAAGCAGGAAGGCAGGTGCTGCCACCTCCAAAGGGGCTGTCCCCAACACTCCACTCAGCCTGACTCCAACCCCTCCCCTTAACCCCTCCATCACTGGTCTCAGTGTCTCTGAGCAGATGAGGAGAGAGGATGGGGAAATTTTCAGTGCTCTCGGGACAAGTTGTTTCTGCTATAGAAGCTGGTTTTTTTGGTTTGGAAAGGTGTTTTTTCTTTTTTCCACCCAGTAATGTGAAAACATGAAACCCGAAACCAACCCCCTACATTTGTCACCTCTGAGAGAAGCCTTTGGGGTAACTGGGAGAAAGCTGTAAATGACTCAGGCTGATTCAGGGCAGGGGGGTGCTGCCCAGCTGCCTGGGGCACCACAGTTTCATTAACCCGATCTGAGCATGGCCGTCAGGTGACAGATGCAGGGAGGGGAAAGGAAGCCCTTTCCATCCTCTGCTTACCCCTAAACACAGCAGTTCCCTTGATATATTCCTCTTGCCTAGAAAAAGCTGGGTCCTTAGCTCCGTTCTGGACGAGCCTCTCCTACCACCACGCAGGAGCACAGGGCTGGACTGTGCAACCACCCCAGCCCCAAGCAGTTTGTTCCCTTTGCATTAAGCGAAGCGGACAAGATGAACAAGGAGACCTAGGTGTATGCTTCACCTAGGAGTAGACTGGACAAGACTTCCTAAATGTGATGATGATGGATCCAGGAATAGGGAGCCAGGAAATTCCTTACAGGGAGCCTGAGAAGCAGCGGAGACGTTCTTCCCTCTGGCCAGAGCAGTTGAGGAAAGAACAGGCAGAAGCATGAACTAGGCAGCCTCCTCTACACTCCAACCTCTCAGCAGTAGGCTTGGGAAGGGAAGCTCTGCCTCCCTTTGTTTTACAGCTTCTCTCTGATCCTTCCCTGCACTTTTTGCTGAGACAGACCTGTGGAGACCTGGTTGGGTACAGAGGGCGCACCCTCTGACCCGGGGAGGCAGCTGCACAAGCCCAAGAGGCCTGCCAGGTCCACTTCAAGACAGTACTTCAGGTCCGCCCCCAATTCCTCCACTCACCTGGGGCTTTGAGCCAAGACTCCCACCCACGATTCAGCCCGCCCTTCCCCAACACCCTGCACATAAGGCTCCGGGAACTGGCACGCTGGGAGAACTTGAGCGGGGAGCCCAGCACCACACACCCACTTGCCTCACTGTTTCAAGTCCCAACAGGCCCTGGCCTCACCGGCCTCCACAGGTAGGCAGAGCGAGTCTGCATCTGTTGGCTGCCTTCCCTGCTGGAGGACGTGCAGCTCTAACTGCTCAGTGCCCCACCGTCAGCAGCATGGGGGAGAGGACAGTGAGCGACAAACAGATGCTTAAAGCTGCACGGAGGGAGACCCCTCCCAGGTCTGGGTGGAACCACCCTATGGGAAACTTGGGGCTATGTGACAGAGACCTCCCTGCATGGTCCTCACTAGAAACAGGAAGGAAAAGCACCTTCCTGCCCAGTCTTCCTCCTGGGGCCACACTCATCTCAAACTCAGGGTGAGAAAATCCCATTTCTTCATGGGAGCTCTCCCCCCTAGCATTAAATTCAATAAGCAAACACATGCAAGTACTTCCTAAGTACAAGGACACTTTTGAAAGAAGACAAGTGTGCTGGGTGGGTGGACACCAAGTCCCTGAGAAGGAATCCCAGCAAAGGGGCAGCAGCTCCACCTGCTGGGCCCTTTTCCACCCTGGCACCAGGAAGCAGTTAGAAATCAGAAAAAGATTGGCTAGGAGCAGTGGCTCATGCCTGTAATCCCAGCACTTTGAGAAGCCAAGGAGAGGTGGATCGCCTGAGATCAGGAGTTCGAGACCAGCCTGGCCAACATGGCGAAACCCCGTCTCTGCGCCTGTAATTCCAGCTACTAGAGAGGCTGAGGCAAGAGAATCGCTTGAACCCAGGAGGCGGAGGTTGCTGTGAACCAAGATCGCGCCACTGCACTCCAGCCTGGGTGACAGAGCAAGACTCTGTCTCAAAGAAAAAGATGAACTTATTCAAGAATAAAGCTAGGGCTTGACACTCTCCTGCTTTGGTGGGAAGGGCCCTAGGATGCAGCAACAGACTAAGACTGAGCCAGGCTTACTGAATTCTCTGTTGGACAGACCTGAAGGGTCCACATCACCATAGAACTGCTGTTTGGAGACTTGGTTTGTACAAGAGACCTGAGCCAAACAAGTCCTGACTCAGAAAATCCCTCCAGCTCCATAGGCTGCCCACAGCCCCCTTGGCACAGCTAGAGCAGTATGCCACCAACAGCCCAAATCACCCCTAGGCCAAAAAGGGCGGCTAAGCAAACAATACTCTTCCCTCCCCAACAAGCCAAGAGTCTAGGGTCCCACTGAGTACCAAAGCGGCAAAGCCCTGGCCAATTCTCAGAATACATGGGGCTGGGGCCTGTCTTTGCTTAGTCACAGGGACAGCCAATCTCTTTGCTTAAAATCCTTGAGTCTTGGAGACAGCACTCAGTGTAACAGCAATTCAGAACACCCAGCTCCCCTTACAGCACTCCGATTACCTTCAGCCTGGAACTCACAGTACACCAAAAGGATGCACTTTCCTGCTCCATTTGGCCTGGGAGTGTGGCTCTTCAAACGTCACTGTTTGTGCTCCTGTGCCAGACGGTGTGTAGGTATGCCTGTACCTGTTTATGAGGCCTGAGTTATATGTGCCTTGTGCATCTGTGAACATGAGATTCCATGAGGCGAGCCTACCTTCATGTGGGTGTGTGGTTCGTGAGAAGGCATTTAGGTCTATTCCCTATCCTCTCCCCCACTTTCCCACCCAGCAGGGGCAAGAGACGGAGCAGCAGCATCCAGCTGTTTGACCCCAGGATCAGACTGCTGCTTAGTCTGCTCACTCCCCTGTCTAGTATCACTATGATGAGTCCCTTCCCTGGTTTGATCCTCAAGTCTCTAAAACTTTCAGCATTGACTGAGCTCAGCACCTCCCCAGAAGGGAGTGCATACACACAATGGGAAGCATTTCCTTCCTGAAGGCAAAACCTACTGGTTTCTGTTTCCTGACCCTTCTTGCTGTTTTCCAGGGCCCCTGATTTAAATTCCACTGGGTACACCCTGAGGAAACAGGCTTCTAGTCTAGGCTTGTACAGGAAGCTCACAGTCATGGGCACTTATTAAGCATTAACAATTTTCTTTTAAAGCCTTACAATCCACACATGGCTGTTCTCCCTCCTTGGTGTAAGGGCTACGCAAGCCCCCCAGAACCCCGCTCCCTGTTCTCCCATGTTTGCTCTAAGCATGTTCAGTCCTGTCCTTACTGTCCTTGGCCTATAATCCTGATATGGGCAAACAAAGGAAGGAGAGAACCAGAGAAGAGAAAGAAGCTGGCCAACACACCCAGGGGTCCATATTCCCAGAGTGAAGGTCTGCACCAAGCTATTCTAGCCTTGGAATTGTGAGTTGGCATGGAGTGCAGAGGACAGAGACACAGCCAGGCCTATACTGATTTGAGCTTCATCAATAAGGAAGAGGTGCTCCCGTAGGTTCCTTGTTCCAAGAGTTTCTATCTGCAGCTGTTAAGTAAGAGAAAAAAATTCCTCCTTGGATAATTTATGAAGCCACCTGAATAGCCAATAAAAGAAGAATGAGTGAGGGTAAAATCAGTCTATCCACTAGATAAAACACTATGCAATCATTAAAAATAATATTTATTTTAACGTTTACTCTAGCATATATTACTGTAAAAAACTTTTGTGATGTAACAAACTGGGAAAGAGCTAATGATTTAATTAAAAAGTAGGACATCGGCCGGGCGCGGTGGCTCACGCCTGTAATCCCAGCACTTTGGGAGGCCGAGGCGGGTGGATCATGAGGTCAGGAGATCGAGACCATCCTGGCTAACAAGGTGAAACCCCGTCTCTACTAAAAAAATACAAAAAAAAATTAGCCAGGCGCGGTGGCGGGCGCCTGTAGTCCCAGCTACTCGGGAGGCTGAGGCAGGAGAATGGCGTGAACCCGGGAAGCGGAGCTTGCAGTGAGCCGAGATTGCGCCACTGCAGTCCGCAGTCCGGCCTGGGCGACAGAGCGAGACTCCGTCTCAAAAAAAAAAAAAAAAAAAGTAGGACATCAAATTGTTTACTGTAACTATAAAACACAAAAACATGGACAAAAAGTGATGCCTCGTTTTACAAAATGGAGGAAATCAACTAGACTACTCACAGTAATTGTCCACCTCCACAGCTCTAGCTCCTAGCACAGTTAAGCATGCAATAAATATTTGTTATTATTGAATAAGCACTGGGATTAGGAATGAATTAATCTACTTTCCAAATCTGCTGTAATGAGATCCTATGTTTCATAACAAAAAAAATTATGGGCTGGGCATAGTGGCTCATCCCTGTAATCCCAGCCCTTTGGGAGGCCAAGGTGGGAGGATCGCTTGAGGCCACGAGTTCAAAACCAGCCTGGCCAACATGGCAAAACCTGGTCTCTACAGAAAATTTAAACATTACTCAGACATGGTGGCACATGTCTGTGGTCCCAGCTACTCAAGAGGCTGATGCAGGAAGATCACTTGAGCCCAGGAGTTCAAAGTTGCAGTGAGCCATAATCACACACTGCACTTCCAGCCTGGCAACAAAGACCCTATCTCAAAGAAAAAAAAAATTAAGTATATAAAAATAAGACTAATTTCACAATCCAAAAACAATTACAGAAGGGAGGGAGATTTAATGTTGTCCATAGAAAGACATTAAATGTCAGACTGACAATTTAGTTATGGTTACAAACCGGAAAACCATGCCATTTGGAGTAATGGAATTTGAAGTTACTAGAAAACGACAACAGATTTTTGATACAGAATGACAAGGCTTATCTATAACACGTCAACGTTTTCGACGACTCTGAAATTTATAAATAGCTGGGGAGTTCACCGTTTCTTTCTTCACCTTCACTTTCTGAGTTTTATCCTACAAAAGAGTAAAAAGGTGATCAGTAAAGAGAAGGAAATGGTTTTGTAAAATCGAAAGGTTAATAAACTACCTATTAGCACCTGCTTCAGCCCTTCTCAAAGTTGAGAACGGACACAGCCCTACTGCCCAAGGCATCCACTGTAGGCAATGAATTAACTTCTCCCCTAGGCATCTAGAAAGTACTAGCTGTGTACAGTCCTAGGAAAACTGAGAAGAAAGGTGTTCAAGTAGTTGTTTCATTTAAAATTATAATTTTAATTCTCTCACGGAACCCCAGTTGAGAAAGGCTGACCTAAATGATCTACAAAGCTAAAGAATTTGACATTTAGAGGAATGATAAGAATATGAAAGAGGCATCTTATATTCCTCAGCTCTGCTATTTAACTACACAATGTTGTCTATTTTTAAACACCAATGAGTGACATGCACTGTTTTGTTAACCTGTTTAAATGTTACGGGAGCTGCTCATAAGCTATAAAGTTCATATGCTACCCGATCCTACCCTTTGCTGTTCCAAAGCACTGACTAATAACCCCCTTATTACCTCCTTAATCAAGGCGCATTTCAACACTGTCAGAGTAACAGACACTGGCTCAAACCACTGCCCCTGAGGAGCAGACATTTTCACTGGGGTTGATTTACACACAGCTGAAATCTAGTCTGAGTTAAGACCTTTACAAGAAAGAAAAGGGGGAAAAAAAAAAAAAGAGGCCTAAGGCTCTCTCTCCTCACCATAAGATCTTTGCGTGTTTGAATTTTCTGAGCAATAACGAACAATTTCTTCTCTCGTTCAATCCGCTGTGTCAGGCAGTTATACTGCTTTTGCCTTTCTTTAGCTATTCGCTGGAGAAGAAACACACACATTCTCAGTGAACAATGAACAGGACAAAAATGAGTAAGAAACTGTTTCTTAATCCATTTAAGCCAACTGCATAGTTTCATCAACTCCCTTCTTTCACCAGAATCAACATAACGTGGTAACAATAACGTTGCCCATTTTAGGAACATCACATTCTGGAGCTGAAAGGAACCCTGGGCCAGACGCAGTGGCTCACGCCAGTAATCCCAGCACTTTGGGAGGCTGAGGAGGGAGGGTCACTTGAGCCCAGGAGTTCCAGACCAACGTAGGCAACATAATGAGACTCTGTCTCAAAAAAAAAAAATTAAAAATTAAAAAAGGAACCCTGTAGACTATCTTATCGAAACCCGTCATTTACAAACGCAGAAAAATGAGGCCCAGAGAAGAAGTGGTCCAAGGACACACAGCTCACCTGGAGCAGAGTCAGGACCGTCCCCCTCTCACAAATCCCAGGAATCTTTCCACTACTACACTAAGCTGCTTCAACCTTTGTGTGAGTGCCACAGTCACCTGAGATGATGGCAGGAATGAATCAGTGTTGGAAACCCTATACAAAGTGAATGGAGAGCAACAGAAGAGTCGGCAACAGAAGGGTCCCCAGGCAGTGTGCTGGTGCCTGAAAATCTTACCACTCAGAAAGCAGAAGAATTTTTTCAGCAGAAGCTCACCTGAGAATTCTCACTGCTAATGACTCCTCAAAGATCAGTGGGGTCCTTACATTTTGGGGAATCATCAACCTCAGAGAAACTGATGAAAGCTTTGGGATCTTTCTTCTTTTTTTTTTTTTTCTGAGGCGGAGTCTTGCTCTGTCGCCCAGGCTGGAGTGCAGTGGCACTATCTCGGCTCGCTACAACCTCCGCCTCCTGGGTTCAAGCAATTCTGCTGCCTCAGCCTCCCTAGTAGCTGGGATTACAGGTGCCCGCCACCACGCCTGGCTAATTTTTGTATTTTTAGTAGAGACAGGGTTTCACTACATTGGCCAGGCTAGTCTCGAACTCCTGACCTCAAGTGATCCACCTGCCTTGGCCTCCCAAATTGCTGGGACTACAGGCATGAGCCACCACGCCCAGCATGGGATGTTTCTTGAGATAAATGTACATACACATTTGTAAAAGGTTGTGCAAGCACATATACCTATCTGCACAAAATACCAGTGAGAAAGGGGGGTTTTCTCAGACCTCCTAAAGCTCACTCATGGGTTGTCTACCCACTCGAAGTTACAGACAAAATATCCTTGCAATCCACCCACCAGCAGTCTCTTAATAAAAATGATTTTGCAGTAAACAAAATAGAAAGAAACATAATTACTAGACAAAAATGGCAAAAATCTAAACCTCCCTAACTTCTCAAAAGCTATGCTGGTGAACTATTCTACATGGGAATTTGGAATACTAATCTCTTTAGGGACTACCACAATTCTTGAGAAGCGTCAGTGACACGGCTAATTGAAAGTACACCTAATTGCCGGGCGCGGTAGCTCACGCCTGTAATCCCTGCACTTTGGGAGGCTGAGGTGGGTGGATCACAAGGTCAGGAGTTCAAGACCAGCCTAGCCAAAATGGTGAAACCCTGTCTCTACTAAATATACAAAAAATTAGCCAGGCGTGGTGGCGGGCACCTGTAATCCCAGCTACTCGGGAGGCTGAGGCAAGAGAATTGCTTGAACCCAGGAGGCAGAGGTTGCAGTGAGCCGATATCACGCCACCGCACTCCAGCCTGGGTGACAGAGTGAGACTCCGTCTCAAAAAAAAAAAAAAGTACACCTAATTGACAAACAACAGGGTTATCACAAGAACACTCATGAGCAAGCTCTTTGGCTGGAAGTGTTATCTACAGAAGGAAATATTACTGGGCCTTAGACTTCAACAATTCACAGATTCTAGCACAGTCTCACAGCAGTGGTTTCAGACAGCTTTTGTTTTCGCTTTATTGCACAGACTGTCAGATTTATGGGATTACCCAATATAGTCAAACTAATTAGGGGTATTTATATTACTAAAGCAAGTTTAGCTGCCTCTGAGCTAGAGAAAACTGCTGTGAAATTAAACATTGGAAGCAAAACTGATGCAGTGTAAATGATTCAAATCAAAACAGAACAGCTGTCTGCTTGAAACACATTGACAGCATTTTTTTTTAATGAATCAGTCAGAAGAGTTCAACTCCAGAAGGCTTTCAGGAAAAGCATGTCTTCTGCACAACCCAGTTACAGTGACGGAAAGCACCATAAGGAAAAGCCAAAACAAAATTTTTGTTACAATACACAATATGAAAGACCTTTTGGGCAGGCATGGTGGCTCACGCCTGTAATCCCAACACTTCAGGAGGCCAAGGCGGGAGTAAACACTTGAGCTCAGGAGTTTAAGACCAGCCTGGGCAACTTAGCGAGACCCCGTTTCTACAAAAAAAATTTAAAATTAGCTAGGCATGGTGGCACACACCTGTGGTCCCAGCTACCCAGGAGGCTGAGGCAGGAGGATCGCTTAAGCCCAGAAGGTGGAGACTGCAGTGAGCCATAATCACACCATTGCACTCCAGCCTGGGTGACAGTGAGACCCTGTCTCAAGAAAAATAAAAACACAGAAAGACCTTTTGATGTGCGTATTCACTGCTAAAGGTTCAATATTAAAGTATTGCAAATCCTTTAATCTTCAGCAATCCCTTTCTCTGCATTTTCAAAACACTGGCATCTGTTACAAGTATTAAAAGCACAAAGCGCAGGGTCAGAATTGGGATTCAAACCCAGGTCTAAAGGCCAGAACCTAAGCTTCTGACCACTATACCTCCTCCGATCATAGAAATTAGGAAGCCCTTCTCCACTTCCATCCCATCATCAAATCATCCTACAAATCCACTTTTCTAAGGGAACTCATGAGTTTTCCATAAATAAATAATTATTTTAGGCCAGGCACAGTGGCTCACGCTTGTAATCCCGACACTTTGGGAGGCCAAGGCAGGCAGATCAACTGAGGTCAGGAGTTCAAGACCAGCCTGGCCAACATGGCGAAACCCCATCTCTATGAAAAATACAGAAATAAGCTGGGTGTGGTGTTGCACCCCTATAGTCCCAGTTACTGGGGAGGCTGAGGCATGAGAATTGCTTGAACCCAGGAGGCGGAGGTTGCAGTGAGCCGAGATCGTGCCACTGCACTCCAGCCTGGGAGACAGTGAGACTCTGACTAAAAAATAAAATAAAATAAATTTTAAAAATTATTTTAAATGCAGTAGCAAAAAAAAAAAAACAAAAAAAAAACACCTAGATTCCCCTAAGCTCACATGTGAAGAACAACAGAGAAAATTACCTTAAGTCCAGTCTGATTGGTAACTCCTTTCACTTTTTCTTTCTGCAAGGTCTCTATCCTGGGCCTATTAAAGACTCTGTCGACTAGCTCCGGGGCTGTTTGCAGGTGAGTTGCGACATCAAACTGTTCAACTAAAATTCAAGACAATCCTTAAGGCACTGTCGGTTTCTAACACCAAATGACACAGACTGGCATGGTAGACTGTCCCAGAAACCTTCAAACATTTCATACCTTCCTTTTTGGTGTCAAAAAAGAACACATGCTTGTTCTGTTGCTTCCCCTGGAAATCCAGCAGATGGAGCTCTGATTTTAGTCTTTCGATTTTCTAGAACACAGAATATGGTCTCACTTTATATTAGATTCTTCTAGGGTACCAAAAAAAAAAAAAAACTGCAAAAGTTTAAACCATTTCACATCATTATTGCCAGCCAGCAAAGAACTTGCTTTATTCTTTTAAAGGAAAGGATCCCAACAAATATCAGGTATTGGGCTAGGCACTTCCCAAGACGCACTTAATCCCTGCAACAGTCGCCTGAGACAGAAATGAGGGAAGAGCCTCAGGGAGTTGAATTTGCCCATTGTCATGGGGCTAGTAATTTATGGCAGTGCCAGAACTCAAACCCTAGGTCTGTCTCATTCCCAAACCTGAACTCTTTCCACTCTACCATGCTAACTATACTTCTAAATCATTATTACAATCAAGTGAGATTGTAAATGCCAGAAGAAATTAATGAATAACTTGAGATTGATGAATTTAAGTTTCCCTTCTTAACCAATAAAACCAATCAGAACAAAGAGTGAATTACCTTAGCTTCTGCAACCCTCTTCATTTCTATATATTTGACGTCCTGAGTTCTCATCAGCTTTAGTTGTTCTGGGGTTACTTCTTCCTTAGTCTCCTTAATAATATGTACTCCATCCTAAAATCCAAATTTAAAAGATATATTCCCTATTAGATTAAAATCATTAATAAGTTGTTGGCACAGTGCACGGCTAGAACAAAGACAACCATAGGCCAAGTGCG
Source organism: Homo sapiens (assembly GCF_000001405.40). Lineage (NCBI taxonomy): Eukaryota > Metazoa > Chordata > Mammalia > Primates > Hominidae > Homo > Homo sapiens. The sequence goes on along the minus strand of NC_000001.11, from coordinate 38,018,359 downwards.
GTCACTCACACCTGTAATCCCAGCACTTTGGGAGACCGAGATGGGCAGATCACTTGAGGTCAGGAGTTCAAGACCAGCCTGACCAACATGGTGAAACCCCGTCTCTACTAAAAATACAAAAACTTAGCCGGGCACAGTAGTGTGTGCCTGTAGTTCAGCTACTCGAGAGGCTGAGGCACGAGAATCACTTGAACCCGGGAGGCAGAGGTTGCAGGGAGCCGAGGTCGCACCACTGCACTCCAGCCTGGGCAACAGAGAGTGAGTCCATCTCAAAAAAAAAAACAAAAAGACAACCAAATGCTGTATGCTAACAGCAATCCTAGACACAGGCCCCTGAGGCGTACGTTCAATGTAGCACCTCCAGTCATCTGTCCTAGAACAGCTCCAGGTATAAGACAACCCAGATTCAAAGGTAAAAATGCACGCTCCTCTGGAAGTGGAGGGTTTGCCTTGGACACTGACCAAGAGCACCTGGAGTAACCAGAGAAGGGTTAAATTAAGGCCAACGATTCTTCCTCTCCATCTCCTCCCTGTCCTTATTTTCCAATGTGTGGAGCTCAAAACACCAACCAAGCCATTGGGCACCCACCTGGAGTTTAACCCGAGTCATTTTGTAGTAGAATTCATCTGGATTTTTTTCAAGAGCCTTCTTCCGAAGAGCTTTGAGGTATTCTTGTTTTTTACGGTAGTCACTAAAAGACAGGTTAAATGAGGTTCATAGCAAAAAAAAAAAAATAGATAATTTTAAAAAACCAAAAACCCACAATAAGCAAACTTTACAAGCATCTAAAAGGTCACACAGAGTGAAACTCAAAAAAGCCAAAAGCACTGACTGGATCTGGACACTCCACTGTCACTGAGCTGAGCTCATGTCTTCGCAGGGTCCACAGTCTAATCAACAGTTCCTATTCCAGTGGAACCTGAAATTAACTGTCCCCAGCCTATATATGTTTCAGTGCCATTTATATCATTACAGGGAGACACCAAACAAAGTACAAATTAAAACTCCTTAGGATATGGTGCAAGCTTGGGCACCAAATGACCATATGTAATTCAGAAACTACACAGTACAGTATAGCGCAATGACTAGAATCATGGACTCTGGAGCCAGACAGCATGGGTTCAAATCTGGACTTGACAACTTCTGGCTAAGTAACCTTGGATAAGTTATTTAACCATCCTGAATCCCAATTTCATTTGTAAAATGAATACGGTAATAGTAACCCATCCCAGAAGGTTGTTGGGAGGGACAAATCAGTGTAAAAACGGTAAATATCCTAGAACACTGCCTGGCCCAATAACAATACTTAATTATCATTAGCCTTAAAATCTCTGGGACCTACAGAAACCCATTTAATCCATCACCACCATCTAGACCAGGGGCATAAAAAGGACCTCAGCTGACATGTATCGCTAACAAATAATTAAGAAGTATTTTGCAAACAAAGTGCTAACAGAGAACAAGAATGGGGATAATTGTTTTATAAAATGTTTTCAGAGTTCATTATCACCCACGCTTGGTCTCATGAATCCATCTTTCACATCTCTTCATTCCACATCACACACATGGTGATGTAAGAGACTCAACAAATGGAATTTCAGATTATATCCTGCACTTCAAGAAAACAAAGAGAAAAAGATTCAACTTTGGGCTCAAACACCAAGGCAGAGCCAAATCAAAGCCACTATGAGAAAATGATCTGGAACAACATAATACAAATAATTCACAATGCAACTACAGTTAAATAAATAATGATCTGCCTAAACAAAGAGAGAAATTTAGGATCACAGAAAAAATTATCTGACAGGCTGCCAGAGCTTTGGCCATTTTATCAATGGCAGGAAATTATCCCCTGTTGGACACTCAGGCAATTCAGCTGCAGTGCAAGGAGGTTGTAAGCTTTCTTGGCAGCGCCTCTACCAGAAAGACTGAACTCACTCTGCACGAAGTTTGTAATCTTTCTTTTTCTCCAGCAGGCCCAGATGTTTTCGAAAGCCAGGCTAGAAGACAAAAGAAAGAACAACAGTGCTTAGTTTCCTCCGCAAACACATATCCAAATCAACACGACATCTAACAGGCACAGGAGTCTCTGGAGTGCTCAGTAAATCCAGTCCTTGGAGCTAACCCATGACCCTGTTCCCTCCCCTCCCCACAACTGGGCTCTGCCCAAGGATGAGAGGGACCCTGCCAGCACCAGACAGGTCACAAGCACTGCTGTAGTAGGTTTCTTGGCCTATTAAGGACAGAGAGAGGCAACAATGACTCGGCACTAAGCAAGCAGTTGCCAGTTGTACTAAAATTACTACCAACTTAATCCAAGGGTTTATAAAATACTACAAAGGGAAAACATAGTAACAGGGAGGCAACTGTGGTAAGGGAGCTAAATTTAGAGTCTGGAGATGTGGGTTCAAATCCAAGCTTTACCTCTGAACAATCTGTGACCTTGGGCATGTCACTTAACTTCTCTGAGCTGCTATTTCCTGACTGTAACATGAAAATAGTACCTGCTTCTCCGGGTTATACTGAGGATTCAAGGAGCTTCTATTAATGGTAATGCCTGCACATGGCTTGACACATAGCAGCTTTCCAGCATGAGTTTACTATTATTATTATACTTGTGGTACTCAGTATGAGAAAAAAGTATGACAGAAAGTACTTTCTCTGACGTAGACTTGGAGAGCATGGAAGGTATAAGGATTAAATCTTGGTATGATCCTTCTACATACTACCATTTGTTGAGCACTTAGTATATGTCAGGGTCTTGCAATGTGCTATGCTCCTTACACAATTTCATTTAATCCCCACCACAATCTTGGAAAGAAGGTGAAACAGGCACTATTGTTACCCCAGTTTTCCATAAAGGGAATGAGGTTTAGAGAATGATATGCCCAAGAACACAGAACTAATAAGTAGCAGAGCCAAAACTAGAACCCATTCTCCCTAGGGCCATCACAGTAGACTGAGTCCTCTTCTGTTGCGAATAATCTTAACATTTTGGGAAATGCATACACTTCTCCAGTGTTTAAACTTGTATAATAGGCCGGGTGCAGTGGCTCATGCTGTAATCCCAGCACTTTGGGAGGCCACGGTGGGTGGGGCATCTGAGGTCAGGAGTTCAAGACAAGCCTGGCCAACCTGGTGAAACTCCACCTCTACAAAAATACAAAAATTAGCCGGGCATGATGGCAGGTGCCTGTAATCCCAGCTACTCAAGAGGCTGAGCTGGGAGAATTGCTTGAACACGGGAGGCGGAGGTTGCAGTGGGCCAAGATCACACCATCGCACTCCAGCCTGGGCAACAGGGCGAGACTCCGCCTCAAAAAAACAAACAAAAAAAAACTTGTATAATAATTTGGGTAGGATTTTTAACAGTCATCTTTCTCATCTTTTATCCTTCAAGTGATGCAATAAATAACTATTTAAGGCCAGGCTCACACTTGCAATCCTAGCACTTTGGTAAGCTGAGGTGGGCAGATCACTTGAGCCCAGGAGTTCGAGACCAGCCTGGGCAACACAGTGAGACCTCATCTCTACAAATTAAAAAAATAAAATAAAATTAGCTGGGTGTCACAGTACACGCCTGTGGTCCCAGCTACTCAGGAAGCTGAGGCAAAAGAATGGCTTGAGTGAGGGGGTCGAGCCTGAAGTGAGCCGTGATTGCCCCACTCACTCCAGCCTTGGCAACAGAGGGAGACACTATCTCAAAAACATAAGTAAAATAATACCAAACCTCCCCTAATAATTTTAACTTTAATTACAGCAAAGGGAGGTTAACAGAGTAGAGAAAGCAAGCTAAAGGGTCAAAAAAGCAACAACATGAGGTGAGGCAGAAATCTTGAAATCTCTCATGTCCACCTGAATGTACAATCGCATTACAAAAGGAAACCTGGTATTGTATCTGAAATAGTTTACGTAATAACACATACACCCTCCATACAAAATATCTTCAGTAGCTCCCCTGCTGCCCTACTGAAGGATCTGCAGGATAAAGTCCAAACTACCCAAATATGGAACGTTTGTGTCAACGGTTTACCCACCTTTTCAGGATGGTCTTCTTCTCACCTCTTCTACACAGGCCATCTGTTCCTACTCAGCCATGGCCATGCCATGTCCACAGCCAGCTCTGAAAGCCCTCTGTCTTCTCTGCTAATCCAATTCCACTACTTACAACTGTGACTTTGGATATACTATTCAATCTCTTTAAGCACCAGATTCCTCATTTGTAAAATGAGGAATGAGGGTAACATCCACTTCAGAGGGATGTTGTAGGATTACATGAGACAATTGTAAAAACATGCAGGGCTGTGCCTAGCATATAGTAAGTGCTCAAAAGGTGATAGTTTTGGCCGGGTGCAGGGGCTCACGCCTGTAATCCCAGCACTTTGGGAGGCCAAGGCGGGTGGATCACCAGAGGTCAGGAGTTCGAGACCAGCCTGGCCAATCTGACAAAACCCCGTCTCTACTAAAAATACAAAAATTAGCAGGGCATGGTAGTGTGCACCTGCAGTCCCAGCTACTCGAGAGGCTGAGGCAGGAGAACCGCTTGAACCTGGGAGGCGGAGGTTGTAGTGAGGCGAGATCGTGCCACTGCACTCCAACCTGGGCAACAGAGTGAGACTCCATCTCAAAAAAAAAAAGTTTGATATATGCTATTAAGCAGGAAGACTGAACTGTAGTTAAGAGGCCTTAGTTCTATCCCATCAGTCAGCTGCACAACTCTTTCCCCTGTCTTCCTCATCTGTAAAACTAAGTTGGAGCACATATGTATGTCTAAGGGCCTTTCTGAATCAGATATTAAGCACGGGATTCCTGACAGTGTATCAACTGATTCTGCATATAAGCTTATTTCTACTCAACCTCCCTACACAGACACACCCACCATAGAAATCCTAGAACTGTTTACTCTGCCTGAATCTGGTGTTTGTAACTGGACAAGTCACCACTCTGGACCTCAGTTTCCTCATCTGTATAATGGGAATGGAAAAGGCCAACATTAAGGGGTAAGGCTTAAACAAAAAGCACATATGGCAGATCTTCATGAACCACAAGCCCAGCGTGATGATGATACCACATTAGTAACCACAGTCTCTTCGGTCAGGGCCCCCATATGCAGCAGGCGGAGCTGCCCATTAGACGTGGGATCCAATTTCAGCCCAGCAGTTGTTGCCTACATGAGCTCTGACCTCAACTCCTCAGAAGAGACCAGGCACTTGACAGACATCTTACTCAATCACCACACTGAAATCTTCCAGAGCAGGTTTTATATCCCCAAGGAAAGGGGGGCACCCCTGCTTTTCCTAGAACGGAAACGACAAATCCCCTCCACTCGTTCCCACGAAGCTCCGCCCCAGCCACGCCAGCGTCATTAACATACATTTACGTGCATTTATATACTATACAGTTTGGACCCGGATCCCACGGTGGCGACAGGGTTGGGGCAAGGGTAACACATGGCGACAAAGGCCAGCACTTGTGGGGCCTGTATGGTCCTACCTGGCTTCGCTCTCTGTGTTCCCGCTGCCGGGACTTAGCCGCCTTCCGAAAAGCCGCCGCCATGTCTGTACAGCCTTGGAAAAGATCAGTGGAGAACGCCGGATCCGCACTGCCTCTGCCGCCAAGTCCACTGATTCCTACCGGAAATAGGCCTAGCCGCCGGCGGTTTAGAACCGCCTACTTCCTCTAAGCAACCTATCCGGAGCCGGCTTTCAGGAAGTACGTCATTTAACAGAGGCAGTCACCGCAGGCTGCTTCTGGGAAGTGTAGTTTCCCAGATATAGTCTCGTGACTCTATAAGAGCCAGTTCTTATTCGCTAGCGCCTGTCCACGCTACCCAGATCTCGCCTTCGCGCTTGGCCCGCGTGGGCACCTGGGAACACGTGGCTGGCACTGGCCTCCGTCTGAGCTGGGCTTAGCGTGTGCGCATGTGCAGTCACTTACAGCTCGGCACGGGTTGCTGTATCTAGAAGGTATGTTTAAAGCTAGAGCAGTACGGATTTAACAGTTTTGGGGCTGGCTGGGCGCGGTGGCTCACGCCTGTAATCCCAGCACTTTGGGAGGCCAAGGCAGGCGGATCACGAGGTCAGGAGCCTGCCCAACATGGTGAAACCCCGTCTCTACTTAAAAAAAATACAAAAATTAGCTGTGCTTGGTGGTGCGCGCCTGTAATCCCAGCTACTCGGGAGGCTGAGGCAGGAGAATCACTTGAACCTGGGAGGCAGAGGTTGCAGTGAGTCGAGATGGCGCCATTGCACTCCAGCCTGGGCAATAGAGTGAGACTCCGTCTCAAAAAAAAAAAAAAAAAAAAAAAAAACACTGTTGGGGCTCAGGACTCACCACTCCAAAATATGACTGTGGGAGGCCAGAATATGCCACCCCAAAATATATATTTCTCTGGCTTGTTTCTTAAAGCTGGTTATGCTGAGAAACTGCAGATACAGGAGTTGCTCTGAAAAGCTGTCCTTCCTTTTGTAGAAATAAATTTATCACCTACAAAGGAAATCTACATTTTTAGTGAGGTATCTGTGTCAAGAAGAGGGCTGACAACTATTACTTCCTGAGAGATTTTATCTCCATAACAGGACATTTCCTCCTCTCACCTTCCCATAATATGTGTTGCCACCAGCCCCCAGAGGCCCCATGCCACTATTCTTTTCTGTAACTTGGGACACTATATAAACTTCATTCATCTGACCTGTCCATTTTTTGCTCCTCTACAACAGTGTACAGGAAAAAATATTCTATAGAGAGACAAGAGACCTTAAAACCATAACTGGCTCTGCCATTCACTTACAGGCTGTGTGACTTTTGGCAGGTTTCTTGACTTTAATGAGCATCATTTTTCTCAAGCATAAAATGAGGATAATAATAACATACACTTCTTGCCTCATATTGCTGTCAAGAGCTCACAGTTGAACTGAGGAGTCATATCTGTAAAGAGCATAGAAGGAAATCACCCAATGACAATAGCTATAAAGTTCTGAGTCCCTCACATCCCTAAGGGAATGGCTGGTTGACGATATGCGAATCAGAGGCAGTACAAGGTAATGACCCATGAGGTGTGTTCTGATGCCACCCCAGTCAAGGTAAAGTTAGATTCACTGAGCCTCCATCTCCCCATCTGTAAAACTGAGGTAATAATAATACTATACCCACAGGACTGTTTTGATGATTAAACGAAATATGTTGGTTTTTTGTTTTTTGTTTTTTTTTTTGAGACAGAGTCTCGCTCTGTTGCCCAGGCTGGAGTGTAGTGGCATCATCTCGGCTCACTGCAAGCTCCGCCTCCCGGATTCACACCATTCTCCTGCCTCAGCCTGCTGACTAGCTGGGAGTACAGGTGCCCACCACCACGCCAGGCTAATTTTTTGTATTTTTAGTAGAGATGGGGTTTCACCGTGTTAGCCAGGATGGTCTCAATCTCCTGACCTCGTGATCCGCCTGCCTCAGCCTCCCAAAGTGCTGGGATTACAGGCGTAAGCCACCGCACCCGGCCAAAACGAACTATGTTTAAAGTGCTTAATGCTGTTTTTATTCCTTAGCAAGTTCACAATAAAATGGAGTTACTATTGTTATTTTTATTATTACTAAACCTGCTTCTAAGTTTAGAGAGAGGATTGGGCACAGTAGAGCATTCCAGAGGTATTTGGTTTCTTTTCCACCACATGAAACAGGATGTATAATTGCACGCATTTCTCATGACAGGGGTCACTCCTCCAGCTCAGGAGCTCCAGGGAAATCGTCCCCTTAGTCCCCAGAAATGCCAGTCCAGTCGACCAGTGGGCCTGAAAGAGCTGAAAGTATGAGTTTGAGCCTTGCCCATTTAGGGCCTCCTGCATTAACAAAATTCCATCTCATTTATCACTTACCATTGGAAGACAAGGCCCTTTATAACCTGCCTCATGCCCACCTTTCCAGCCTCATTTCCATTAAGAAGACCAGCTGTCAGGCAGGGTGACTAGGTAGCAGCCCCAGCCACTCCTGCCTCTTCCCCCTGAAGAAGGCACTGGGTGACCAGCATACCCAAGAGAAGCTAGCTCTGTACATTAGACAGGGGGACCCTGGTGTCAGCCCTGGCTTTATATCTATCACCTATTGGCTTGTGATTTGAGGCTATGATGTCAAACTCTCTGAGCTTGTCTTACTCTGTCAAATGGTGATGATGATAATAATAACTGCCTCTTCTGGTTTTTGTGAGGACAGAAAGAGGTAATGACTACCACGTGGCATGGTGCCCTTCACACAGTCAACATTTAACTACATTAGTTCTTGCTCTGCCCTCCCCACCTCCCATGCTCTGTGAAAGTCACTTACTTATTTCACCCTCTCCACCCACAAATTCAGTGTCCAGCTTGGGGTCACAAGGAAAGTTTCTGGACGGCCAGGCGCAGTGGCTCATGGTTGTAATCATAGCATATTGGGAGGCCAAGGCGGGCAGATCACTTGAGGTCAGGAGTTCAAGACCAGCCTGGCCAACATGATGAAACCCCATCGCCACTAAAAATACAAAAATTAATCGGGTATAGTGGCGTGTGCCTGTAGTCCCAACTACTCAGGAGGCTGAGGCAGGAGAATAGCTTGAACCTGGGAGGCGGAGGTTGCAGTGAGCCGAGATTGCTCCACTGCACTCCAGCCTGGGTGACAAAGCGAGGCTCCATCTTAAAAAAAAGAAAAAGAAAAAAATAGAAGAAAGCATCTGGGCAATTTGGAAGAGGTTATCTACCAAGCCTTGAGGCCTGCAAGAGCTCTAGGCAGCCAGTAGGTAAGAGTGAGCAATATACCCAGAGGAAAAAGGCTGTGTTCTCACTAGGGGGAAGGAGGGCCTATGGTTACAGGCATCAGAGAGTGATTCAGCACTCACAGGAAACCATGAGAGGCCTGTCAGTAGCCACCCAGGGCCTCCTTTTGAAAACCCTTGCAGAGTGAAAAAACAGCAGGGGTGCCCTAAGCATGAGATAAAGAAGAGTGTGTGGGGACCTCTAGGGTGAGTGAGGGACAACAGGATCCTACTCACCCAAGGCCAGTCATCCAGCTCTCAGGCTCTGCTTCCAGCCCCAGTTCAGACACACCTGTTTCCCAGGGAGGGAGGAGGACAGATAGGGAACAGGAACAGGGAGTCCTTGTGGCTGATCCCTGGACTTCCCTGGGGCACGTCCTCCTGGGCCAACGAAAATAGAGTGAGCAGAGAAATGTGAGCCTCCTGGGGAATGGAAATTGAGACAGGGAGACACAGCTTCACTGTGGGCGGCTTGCCCCTAGGCCGCTCTCCCTAGCCCAGGTGGCCCAAGCCAGAGAGCTAACTTTCTCTGGCCCCCAGACTCCAAGTCCAAGTAGCTGAACCTTAACATTTGATCATGAAAGTGGGGACTGTCCCCACATATTGACAATCTATTGTGTGCTCTCATCCAATCCTTACAACAATGCTGTGAGGCAGACTCATTCACTTTTCACAGTGAGAAGACTGAGGTTCACAGAGATTAAATGACTACAGATACTAGAGCCTAATGGTGAAGCTCATTTTTGGCATAGGGTGCTATGACTTCTGACTGTCCAGATTTGATTTTTTATTTTTATTTTTTTCCCCAAGACAGAATCTTGCTGTGTCGCCCAGGCTGGAGTGCAGTGGTGCAATCTTGGCTCACTGTAACCTCCTCCTCCTGGGTTCAAGCGATTCTCCTGCCTCAGCCTCCCAAGTAGCTGGGATTACAGGCATGCACCACTACAACCAGCTAATTTTTGTATTCTTAGTAGAGGCAGAGTTTCACCATGTTGGCCAGGCTGGTCTCAAACTCTTGACTTCGTGATCCGCCTGCCTCAGCCTCCCAAAGTGCTGAGATTACAGGCGTGAGCCACCGCCCCCAGTCGGTTTGATTTTTTTTTTTAATAGAGATCGGGGTCTCATTATGTTGCCAGATCTGGTCTTTTTTTTTTGAGACGGAGTCTCGCTCTGTCACCTAGGCTGGAGTGCAGTGGTACAATCTCGGCTCACTGCAAACTCCACCTTCCGGGTTCACGCCATTCTCCTGCCTCAGCCTCCAGAGTAGCTGGGACTACAGGCACCTGCTACCACGCCTGGCTAATTTTTTTGTATTTTTAGTAGAGACGGGGTTTCACTGCGTTAGCCAGGATGGTCTTGATCTCCTGACCTCGTGATCCGCCCGCCTTGGCCTCCCAAAGTCCTGGGATTATAGGCGTGAGCCATCGCGCCTGGCCCAGATCTGGTCTTAAACTGTTGGGCTCAAGCAATCCTCCTGCCTCAGCCTCCCAAAGTGCTGGGATTACAGGCAAGAGCCACCAAGCCCGGCCAACCATTGGGATTTGTATCCTAGCTTTGCCATTATTACCTGTGTCGCCCTTGCCAGGTTACTTAATCTCTCTGTGCCTCCATTTTCTCATCTTTAAAATGAGGATGAAAATATATATTTAGGCCAGGAATAGTGGCTCATGCCTGTAATCCCAGCACTTTGTGGGGCTGAGGCAAGAGGATTGCTTGAGCCCAGAAGTTCAAGACCAGCCTGGGCAACTTAATAAGACCCCTGCCTTTACAAAAAATTAAAATTAAAATAAATTAGCTCAGTGTGGTGGCCCACACCTGTAGTCCCAGTTACTTGGGAGACTGAGGTAAGAGGATCGCTTGAGCCCAGGAGGTTAAGGTTACAGTGAGCCGTGATTACACCACTGCACTCCAGCCTGGGTGACAGAGCAACACACTGTCTCAAAAACAAACAAATATAGATGCACATATATTTAATAAAGTTATTGAATAATCAGGTATGTCAATATATGTAAAGTGTTCAGGACTGGTGCAAAGAAAGAACTCAGGAAGTACTGGCTCTCATTAAGGCTATTTAGGAGAGATTAGAGCCATGCATCAAGAACAGAGATTCCAATACTCTGCCTTTTATCAGGCCCCTTCTGTACTCACTCATAACCCCTTGCTTTCTGAAGGCTCCCCACCTTTGCCCTCCCGTCCCCCAGAGCTGACCTCCTCTTGGTACCCACTCCACCAAGGCTGAGTAGTCTTCACTGCACTCCCCTGGGCTGGGAGTCTCTTACACCTGCAAGATACATCCCAGAGAGGCTGGGCATGGTCACTCATGCCTGTGGTCCCAGCACTTTGGGAGGCTGGGGCAGGCAGATCAGATCTTGAGGTCAGGAGTTTGAGACCAGCCTGGCCAAGATGGTGAAACCCCGTCTCTACTAAAAATACAAAAAAAAAATTTAGCCGGGCGTGGTGGTGCACACCTGCAGTCCCAGCTACTTGGGAGGCTGAGGCAGAAGAATCGCTTGAACCTGGGAGGTGGAGGTTGTAGTGAGCGGAGAGTGCGCCACTGCACTCCGGCCTGGGCAACAGAGCAAGCCTCCATCTCAAAAAAAAAAAAAAAAAAAAAAAAAAAAAAAATCCCAGAAAAAGGCCCCATCCATGGGCTGGATGCTCACTGCCTGGACTCCAGATAGCAGGTGCCTGTGATCCAAACCGAGGATGTTAGAGGGGCATACATACTGAAGCAGTGTCTGGTATCCATTCATTCATCAGATGTTTATTATGTGCCGGATATTGGAGTAAGTACTGAGAAGGCAGTGGGGAACAAAACGGAGCCCTGCCTTCATGGCTCTTACCATTTAGGCAACAACAGCAATAATAAGCAAGCAATGATTTAATTTTGAAAGGAAACCAGACCTGGTGGGTGACTTGGGACCCAGGAACCCAGGCATGATGCAGAGATGGGACGGAAAGGTTCTCAGGAGCCCCAGCCTGGGAGGGTGTTAGTTCCTCCGTGAGAGCTCTGCTACACCCAGCCTGGGGTGTGGGGAGGCCTCTGTGGGCACCTGAATCTTCACTCTAGATGCTAAGGTTATTCCGGGGTTGATTTGTTGTCTCTTGTTTCCACAAACAGCACAGTAGAGCCTCCTGCCTCCCTCCCTCCCCCACCTCTTCCAGACTGAGGCTATTTATTCCTAGTGACAAGCCTGAGGATCCCAGGGGGGGTGGCCTTAAGGACCTGGAGGGGCCTCGTGTCCCTAGCAGGCGCCAGTCCTCCCTCACGGACACAGGGAGGAAGCCAGAGGCTCAGACACCGCAGAGGTCCCCTCCCCTCTCCTCCACCACCCCTGAGGTGCCCCATCCTCTCACACTCCTCACACCCCACCCTAGAAGCCCAAAGATCATGGGGCCGAGGATTAGGGTCTCCCCCGGGCCTCAAAGGTCAAAACTATTCCTGGGCACTGCGGAAACCCAGGCAAGGCAGGACTTCTCAGTGTCAGGAGGCTGCTGGAAGTGGGGAGGTGGTTACCCCTGTTTTTGCTACTCAAAGTTGTGGAATAAAACCCTTTGGAGGTCAAGGCCCTATGGTGGGGAGGGGTCCTCTCTTCGTCCCATGTTTTCAGAGAACACCTTGGTGCCCGCTGACAGGCTCATGACAGCAGAGTCAAAACGTCCTCCTCCAGGCTGGATTAAGGCCGGGCTGAGTGTCACCCCTGGGGTAAGGTGAAGGGGTGGGGGGATCCGAGGAGGCCAGAGGACTCCCCCAGTGGACCATGGTCTGCGGGGTCTCGTGTCGCCGGCCTGAGATGGAATACAGCAGTCTCCCTCTGGCAGCTGGGGATGGGGGGTGGGAGGGGAGGAGAACAGAGGCTGCGGGGAGGGGACAGGGGCGGGGTCCCGGCCGCTTGAAGGTTGGGAGAGCCAGGTTAGGCCGGGCGGGAGGAGGGGGCCGGGCCGACTGGCGGCCGAAAGGGAGGTGGGGGCGGGGTCTGGCCCCCGCGGCGGGCTGGGGGGCCGGGGGCGGGGTCCGGGCGGGGCGGGCCCGCGCTCACTTCCTCGGGGAGGGGTTGGGGCCGCGCTCCCACTCGCCCACACGGTCCGTCTGCAGTCGGCAGCCTCGCCGGCAGCTCGCTCGGCCCCCGCTTGGCCCGGCCCGCAGGTAGGAGCCGCCGAGGGACGCGGCGCCCGGTTCCCGGCCCCGCCTGCGCCGCGCGCTCCCCGCTCCCGCCGCCCGCTTCGAGGTGAGCGCCCCGCCGACCCCGGCTCCCAGCCCTGGCGGTCCGCCCCCGCGCCCAGGCCGGGGAGCGAAGGGACCCGCGGAGGGCTGAGGCCAGCCGCGGCCCCGGTCCCCTGTACCCGCCGGGCTCTGGCCACGGGTGCCCGGGGCACGCCGAGCCCGGGACAGCGCCCGCCGGGACTGGACCCCTCCGGGCTATCGGGCGGGGCGGGGGCGGGGGCGGCAGCGAGAGTTGGGCGGGGGAGGGGGCTAAGTTTGAAATAGAAAAGCCGGAGAGAGACAGACAGACCGACCGACCAGAAGCGCTGGAGAAACTGAGGTTCTCGGAAAGCCCGGTGGAGCGAGAGACCGAGACAGGCAGGGACTCGAGGCACAGGAGGCTACCGAGACCACTGAAACAAGGACACACCGGGCGTACAGAGTTACTGGTGGACAGACCCGAGGCATGGGGGCCGTCCTAGGCTTTGTGGAGCATTTTCAGAAAAAGCATACGTGGGACCCCAGCGAACACATTCCCTAGGGCCCTTCCCCGGGCCTTGGAGGTGCCCTGAGGCTTGGGCGTCATTGGCCTCATGCTGAATCTGCTCTCTGAGGCCTGCAGAGACGCTCAGAGACTAGAGACAGAGACATTCAGGCGTGCAGAGGTGGCGAAAGAGACTTGGATGCAGAGACAGAGAAAGGGAGGTGGTGGGGATTGAGACATTCAGCCATGTAGACAAGAAGAGACCAAGACTTGAGATCCACAGAGGCATGGGCCCCCTGGGGGACAGCCAGTCAAGATACAGAGCCGTCCAAAACCTAAAGACAGAGACTGAAGTGTGCCCAGACACAGAGATGCTGAGTGAAGCAGAGACAGACACCAGAAACTGAGACTAAGTGGGGGCAGAGAGACCTAGGTGGTCTGACAGCTTCCAGGACAGCCCCTGACTTACCCGGGCCTGAACCATTGGGAGGTGAGGCTGTGGGGAAACAGAAACTCTGAGCCTACCGATCCCCCATGAGGCAGAGGCCCTGAGACAGTAAGTTCGAGATCAAGAAGAGCCCCACGCACACACACAGCCACCAAGACAGCCCCAACTTATTTTTGAACTCAAATCTTGGATGGGCTGCCTCAGCCCTGGGGGACCCAGGGTGAATGAACTGTTCCTCTCATGTCCCCAGAGCAGCTGCGGGATCTTGCTCCCCAACCCCCTTCCCTAAACTTCTCTGACTTCCAGGCCACATGGGGGAGAGCAGAGCTTGGGGTTGGTGCCCGGTAGCAGAGGGTGAGGGTTGAGGGAGTTGGATTTCTCCCCTTAAGTCTCCTGTCAGCTTCTAGAAGGTGGGGGAGGGGTCTGTTCTGATCCTGACTCACAGCTGTGGGACCTGGCCAGGGTCCTCCTGGACAGTGGGCATGTTGGGGGTGGGGGCAGAAGGATTGAATGGTTGGCATGGGGCATTGGAAAGGCTTCTGGGTGTCTTCCAATCACAGGGCTAGCAGCTGAGGAGAAGAGCCAGGCTCTGGTGCATCTCCTGTTCCCCTGCCCTTAAAAACTGACCACCCCCATGTCACCATCCGCTTCATCACCAGGGCAGCATTTTTAGGGAGAGGGAAGAGCTCTGGGCTGGGAGGCAGGGGACCTGGGTCCTGATCGGGACCTTGGGCATGAACCTGCTCTATTCCTGGCCTCCTTGTGCTCAGCTGTAAAATGGGGATGATACTCTGTCCTGCCTGCCTTTTGTGAGATCTGATGAGATTGTGGTGGGCATGGACTTTGTGAGTGGCAAAGCAGCATGCAGGTGTCTACATCCGTGGACCTGCATGAGAGATCTCAAGAGTTAAGCTTACTAGAGTCAGGCTGACCGGACTGAAGCGACCACTTTCCCCACTGGTGTCCTCAGCAAGCCCCATGGGCCTGGGGCCCCCTATTCTCTCCCTGGGCCTATGCTGAGAATGTCCAGGTCAAATTTCAGACCAGGCTGGGCACAGTGGCTCACGCCTGTAACCCCAGCACTTTGGAAGGCTGAGGCCAGAGGATCACTTGAAGCCAGGAGTTCAAGACCACCCTGGGCAACATAGTGAGAACCCCATCTCTACAAAAAATAGAAAAACCTAGCTGGGCATGGTGGCACATGGCTGTAGTCCCATCTACTCAGGAGGCTGAGGCAGGTGGTTTGCTTGAGCCCAGAGTTGTTTTTTTTGTTGTTGTTTTGTTTTGTTTTGAGACAGAGTTTTGCTGTTGTAGCCCAGGCTGGAGTGTAATGACATGATCTTGGCTCACTGCAACCTTCACCTCCTCGGTTCAAGCAATTCTCCTGCCTCAGCCTCCTGAGTAGCTGGGCTTACAGGCGCCCGCCACCATGCCTAGTTAATTTTTGTATTTTTAGTGGAGATGGGTTTTCACCATGTTGGCCAGGCTGGTCTTGAACTCCTGACCTCAGGTGATCCACCGGCCTTAACCTCCCAAAGTGCTGGGATTACAGGTGTGAGCCACCTCACCTGGCTGAGCACAGAAGTTCGAGGCTGCCGTGAGCCATGATCGTGCCACTGCACTCCAGCCCTGGCAACAGAGTGAGACCCCAACTCAAAACAAAAAAAAAAAACAAAAAGGCTGAGCGGACACCAGCTTGGCCAACATGGCGAAACTCTCCATCTCTACTAAAAATACAAAAATTAGCTGGGCATGGTGGTGCCCTCCTGTAATCCCAGCTACTTGGGAGGCTGAGGCAGAAGAATCGCTTGAACCTGGGAGGTGGAGATTGCAGTGAGCCGAGATGGAGTTAACTGCGCTCCAGTCTGGGTGACAGAGTGAGACCCTGTCTCAAAAAAAAAAAAAAAAAAAAAATTGGGCTGGCACTGTGGCTCATGCCTGTAATCCCAGCACTTTGGGAACCCAAGGCAAGAGGATAGCTTGAGCCCAGGAGTTTGAGACCAGCCTGCGCAGCATATTGAGACCCCATCTCTATTTAAAAATTCTAGTCCAGGCAGGGTGTGGTGGTTCATGCCTGTAATCCCAGCACTTTGGGAGGCTGAGGCAGGGAGATCATGAGGTCAGGAGTTCGAGACCATCCTGACTAACACAGTGAAACCCCGTCTCTACTAAAAATACAAAAAATTAGCCGGGCGTGGTAGCAGGTGCCTGTAGTCCCAGCTACTCGGGAGGCTGAGGGAGGAGAATCACTTGAACCCGGGAGGTGGAGGTTGCAGTGAGCCGAGATTGCGCCACTGTACCCCAGCCTGGGCGACAGAGCGAGACTCTGTCTCAAAAAAAAAAAAAAAATTCCAGTCCAGCTGCTTGACCCAGACCTGCCTGTGAAACTGCTATCTGGCCCCAGTATGAGTGAGGGCGCTAATAGTAAAATACTAATAGCTACCATTTTCTGAGTATTTATTATCTGCCAGGTGCTTTACAAGTATCATCACATTTAAGCCTGACAACAAACTTAGGAGGTAGGAAGTGGTAGTATCTCATTTAATTAGATGGGAAAACAGGCTTAGGGATTTGCCCAAGATCACTCAGCCAGTAAGTGCAGGAGCCAGGATTCAAACCTTACAGCTTGAGCTGCTCCATACACCATAGCCAGTTACGCAGTCATTCTGAGCTCCAGGAGGTTCACTGGGAGGTGCCTTGTGAGGGGAGATTGTTGGAGGTGCAGGGTTGTGAGCCATCTGTAGAGGAGCAGTCTCCCCCAAACCCCGCCCCACTGCCGGTCAGGAAGGAATACAAGGCTGGCTCCCTTCAGTCCCCGCAGTCCCCAGCCTTGCCAGGGAAAAGGGCAGGGAGAGGGGTATGGGCAGAGACAGGTGGGCCTTGTTGGTGCCCTTTACTCTGTCCTCACCAGAGCCCAGCTGGATAGACTAGGGCATTGGGGGATTCTGGGAAGGAAATAGAAGCCATGCCCATACCCTATTTGGGTTGCCCTGGTTTCGGAGTGCTGACTGTCTCTCAGGGGGTGGACCCAAGTCTAGCCTGGGCCTGAGAAGGTGGCAGCCGCAGTGGGCCAAGCCAAGAAGGAAGGAAGAGGCCCAGGCACCCCCTGTGGACGCATTCCACCTGTGTGGCCCCCTGCTGCCCCGTGGCTGACAGCCCAGGCAATCCTCAGATGTTGGGCCAGAGGAAACCTGGGCCTGAGTGGCAGGAAGGGGGCTGAGAAAGAGGAGTATCTTCTCTACACCATAGCCCCCAGCCCAGGAGTTCCAGCTCTAAAGACCCTGGCCCCTGGTGGCCTCATGCCCTGGCCTGGAGCGCAAGCTGGCTGTTCTCCCATTGCGCAGAGGCTTGATGTATGGAGAGTCAGGCCTCCAAGCTGGGGGCATCTGCTGGTGCCTGGAGTCTGAACTTCAAGCCAGAGCAGCGCTTGTTGTCAAGAATTTCGCACTGGGGGTGGATGAGAAAAGGAGGACTTCTCCTTCAGCTTGAGCCAGGGCAGGCCCTGGCGACTGCCAGCACTGGAGCCTTGTGGGAGAGTGGGTTGGTGGATTCCTTTGTGTGTCCCTGTAACTTCCCCGGGCTCATCCACAGCTGTGAGAACATCTCCTTCCTATGGGTCCTGGTGGTTCCTCTCCACTACCCCAGGATCCCAGCCCTTAGAGAGCAGCCTTCATGATGGAGGAGAGCAGGGGTGGGAGCTCTGACTTTGGGGCTAGAGACTGGAATCCGGGGCAGCAGAAAGGTCTGGGAACCCCACTTCCCTACCGCTCCACTCCCTAGGCTCCTGTTCCAGAGGCAGCTGTGTGGATGACCTCATCCCACAAACATGCTTTGTTCCTGAGAAAATGGAAAGTGTCTGAGGTTTGGTCGGGGGCTGGGTGTCTCCAGCAGCAGCTCTCAGGGCTCCCCCTTGTCCTACTCCCCACCCAAGATGGGGCCTGATTGGGGAGAAAATGTCTTCAGTGGCTCTTGCTCTCTCTCCTTTCAGCTCCCTAGTCCCAAACCCTGAGAAATCGGAAAAGGTGGGAGAGACCTTCTCTCCCAGAGGCAGTAGGAGGGAAATCATGACCCCAGGGGATGGAAAGATCCTGGGGTTTTGCCAGATGTTAGCAGGAGGTGGCAGGGGGTACACTGCACTCCCAGTCTGTCTCCAGTTCCCCTCTGCCTCCCCCGACACTTCATTTTCCTTTTTTCTCCCCATTGCTGGCAAAACCTGACATCTGGCCATCTGTGCCGCCACAGCTGCTGCAGATGTTACAGGCCAAGGCTGTCCAAGCTGGTGTGACACAGCGGGGGTGGGGGGATGAGGGCAGAGGGTCTAGCTAGGGAAGACTGGCTGTGTCCAGCTTGCAGGATTTCCTTCCTGCTTGAACCTAAGCTGAGCCTCTGAAGTTCCCATTGCTTGGCTGATTCCCCGGGAGGGAAGGCCCAACCTCTCACACTGGCCTCTTCTACCATTCATTAGTCCAGCACCTCTCTAGCATTCCACTGTTTTCTGGATCAGGAGGGGCAGGCACAGCCCATTCCCGTCTCTAAGTTCTGTACTCCAGAGCTCTGGTTAAGGGTTCCTTTATCCATATTCCTAAAGTCCCTTCCTGGGAGTCAGGAGAGGGTGGGAGTACTGCTCATAAGGAGTAGAGTGGGGTGGCTCCCTGCCCCTGCTTCTCCCACGCTGGGGACAGTCGGGACAGTGGAGGCTAGACGCTGGCTGGGACAGGAAATGAGTCACTGACCCAGGAAAAGCCCCCTCCCCCTAGATCTGCTAGGGCCTAGATAAGAAAACAACTTCTGCTTCCTGGTTTTTTTCCTGACCTCTTCCTACCCCGAGTTAAATACAGAAAGAAACATGTGGGATTCCTGGTTTCCCAGAAGCACCCCTTCCCCATCCCCACCTACTCTGAACTGGCATTTCCTATGCCGGGTCTCTTGGCTGTGTTTTGAATGCAGAGGCCTCTTTGCCAGGAGCCAAGCCACAGCCTCTCTGTGTGACCCCAGTTCCACCTTGTGCTCCTAACAGGGTTCTCTCCCCTTGCCACCATGAGCGAGTCATTTGACTGTGCAAAATGCAACGAGTCCCTGTATGGACGCAAGTACATCCAGACAGACAGCGGCCCCTACTGTGTGCCCTGCTATGACAATACCTTTGCCAACACCTGTGCTGAGTGCCAGCAGCTTATCGGGCATGACTCGAGGGTAAGGAGAGGGCCAGGCCAGGCAGGAGGTGGGTGGTGACCAGTGGAAGGGGGCAAAGGATGGGTCCATGAGGCCTGGGTGCCAGTGCCCCTGCTGTGTTCCCCACAGGAGCTGTTCTATGAAGACCGCCATTTCCACGAGGGCTGCTTCCGCTGCTGCCGCTGCCAGCGCTCACTAGCCGATGAACCCTTCACCTGCCAGGACAGTGAGCTGCTCTGCAATGACTGCTACTGCAGTGCGTTTTCCTCGCAGTGCTCCGCTTGTGGGGAGACTGTCATGCCTGGTATGTGTTCAGGGGCTCATCTTGTGTGAGAACTGGCATCTGCGTAGGGTCTTTGCATGTGTCTGTCTGATACATGGAGACTTGGTCTGTGTAAAGACCTGCATACACAGCATGTTTCTGGAAATTTAGTATATACGGGATCTGTTTGCCTGGTATACTCCTGGGGGCTACTATGTACAGGCAGATTGACACATGTGATACATACTTGGGGGCTTAGCATGTGTGAATATCTGCATGTTTAGTACAGGTAGGAACTAGAGGTGTGCTGAGACTGTCATGCTTGTTGCATTGGGTCTTAATGTATGCAGAAGCAGATAAACAGAGGGCTTAACATGTGTGGGGACCTGCATGCCTAATAGAAATGCTGGGACTCAGCACCTATGGAGAATGGTGTGCCGAGGAGATGCGAGGGCTTAGCATGTACCGAACCTGTCATGCCCAGGGCATTAGAACTTTGTGTGGGCAGATACTTACTTGCCTGGTACATGTGGGGTCCCATGTGAGTGCTAAAATCATCACATCTGTTATATGAGGGCTTAGCTCTTAGTGAGACTTCATGACTGTTACATGGAGGCTTGATGTGTGCTGAAATTGTCATCTCTGGGACATATGGGGGCTTAACATAGGCCAAAACCCTCGTGTCTAGCTGGGTCATCATGTCCGGTGTCTGGGGAGAGGTTAGCATGTGTAATATACATAGGGCGGGGGGGTTCTTGCTGCATGTGCACGGACACCACCCTGCTCACGCTGAGAGAGGAGTGGAGACTCCTGGGGAAGTTACAGAGGGTGGCCCTCAGGAGCATGGGACACAACCTCTAAATGGGACCCCTGTTCCCCACAGGGTCCCGGAAGCTGGAATATGGAGGCCAGACATGGCATGAGCACTGCTTCCTGTGCAGTGGCTGTGAACAGCCACTGGGCTCCCGTTCTTTTGTGCCCGACAAGGGTGCTCACTACTGCGTGCCCTGCTATGAGAACAAGTTTGCTCCTCGCTGCGCCCGCTGCAGCAAGGTGGGGGCTGGGCCAGCCAGGTGGGGGTGAGTGAGGCCTGTTGTGGGGTGGGAATCCCCACTCATACCTACTAATGGATGCTGCCCCCACAGACGCTGACACAGGGTGGAGTGACATACCGTGATCAGCCGTGGCATCGAGAATGTCTGGTCTGTACCGGATGCCAGACGCCCCTGGCAGGGCAGCAGTTCACCTCCCGGGATGAAGATCCCTACTGTGTGGCCTGTTTTGGAGAACTCTTTGCACCTAAGTGCAGCAGCTGCAAGCGCCCCATCGTAGGTGGGACAAGGGTCAAAGAACGGAGTGGGTAGGGTGCAGGCAAGGGAGTGGGATGTGGTATTGGGTGAGGTTGAGGGCCGGACCATCCCCACATCTGCATAGCTAACTTCCAGCCTCCCTCCAGGACTCGGTGGAGGCAAGTATGTGTCCTTTGAAGACCGACACTGGCACCACAACTGCTTCTCCTGCGCCCGCTGCTCTACCTCCCTGGTGGGCCAGGGCTTCGTACCGGATGGAGACCAAGTGCTCTGCCAGGGCTGTAGCCAGGCAGGGCCCTAAGCCAGGGCTCCTGGACCCAGGCTTTCCCATACCACGGGCCCAGGACTGTGGCTCCTTTTCTAAACCACCTCTGGGACTCAGCTCCCCCCGCCAAAAAAAATGGGTCTCCTTCTGGGCTCCAGGATTGTCTCCCCACTCCAGCATCCCCAAACTGGTACTCCCTGACCCAGGGCCCCAAACCTGGGCTCTTACAGAGCCTCCATGAGTCAAGCCCCCTCCCCACACCTGGACTCCAGAATTCACCCTCTCCCCTGCAGTCTGGGTTCCCAGACTGAGTCCTCTCCCCAAATCAGGGCTCTAGACCCGAGCCCTCCAAACCTGGACTCTGGGACTTAGGCCCCCTTAAATCTAGACTTCTCTTTATAGGTTTCAGGTCTCCTATGGGTGCCTGGGAAGTCCTTGAAAGTGGACTGTTCTCAGGCTTGACCTGCCCCACCCCATCCCCGCGGTTGAGGCTGTGGGGGCAGCAGATCAGGAGCCCACTGATAAGGGGCCCTAGGGTACAGGGTGCTGCCCAGCAGGTCGCCACCGAGTGTCTTCTCATTTTATTTCAGCTCCATTTTGCCCATAGATGGGCAGAGGGGTGAGATTGGCTCATCCCCCTTCCAGATTCTGCAATAAAGCGGTGTGAGGAAGCAGGGGCCTCCGTGTGTGTGTGTGTGTGTGTGTGTGTGTGTGTGTGTGTGTGTTCAGGGTATAATGGGGAAGGAAGGGTTTTTGCAGACTGGGAGGCTCAGAATCTCTGCTAGACCTCATCCTTGCAGGGTGGGGTGGAGGGGGGCCGGGCCATGGGGTGGGAAGTCTCTCCCCATGAAGGGGATCCCCGCCACAGCTACCCTCCCTCTGGAGCTCGTCCTGCCTCCCTGCTGGCAGAGGGCTTTTTCCCTCATGTAGGGAAGGGAGGGGTTTGGGGGAGGTTCCAGATGAAAGCCAGGGTGGCGGTGGGGTTCCTTAATTGGCTGGTACGAATAGTCTCCTCCGCCAACAGCCCTGCCCAAAGCCCGCAGAGCAAGGACCTGGTTCCGATCCCCAGTCTGGGCCCAGACCCTCTCAGCCCCCTTCCCCCTCTTCCCAAGGATTAGCAAGGGCGGCCCAGGATCCTCTCGCGGCCGCACGTTTTTTGCCAAAAAAGGCAAGGATGCAGCTGCACACGCCGCGGGAACATCTGGATCCGATTCCCGGCATGAATGGGTCACGCCCCGTCCCCCGCCAACAGTGATTCAAGTCAAGGGTGGAGGCGGGAATGAGCGAGGGGGGCTGTCCCCCAAAGTGGGGAGATGGGCGGGGCGACGCTCCCCTCGCCCGCCCGGCGTCCGACGTCCCTTGTCCCTGACCCTGGCTGCCGCGGTCTGGGCTCGGCCGACCGTCCGGCTGTCGGGGCAGGTATGCGCACACAGTGGCGCCCACAGCTGCCTGCAGCGAGGCCCGGCCCTGGGCAGGCGGACCCTCGGCGCCCTGGAGTGGGAGAGCCCCTCCGGCCCGGCGGAAACCGCCAGATTGTATGTATCTCATATTAATTCCTCCCGTCCTGTGGGCGGGCATTATTACTTCCATTACACAGAGGTGGAGACGCCTGCAGTCAGCTGCCCCAAGTCACATAGGTAGTCACTGGTAGATCCTGGACTCTAACCGCTTTCTGAAGCCATGGTTGACATTTTCTTTTCTTTTTTTTTTTTTTATTTTACTTTAAGTTTCAAGATACGTGTGCAGAACGTGTAGGTTTGTTACATAGGTATACGTGTGCACGGTGGTTTGCTGCAACTATTGACCCGCCCTCTTAAGTTCCCTCCCCGACATTTTCAACAAACTTTTACGAATGCCTACCACGTGTGTTTATAATTAATAATTACCACATATGCTTACGGTTTTATTTGTTTCTCTCTCCCACCAGCCTAAGGACTGAGATCCTGCCTGCCTTGCTCCCCGCTCTCGTTCTCAGCTCCCGGCACTTACTATGTGTTCAGTAAATACTTGTTGAGGAAGAGCAGTCCAAGCATAGAAAACAACTGGCGCAAAGGCCTGGAGGCCTGAGAACATACGGTGCTTTGGGGAAGTAGCAAGTAATTCCATTTGGAGGAAGTGCCAGGAGAGTAAAATGGCAGGCAGAGCCCAGGTCCTAAAAAGCCGAATGCCAAGTTGCACAGACCTCACCCTGCAGGAAATGCAGCCTATGGAACTGTTTAAGCAGGGGCCTGTGATGAGCAGAGTTGTAGACAGATCATGCTGGCTGCAGCATGAATAATGGAGTGGAGGGGTAAGATGAGCAGGCTGGTTCGGAGGCTAGTGTAGTGTGGTCCGGGTGAGACATCTTGCAGCAGGTAGCAGCTCGAGTGGAAAAGGCAAGACTTGCTGCCTGGAGTGGGGATGAAGAAACATTTAGGGGCAGGAAGGCATCAGGTTTGAGACACAGTGACTGGAGGATGGTGGTGGTAAGGCGGTCCACCCACCTAACAGGAAGTGAGAGATGTGCAGCTACAAAATTGTTTGATTTATTTCAATACAAACATTTTTCAGACTTAACATCTTAGAAACCCAGACATATAATCAAGGCCAGGCGCAGTGGCTCACGCCTGTCATCCCAGCACTTTGGGAGGCCGAGGCGGGTGGATCACCTGAGGTCAGGAGTTTGAGACCAGCCTGGACAACATGGTGAAGCCTCGCCTCTACTAAAAATACAAAAATTAGCTGGGTGTGGTGGCAGGCATCTGTAATCCCAGCTACTCCGGAGGTTGAGGCAGGAGAATTACTTGAATCCGGAGATGGAAGTTGCAGTGAGCCGAGATAGCACCACTGCAGTCCAGCCTGGGGGACAAGAGCAAAACTCCGTCTTAAAAAAAAAGAAACCCAGACATATAATCAAAGGTGTGTCATTGTTTAATTGACAATTTTTTCTCTCTTCCTTAGTAAAGCATAAAATAATACTGAGTTTTACATTTGATGGCATCTCGTATTCAAGAAATACAGTAGCTCTCCAAGTTTATACCCCCCAAAAAACAAAACAAAACAAAAAACATTTGCTGAGTCTCCCCACTCCCTGAATGGAGATTTCTACTTTACCTCTTTCCTAATGTCCCAGGAAAAGCCCCAGATGAGTTGTGACTGGGTCCTTTCCCTAAGCTTGGCAGTCCTGCTTAAATTTCCGATATACAAATAAGATCCCCATAACACCCTCATGAGTGGGCAAAACACAGGTCACTATTTCCATTTTATATTTATTTATTTATTGAGACAGAGTCTCACTCTATCGCCAGGCTGGAGTGCAGTGGCGCGATCTCGGCTCACTACAACCTCCACCTGCCGGGTTCAAGTGATTCTCCTGCCTCAGCCTCTCAAGTAGCTGGGACTACAGGCGTGCGCCACCATGCCCAGCTAATTTTGTTGTATTTTTAGTAGAGACAGGGGTTTCACCATGTTGGCCAGGATGGTCTTGATCTCTTGACCTCGTGATCTGCCGCCTCGGCCTCCCAAAGTGCTGGGATTACAGGCGTGAGCCACCATGCCCAGCCTCCGTTTTTTCAAACTTTTTTTTTCTTTTTTGAGACAGGGTGTCACCCAGGCTTGAAGATTATAGCTCACTGTAACCTCAAACCCCTGGGCTCAAGTGATCCTCCCGCCTCAGCCTCCCAGGTAGCTGGGAGTACGGGCAAATGCCAGCAAGCCCAGCTAATTTTCTTATTTTTTGTAGAGATGAGGTCTCGCTATGTTGCCCAGACTGTTCTAGAACTCCTGGCTTTAAGCGAAATTCCCAGCTTGGCCTCCCAAAGTGCTGGGATTACAGGCGTGAGCCACTGCACCCAGCCTGCTTTCAAACTTTTAAAAACAAAAAGTAATGCATGTTTACTGTAGAAAAATTGGGCTGGGTGCGGTGGCTCACGCCTATAATCCCAGCACTTTGGGAGGCCAAGGCAGGAGGATTGCTTGAGCTCAGGAGTTGCAGACAAGCCTGGGCACCACTGTGAGACCTCATCTCTAGTAAAAATTTTTAAAAAATTACAGCGGGTCTGGTGGCTCATGCCTATAATCCCAGCATTTTGGGAGGCCAAGGCAGGAAGATCGCTTGAGTCCAGGAGTTTGAGACCAGCCTGGGCAACACGGCAAAAAACCCCATCTCTACAAAAAATACAAAAATTAGCAGGGTGTAGTGGCGCACATCTATAGTCCCAGCTACTCAGGAGGCTGAAGTGGGAGGATAGCTTTAGCCCAGGAGGTCGAGGCTGCAGTGAGCCAAGATTGTGCCACTGTACTCCAGCTTGGCAAGACCCTGTCTCAAAAAAAAAAGAAAAACCTTGGCTTGGTGTGGTAGCTCATGCCTGTAATTCCAGCATTTTGGGAGGCCAAGGTGGGCGGATCACCCTGAGGGCAGGAGTTCAAGACCAGCCTGGCCAACATAGCAAAACCCCATCTCTGCTAAAAATACAAAAATTAGCTGGGCATGGTGCCACGCACCTGTAATCCCAGCTACTAGGGAGACTGAGGCAGAATTGCTTGAACCCAGGAGGTAGAGGTTGCAGTGAGCCAAGATCGTGCCACTGCACTCCAGCTTGGATGACACAGAAAGACCCTGTCTCAAAAAAAAACAAAAAACAAAAAACCTCGCAGTTTTTTGGTGTGCGGTGGCTCACACCTGTAATCCCAGCATTTTGGGAGGCCAAGGCAGGCAGATCACCCGGAGGTCAGGAGTTCAGGACCAGCCTGGCCAACATAGTGAAAGCCCGTCTCTACTAAAAATACAAAAACTAGCCAGGTGTGGTGGCAGTCACCTGTAATCCCAGCTACTCAGGAGGCTGAGGCAGGAGAATCGCTTGAACACAGGAGGTAGAGGTTGCCGTGAGCTGAGATCGCGCCACTGCACTCCAGCCTGGCGACAGAGCGAGACTCCCAAAACAAAACTTTAAATGTGGCTTTTGTTGCGTGGGAAAAAAATAAAAAATTAACCAGGGTGGTGGCACCCACCTGTGGGGGCCACAGGGGTGGAGGCTGCAGTGAGCCATGATTATGCCACTGCACTCCAGCCTGGGGCAACAGAGAGAGACCCTATCAAAAAAAAAAAGAAAAAGAAAAAAAAGAAAAAAGTGAACAATAGGTAAATTACTAATAATGTGATGCATTATGTCCTCCTCGTTCTTTTTTGTTAAACATAAATGTGCACATATGTATTTTCAGTTTTAAATTAATTTTTAAATTGAAAAAGTATGTTTAAGAATAACTTTTTATGCTGTGCTTGGGGTGTATACAAAGAAAAATCTCCCATATCAGATCTCCAAGGCTGTCTGCTCAGGAACAACCACTGTTTACTGTTACTTGGATATCCTTACAGAAATAATCTCTTTGCACATCTATTTTTATACACACTTGTGCATCTAGCTTTTTTCAGTTTGTGTGGCCATCTCTCCATATGAGTTCATACAGAGTTTTTAACAGTTTTATTGAAGTGTAATTTATATACCATAAAATTCACCCATTTTTAACAGTACAAAGCAATTAATTTTAATAAAATGAATAGAGTTATGCAACTATCACCACAATCCAATTTTAGAACATTTCTACCCATCCAAAATGGATTCCTTGTGCGCATTTGTAATCACTTCCAATCTCACCTGCGGTCACAAGCAACCACTCATATTTCTGCCTCCATAGATTTGCCTTTGTTAACTCAATTGTAGCCTAAAGCTGCCTCCTTACATATTTTAAATTTAGCCTAAAGGTTTCTCTGTACATTGTGAACTATAACCTAAATGGAGTTGTAAACAGACCATAGCCTACTCTTTGCCAATCACCGAGTTTTGGCCAATCAAACATGGCAAACTATGCAAACCGTGTTCAAATAAGGCAAAGACCAAGCTGTAATAACCGGTGTTTTTTTTTTTTTTTCTTTTTGCAGGGGCCATGCTAATCTTCTCTGTATGGTTCCAATTTTAGTATATGTGCTGCCATAGCAAGCACCAGTGTTTTTCTTTTAACACCGTTCTGGACGTTTTATCTGGACATACACTGTTGTTTTTCTGTCTAGCTTCTTTCACTTAGCATGATGCTTTCATGGTTCATCATTGTAGTATTCATTTATTGCAGAATAATGTTCCATTGTACTGTATAGATATACCACACTTTATCCATTTGCCAGTTAATGGACTCTTGGGCTGCATCCAGTTTTTGTCTATTATGAATAATGCCGCTGTGAACATATGAACACATGGACATGTTTGCATTTCTCTACCTACAAGTGGAGATATATAGACAGAATTTTTTTTAAGGCTGTATGTCATTTCACAGCTGGTCTTCCACTGCTTGGATGCACAGTATTTTATTTTATTTTATTTTACTTTTTTTTGAGACGGAGTCTCTCTCTGTCGCCCAAGCTGGAATGCAGTGGCATGATCTCAGCTCACTGCAACCTCTGCCTCCTGGGTTCAAGTGATTCTCCTGCCTCAGCCTCCCGAGTAGCTGTGACTACAGGCGCGCGCCACCATGCCCGGCTAATTTTTTGCAGTTTTAGTAGAGACGGGGTTTCACCGTGTTAGACAGGATGGTCTCAATCTCCTGATCTCGTTGGATGCACAGTATTTTATTTAACATATTCGCTGCCGATAGACAAGTCGTTTCTACACGTGAATTTCTTTTTTTTTTTTTTTTTTGAGACTGAGTCTCATTCTGTCGCCCAGGCTGGAGTGCAGTGGCACGATCTCAGCTGACGGCAACCTCTGCTTCCCGGGTTCAAGCGATTCTCCTGCCTCAGCCTCCGGAGTAGCTGGGACTACAGGCGCCTGCCATCACGCCCGGCTAATTTTTGTTTGTTTGTTTTTAGTAGAGACGGGGTTTCACCATGTTAGCCAGCCTGGTCGTCTCGAACCTCTGACCTCAAGTGATCCGCCCGCCTCGGCCTCCCAAAGTGTTGGGATTACAGGCGTGAGCTACCGCGCCCGGCCTCACATGTGAATTTTTTTAAAAACACCACCAGCAAAACCCCACTATTCCCATTTTCCTGAGAAAGACGCTGAGGTCCAGAGAAAGAGAAAACGTTCTCATAATTTATGCTGAAAGCTGCGTCCTCAAGTTCCGGTTTCCCAACTCCCATCCGCACTCCAACTGCTCGCGCAGTCCACACAGGATACCTGCCCGCCAAGCCGGCCCCAGCAAGCCGCAGGAAGCCGTCCGCTGAACCTCAGGTTCTTGGGTTTTCCTATGCCCCCTGGAGGCATCTGCGAACCTCTCGGCATCGCTCCACCACACCTCCCACCAGCAGGTGGCACTGTTGCCATCTCCATAACATGGACTGGCCTTCCTTGTGGTGCTCCTGTTTTCTTAAGTCCCGGGGCACTTCCGGCACTCGCGGAACTTTGGTGCAGCCTGATGCGCAACGTGGGGACTCAGGCGCGCTGGGCGGCAGGAGTTGCTTCCGGCCGTGTTGGTGGTCTGAATTGAGAAGCCGCGACTAAGGGAAGATGGAGACAATACTGGAGCAGCAGCGGCGCTATCATGAGGAGAAGGAACGGCTCATGGACGTCATGGCTAAAGAGATGCTCACCAAGAAGTCCACGGTGAGTGGGGCCTGAGCAGAGGCTGCGGCAGGAGCACGAGCCTCTATCCCGTGTTTGACCTCTGAGAGCTTGCTTTGGCCCTCAGAACCTCCCTGCCTTCCTCCGGGCTCCCTCTCCGAGCTCCGGTCTTGGTAACCTCCTCCCGGGGTCCGGAGCCCCAGAGGCCTTTCTGCCTCAGCTGGTAAAAGCTGAGCGGGTAAGCTCCGCCCTCGGGCGGCCTTTTCTACTCCAGAACGCAAACTAACGGCGTTTGTGTCACCGTTTGTTTTTTCAGCTCCGGGACCAGATCAATTCTGATCACCGCACTCGGGCCATGCAAGATGTGAGTGCCCAGCTGTCTGCCTCTCTTTGGGTTGGCGAGGGCGGGAAAAGAGAGGGGAAGTGAAGTGCGGTGTCTCAGCATGAGTCCCTGGCCAAAGGTAACCGGATTGGCCAGTCGCGGGCTCTCTGCCTGGACAGATGTCCACAGGCTGCCGAACGTGAGGGTGCTTCCTCAGTTCTCTGAATGGGGAACTCTTGGGCATTCTTCATTAATCAGAAAGGTGCCCTTTTTTTTTTTCTTCTTCTTCTTCTTTTGGACGGAGTCTCGCTCTGTTGCCTAGGCTGGAGTGCAGTGGCGCGGTCTCGGCTCACTGCAACCTCCGCCTCCTGGGTTCAAGCGATTCTCCTGCCTCAGCCTCCGGAGTAGTTGGGACTACAGGCGCTCGCCACCACGCTCAGCTAATTTTTGTATTTTTAGTAGAGACGGAGTTTCTACTAAACATGTTGGTCAGGCTGGTCTCGAACTCCTGACCTCGTGATCCACCTACCTCGGCCTCCCAAAGTGCTGAGATTACAGGCTTGAGCCACCGCGGCCGGCTTACACGTGCCCATTCTTACAGCATCCTGTATCCCTTGGATGTGCAAACAATAGTTATGAAGAGTCCATGACTCAGGTGCATAGCTACAATCCTTCCCTTAAATGAAAAAAAAAATATATATATATATATACACACACACACACACACACACAACACACCCCGTATGTTAGTGTTTTTCTCCCAGGATACTACTTTAAAGCGTTTTGGACTACTAAACTGCATTTGTCTGGTAATAGTTCAGTTTATTAAAAGAAAAACAAGATGCTATTTAAACTGGGTGATGAATAAATGGAGGTTCATTTTACTACGTTCCTTACTCTTGTGTATGTTTGAAACCTGTTTAAAAAGGAATAAAAGACCTACTTGGACCTTCTGATTTGCAGGAGATTATCAGATTACAAGCCCTCAGCCCCAAAATACTCTGAAAACCAAGGATTTTCTTTTTTTCCCCTTGGGTGATTATTTGGTGTCAAAATCTGACCTGATCTCACTTGACAGTAAAACCTGGCCCGAACCTGTGATAGGCTTTTTATGGTCTTTAATTTATCCCACTTGGTAAATAAGGTATGAGGTTTACTGCAGAACTGTGTGCTCCAGATTCCACTAGGGATGTTACATAATATATGATACCTCTTTTGAACTTAAACATTCCAAATTCTGAAACAAATCTGGTCCCAAAAGTTTTGGAGGAGGGACTATGTACCTGTACCATCCTGAATTAGTATACTTTGACTACAAAGGAAGCCTATGTAATGTTTATTTAGCCTGCCTACTCCTCAGTCAAGCGTTTTGAAATAGTGAATATCATCTTTATCTTTGAGGATGTTAGGTGGGAACTAGTGTTTGGCCAAAGAGGGTGAGTCTGTTACAGGGGAAGTTAGGCATCGGTGGTATGTAAAGATAGGAGCCACCCCTTAAATGTATCATTTAGGTAATCTTCCAATCGACCTGCTTAAAAAACTAAACAGGAATCAAGGCTGTTAAAGGGCTATTAAAAAACTAACCAGGAATCAGGGCTGTTAAAGGTACTAGGAAGCACAGAACTGTTAAGACTATCTCATATCCATGTCTCTTGAGGTTGCCCTGGGCTTTGACTGGAGAACCCTTGTTGTTTGCTTAGCTCTACAGTTGTGCAAATTGCATCATTCTGATGGTTTTGTATTTGCCTTTCAGAGGTATATGGAGGTCAGTGGGAACCTGAGGGATTTGTATGATGATAAGGATGGGTAAGTGACAGTCACAGCTAATCCAGGAGTTAGTGCTTCTGAGGAGCCATGGTTAGAGGACTGACTTTGTGCTCTATCTTCTTTGAAATTTTCCTGAAATTGCAGATTACGAAAGGAGGAGCTCAATGCCATTTCAGGACCCAATGAGTTTGCTGAATTCTATAATAGACTCAAGCAAATAAAGGAATTCCACCGGAAGCACCCAAATGAGGTATGTCCTCAGAAAAGTATTTTCTCCAGACCTATCCTTAAAGCATACTAAAGGAAAGGTATAAAGGAAACTGGACATGTGCTATTCAAATGCACTTCAAGAAAGAACTTGCCATTTAGCTGCAAGGACCATAGTTAGCTGACATCCTACAATACAGTGTTTTCAGTATCTCCCTCAGCTTTTAAGCCAAGGCCGGCTGGGCACGGTGGCTCACGCCTGTAATCCCAGCACTTTGGGAGGCTGAGGTGGGTGGATCACCTGAGGTCAGGAGTTCAAGACCAGCCTGGCCAACATAGTGAAACTCAACCTCTACTAAAAATACAAAAATTAGCCAGGCATGGTGGCATGTGCCTGTAATCCCAACTACTCAGGAGGCTGAGGCAAGAGAATCACTTGAACCTGGGAGGTGGAGGTTGCAGTGAGCCGAGATTGCGCCATTGCACTCCATCCTGGGGGACAAGAGTGAGACTTTGTCTCAAAAAAAAGAAGTCAAGGCCACATTTTGTGGGCAGCTCCCAGCCAGTGACTGAGCACAGTATGGGTACTAGGGCCCAGCAATTTGGTCCACTCTGAGACTCCTCTGATGAATAATCTTTGCTCCATGGCTCCCCGTTGGGTTGGTCAAGATTTTGTCCAATCTGCATTGTGGTCTAGGCTATCCTGTCCTAATCCTACTTTCTCTTCCTTTTTATCTTTCACAGAAATTACTCTCCCCAATAAATTGTGTTCCTAACTCTGTCTTTTTTTTTTTTTTTTTTTTTGAGATGGAGTCTCGCTCTGTTGCCCAGGCTGGAGTGCAGTGGCATGATCTCGGCTCACTGCAAGCTCCACCTCCCGAGTTCATGCCATTCTCCTTCCTCAGCCTCCTGAGTAGCTGGGACTACAGGTGCCTGCCACCACGCCTGGCTAATTTTATGTATTTTTTAGTTGAGACAGGGTTTCACCATGTTAGCCAGGATAGTCTCTATCTCCTGACCTTGTGATCCGCCCACCTCGGCCTCCCAAAGTGCTGGGATTACAGGCATGAGCCACCGCGCCCGGCCCTCATATGCCCTGGAGCTCACTTATAATAAGGTAAAGAGAAAAAGGGCCTGGGAAGGCTTCCATCAGAAAGGTCACATGACCACTCCAGGTGGTGTTGCCTTACTGAAGTTAAGCAAAAGAGAGTTTCAGAAAGGCAGTCATGGTGTCAACTGTTATTGATTTATATCTGCCAGGATTGCTGCTTCATTAAAGTAGTATGAATGGAAATCTGGTCACAAGGTAAAGATGGGTAATGGGGAAGTAGAAGTATGGAGTATGGAACATGCATTTGAAAGGCTGGTAGCCAGGTGCAGTGACTCACGCCTGTAATCCCAGCACTTTGGGAGGCCGAGGCGGGTCGATCATCTGAGGTCAGGAGTTGGAGACCAGCCTGGCCAAAATGGTGAAACCTCTCTCTACTAAAAACACAAAAATTAGCCGGGCATGGTGGTGCACGCCTGTGATCCCAGCTTCTCATGAGGCTGAGACAGGAGAATCGCTTGAACCCAGGACATGGAGGTTGCAGTGAGCTGAGATCACGCCACTGCACTCCAGCCTGGGCAACAGAGCAAGACTCCGTCAAAAAAAAAAAAAAAAAAAGTCTGGTAGGAAAAAGAAGGGGAGAAACAGGAGGGTATTGGGGAAGACAGAGAAGCATACTTATTTGAAGGAGCACAGGGAAAAAGGAAGAGACTAAAAACAGCAAAAAATAGAGGCTGTTTATTGCAATACATAGCGCGGAGGTAAATGAAGGGACCCTCACACACATAGCCCCCTTGGAGGATAGAGAATGAGGTCTTCTGCTAACCAAGGGAGAATAAATGAATACCATTCTGATGTGTTAACCTTATTCCAGCCATGGTCAAAAGGTAATGAGGAATAAATGCTTAAATAACTGATTAGAAGGATGCCCAAGATATACTAAATGTCAGACGCAAGTCTTTTATGTTAAAAAAACAAAAACAAAAACCTATGCAGGCATGAATGTACTTGTACAAATACATATATTTAAATACATAGAGCACTGTTTTCCAAACTTTGTGCATATTTGAGCCACCTGGGGATCTTTAAAAAGTACTGATACCTGCCCTCCTTTGATTTAATTGGTATCAGGTGCATCAGGATTTAAAAAAAAAACTCCCCCAGGTGATTCTAATGTGCAGCAAAGTTTGGGAACCACTGGCATAGCAAAAGCTCTGTTAACAGTGGTCACCTGTTCTCAGGAGAATTAATAAAGGTGGACTTTTGAGTTTTTGTGAGCATGTGTTACTTTAGTGGGTTTTACTCAAACAGTACAAAAAAGCGGGGAAAAACAAGGTAATTGGAGAACAGTAGTAGATTTCCTAGTGAAAAATCAAGGCCAAATAAATCATCAGAAGTCCAACTTTCTGTGTATTTCATTTCTGTGATCTTGCAACTTTTACATTGAAAAATCCGCCTGCGGTCAGGCACAGTGGCTCATGCCTGTAATCCCAGCACTTTGGGAGGCCAAGGTGGGCAGATCACTTGAGCTTAGGAGTTTGAGACCAGCCTGGGCAACATGGCAAAACCCTGTCTCTACTAAAAATACAAGAATTAGCCAAGCGTGGTGGTGTGTGCCTATAATCCCAGCTACTCGGGTGGCCGAGGCAGGACAATCGCTTGAACCCGGGAGGTAGAGGTTGCAGTGAGCCAAGATTGTGCCAGTGCACTCCAGCCTGGGCCACAGAGTGAGAATCCATCTCAAAAGCAAAAAGAAAAATCCACCTGAGCTTTTACTTTTCCCCTCAGATCTGTGTGCCAATGTCAGTGGAATTTGAGGAACTCCTGAAGGCTCGAGAGAATCCAAGTGAAGAGGCACAAAGTAAGTAGGGGTGAAAATTTCATTCAGCACCAGCAAAAATACAGGTTAATGACAGCTCAGATTTGCAGCCATGGCCTCAGAGATATTTATAGCCAGGATTTCTTGCTGGTTTTGTCTTTGCTGGTTTCTGGGCTAGAGTGACATCCTAAGTTGGTCTTGGGCAAAATGTTCATTTTGTTCTCTCCTACCTCAAATTTACTGGCTTGGAAAGCCAAGGATTGTTCACTTTAGTTCACAATACTAAAATGAGTCAGTCCTTGTTACCTTGTAAGAGAAAACTCACTTTTGATCTCACTTAACTTATTGGAGGTTATATTGTGAGCAAAGGGAAGACATTTGGGTGAAGTGCTGCCTCAGGAAACTAGGAACACACAGTCCATTTGAAAAGGTAAGTCCAAGAGAGTGGTCTGTAGAAACTGAATCATTGATGTATCTGATTCCCTCAGACTTGGTGGAGTTCACAGATGAAGAGGGATATGGTCGTTATCTCGATCTCCATGACTGTTACCTCAAGTACATTAACCTGAAGGCATCTGAGGTAAGGCCTGGGAAAGGGCAGAGAGGTTCTGATTCTCGAAGTGAGTCAGGACAGTAGGCTGGAACTAGCAGACATGAAGCCATTGTAAAGTGTCTTCCTTGTGTTTTAAAACTCTTATGTAAATATTAAAGAGGTGATATGCTCTCTTGGAATGAAATACTATTCAAAATGAAAGTTTTCTACAGTGAAAACAAGAAGCATATTTATTTATTAATACTTTTTTTTTTATTTTGAGATGAGGTCTTACCATGTTGCCCAGTCTGGAGTGCAGTGGTATGATCTTTGCTCACTGCAACCTCGACTTCTGGGCTCAAGTGATCTCCTGCCTTAGCCTTCTGAGTATTTGAGGCTACAGGTGCATACCACCACCACACTTGGCTAATTTTTGTCTTTTTTTGTAAAGATGGGGTCTTGCAGTGTTGCCCAGGCTGGTCACAAACTCCTGACCTCAAATGATCCTCCTGTCTCGGCCTCCCACAGTGTTGGGATACAGGCATGAGCCATTGTACCCAGTCCATTATCAATACAGCAAGCATATTTTACCTTTGCCAAAATAAATCTTTTTTTTTTTTTTTTTTTTTTGAGACAGGGTCTCACTTTGTCACCCAGGCTGGAGTGCAGTGGCGCGATCTTGGCTCACTGTAGCCTAGACCTCTTGGACTCAAGTGATGGATCCCGCCTCAGCCCCACCAAGTACTTGGGACTACAGGCGTGTGCCACCATGCCCAGCTAATTTTTTGTATTTTGTGTAGAGATGGGGTTT
Source organism: Homo sapiens (assembly GCF_000001405.40). Taxonomy (NCBI): domain Eukaryota; kingdom Metazoa; phylum Chordata; class Mammalia; order Primates; family Hominidae; genus Homo; species Homo sapiens. Next base: position 37,983,405 of record NC_000001.11, on the reverse strand, counting down.
TGCCATGTTGCCAAGGCTGGTCTTAAACTCCTGAGCTCAAGCAATCCGTCTGTCTTGGCCTCACAAAGTGTTGGGATTATAGACGGAAGCCACTGCATCCAGCCTTACATAAGATTTCTTTAAATTCTTTTTTTTTTTTTTTTTTTTTTAAATAAATACCATGTTCCTGGCTGGACACAGTTGCTCACGCCTGTAATCCTAGCACTTTGGGAGGCCAAGGTGGGCAGATCACCTGGGGTCAGGAGTTCAAGACCAGCCTGACCAACATGGAGAAACCCCGTCTCTACTAAAAATACAAAATTAGCTGGGCATGGTGGCGCATGCCTGTAATCCTAGCTACTCAGGAGGCTGAGGCAGGAGAATCGCTTGAACCCAGGAGGCGGAGGTCGCGGTAAGCCGAGATTGTGTCATTCATTGCACTCCAGCCTGGGCAACAAGAGCAAAACTCAAACTCAAAAAAAAAAATTTTTTTTTGTAGAAATAGGGTTTCACTGTATTGTCCAGGCTAGTCTTGGACTCCTGGACTCAATCAATCCTCCTGCCTCAGCTTCTCAAAGCCTTGGGATTACAGGCATGAGCCACTGTGCCCACCCAGATTTATGTGTTCTTCTAGGTGTTCCTGTTTTAGACACAAACAATACTAGGTACATGGAAAATAAAACAACATGATCTTTCAGTCAGCAAAAAGGTATTTAATGTCTTTTCTTAAAGATGTTTAAAAATAGCTTATCACAGGCCGGGCGCGGTGGCTCACGCCTGTAACCCCAGCACTTTGGGAGGCCAAGGCAGGTGGATCACCTGAGGTCAGGTGTTCAAGACCTGCCTGACCAACATGCAGAAACCCTGTCTCTACTAAAAATAGAAAAAATTAGCCGGGCATGGTGGCTCATGCCTGTAATCCCAATTACTCAGGAGGCTGAGGCAGGAGAATCGCTTGAACCCATGAGGTGGAGGTTGTGGTGAGCCGAGATCATGCCATTGCACTCCAGCCTGGGCAACAAGAGCCAAACTCCGTCTCAAAAAAAAAAAAAATAGCTTATCACAAGAGATGAGGTTTAATATGACAATCTCAAAAGGATCACAAGGAAATCCATGATTAGATTCCTCATGGAATTGTGAAGAAATGTCCCAGAGTTGTAGTGACCAAACTTCAAGTTCCATGCAGGCAAGTCAGATCCCTTGTCTGTTTTGTTGTTTTCTGTACCCCGTACTTGGTACAAAGATGCTTAATAAGTAGTTACTTGCGTGAACAAATGGCACCTTTGAGCACCTTGTTTTAGGGTGTCAGAGTCTTTAACCAAGACCCTAGCATGAGGTAATAATCGACAAACGTTTCTTTTAGTTTAATGTTCATTAACTTGATCTTTATTTTGTAAAGTTATTATGTCTGATATTTTCCTTCAGTCCAGTGAAATTAACACTCCAGTTGTAGTAGGATTGAATGATAGGCAAGCAAAAAAAACCAAAATTAGCCAGCCCTTGTTACTTCTTTAGAAAACACTCAATTTTGATCTCACTTATTGGAGATTATATTGTAACTTGTTACAGTATAAATACCTAACTGAATTTCTTGTCATTTCTTTCCTCTTTTCAGAAGCTGGATTATATCACATACCTGTCCATCTTTGACCAATTATTTGACATTCCTAAAGAAAGGAAGAATGCAGAGTATAAGAGGTAGGCATTAATAGTTTCTAGGCCTCTCCTGGATTTGATTAGAAGATAATGTGAAGTTTTTGAGGGTGAAGTTCTGAATTTGTTGCCTGGAAGGCATACATGAAGGCATACTTCCAGGTTTATTGGAGGATGGGGTTATGAATGATGTGGTTTTAAAACCTTTGCGATAGTCTGGACGTGGACAAAGGTGTGTCTGTGGGCACATCTTCCATCTTATGCCCATAGTGTTCTTAATTTTGTCTCATTATAGAAGGAACTCTCCCACTCTGGGATTTCTGTGTTTTTGGAGTTTAATGGGAAAAAAAATTAGACTTTCTCAGATAGTGACTGAAGTGAGATGCTTAGGTGTGATGTATAAGTGAAAAATTTATGTTTTTGTTAATTACTCTCCTGATTAGTGATTTTATACCCTTCCCCTCTTTTTCTCATTTTCTTTTTACTGAAATCTTTTATGTGCAAAGTAATTAAGACCTTAGTATTTAGCATCATTTTATGAGAATAAAAGGAGGCGGGAAAGGTCAGAATCAAAATGACATGTTGGGAAAAAAGTCCATTGTAAGTTCATTTAAAAATGAGTATTGGCCGGGCGCGGTGGCTCACACCTGTAATCCCAGCACTTTGGGAGGCCGAGGCAGACGGATCACCTGAGGTCAGGAGTTCGCGACCAGCCTGACCAACGTGGAGAAACACCGTCTCTGCTAAAAATACAAAATTAGCCGGGCATGGTGGCGCATGCCTGTAATCCCAGCTATTCGGGAGGCTGAGACAGGAGAATCGCTTTAACCCGGGAGGCGGAGGTTGTGGTGAGCCAAGATCCCGCCATTGCACTCCAGCCTGGGTAAGAGGAGCGAAACTCTGCCTCAAAAAAAAAAAAAAAAAAAAAAAAAGAGTATTAAAAAGATAGCATTACTAGAATTATAAGTACTTTATATTCTGCAGGGAATAACAAGATACCAAAAATAGAAACCCTTTTTGCTTTGTCTGCATTGTGTGTTCCTCTGTAGATACCTAGAGATGCTGCTTGAGTACCTTCAGGATTACACAGATAGAGTGAAGCCTCTCCAAGATCAGAATGAACTTTTTGGGAAGATTCAGGCTGAGTTTGAGAAGAAATGGGAGAATGGGACCTTTCCTGGATGGCCGGTGAGCTTCAGTGGGATGTGAATGGTGGACATGCCAGGGAATTGAAGTAATTATTTTCCTTTATCTTGAGCTTCCACTTTAGGGCATTAGGTATCAATTCCTTGGTATCACTTGTGACAATGAGGTATTCCCTGCCAAGTATGCTATGTTTTTTTTTTTTGGAGACGGAGTTTCGCTTTTGTTGCCCAGGCTGGAGTACAATGGCGGGATCTCGGCTCACCTCAACCTCCGCTTCCCGGGTTCAAGCAGTTCTCCTGCCTCAGCCTCCCGAGTAACTGGGATTACAGGCACGCGCCTCCACACCCGGCTAATTTTGTGTTTTTAGTGGGGACAGGGTTTCTCCATATTTGTCAGGCTGGTCTCAAATTCCCGACCTCAGGTGATCCGCCCACCTCGGCCTCCCAAAGTGCTGGGATTACAGGTGTGAGCCACCGCACCTGGCCGTATGTGAGTTTTTTTGAGTGTACTTTGGAGCAAGACTGCCAGGGTCCACTTGCCTTTGACTGTGCCCAGATTTTCACCAATCACATCATTACTGCTATGTGGTTCCTGCCAACCAAGAGCTTATCAGATCATATGTTAGGAATCTACATTCTCACTTCTAGGGATAAACATGAGTTTTTCCTGAACTCTCCAGGGAGAGAATGTGGACAAACCTTAGCTTCATCCTAAACCTGGTGGGGTTTTTTTGTTTTTTGTTTTGTTTTGTTTTGTTTTGTTTTTTGGGAGACAAAGTCTCCATCTGGCTTCTAGGCTGAAGTACAGTGGCATGATCATACCTCACTGCTGCAGCCTCAACCTTGTGGGCTCAAGAGATCTTCCCACCTTAGACTCCTGAGTAGCTGGGACCACAGGCACATGCCATCATGCCCAGCTAATTCAGATAATTTTTTGTAGAGACAAGATTTCACCATGTTTCCCTGCCTGGTCTCTAACTCCTGAACTCAAGCAATTCACCTATCTTGGCCTCCCAAAATGCTGAGATTACAGGTGTGAGCCACCACACCTGGCCTAAACCTGGATCTTAATAAATACCATATTGTTCTTTCCAGAAAGAGACAAGCAGTGCCCTGACCCATGCTGGAGCCCATCTTGACCTCTCTGCATTCTCCTCCTGGGAGGTATGTTTCCTTCAGCAGTAGTAGTGTTCTCTCTGTCTATTTTTCTGTCTTTAAAGACTGCTCTCCTGTCTTTAATACCATGGTTGTGTTGTGATAAGGCACTATTTCTTGAGATCAAGCATCTACAAAGAAAGTAGCAAGGCAAAAAGAAAAAAATTACTACTTGGGAAACTGAAATAATTATTCTAACTACATTAAGCCGTAGTAAAGTAAATGGAACACTATCAGTATGGTTAAGTCTGAAGATAACTATAGATTCAGTCCTCTGGAGAGTTTAGACTTACTGCTAGATTGGCTGTGAAATGTGTGGTCCTGCCACAGCCTCAGGAACACCCACCCTCTGGCCTGCATTTGGGGTTTCCCAAAAATCTGTTAATGTAATATTGTAATTTTTCTCTTCTTTGTATAGGAGTTGGCTTCTCTGGGTTTGGACAGATTGAAATCTGCTCTCTTAGCTTTAGGCTTGAAATGTGGCGGGTAAGGAATAGTTTTTCTATCAAAACTATCGATTTACTGTGTGTTTGCACAGTCTTCTAAGTAGCTCTGATTCCATTTTTTTTGTTGCTCCACACTGCAAAAATAAGCCAGCCTGTGTGGTAAAGTAACCCTAAAATCCTTTGCCGTCCTGTCTCCTTAGGACCCTAGAAGAGCGAGCCCAGAGACTATTCAGTACCAAAGGAAAGTCCCTGGAGTCACTTGATACCTCTTTGTTTGCCAAAAATCCCAAGTCAAAGGGCACCAAGCGGTGAGTGGCTGGGGTAGCACTGCTGCTTGTGGCTTTTAAATGTTATTCCCATGCAGAATTTTTAACCACAGTGGAGACTTTAAAGCCTGCTTTATCTCCGTTATTGGTTGACAGAGATCCAGTCTGCTCTTTATCTCTGCTAATAGCAGAGAGTACTATCACTGTTAATATAAACCAAGGACCGTCTGTATTCATCTGATTGAGAGCACATCAAGTTTCTAAATTTGAAACCATATTCATGGCACCTTTAATAGGTTATGGAGGCTAAAAGGCTAAATAGGTTCAAAACCTATTTTTCTAAGCTTATTTTTGGTAAAGTTGAATCTAATTCTTGAGCTACATACTTATACAAGGTATTTTCTTTTTTCTTTTTTTTTTTTTTTGAGACAGTCTCACTCTGTTGCCCAAGCTGGAGTGCAGTGGTGCAATCTCAGCTCACTGGAACGTCCACCTCCTGGGTTCAAAAGATTTTCCTGCCTCAGCCTCCTGAGTAGCTGGGACTACAGGCACGCACCACCACACATGGCTGATTTTTTGTATTTTTAGTAGAGATGGGGTTTCATCATGTTAGCCAGGCTGGTCTGCAACTCCTGAGCTTAAGTGATCCACCTGCCTTGGCCTCCCAAAGTGCTGCGATTATAGGCGCGAGCCACCGTGCCCGACCCAGGGTTGTTTTTTTTGTTTGTTTGTTTTTTTCTTTTTTGAGATGGAATCTCGCTCTGTTGCCCAGGCTGGAGTGCAGTGGCACAATCTCGGCTCACTGCAAACTCCGCCTTCTGGGTTCAAGTGATTCTGCTGCCTCAGCCTCCCGAGTAGCTGGGATTACAGATGTGCAACACCACATTGGCTAATTTTTGTGTGTTTTTTGTTTGTTTGTTTTTGAGACGGAGTCTTCCTCTGTCACCCAGGCTCAAGTGCAGTGGCGCAATCTCGGCTCGCTGCAACCTCCACCGCCCTGCTTGAAGCGATTTTCCTGCCTCACTCTCCCGAGTAGCTGAGATTACCAGAGTGCGCCACCATGCCTGGCTAGTTTTTGTATTTTTAGTAGAGACGGGGTTTCACCATGTTGGCCAGGCTGGTCATGAACTCCTGACCTCAGGTGATCCACCTGCCTCAGCCTCCCACAGTGGTGGGATTACAGGCATGTGAGCCACCGTGCCCAGCTAATTTTTGTATTTTTAGTAGAGAGAGGGTTTCACCATGTTGGCGAGGTTGGTCACAAACTCCCAACCTCAAGTGATCGCCAGCCTCAGCCTCCCAAAATGCTGGGATTACAGGCATGAGCCACCGAGCCTGGCCCAGTATTTTCTTAATGTACGTTTTTTTCTAATTCTCACAACAACCCAGAAAATTAGTTGTTATCCTGAGTTTTTGCAGATAAGGACTCAGAAAAGTTATGGAATGTGTCCACTCTCTCATAGTTCTAAGTAGCAGAGTCAGGATTTGGGCCTAGGTCTACCTGCTGCAGAGCTTGCTCTTATATACCACATTTCCTTTGTAGATTATAATGATGGAAATGTAAGCGGTCTTGATGTGTCCTTCATCTTCTAAGTGAGGTCATAGAGGAAGCCTCCATGCATTCTGAGAAATACCCTCAGTATTTGTCAGAGAGTCCTGAGATGAACAGAGCATTTGCTTTCATAGCATCGTATTTCTCATGTGCTTATAATTTTTAATGCAGTTGTGCAATAAATGTTCCCAGATATAGGGAACAAAACAATGGATGAGAGAATCCTTGAGTGAAACAGCTTGTTTCTTTTTCTCAGAGACACTGAAAGGAACAAAGACATTGCTTTTCTAGAAGCCCAGATCTATGAATATGTAGAGATTCTCGGGGTAAGTGACTGACTGCTGAAAGTGGAAAATGGTATAAAGCACAGGAGTTAAAGGGAGAGGAACTCACAGAAGATACTTTTTCATTAGGTTCAAAAGAGGAGTGGATAGCTGATAAACTAGTATGGCACAAAATAGAGGTCAGGGTACAAGGCTCTTCAGTAAGTTCCTATTCTGTTGTTAGATGATACTCCCAAAGTTGCCCAATTCCCATAAAGCCAGTCATGGAGAATAGAGTCCCCTCACAATATAATGTCCAGAATAGTGCAGATTCTGTGCCTGAGCTTTAGAAAATACTCAGGAGTAGCCCACAAAGCAGACACTCAAAGGGCAAGTAACAGAAAGGCTACTCAAAGTGGCCTTTCAGTTATGACTTATGAAAAGGCATTTTCATAAGTCATCTCATGTAAGTCAACTTACATGTTCATAAGATTATGAGAAACTTAGTAGGGCTAGAATATTATTAGTACAAAGCTGGCAGTGAATGTTCTTGAATATTTCAGGAGGAGCTGAAGTGTGGGTTGGGGTAGAGAAAGGCCTAGCCTGACCAGTATGCTTGTCTCAGAGAGAAAGCAGGGAGAGGAGTAGGAGGAAAAGAAATCTCTTTCCAGGAAGAAAAAGTGGAAGAAAGGGCAGCACTCATCCAGAAAAGATGATCAGTGTCTCTGGAGTCCTTCAGAAGACCAGCCTTTCTGATTGTGTCTGCTGTGTACAGTTTTTTTTTTTTTTTTGAGACAGAGTCTTGCTCTGTCACCCAGGCTGGAGTACAGTGGTGTAATCCGGGCTCACTGCAACCTCCACCTCCAGGGTTCAAGCAAGTCTCCTGCCTCAGCCTCCTGACTAGCTGGGACTACAGGCATGCGCCACCACGCCCGACTAGTTTTTTGTATTTTTAGTAGAGACAGGGTTTCACCATATTGGTCAGGCTGGTCTCGAAATCCTGACCTCGTGATCCGCTTGCCTCGGCCTCCCAAAGTGCTGGGATTACAGGCGTGAGCCACCGCGCCCAGCCCAATTTTTAACTCTCAGAGCCTTTCCCTTTACACATACTCGCATGGTCCGTTGAGTGGATGGCTCTGGATCAGATAGCTTGTTCACATATTTTTGTTAATTGCCGTGGACATTTTCATTCGGCCTTTGAGGACCATTCGTATAATAGCTGTAGAACTAGTCACCTGTGATTCTGTTATGACTGCTTTCAGTAAAAGGCTAGCTAGACATTGGACATTGGAGAGATATATTCTCCGCTGTGAACTTGGGCTGTGCTAGTGTGGACAGCAGGCTGAATTGCCAGTCTTGTGAGTGGCTGGGAGGCCACTCATGCCCTTGACATGAGATTTGTCCACCACTTTCTCCCTCTTTTTTTTTTTTGAAATAGTATCTCACTCTGTCACCCAGGCTGGAGTGCAGTGGCGGGATCTCAGCTCACTGCAACCTCCGCCTCCTGGGTTCAAGTGATTCCTGTGCCTCAGCCTCCCTGGTAGCTGGGACTACAGGTGTGTGCCACCACACCTGGCTAATTTTTGTATTTTTGGTAGAGACAGGGTTTTGTCTTGTTGGCCAGGCTGGTCTTGAATTCCTGGCCTCAAGTGATCCGCCTGCCTTGGCCTCCCAAAGTGCTGGAGCCACTCGACGGCCTCTCCATCCTTTAAGAGCATTTTGCTTTCCCTGCCAGGAGATGGCACTATTCTCTTCGGAATTCCAACCAGTTCTAGCCAAATACTTTCCAGAAGTTGCTCTCACTATGAACTGATAAGATTTTTGCCATTATTATACCATTTGTTGATGTCTGTTGGTTTTTGGACATTATGCAAATTTTTTTGATACAATAGTGAATAAGACACAGCCTCTTGCCCTTAAGAAACTCATTTTGTGGTTAGGGGAGACAAATAATTACAATATAATGTGATACATACCTGAATAAAGTGAGGTTGAGTCTTCTAAGTAGAAAGAGAGAAGGGAGAAGAAAAAGTTTCTGGTAGAGGAAACAGCAAACACAAAGATACAACAGTATTAGATAAAATTATATGTTCAGGAAATGAGAAATGCAGTGTGTGTGGAATATGGCTTATGAGGGAGGGAATGGTCGGAGAAAACTCTGTCAGAGAGTTATGTTGGAAATTTGGACTTTGCCTTATAAGCAGTAGGAAGCCAATAAAAGTTCTCTTAAGTAGGATAGCGTGCCACTACAGATTTGGGTTTTTAAACAGATAAACCTGGTAGCAAAATGGAAATTGGATTGGAATGAGGAGAGACTCAAGGCAAGTTAGAAAGTGGTCATCTTGGGCCGGGCGCAGTGGCTCATGCCCGTAATCCCAGCCCTTTGTGAGGCCAAGGCGGGCAGATCACAAGGTCAGGAGATCGAGACCATCCTGGCTAACACTGTGAAACCCTGTCTCTACTAAAAGTATAAAAAATTAGCCAGGCATAGTGGCGGGCATCTGTAGTCCCAGCTACTCGGGAGGCTGAGGCAGGAGAATGGCATGAACCCAGGAGGCAGAGGTTGCAGTGAGCCGAGATTGCGCCACTGCACTCCAGCTTGGGCGACAGAGCAAGACTCCATCTCAAAAAAAAAAAAAAAAAAAAAAAGTGGTCATCTTGGTGAGGAAAGGAGAAGAAAGTCCTGGTTAAGGAAATATTTTTTTTTTAATTTTTTTTTATACTTTAAGTTCTAGGGTACATGTGCACAACGTGTAGGTTTGTTACATATGTGTACATGTGCCATGTTGGTGTGCTGCACCCGTTAACTCGTCATTTACATTAGGTATATCTCCTAATGCTATCCCTCCCCCGTCCTCCAACCCCACAACAGGTCCCGATGTGTGATGTTCCCCACCCTGTGTCCAAGTATTCTCATTGTTCAATTCCCACCTATGAGTGAGAACATTCGGTGTTTGGTTTTCTGTCCTTGCGATAGTTTGCTCAGAATGATGGTTTCTAGCTTCATCCATGTCCCTACAAAGGACACGAACTCATCCTTTTTTATGGCTGCATAGTATTCCATGGTGTATATGTGCAACATTTTCTTAATCCAGTCTATTATTGATGGACATTTGGGTTGGTTCCAAGTCTTTATTATTGTGACTAGTGCTGCAATAAACGTAAGTGTGCATGTGTCTTTATAGCAGCATTATTTACAATCCTTTGGATATATGCCCAGTAATGGGATGGCTGGGTCAAATGGTATTTCTAGTTCTAGATCCTTGAGGAATCGCCACACTGTCTTCCACAATGGTTGAACTAGTTTACAGTCCCACCAACAGTGTAAAAGCGTTCCTGTTTCTCCACATCCTCTCCAGCACCTGTTGTTTCCTGACTTTTTAATCATCGCCATTCTAACTGGTGTGAGATGGTATCTCATTGTGGTTTTGATTTGCATTTCTCTTTGTAGATTCTTTGTAGTTCTTTGTAGATTCTGGATATTAGCCCTTTGTCAGATGGGTAAATTGTAAACATTTTCTCCCATTCTGTAGGTTGCCTGTTCACTCTGATGGTAGTTTCTTTTGCTGTGCAGAAGCTCTTTAGTGTAATTACATCCGATTTGTCAGTTTTGGCTTTTTTTTGCCATTGCTTTTGGTGTTTTAGTCATGAAGTCCTCGCCCATGCCTATGGCCTGAATGGTATTGCCTAGGTTTTCTTCTAGGGTTTTTATGGTTTTAGGTTTAACATTTAAGTCTTTTTTTCTTTTTCTTTTTCTTTTTTTTGTTGGAGACAGAGTCTCACTCTGTCGCCCAGGCTGGAGTGTAGTGGCATGATCCCAGCTCACTGCAACCTCCACCTCCTGGTTCCAAGCGATTCTCCTGCCTCAGCCTCCCGAGTAGCTGGGACTACAAGCATGTGCCACCATGCCCAGTTAATTTTGTGTATTTAGTGAGACAGGGTTTCACCATGTTAGCCAGGCTGATCTCGAACTCCCGACCTCAGGTGATCCACCCACCTTGGCCTCCCAAAGTGCTGGGATTACAGGCGTGAGCCACCGCACCCGGCCCACATTTAAGTCTTTAATCCATCTTGAATTAATTTTTGTATAGGGTGTAAGGAAGGAATCCAGTTTCAGCTTTCTACATATGTCTAGCCAGTTTTCCCAGCACCATTTATTAAATAGGGAATCCTTTCCCCATTTCTTGTTTTTGTCAGGTTTGTCAAAGATCAGATGGTTGTAGATGTGTCATACTATTTCCAAGGACTCCGTTCTGTTCCATTGGTCTATATCTCTGTTTTGATACCAGTACCATGCTGTTTTGGTTACTGTAGCCTTGTAGTATAGTTTGAAGTCAGATAGCGTGATGCCTCCAGCTTTGTTCTTTTGGCTTAGGATTGTCTTGGCAAGGCAGGCTCTTTTTTGGTTCCATGTGAACTTTCAAGTAGTTTTTTCCAATTCTGTGAAGAAATTGGTAAGCTTGTGAAGTCATTGGTAGCTTGATGGGGATGGCATTGAGTCTATAAATTACCTTGGGCAGTATGGCCATTTTCACAATATTGATTCTTCCTATCCATGAGCATGGAATGTTCTTCCATTTCTTTGTGTCCTCTTTCATTTCGTTGAGCAGTGGTTTGTAGTTCTCCTTGAAGAGGTCCTTCACATCCCTTGTAAGCTGGATTCCTAGGTATTTTATTCTCTTTGAAGGAATTGTGAAGGGGAGTTCACTCATGATTTGGCTCTCCGTTTATCTGTTATTGGTGTATAAGAATGCTTGTGATTTTTGCACATGATTTTGTATCCTGAGACTTTGCTGAAGTTGCTTATCAGCTTAAGGAGATTTTGGGCTGAGACAATGGAGTTTTCTAAATGTACAATCATGTCATCTGCAAACAGGGACAATTTGACTTCCTTTTTTCCTAATTGAATACCCTTTATTTCTTTCTCCTGCCTGATTGCCCTGGCCGGAACTTCCAACACTATGTTGAATTGGAGTGGTGAGAAAGGGCATCCCTGTCTTGTGCCAGTTTTCAAAGGGAATGCTTCCAGTTTTTGCCCATTCAGTATGATATTGGCTGTGGGTTTGTCATAAATGGCTCTTATTATTTTGAGAAACATCCTATTAATACCTAGTTTATTGAGAGTTTTTAGCATGAAGGGCTGTTGAATTTTGTCAAAGGCCTTTTCTGCATCTATTGAGATAATCATGTGGTTTTTGTCTTTGGTTCTGTTTATATGATGGATTACGTTTATTGATTTGCGTATGTTGAACCAGCCTTGCATCACAGGGATGAAGCCAACTTGATCATGGTGGATAAGTTTTTGATGTGCTGCTGGATTCAGTTTGCCAGTATTTTATTGAGGATTTTTGGATCGATGTTCATCAGGGATATTGTCTAAAATTCTCTTTTTTTTGTTGTGGTCTCTGCCAGGCTTTGGTATCAGGATGATGTTGGCCTCATAAAATGAGTTAGGGAGGATTCCCTCTTTTCCTATTGATTAGAATAGTTTCAGAAGGAATGGTACCAGCTCTTTTTGTACCTCTGGTAGAACTCGGCTGTGAATCCGTCTGGTCCTGGACTTTTTTTTGGTTGGTAGGCTATTAATTATTGCCTCAGTTTCAGAACCTGTTATTGGTCTATTCAGGGATTCAACTTCTTCCTGGTTTAGTCTTGGGAGGGTGTATGTGTCCAGGAATTTATCCATTTCTTCTAGATTTTCTAGTTTGTTTGTGTAGAGGTGTTTATAGTATTCTCTGATGGTAGTTTGTATTTCTGTGGGATCGGTGTTGATATCTCCTTTTTCGTTTTTTATTGCGTCTGTTTGATTCTTCTCTCTTCTTTATTAGTCTTGCTAGCGGTCTTATCAATTTTGTTGATCTTTTCAAAAAACCAGCTCCTGGATTCATTGATTTTTTTTGAAGGGTTTTTTTGTGTGTCTGTCTCCTTCACTTCTCCTCTGATCTTAATTATTTCTTGCCTTCTGCTAGCTTTTGAATGTGTTTGCTCTTGCTTCTCTAGTTCTTTTAATTGTGATGTTAGGGTGTCAGTTTTAGATCTTTCCTGCTTTCTTTTGTGGACATTTAGTGCTATAAATTTCCCTTTACACGCTGCTTTAAATGCGTCCCAGAGATTCTGGTATGTTGTGTCTTTGTGCTCATTGGTTTCCAAGAACACTTTATTTCTGCCTTCATTTCGTTATTTATCCAGTAGTCATTCAGGAGCAGGTTGTTCAGTTTCCATGTAGTTGAGCGGTTTTGAGTGAGTTTCTTAATCCTGAGTTCTAGTTTGACTGCACTGTCGTCTGAGAGACAGTTTGTTATAATTTCTGTTCTTTTACATTTGCTGAGGAGTGCTTTACTTCCAACTATGTGGTCAATTTTGGAATAAGTGTGATGTGGTGCTGAGAAGAATGTATATTCTGTTGATTTGGGGTGGAGAGTTCTGTAGATGTCTATTAGGTCCGCTTGGTGCAGAGCTGAGTTCAATTCCTGGATATCCTTGTTAACTTTGTCTCGTTGATCTGTCTAATGTTGACAGTGGGGTGTTAAAGTTTCCCATTATTATTGTGTGGGAGTCTAAGTCTCTTTGTAGGTCTCTGAGGACTTGCTTTATGAATCTGGGTGCTCCTGTATTGTGTGCATATTTTTTTTTTTTTTTTTTGAGAAGGAGTCTCACTCTGTCGCCCAGGCTGGAGTGCAGTGGCGGGATCAGAGCTCACTGCATCCTCAAACTCCTGGGCTCAAGCAGTCCTCCTAACTCAGCCTCCTAAAGAGCTGGGATCACAGGTGCACACCTCCATGCCTAGCCAATTTGTAAATGTTTTGTAGAGATGAGATCCCATTGTGTTGCCCAGGCTGATGTCAAACTCCTGGCCTCAAGTGATTCTCCCACCCCAGCCTCCAAAAGTGATGGGATTACAGGCGTGAGCCACCACACCCAGCCAGGAAATATTTTAGAGTCAGAATAGATGAGACTGTTTTCTGTTGTTCTATAATAGCCTCAGATGAGTAATTAGGCAAGTGATGTAAAACCTTTGACTCTTTTCTTTGGGATCAGGTAGAGCCTGCTGATAAGGAGTTCTGATATGAAGGCAAGATTTTCCTTTATTCTGTAAGAAAGAACCTTATCCTTGGAAGTAAGGGGTCAGCAAAAGTTACAGGAAAACAGGAAATTTCCCTTCTTATTCTGCACTACTTTTTTCTGACTTTTCATTTATGGACCTGCTTTAGGAACAGCGACATCTCACTCATGAAAATGTACAGCGCAAGCAAGCCAGGACAGGAGAAGAGCGAGAAGAAGAGGAAGAAGAGCAGATCAGTGAGAGTGAGAGTGAAGATGAAGAGAACGAGATCATTTACAACCCCAAAAACCTGCCACTTGGCTGGGATGGCAAAGTAAGTCTCAGCACTACCACTTTCTCCCCATTCCCCATTTTGGAAACAGATACAGAGTTTAGTAGGCTAACACTTCTTGGTTTTGTTTTGTTTTTTTCTTTTTTAGCCTATTCCCTACTGGCTGTATAAGCTTCATGGCCTAAATATCAACTACAACTGTGAGATTTGTGGAAACTACACCTACCGAGGGCCCAAAGCCTTCCAGCGACACTTTGCTGTAAGGAATTCAGAGCCATTTTTCCTGGGAATTGAAGTAAAAACATGAGACTTTTAGAGAAAAGAGTAGGAGCAGCCTATGTGGACCACTGGTGTCCAGAGCTGAAGGGAATCAGAGAAGGATGGTTTTAAAATCAAGCCCATGGCATTTGACTTTTGGCACCAATGTTAGTCTTAAATACCTGAGATAGTTTCTGGAGGAATTCTACCGCACCACTCTTTGAACCTTATTTGGTTTTCTCTTGCCTGCTCTTAAACTTCTCTGTTTTTGTCTTTCTGCTAGCATTTTAGACCAATTTCTGACTTCTTGGTTATTTCTCTACCCCATTGCTAATACTCAAGATAAAAAATAGGGCTGACTGATCTCTTTCAGATCTTAAATGGATCTTTGCCTCTTGAGAAAATAAAAAATGAAGGGGCTGATATTTATCAAGCCATTCTTGAGACAGGGTATTGTCCGGATGATACTGCTGTAAGTGGGCTCACCTCTAAGTGGGCTCTACTTAGAGTTCTTAGATTTTGGAAGGAAATTTTACAGAAAGGAAAACATTTATGCTAGACCAAGGATGACAAATTTATATGAACTCCTCTCCCCCTCTCTGAGTCATACATATTACTAATTGATAATGGGTCTTTTTTGCTGAGCCCATGAGTGAGTTCTGAATCCTTCTCAGCACCTCCTACAATGATTGGAGTTGGCATCCAGGATAAAGCCCATGCCATTTACCATCCCTTAGTTAAAACTGCCATCATGTCAGTGTATAATCTCCCTGCTCTCTCCTCACCACATCATTGTGCCTAATAAAAGTCTTCTCCTTTACCTACAAAGATGATGCTGACCTGCCATTAGTAACCCCTATTCATGCAGGTGTTTGGAGTTGCTGGGGCTTTGGTAAGTTCTCCTGCAATATGGGAGATGTAGTGAGAGTTGTGATGTTTTTCTGTGATCTTGACCCAGAGGTTTTATGTATAAGACTACTGGGTCTAGAATCTAGGTTTACAAGCCAACCCAGTGAGGCAAACAATGCAGTGCTGCTTTGAAATACCACCCTTTTGTCAGTCACAGCCAGCTGTTTACAAACATGAATCACAAAAGGAATGCTACCTTTAGGTGGAGTCTTGCAAAGGGCCATGTTAGGATTTATGAGTAGAATGGAGTTAGTGCTCTGTGTTCAGCTATTCCCATTTCACATGATCCTTTTGCTTCTCTCTTCTCCCAGGAATGGCGTCATGCTCATGGCATGAGGTGTTTGGGCATCCCAAACACTGCTCACTTTGCTAATGTGACACAGATTGAAGATGCTGTCTCCTGTAAGTAAGATTTATTTACTGTCTCCTAGGCGAGTACAAATGGCTCTACTCCTTCAATTCAGCATCCTAATACCCTGTGTATCCAGGGTTAAAGGCAGTAGGTTGTGGATATGTAAAATCTAGGACAGTTGTATAATTATTGCATTTCTGTTTTTTGTTTTGTGTTTTTTTGTTTTGTTTTGAGATGGATGGAGTCTCGCTCTGTCGCCAGGCTGGAGTGTAATGGTGCAGTCTTGGCCCACTGCAACCTCTGCCTCCCGGGCGCAAGCGATTCTCCTGCCTCAGCCTACCGAGTAGCTGGGACTACAGGCACGTGCCACCACACCTGGCTAATTTTTTTTTTTTTTTTTTTTTTTTTTTTTTTTTGTGACGGAGTCTCACTCTGTCGCCCAGGTTGGAGTGCAGTGGCATGATCTCGGCTCACTGCAAGTTCCACCTCCTGGGTTCATGCCATTCTCCTGCCTCAGCCTCCCGGTAGCTGGGACTACAGGCGCCCGCCACCACACTTGGCTAATTTTTTGTGTTTTTAGTAGAGACAGGGTTTCACAGTGTTAGCCAGGATGGTCTTGATCTCCTGACCTCATGATCCGCCCGCCTTGGCCTCCCAAAGTGCTGGGATTACAGGCATGAGCCGCCACACCTGGCTAATTTTTTGTATTTTTAGTAGAGACGGGGTTTCACTGTGTGAGCCAGGATGGCCTTGAACTCCCGACCTCAGGTGATCCGCCCACTTCAGCCTCCCAAAGTGCTGGGATTATAGGCGTGAGCCACCATGCCCAGCCTTTGTTTCTGAGACGAGTCTCACTCTGTCACCAGGCTGGAGTGCAGTGGCACGATCTTGGCTCCTGCAACCTCCGTCTCCTGGGCTCAAGCAATTCTCCTGCCTCAGCCTCCCTAGTACCTGGGATTACAGGCATGTGCCACCATGCCCAGCTAATTTTTCTATTTTTAGTAGAGATGGGCTTTCATCATGTTGGCCAGGCTGGTTGAGGTGACGAACTCCTGACCTCAAGTGATCCACCCATGTTGGCCTCCCAAAGTGCTGGGATAACAGGCGTGAGCCACCGCGCCTAATTATTGCATTTTTTTTTTTTTTTTTTTTTTTTTTGAGATGGAGTTTCGCTCATATTGCCCAGGCTGGAGTGCAATGGTGCGATCTCGGCTCACTGCAACCTGTGCCTCCTGGGTTCAAGCGATTCTCCTGCCTCAGCCTCCCGAGTAGCTGGGATTACAAGTATGCGCCACCATGCCTGGCTAATTTTGTACTTTTAGTAGAGACGGGTTTCTCCATGTTGGTCAGGCTGGTCTTGAACTCCTGACCTCAGGTGATCTGCCCACCTCGGCCTCCCAAAGTGCTGCGATTACAGGCGTGATCCACCGTGCCCAGCTAATTATTGCATTTTTAAGAGAAATGAATTAGTCGGCAATACTGATTGTTTCTCCTTTGAGAAGAGCTCTGTGCTGAGTATAAACCAGGGCTTTTAGCCTGGGTCTGTGAACTCCCTTTTATGCAAGATTTTGATTGAATGGTTGTATGGATAGTTTTCTGAATTGATTTTAATGTGTTAAATAATGACTGATATAAAGGAAAATATAGAAGTACCCTCAGTAAGCTTGTGTTAGAGGCTATAGAAACACAGCAGCAAAATACCTCTTGAAGAAAGTGAAGCGGAGTGCATGTCAGGGAATGTGCTGCTGAAGCACATAGAGGACCACCGCCAGGCTTCCTGTTTTCCCAGCAGTAGTAGCTTTCTCTGCCATTAACATTTTCATGGCAGCCTTTTCTTTTCTTCTTTTTTTTTAATTTAATTTAATTAATTAATTTATTTATTTATTTTTTTGAGACAGAGTCTTGCTCTGTCACCCAAGCTGGAGTGCAGTAGCGTGATCTCAGCTCACTGCAACCTCCACCTCCTGGTTCCAAGCGATTCTCCTGCCTCAGCCTCCCGAGTAGCTGGAATTACAAGCGCTCGCCACCACGCCTGGCTAATTTTTTTGTATTTTTAGTAGAGACGGGGTTTTAGCATGTTGGCCAGGCTGGTCTCAAACTCCTGATCTCAGGTGACCTACCTGCCTTGGCTTCCCAAAGTACTGGGATTACAGGCGTTAGCCACCGCGCCCATCCCGGCTTTTTATATTCTTTTCAGTGGATCTATGTCACATTTCACTGTTGGCTGATTAGACAGAAGTAAGGTATTTTACCCCCCCATCCCACCCCCCACTGTTAAATTACAGGCACTTTACTCTCAGTTATGTTTAGCAGGCTGTTCAGCTGTTTGGTCAGCTTGAACCTTGGGCTTCCAACTCTGTTGCCCAGGCTGGAGTGCAGTTGTGCCATCACAGCTCACTGCAATCTCTGCCTCCCAGGCTCAAGTGATCCTCCCACTTCAGATTCCCAAGCTGATGGGACTACAGGCTTGTGCCACCATGCCTGGCTAATTTTTGTATTTTTTGTAAAGATGGTGTGTCACCATGTTGCCCAGGCTGGTCTTAAAGTCCTGTACTCAAGCAATCTGCCTGTCTCAGCCTCCGAAAGTGCTGGGATTGCAGGCGTGATCCCCGCCCAACATGCAACATGCTACAACCTGTCATTTGAAACTGTTTATATTGACAGAGATTATCTCTTCAGTGGGACTGCGCTAAGATTCTTTAACTTATATAATTTCTTGACTTCTTATGACAAAGAAAGCAAGTGCTTTATAAAACTATTCTGAGTTTATTTTCTTTTTTTTTTTTTTTTTGTGCCGATGGGGTTTCCTTATGTTGCCCAGGCTGGTCTCAAACTCCTGGGCTGAAGTGATCCTCCCACCTTGGCCCTACAAAATGCTGGGATTATAGGCATGAGGCACTGCACCCAACTTTATTTTTTTATTTTTTATTTTTTTTTGAGACAGAGTCTTGCTCTGTTGCCCAGGCTGGAATGCAGTGGCTGATCTCGGCTCACTGCAACCTTCGCCTCCTGGGTTCAAGCAATTCTTGTGCCTTAACCTCCCAAGTAGCTGGGACCACAGGTATGCACCACTACGCCCAGCAATTTTTGTATTTTTAGTAGAGACGGGGTTTCACCATGTTGGCCAGGCTGGCCTGGAACTTCTGACCTCAAGTGATGCACCCGCATTGGCCTCCCAAAGTGCTAGGATTATAGGCATGAGCCACCATGCTCATGTTAAGAGAATGACTGATATAAAGGGAAAAATAGAAGTGCCCTCAGTAAGCTTGTGTTTGAGGCTATAGAAACACAGCAGCAAAATACCTCTTGAAGAAAGTGAAGTGGAGTGCATATCAGGGAATGTGCTGCTGAAGCACATAGAGGACCACCGCCAGGCTTCCTGTTTTCCCCGCAGTGGTAGCTTTCTCTGCCATTAACATTTTCATGGCAGCCTTTTTCTTTACTTCTTTTTTTATTTCATTTCATTTAATTTCTTTTTTAATTTTTAAGACAGAGTCTTGCTCTGTCAACCAGGCTGGAGTGCAGTGGCGTGATCTCAGCTCACTGCAATCTCCACCTCCTGGTTCCAAGCGATTTCTCCTGCCTCAGCCTTCCGAGTAGCTGGAATTACAGGCGCTCGCCACCACGCCTGGCTAATTTTTTTGTATTTTTAGTAGAGACAGGGTTTTAGCATGTTGGCCAGGCTGGTCTCAAATTCCTGATCTCAGGTGACTTGCCTGCCTTGGCTTCCCAAAGTGCTGGGATTACAACACGTGTGTCTTAAAACAGTCTTTCCTCTTTCCACAACGCCTTACTGCCTTCTTTGAAATCACACTTATCACGTAATTTTTTAAGGGTTAGTCATTAAGAGTCTTTCTAGAAAGAAATCGTGTTCTCTTAGCCATACAGAGTTTGTTTTTGTTCTTGTTTTTTATTTGAGACGGAGTCTCGCACTGTCGCCAGGCTGGAGTGCAGTGGCGCAATCTCTGCTCACTGCAACCTCCACCTCCCGGGTTAAAGCGATTCTTCTGTCTCAGCCTCCCAAGTAGCTGGGACTACAGGCGTGCGCCACCACACCCAGCTAATTTTTGTATTTTTAGTAGGGATGGGGTTTCACCATGCTGGCCAAGATGGTCTTGATCTCTGACCTCATGATCTGCCCGCCTTGGCCTCCCAAAGTGCTGGGATTACAGGCATGAGCCACCATGCTTGGCTCTAATTTTTTTTTTTTTTTTTTTTTTTAAGAATATCATTGGCAGGGCCAGGCGCAATGGCTCACGCCTGTAATCCCAGCACTTTGGGAGGCTGAGGCGGGCAGATAACAAGGTCAGGAGATCGAGACCATCCTAGCTCACACAGTGAAACCCCGTCTCTACTAAAAATACAAAAAATTAGTCGGACGTTGTGGCGGGCGCCTGTAGTCCCAGCTACTTGGGAGGCTGAGGCAGGAGAATGGCGTGAACCCAGGAGGCGGAGCTTGCAGTGAGCCGAGATCCTGCCACTTTACTCCAACCTGGGCGACAGAGTGAGACTCTGTCTCAAAAAAAAAAAAGAATTATCATTGGCAGTTTCATGATTCTTCAATTGTATTACTTTCAGAATTTATCTACTTAGCTGTCTAGGTTAGTCAGTTTCTCCCTATGAATGTTGTTATTGCCACTGTTTTTGATTAGTTGTATTATTTCTACCCATCATGGCTTCCCTTGAACTTTTTAGGTTCACCACATAGCATTTGTAGTTTTATTTCTACCTCAATTTCTACTGCACCCGAACCCAGCCCCTGTCTTCTCTCTCTTTTTCTGAGACAGGGTCTTGCTCTTTGCCCAGGCTGGAGTGCAGTGGTACAATCTTGGATCACTGCAGCCTCTACCTCTTGGGCTCAAGTGATTCTCATGTCACCATTCCTGGCCTGGATTAACTTGTTTAGATCATTCTTTTGAAATTTTTATTTTCTCTCTTGGAGATTTTAGCCTGCAGCAAGAGATTCTGAACTGTCATTTAAGTTGCAGTGATTTTTTTTTTTTTTTGAGACGGAGTCTCGCTCTGTTGCTCAGGCTAGAGTGCAGTGGCGCGATCTCCACTCATTGCAACCTCCACCTCCTGTGTTCAAGCGATTCTCCTGTCTCAGCCTCCCGAGTGGCTGGGACTACAGGTGCACGCCAGCATGCCCAGCTAATTTTTTGTGTGTTTTAGTAGAGGTGGGGTTTCACTTTGTTGCCCGGGCTGGTCTCCACCTCCTGAGCTCAGGCAATCCACCCACCTCAGCTTCCCAAAGTGCTAGGATTACAGGCGTGAGCCACCGCACCCGGCCGCAGTGATTTTTTTTTTTTTTTTAACTTAGAGGGTTTTACTTATAAATTTATTATGTTAGTTATTCCATTGGTTTAGATTTATGATTTTTTTTTAACTGTACAAAAGCTAAGAAAGAGCCCTCTGAAATTGCCACCGGAAATCGCCATTTAGGTGATTGGTCGCACTTTATTAATATTCTTTTTTTTTTTTTTTTTTTTTGAGATGGAGTTTCGCTCTTGTTGCCCAGACTGGAGTGCAATAGCACGATCTCGGCCCACTGCAACCTCCACCTCCCGGGTTCAAGCGATTCTCCTGCCTCAGCCTCCCAAGTAGCAGGGATTACAGGCATGCACCACCATGCCCAGTTAATTTTGCATTTTTATTAGAGATGGGGTTTCTCCATGTTGGTCAGGTTGGTCTCGAACTCCCAACCTCAGGTGATCTGCCCACCTTAGCCTCCCAAAGTGTTGGGATTACAGGCGTGAGCCACCGCGCCCAGCCTTTTTTTTTTTTTTTTTTTTTTTTTTTTTTTTTTTTGACAGTCTCGCTCTGTCACCCAGGCTGAATTCTTGGTTAGATTCTTGAAGGGCTTTGGCAAAGAACATGACAGGGTACTGCCCTGTCACATAGTAAGCACATAACTTCTCCAGTCCTTCCTGATGTGCATATTACCTGGGCTTGAAGACTTCAGCTAATGTTTTTTTTTGTTTGTTTTGTTTTGTTTTGTTTTGTTTTTTTGAGACGGAGTTTCGCTCTTGTTGCCCAGGCTGGAGTGCAGCGGTGCGATCTCGGCTCACCCAACCTCCACCTCCTGGGTTCAAGTGATTCTCCTGCCTCAGCCTCCTGAGTAGCAGGGATTACAGGCATGCACCACCACACCTGGCTAATTTTGTATTTGTAGTAGAGATGGGGTTTCTCCATGTTGGTCAGGCTGGTCTCGAACTCCCAACCTCAGGTGATCTGCCCGCCCACCTCAGCCTCCCAAAGTGCTGGGATTACAGGCGTGAGACACCGCGCCCGGCCTTTTTTTCTTTCTTTCTTTTTTTTTTTTTTTTTTTTTTTTGGCAGTCTTGCTTTGTCACCCAGGCTGAATTCTTGGTTAGATTCTTGAAGAGCTTTGGCAAAGAATATGACAGGGTCCTGCCCTGTCACATAGTAAGCACATAACTTCTCCATTCCTTCCTGATGTGCATATTACCTGGGCTTGAAGACTTCAGCTAATTTTTTTTTGTTTTTTTGAGACGGAGTTCCACTCTTGTTGCCCAGACTGGAGTGCAGTGGTGTTATCTCGGCTCACCCCAACCTCCACCTCCCAGGTTCAAGCGATTCTCCTGCCTCAGCCTCCTGAGTAGCTGGGATTACAGGCATGCACCACCACGCTCGGCTAATTTTGTATTTGTAGTAGAGGTGGGGTTTTTCCATGTTCATCAGGCTGGTCTCGAACTCCCGACCTCAGGTGTTCCGCCTGCCTCAGCTTCCCAAAGTGCTGGGATTACAGGCATGAGCCACTGTGCCTGGCCAACTTCAGCTCATTTAAAGCAATTAGCAAAGAAGGAAAAGTTGATTAGTTGAGCACCTATGTGCCAGGTGCAGAGCTAAGCATTTTATCATATATTGTTTTATTTACTATTCATTCACCCATCTTAGGCTTTAACTGTCTCTCTGTGATATTTCTTCTAATCTTGTCAAGTTTAGATTATTCTGCTTGATGGGAAAGGTGGAAACGCAGGAATCAAGTTCTGTTTTCTCATCATCTATTGATATTTTATTATCTTCCCTCTCTGGCAGTGGACCTGTCTTATGTATTACATGTAGCCATCTGTTCTAAGAGTTCACCTTCCTGACACCATACTTTAAGATTCAAGTTGTTGGCCAGGCACAGTGGCTCATGCCTGTAATCCCAGCACTTTGGGAGGCCGAGGCGGGTGGATCACGAGGTCAGGAGATGGAGACCATCCTGGCTAACACGGTGAAACCCCATCTCTACTAAAAAATACAAAAAAAATTAGCCGGGCATGGGGGCGGGCGCCTGTAGTCCCAGCTACTCGGGAGGCTGAGGCAGGAGAATGGCGTGAACCCGGGAGGCGGAGCTTGCAGTGAGCTGAGATCACCCCACTGCACTCCAGCCTGGGCGACAGAGCGAGAGTCCGTCTCAAAAAAAAAGATTCAAGTTGTTCTTTCCCTGGTTTGTATCTGTTTTTTTCTTGTGTATACTTGTCTGATCACTCCTTCTGAAGCTACAATGATTTTTTTGGATGTCTTTACCTTTTCTCCTTCATAGAGATTGTTATTGAACTATTAGAATTTTTATATTATGAGCTTTAAGAAAGTAAAGTCACTTTCCCCATTATTCTCATAGGTTGTTCCACATTAACCTCCTTCAAGAGTATCAGTTTCTCTGTTTTCGGAGGTCTTTGGTTATATTTGATCCAACTTTTATAGCAAAGCAAGATCATGATGAATTTTGCAGTGGAAAGGGTTTTGTCTATAGGTGGTCCAGAACCAAAACTCTGGTTTGGGGTAGGCAAGAATCTCAAAGGCAGAGTCTTCTAGGGAGCATCCTAATGGCAGGGAGAGAGGATTATAACACTGGATACCCAACAGATGTTCAGTCCATCCTGATTGCTGTTCATTTCTCATCCTGCAGTGTGGGCCAAACTGAAATTGCAGAAGGCTTCAGAACGATGGCAGCCTGACACTGAGGTGGGTACTAATGTGGATGGTGTTAGGGATAGTGTCAAGTGATAGAGAGCTCCCTCACCATGTAGAAAGGAGGTGAAAGATGGTCCCTGGTGTACTGCAGCAGCGAGTAGAATGTGACAATATCTACAAATTGACTTTTCCTTTTTTTTTTTTTTTTTTTTTGACACGGAGTCTCGTACTGTTGCCCGGGCTGGAGTGCAGTGGTGCAATGTCAGCTCACTGCAACTTCCGCCTCCTGGGTTCCAGCAATTCTCCTGCCTCTGTCTCTCGAGTAGCTGAGATTACAGGCGCCCGCCACCACACCCGACTAATTTTTGTATTTTTAGTAGCGACAGGGTTTCACCATGTTGGCCAGACTGGTCTCAAACTCCTCACCTCAGGTGATCCACCCATGCACGCCTGTAGTCCCAGCTACTTGGGAGGCCTAGGCACGAGAATCACTTGAACTGGGGAGGTAGAGGTTGCATGAGCCGAGATTGTGCCACTGCACTCCAGCCTGGGTGACAGAGCAAGACTCTTTCTCAAAAAATAATAATAATAATAATTAGCCAAGTGTGGTGGCGCATGCTAGTAGTCCCAGCTAATTGGGACTGAGGCAGGAGGAACGCTTGAGCCCAGGAATTTGAGGCAGCTGCTGAGCTATGATCATACCACTGCACTCCAGTCTGGGTGACAGAGTAAGACCCTGTCTCTTTAACAACAAAAAGACAGATTGTATTCTGCCATTCAAATTTTGAAATGGGCCAGGTGCAGCAGTTCATGCCCATAATCCCAGCACTTTGGGAGGCCAAAGCAGGCAGATCACTTGAGCCCAGGAATTGGAGACCAGCCTGGGCAACATGGTGAAACCATATCTCTACAAAAAATACAATAATTAGCGGGGAGTGGTGGCACATGCCTGTGGTCCCAGCTGTTCAGGAGGCTGAAGCAGGAGGATTGCTTGAGCCCAGGCTGTCGAGGGTGCAGTGAGCTGTGATCGCACCATTGCACTCCAGCCTGGGTGACAGAGCAAGAACTTACCTCACAAAAAAAAAAAAAAGAAAAAAAAGTTGAAATGGCAAGTGGGAGTACCCAATCTCATGTTCTGCCATGGAGATTTATAGACTAAAATGCCGAGACTCTGTATCATGTATTAGATCTCCTTTGAGGAAAGCATCTAATGAGAGATGATACTCTCATAGCGACAGGGAGATGTCCTTGTTGGTCTTATGATGGTCATCCCAAGCAGCAGGTTTCAGAGATCAAGAATGACATGTATGTAAGGAATGGTACTGACTCACTCCAAGTCCCATAGTAACTGACAATAGCCTCCCTTTTTTTGAGTCAGTGGTTTTCAGTATTTTTTTTCTTTTTGGCAGCAAAACTCTCTTCCACTTGTAATATAGTACTCTGATATATAAAATAGAATCAAGCAGAATTGCCCTGGACATGGGGAAGCTCAGACTTCCTGGCTTCCCTTTCAACCCCTGCAATGGCCTCTGAGCAGAATCCTGGGATTCTTGGGAACCATTTGAAAACTGCTGTTGTAGGTCAGCCTTTCTCAACCAGGGTTCCCCATCTTAAACATAGAGAGCTAAATAAACTATTTTCTCAGATACTCTAATGATGGGTCATGACTGATATCATTCTAGATGTCTACGAGAGAAGTTAATTCATTGCACACGGTGGCTGCTTTGGGGCAGTGGGACTTAATTCTCTTGTGGAACCCCAGTTGAGAAAGGCTTAGATGAATGCCAATCTTAGTGTACCAGAGTATGCCATGGAATCAGGCCAGGATGAGCTCAGGTACTTAGAGATTGGTTCCAAACATTTCTTTTAGGAGAGCTGTCTAACAAAGTGTACCCCTTCCTTTTCAGGAAGAATATGAAGACTCAAGTGGGAATGTTGTGAATAAGAAGACATACGAGGATCTGAAAAGACAAGGACTGCTCTAGTGTTCAGGGATGTAGCTCAGCTTTTGGGCTAGCCCAGGCTTCCCTAAGATCTGCTTTTTCTATTTCTCCCAACCAAATCCTCTTAAAGACCCTTTGCTATGTAGTCTCATGGTCTAGCATGCATCTTGTAGAAACAAGGCATGCTGGCAGATTGCAGGGTTGAGATGTGTTTTATCTGTTTTATATTTTAAAAGATTCTGCCAGAAAATAAAACCAGACCTTGTTCTAAAGCCCAGGGTTATGGACCAACTCAGTGCTTCAGGTCTTAACGCCTCCATACCTCTTCCTCACCAACTTTACTAGTAGCTGAGATTTAATGGGCACCTATTATGCTACATATCATGTTAGGTAAATCTGACCTGACCTCTTTCCCCACCCTCCTTTGTTGCTGCTTCCCTGAATGAGTATTACCCCAGGATGAGGTCTGCCATCAGCTTAGTTAGCCATTGATGCAAATACTAGGGAAAGACTAGGAGGATGAGCCAGGGTTGCTACTAAGGACTAAGTGTCGCACCAAGGTTTGCCTTTTGTATTTGCATAAAGAAAGGAGTTGGAGCTGGGTGCAGTGGCTTGTGCCTGTAGTCCCAGCTACTTGGGAGGCTGAGGCAGGAGGGTTGCTTGAGACTAGCCTAGGTAACATAGTGAGACCCTGTCTCATTAAAAAAAAAAAAAAGGCATGGTGGCACGCACTGTAGTCCCAGCTACTCAGGAGACTGAGGCTAGAAGATCCTTTGAACCTAGGAGTTTGAGACCAGCCTGGGCGATATAGTGAGGCCCCATCTCAAAAAAAAAAAAAGGGGGGGGGGGGGGAGTTGGGCTGTGTTGGAATGGGCCTGCAGCCCAACAAACAAGGGAACTAGGACCGACAGTGACTTCACCAGCTTGCTAGGTCAGAATGAGAGACTGGTGGGTCTGTCTACCTGTTTCTTCTACAAGATCCCTATTTGACTGTAAAAGTAGCTAATACTCACATGTTCTCCAATCCCAGGTAGCCATGGTAGAGTTGGGTAGAGTTGAGCAGCTGCCCCAGGATCCAAATGTGGTGTCTGAAATGGAAAGAACTAAGGCAACCAGGAAGGCACTGATCTGCCTTATAAGCACAGTCATCTGAAAGTCAGGCCTGCTGCAGGACAGGATCCCCCAGAGACCCCATTTGCCTCTCAACACTCAGACCTTCAACTGTTTTTTAATAAATCTACTTTTTAAAAAAATGTTAATCTTTTTCTTTATATTACACATTTATATCTTATTTTTCTAAAAACCTACCAAGAACCAGTGCCGCACTCATCCCATGCAGAGGCAGGCTGGCTAATATATCTACTTTTAAAAATTCCAACTCAGGCCATGCGCAGTAGCTGATGCCTGTAATCCAAACACTTTGGGAGGCCGAGGGCAGCAAATTACTTGAGGTCAGGAGTTGGAGACCAGCCTGGCCAACATGGCGAAACCCTGTCTCTACTAAAAATACAAAAATTAGCCAGGCGTGATGGCATGCACCTGTAGTCCCAGGTACTCAGGAGACTGAGGCAGGAGGATCACTTGAACCCAGGAGGCGAAGGTTGCCATGAGCCGAGATCACGCCACTGCACTCCAGCCTGGGTGACAGCGAGACTCCGTCTCAAAAAAAAAAAAAAAAAAATCCCAACTTGAATTAGCCTTCTGCCTCACACCAATCTTTTGCCCTGGTTATTTCCATGGCAGTAAAGTTTCACCACCCCCACCCCAGTGGCACTGCACTCTAGGTTGGTATTTTCCTTCCTAGTTCAGCCCATCCCTGTGCAACTCATTCCCTTGTGCCTTCACTCCTTCATTTAAGACTCCAGGTCGGGTGCAGTGGCTCATGCCTGTAATCCCAGCACTTTGGGAGGCCGAGGCAGGCGGATCACTTGAGGTCGGGAGTTCAAGACCAGCCTGACCAACATAGAGAAACCCTGTCTCTACTAAAAATACAAAATTAGCCAGGCGTGGTGGCACATGCCTGCGATCCCAGCTACTTGGGAGGCTGAGGCAGGAGAATCACTTGAACCTGGGAGGCGGAGGTTGCAGTGAGCCGAGATCGCGCCATTGCACTCCAGCCTGGGCAACAAGAGTGAAACTCTGTCTCAAAAAAATAAGACTCCAGTTGGACAGCCTCTCCAGGGCCTGAGCTGAAGCAGAGTGAGTGAATAATTAAACCTAATTGAGCCAACTGGAAACACTGATTAGTGGAAACTGGCCCAAAGTGCAAGGAGACATTGCCATTTGAGAAGAGAGTTAAAGCGTTGGAATGGGAAATGTGGGGAGAAGACGGCCCTTCAGACTGCTCGTCAGAACAGGGGCTGCATTGGGCTACCAAGGAATGCACCTGCTACTTTCCAGCTGTTGGAGTCCTCAAAACCCTGTCTTGAGGCTACCTGGGACTCCAGGGTTAATAGGTTCTCCCTCTACAGTGTGGAGAGGAAGTGGGACCAGGTCCTAAGGAGTCCTGCCATCCCCTTGCCCAGTAACTGCAGTCAGTGTGCGAACTCTGTGCCAGAACAACCTTGGAGGGAACCTCGGGCTTACCTGTCACAGCAAAGGCTTGTTCATTTGTTACCTTCATTCATTCAGGGTTTTTTTAGTGCCTTCCATGTGCCAGGCACAGCTAGATCAAACCTTGAAAACTAAAGCGGAGGTGAGACAGTGAGGGCAGAAGCCAGAGGTGAAGAAGCTCAGCAGCAGCCTCTGGGCACGCAGGAAGAGCCATATGGCCAGCTCCATCCAGCTGCAAGGGGCACAGCTGTTTTCTGAGGTGAAGGCAAACCACATCAGAATTGGTTCTCAGAGGTGATCCTTCAGGTTTGGACTCCATAGGGTCAACCAAAGGAAGAGAATTTCAATTGACCACCTGCCTCAGCCTCCCAAAGTGCTGGGATTTCAGTCATGAGCCACTGTGCCCAGCCAAGAATCTTTCTTAGACATGGAGTCGGAACCTTTGCCAATGCACTTACTGCTGGGAACAGTTAATTCAATTAGCTCTTCATGGAGGAAAGCTGCAGGGAGCATTTAGGGAGTTGTTCCTGGGATTGACCCTCAGATTGGTGCTGCTAAACCCAGAGGCTGCACCTGGAATGAGCCCTCCCAGGAGGAGTCTTTACTCTCTACTTCTCAGATGAAAGTGAAGAAATCTGTCTCTGGCTTCAACCAGGTATCCCTTTCTTCTCCATTTTCTGTCCATTTCCCTCCCTGGGGTCAACTTGTGCTGGAGGGCTCTGTGAAGGGAGCACCCTAAAGGTAACCAATGTGTTGGGGAAGTGAAGTTGTGAGATATTTCTCTCCCTCTGCATTAAAAAAAAAAAAAATCCTTGGGATGATAGCAACCTTTCTCCTCATCCTTCAGGTCCTACTGTCAGCCTCAGCTCAGAGTTCTCAGGGTGGGAATGAACCTGTGACCCTCTCCACCCTCATCCAGAAGAGTCCTCCCATTACAGGTCCACCCTGGGAGGACACTGGTCTCCTCTCCCTCTGATCTCTTCTGAGAGCCCTCTCCACCTGCCAGGTTTCCGATCCAGACAAATAAGGCACCTCCCAGTGGGATGCTGGGACAGCGGTCTTTTGATCTGCTCAAGTGGCTTTATTTTCTCCCTCCAACTACAGTCTGGGCAGCAGCTATGCTTTCTTCTTTTCTGTGGTCCCTGTGTGTCCCTGGTGGCAGCAACATGAGAGGCAAATCCCAGAGGTGACAAGTGATTGGAGGGGAGGAGAAAGGGCAGCTTCCAGTTTCCAGGGGCGGCAGCTGTAGCCTCCCTGCCTTGTGCATGCACACTCACAGCCCTCTGCACCTTCAAGTGTGCAGGTAGGTCTATAGCTGGGATAGGGTGGGGCACAGAGAATATTGAGAATATGCTCTAGCCATGGAGGGGCACACAGACTAAAGGAGATGGACAAGAAGCCTGGATTAATACAGCCTAGGAGGTACCCATCTATCTTTGCCCAGCCTTCTGATTCTGCTCAGTGTCTGTCCACCTGCCCCATCATATTCCTGAGATGTCCCTCCAGCCTCAACTGTGCAAAGTAAGGAGGAGGAAAGGGGCTTCTGTGGGAAGCCTGGGCTCTTCACAAAGCTTCAGGGACCTGGGTAGAACCTTTGAGCCCTTTGAACCTTTGGCCTTTGGAAACCGAAGTCCCCTTGGAGAGGGGCTGACTGTGTAAAAACTTCATTTGGCCGGGCGCGGTGACTCACACCTGTAATCCAAACACTATGGGAGGCCAGGCACGGTGGCTCACACCTGTCATCCAAACACTATGGGAGGCCAAGGCAGGCAGATCATGAGGTCAGGAGATCAAGACCTTTCTGGCCAACATGGTGAAACCCCATCTCTACTAAAAATACAAAAATTAGTCGGGCATGGCAGCACGCACCTGTAGTCCCAGCTACCCGGGAGGCTGAGGCAGGAGAATTGCTTGAACCCGGGAGGCAGAGGCTACAGTGAGCCGAGATCGCACCACTGCACTCCAGCCTGGGCGACAGAGTGAGACTCTGTCTCGCTCTGTCACTTTTTTTTTTTTTTTGTAAGACGGAGTCTCGCTCTGTCGCCCAGGCTGGAGTGCAGTGGTGCAATCTCGGCTCAGGGCAGCCTCTGCCTCCCGGGTTCAAGCAATTCTCCTGCCTCAGCCTCCCGAGTAGTTGGGACTACAGGTGTGCGCTGCCACACCTGGCTAATTTTTTCATGTTTTTGGTAGAGACGGGGTTCCACCATATGGGCCAGGCTGGCCTTGAACTCCTGACCTCATGATCCACCTGCCTTGGCCTCTCAAAGTGCTGAGATTACAGGTGTGAGCCACCGTGCCCGGCCCCAAAAACTTTTTTTTTAACAAGGTCTCACTGTTACCCAGGCTAGAGTGCAGTGGCATGATCATAGCTCACTGCAGCCTCCCAACTCTCAGGCTCAAGTGACCTCCCCACCTCAGCCTCCCAAGTAGCTAGGACTACAGATGCACACCTCCATGCCCAGCTAATTTTTTGTAGAGAAGGGAATCTCACTATCTTGCCCAGGCTGGTCTTGAAATTCTGGCCTGAAGCAGTTCTCCTGCCCCAGCCTCCTGAGTCACTGGGATTATAGGTGTGAGCCACCATGCCCAGCAAGAGAACTGTTTCTTGAGTGTAGTGTTTGTTGGTGGGGGGGACGGATGGGCAACAGAGAGGCTGACACCATCAGAAGGGCCCAACCCAGGAGTCCTTGCTGCACACTCTCCTGTGTATCGCATCACCCTGGCTGCTGTCACTTGAGAGACAAGTCTGAGTGCTGATGGAGGATTACATCCATGAGGGCAGGGAAACAGATGCCCCATTAGCATTGGGAATGGTAGGGTCTGGGTTGTGCTCAGCTTCCAGGGCTGGGCGAGAAGATAGGAATAATGCCCCACTCTCATCTCTAGCAGTTTCCTACCTTGTATGGAAAAACCTAAACCCAGGCTTAGCAGACCTTTCTAGGTGTGGCCCCTTAGTGTTGCAGGGGGCAGAGTCTGGGATCCAGGAACCCAAAGTCTGAGAGCTACCTCCTATCTTTGGCTCAGCACTCATTTAGGGACAGGCTGGGGTCTGAATCCTGAAGAACACTTGGACAAAGTGAGTCTGGACTTTTGACCCTCTGTGGCCTAGGGTTTTCCTGCCCTGGGTTCTGAGGAAGCCCATGACTCCCACCTTCCCACACCCGGGCACCTTCTGACGTTGGCAGCAAATGAGACCAGATCAGAGTCACTGGGTATGTATTTCCTGTCACTGCACCTGCTCCAGTTCTGCCTCCCCTCAGGCTGGGATGCTGCTGTTGCCATGCCAGTGACAAAATGTGTCTCGGGGGGCTGTTACTGGGATGCAGGCCCCTTTGTGCCTGCCCCAGTGTCACTCTGACAGTATGACTTGCAGGAAGCGAAAGCTGAGCCCCTGAGACCTCTTATTCCCTAAAGGTTGACCCACCCCCACCCTAGTTCCCCAGCCTCAATTTATTCATCTGCATAGTACAGTAATGGAAATTTTGCTTGTAGGTTTCCTCAGCTGGCCAGAACTGGTCCTTCCCTCTCTCTGGCTCCTGCAGCACCTCAGTTGAAGATGTATGTGGCCAATGGTAGCCACAGAGCTGCTTTGCTCAGAGGTAGCTGTCCTCAGCCCAGGGATCCTGGCCTTTCCTGGACCATGACTACTGCTGGACCCTGGGACTGCCCCTACTTTTCCCTAAGTTCATGACCTCTTCCACTTAACTGCTGCATGACCTTTCTTTGACCTATGACCTTTGAGCTGGTTATGGCCTTGAACTCCTGACCTCATGATTCACCTGCCTCAGCCTCTGCAGTGGCTCCCTCTCTCCTTTTCCTCCTATCAGTCCTCCTGCTGGCCTTACTGGTAGCCCAGAACCTGGCAAGCAGTCAGTTGACCCCTGCTCCTGTCCAGGTAAGCAGCATATGAGGGAGGGGACAGCCTTCCTAATGCCTTCAGCCCCAGGCGTGTGACCACAGTGGTCAAACCTTTCCGCAGATATGCCACAACTTCCACTGCCTCGGAGAGATGTGCTACCAGGAGGAAAAGTTCTCCAACCAGACCACAGAGTGTTAGCCCGGGCAGCACCACTGCGAGGTGTGGGGCTGGGGCTGTGAGGGACCCAAGCCAGGGTACTTCTCAGAGGTGAAGGAGAGTGGAGGGAGGCCATTGGAAGGGGGATTGACATTCAGGTACAGTAAGGTGCAGGAACAGATCCTGAAGCGGGAGGGAGAGGAGTCAGTATCTGGGATGCTGGGAACGTGGAGCTATGGCCCAGGCCTGGCTGTGCCCCCATCCTCCTGGACATGCCTGCATTCTCTCTACCCAGCTGATTCAACTCAACGCTTCCCACTACATGGCCTGGTGCAGCTTCAGCTGTGAAGGGGGAAATGAAACCGGTCCTAGCCCTTGTCTGCTGTCCAATAGCTCAGCCCCCAGCCCAGACCCCTGCAGGCTGCAGTGCTGCAATGGAGGGCCACTCTGTTTCGTGCTCAATGAGTCAGCCTGGGGTGAGACAGCCCCACCCTTAATACTCAGCCCTGCCCCGCCAACCTGCAGCTCCCAGCCCCATTCCTCAGAGCCCCCACCTCTGACTCCCATTCCTACTCATCCACAAGCTCAGAGCCCTTCTGCACACTAACCCTCAACTTTGAACCCAGCCCTTTGAGAGGCCCTCAAATCTCAGCTCAATTTTCACCAGCCCCCCCAACCTCTATGAATATGCTAACCTCTAGGCCTTTTCTGACTGACCCCTACCTTTTTTTCTTTTGTTTTTTTGAGACAGAGTCTTGCTCTGTCACCCAGGCTTATGCAGTGGCGCGATCTCGGCTCACTGCAAGCTCCGCCTCCCGGGCTCACCCAATTCTCCTGCCTCAGCCTCCCGAGTAGCTGGGACTACAGGCGCCCGCCGCCATGCCTGGCTTATTTTTTGTATTTTTTTAGTAGAGACGGGGTTTCACCATGTTAGCCAGGATGGTCTCGATCTCCTGACCTCGTGATCCACCCGCCTCGGCCTCCCAAAGTGCTGGGATAACAGGCATGAGTCACGGCGCCCGGCCCTGACCCTTACCTTTAATGTCTTCCTAGGCCAGGCATGGTGGCTCATGCCTGTAATCCCAGCACTTT
Organism: Homo sapiens; assembly: GCF_000001405.40. Classification (NCBI taxonomy): domain Eukaryota; kingdom Metazoa; phylum Chordata; class Mammalia; order Primates; family Hominidae; genus Homo; species Homo sapiens. The sequence goes on along the minus strand of NC_000001.11, from coordinate 37,950,567 downwards.
GGGAGGCCAAGGCGGGTGGATCATGAGGTCAGGAGATCGAGACAGGCCAAGGCAGGTGGATCATGAGGTCAGGAGATCGAGACCATCCTGGCTAACATGGTGAAACCCCATCTCTACTAAAAATACAAAAAATTAGCCGGGCATGGTGGTGCTGGGCGCTTGTAGTCCCAGCTACTCTGTAGGCTGAGGCAGGAGAATGGCATGAACCTGGGAGGCGGAGCTTGCACTGAGCCAAGATCTCACCACTGCACTCCAGCCTGGGCGACAGAGAGAGACTCCACCTCACCACAAAAAAAAAAAACAAAAAAAAAAACTCTGCCTTCCTCATTAGCTCCCCAAGTCTGAGCTTTCTACCTTTGGTGCCCCACCCCCTCTCAGATTCCCCACTCCTAACATCCCCACCATTCCCCAGTCCAGCCCATCCAGCACTCCCCTCCCCAACAAGCTACAAAGAGGCCTGGGGCAAGCACCTGTGCTCATCTAGGCCGTGGTGGGGGAGATGTCAGGTTGTGAGCTGCCCACACACATCATGCTCTCCCTGGGGGCAAGGCAGGGGGTCAGGGCTTTACAGAGGTGTCACAGCACTTCCCCAGGCAGTCCTGCTCTGCTCCTAGGCCTAGCCCACCCGACGATCCCAGAGGACAAGCTACATTCCATTCCACCCCTGGTGACCACCACCTTGCCAGCCCTCCAGGGAAATGTGTCTCATTCTCACCTGCCTCCTCTAGGAAGTGGAGGCAGGAATGGACAGCGTGTGGTGGATGGGGCCAGTGACACAGGCATGATAGGGCTCCAGCCTTGCCTCTGTCCAGCATTTACCACCTGTTCAGTCTGCACAGAGCTCCCAAACCTCCTCCTGCTTTCTCTTCCAGAAGAAAATCTGTGCTACTTTCTCCTGCCAAGGTGGTGACTGTTTCAAAGGGCCGAAAGCTGTGGCCATGTGCCCTGAGGGCTTGGACTTCTGTGAGGTGAGCCCTGCGATGCTCCAAGAATTAGGGAGCTCTCCTCCCTCAGAGCTGCATGGCTTTCTCCTTCTACCTGGAGTGGGTAGCTCAGCAGTAGAATCTGGCTGGAGCTAGACCTGCTGGGAGCAGCCGTGGGGTCTAGCAAGCTTGACCCCCTCAGCTCTGCATGATGCCAACACCAAAGGCAGCAACTGGAATTTTCCATACCTCCACGATGTGCCCCTTTTTTTCTGACCACCCTGTATGTTCACTAGGAACTCACTGATCTTGTGGGCAGGAAGCTAGGGGTCCAAGGAGGTTGAGCTCAACCCATGACCCACTTAACACTTTCTGCCTTTGAGTGGGGAAGAGGGGCAAGGGGAAGATGAATGGTCCCACCTCTTCTTGCAGCTGAAATGCTCCAGCTCAGGTTACATTGCAGGCTGCAGCCAGGCCTGTGAAGCAGGGACCTCCCAGTGTCATGGGGCTGTGGCCCCACCCTGCTACCAGGAGTGCTGTCAAGCCTCAACCTCAGGCAGCTGCCTTCAGCTGGATGGGAAACTTCACTTCAACCAGGCAGCTCCTGGGGCCACCAGAAACCCCCTGCACTGGGCCCTGGCTGTGGCTATGCTACTTCTCCTCCACTCTGCTCTGCTCCTATTCCTGCTCCCCTAGCTGGGCCCAGCAGAATCTGGGAGCAGCAGTCAAGAAGACCCTGTAGGATCTACAAGCCTTCAGGTCCCCCTCCAGCTCTGATTCCTGTAGTTGCATCTTTAGTAAAAGGCCTTTATCAAGCCCACAGCTCTGGGCTTAAGGCTCCTCACTTCTCCCCTTCTAGGGCCTAGGCCTGACCATGGAACCCCCCAAGGGGGCAGGCCCTCAGCCCTAATCTCAGGGAGAGGATAGGGTTTGTCTGGAAAAACAGAAAACCTCCTGCCTGACCCCCACCCAGTGGGAGGACCCCCAAATCCTGCAGGGACAGTTTCTTCATCATAAAAAGCACACAGCCCCATCTACTTTGCCCAGACCCTCCTCGCCAGGCTTTGACACTAGAGCAGGGCTGGAATTGGGGTTCCTCTGCTTCCCTGCAGTGACCCCACCCCTTGATCCTAAGGGTCTGAGTCAATCCCCTTTCCCCTCATCGTCCACATGACTTAGACACTGAATTCAAATAAACTTGAGCTCCATTTGTGCTGTGGATGTTTCCAGGAAAAGAAATGGATTGAGAAGAAGGCAACGACTGTTTCTGGAAGGGGTTTACATATGCAAAGTTGAACTGGTCATTAGGATGGCCACTTCACTTGGGGAAAGAGGAAGGGAAACTGTTCACAAGTCACAACAGTCACCCCCTCCCCAGCACTGAAGGCCCATTCCTTCAGTTTGGGCCAAAGCTTGAGAGAAGGTGTATTTATTAAAATAGTTCAGAAAGTAATTCACTAACTCCATAGATAACTGTGTGCCAGAAACTGCTGGTATGTTGATGAAAAGGCATAGTCCTGTCCAACGGGAGCTTACAGCTTAATTAAACAGCCAATAGGCCAAGTGAGAATGATCCTAGCATTCCTTATCTGAGCTGGGTGAGCAATCACAGCTCACTGCAGCCTTGAACTCCTGGGCTCAAGCAATCCTCCCACCTCAGCCTCCCAAGTAGCTGGGACTACAGGCATGCACCACCATACCCGGCTAAATTTAAAAAAATTTTTTTTTAGAGATGGGGTCTCAAACTCCTGGCCTCAAGCGATCCTCCCTCCTTGGCCTTCCAAAGTGCCGGGATTACAGACATGAGCCACTGTGCCCAGTCCCTGTGCTGGCTCTTTTTGTCCATCTTGGGTAACCTCCTTATCTTAGATGGGGAAATTGAGTCCCAAGGGAAGAAAGGTCTTGGCCAAGGTCACAAAGCCAGGCGGATCAGGGGAAGGACGTTGCCGGACAGGAACAGTGTCATACCCTTTATAAAGTGCGTTCACACCCAGTAGCCTCAAACAGCCCTGTGTGGCAGGAGGGCTGGGTGGGGCTAAGGGAGGAAATAGGGCAGTGTGTAGCGGTATAAATGGCCCAGGAGTTGCAGTCAGACTTTCAGTGGAGTCCCAGTGTTGCCACCTGCTAGCTGCAGGACTTAATGTCAAACTGCTTAACCTATCCAAGGCTCAGTTTCTCCACCTGGAAAATGGACATAATGGTTCTTCATAGTCTGGTTCTCCCTCCATTAAACCAGGAGAAGGTAGTTATTTTAGGGGAAGAGTTTCAGTAGAGGTCCGGGTTGTCTACCCTGGAGTGAGAAGAGCTGAGGATGGAACTAAGGAGAAAATAAAAATGCATTATATTCTTCCCCTAAGATAAAATGTGACCATCTTCCTTCTGGGTGGGAAGCTCTGGCCCCATGACCTAGAGGGCTGGGGATGGGAGTGAGGGCAATCATTAGAAAACCTTTCTGGTATAGGAAGCCCAGTGTACCCCAGGGCCTAAGGGGTTAACACGGATGGAGAGACTCCCCACCCCACGATTGACTCGGGCATGCTGGGACTTGCAGGCTGACTGACCACCATGTGGCGCAGGGGCTGTTGGGAAATGTAGTCACTGTCCCGGAACCTGGGGCAGCGGAGTCCCGTGCGCCCTGTGGTGACAGCTCAGGAGGTAGGTGACAATGTCAGGGAGCTGTGGGTGGGAGCAGAGCAGGAAAGCCAGGGCAGGGCTGGGCAGGAGGGAGTGGGCAAGCTGAGGGCTGGGACACCCCCCAACCCCCGGCCTGCAGCTGATGCAATGGGCCTGCTGGGGCGGGGGTGAAGGGCAAGCAGCAATGGGACACTTCCTGTCTCCAAGGAAAGAGGAATGGGACCCTCCTGAATGACAGTAAGGGGATGTTCCCTGAACCCCACATGGACACACCACTGACACCTCCCAGAGAGGCGCTAGCAGAACAAAAACTGTCCCCAAAAGAGAGGAAGAGCCATGTCCTAGGAGCAAAGGGACTAGGTCCCCTTCTCCAATCCACGTACCCCACTTCCAACAAGGATAGACCACACTCAAGAGCAACTGGATGCCCTCCCAGACAAAGGCAGTATAGCAAACTGTAGATCCCAGCGGGGCAAAGGGACTGGACCCCTATCCCTAAAAACTGAAAGGCCTATTCTAGGGAGGACAAAGAGGAGGAGGAGGAGGATCAGGCCTCCCCGGTACCATCTCCCTCTGCAAAGGCCCCTCCCTCCTGCCCCCAACCCCTCTGAGGCAGCTCCACCACCCCATGCGTAACTTGTTGACCAAAGCGGGGCTCCTATCTCCCCTCCCACAGGGTGTGTGCGCTCAGCAGGGGCCAGCATGGACCAGTCTGTGGCAATCCAGGAGACGCTGGCTGAGGGGGAATACTGCGTCATCATATCCTTCCTGTGCTAACTGCGGCCCTGAGCCTGCCCTGGCCTTGGGAAGAGGAATGGAAGGTGTCGAGGTGTCTATCCCCTCTCCTGCCCCTCTGAACCATCAGGGGAGAAGGAAATCAGTATTTACTAAGTACTTACTGAGTCCTGGACTCTCAGCCAAATGCTTTAAATACGCAGTTATCCTCCTAACTCCCTATGAAGTTGGGGATTATTATCCTCATTTCATAGATAAGGAAGGCTTAGAGAGCCTGTTTGTCTGTTAGTTCAGCACATGGTTTGAGTGCTCACCCAAGGCCACACAGTGAATCTGGGGGGGCAGGGGAACAGAGGGAAGGTGGGACAGCCTGGGTGGGGAGAGGCCTCGCCTCTGGGTTGTCTTCCCTTGACTCTGAGCCGCAGGCGGTGCAAGGTGTGCTGTGTGAGGGGGACAGCCGGCAGAGCCGCCTCCTGGGACTCGTGCGCTACCGCCTGGAGCACGGCGGCCAGGAACACGCGTGAGTGAGGGGCTTGGTCCCCACCTGTCTGGGCCATGGGGTTGTTCATCACTGCACCCTCCAGCTGAACTTCAACTGTCCCTCCAGGGCAGGGTCTGAGTCTCCTAGAATAATTATCACAATGATAGTTAATATTTTTTGAACACTATATTTTAAACCCTGCACACGTACTAACTCATAATCCTCAAGATCTAAGGAGGAAGTTTCTTGAGAAGAGACAGTTTAACATACTAGTCCAGATCTTGAGCCTCGTGGTCCAAATGCCTGGGTTCAAACCCAGGCTTTGTTACTAACAAGCCACATGATCTATTGTTTGTTTGTTTTGAGAAGGAGTCTTGGTCTTTGCCCAGGCTGGAGTGCAGTGGGGTGATCTTGGCTCACTGCAACCTCTGCGTCCCAGGTCCAAGCAATTCTCGTGCTTCAGCCTCTTGAGGAGCTGGTATTACAGAGGTGCCCGCCACCATGCCTGGCTCATTTCTGTATTTTTAGTAAAGACAGGGTTTCACCACGTTGGCCAGGCTGGTCTTGAAGTCCTGACCTCAAGTTATCCACCTGCCTTGGCCTCCCAAAGTGCTAGGATTACAGGCATGAGCCAGCGTGCCCAGCCTCACATGATCTTTTTTTTAGAGACGGGGTCTCTTTCTGTCACCCAGGCTGGAGTGCAGTAGTGCACTCATAGCTGCATGCTGGAACTCCTGGCCTCAGGTCATTCTCCCACTTCAGCCTCCCAAAGTGTTGGAATTTTAGGCATGAGCCACCGCACCTGGTGGAACCACATGATCTTGAGCAAGTTGTTTTACTCCTCGATTTGTCCATATTAAAGAGTAAAGTGAGTTAGGCCAGGTGCAGTAGCTCATGCTTGTAATTCCAACACTTTGGGAGGCTGAGGCAGGAAGATTGCTTGAGCCTAGGAGTTCGAGACCAGCTTGGGCAACATAGCGAGACCGCCCCCCCTACCCCGCCCCACCTCCCGCTCCCCGGCTCCATCTCTACAAAAAATAAGAAAATTAGCTGGGTGTTGTGGTGCATGCCTGTAGTCTCAGCTACTCAGGAGGCTGAGGCGGGAGGATCACATGAGCCGAGGAGTTTGAGATTACAGTGAACTACGATTGCAGCCTGGGCAACACAGCAAGACCCTGTCTCTATAAAAAAAAAAACAAGAAAAAAAAAACGAACACCATGGGGTGTGTAGAAAGTGCTCAATAAGGCTGGGTGCAGTGGCTCATGCCTGTAATCCCAACACTTTGGGAGTCTGAGCTGGGAGGACTGCTTGAGTTCAAGACCAGCCTGGGCAATATAGTGAGACCCCTATCTCTATTTCAAATAATTTAAAAAATATAATAAATAAAAAAAAGAAAGTGCTCCATAAATGTTGTCTAGTAACACCCACATACCACACAGAAGCAGAGAGAGAGTAATAGTTGTCAAAGGTCTCATAGCTGGTAAGTGACTCAGGGTCTAGGAGCTGGGAGGGAGGGGGCCTTAGACATTTTCTGATCCATCACCCCAGTTTTACAGATGGGAAACAGGTTCAGGGAGAGAAGTGGGTAGCTAAGGTTGCACTGTTCCTGTCACACACAGTGCTAGAATGCACCATGGTTAGATCAAACATGTGTTTGTGTTTTACTAACAATCAGGGGCTCCTGCAGATGAGAAAAGTTCTGGTTTGATGACCTCATCCATAAAACTGCAGTCTCTGATGGGCACCACAGACAGAGATGGCATGAGGAGTGTGCCTAGCCAGGGCACCACCAGCACAGTGTTAGGGACCAACGAGCGAGTGTGAGCACCCCGAGACCTCCAAGATAGGGCTGAGGGACAGCCAGCGGGCCCCCATCCTCACCTCTGCTTCCTGCCCTTAGTCTCTTCCTCTATACGCACCGGAGGATGGCCATTACCGGGGACGATGTCTCTCTGGACCAGATAGTGCCAGTCTCGCGGGATTTTACGCTGGAAGAAGGTGCCACAGGGGGCTGGGTGGTATGAATCCTCTCCTATGGGCCCCCCAGCTCATCTTTGTCCTTGATGGGGGGGCAAGGGGGAGTAAGCTCAATTGCTAAGGGCATTCTCATTTCCCTCCCCACAGTGTCCCCAGATGGTGAACTCTACATCCTTGGTGAGTGGTCCTCTTGGTCTGGGTCCCACTCGGGGCAGGGGTGCCTGATTTTCAGAGAAAGAAGAATGGTGTAAAGTAAGAGCACCCCCTGCTAAACTTATTGCAGCAAGTAAGACCCTGTAGGATCTGGCACAGCCCATCTCCGTGGGCTCATCTCCCATCACTCTCCTCCTTGCTGCTGTTTCCGTCTCCCCCGATAACACACATTCTCACCCCGGAGCCCCTGCACACGCTGTCCTCTCCTCCTGCAAGCCTCACATCTCTTCACCTAGCCAACTCCTACTCAGCCTTCAGGGCTTCCATTCATGCATTTCTCTTCCCAGGCAGCCTTTGTTAAACCCCTGAAATTAGGCCAGGGCAGTGGCTCACGCCTGTAATCCCAGCACTTTGGGGGGGCCAAGATCACGAGGTCAGGAGTTCAAGACCAGCCTGACCAACATGGAGAAACCCCGTCTCTACTAAAAATACAAAATTAGCCAGGCATGGTGGTGCATGCCTGTAATCCCAGCTACTCGAGAGGCTGAGGCAGGAGAATTGCTTGAACCTGGGAGGCGGAGGTTGCCGTGAGCCAAGATCGCACCATTGCACTCCAGCCTGGGCAACAAGAGTGAAACTCCATCTCAAAAAACAAACAAAAAACCCCCAAAAAATCCTGAAATTGTTTTGTATCCCATGGATACATGTGTCTGTCCCTCCCTCCCTCCCTTCCTCTCTCTCTCTCTCTCTCTTTCTTGACAGAATCTCACTCTGTCACCCAGGCTGGAGTACAGTGGCATGATCTTGGCTCACTGCAACCTCCGCCTCCCAGGTTCAAGTGATTCCCCTGCCTCTGCTTCCCAAGTAGCTGGGATTACAGGCACCCGCCACCATGCCCAGCTAATTTTTGTATTTTCTGCAGAGGCGGGGTTTTGCCATGTTGGCCAGGCTGGTCTTGAACTCCTGACCTCAGATGATCCACCTGCCTTGGCCTCCCAAAGTGCTGGGATTATAGGCGTGAGCCACCACACCTGGCTTGCCTTTTTCTTATTTTTGCCAGCCTCTCTCAATCAGTGATGTAATTCTTTATATTGACATATTTAATGTCTGTCTGCTTTGCTATACAACAATAATAATAATAGAAGCAAATAATGAGTTAATGATTATCCCACGCCAGCATTGTGCTAGAAGTTTTACATACACCAAATCACGCTTTTCTCTTTTTTGTTTGAGACAGAGTCTCGCTCTGTTGCCCAGGCTGGAGTGCAGTGGCGCGATCTCGGCTCACTGCAAGCTCCACCTCCCGGGTTCACGCCATTCTCCTGCCTCAGCCTCCCAAGTAGCTGGGACTACAGGCGCCTGCCACCACACCCGGCTAATTTTTTGTATTTTTTTTTAGTAGAGACGGGGTTTCACCGTGTTGGCCAGGATGGTCTCGATCTCCTGACCTTGTGATCCACCCCACCTCGGCCTCCCAAAGTGCTGGGATTACAGGCATGAGCCACCGCACCGGGCCTAAATCAGGCTTTTCTCACAGCTCTATGAGGTTATCACTGTTTGCATCTCCATTTTATGGACAAGGTAACTGAGGCCCAGAGAAATTAAACAGTTTAGTAAGGGGTGGAACCAAGATTCAAACTTAGAGAATTCAGATTCTAGAGCCCACACTATTTTATTTTATTTTATTTTATATATATATATATATTTTTTTTTTTTTTTTTTTTTTGAGACGGAGTCTCGCTCTGTCGCCCAGGCTGGAGTGCAGTGGCGCGATCTCGGCTCACTGCAAGCTCCGCCTCCCGGGTTCACGCCATTCTCCTGCCTCAGCCTCCCGAGTAGCTGGGACTACAGGTGCCCGCTACCATGCCCGGCTAATTTTTTGTATTTTTAGTAGAGACGGGGTTTCACCGTGTTAGCCAGGATGGTCTCGATCTCCTGACCTCGTGATCCGCCCGCCTCGGCCTCCCAAAGTGCTGGGATTACAGGCGTGAGCCACCGCGCCCGGCCCTTTATTTTATTTTTTGAGACAGGATCTTGCTCTGTCACTCGGGCTGGAGTGCAGTGGCACAAATATGGCTCACTTCAGCCTCAACCTCCTGGGCTCAAGCGATCCTCCCACCTCAGCCTCCCAAGTAGCTGGGACTCCACATCTGGCTAATTTTTTATAGAGATTGGGTGGCGGGGGGTGGTGTCTCATTGTGTTTTCCAAGCTGGTCTCAAACTCCTGGCTTTAAGTAATCCTCCTGCCCTGGCCTCCCAAAGTGCTGGGATTACAGGCATGGGTCACTGTGCCCAGCCTAGCCCACACTCTTAATCGCTCTGCTAGGTTGCTTCTGTTTGTCTGTTAGTTCAGCACATGGTTTGAGTGCTCACCATGTGCCCGGTATTGGGTATATGCTATGAATAGGGAAGCCTTCTACAGTCTAGCTCCCTGAGACGGGCCCACGTGTATTCTCTTCACCATGGTATTCCCTGTGCCTATCACACTACCTGGCATAGTCAGGTAGACTGACCCATGGACATTCCCTCTTGTCTGCCTCTATGTGCTTTTCATTTCATCGGGAGGGGAACAGACTACACATCCAGAGAACCTGTTCTTTCCCAGTTCCATCTAGTACTGCAGTTGAGGCTTACTGACTTTTCAGAGCCTTCTTCTGCCTCCTGTATAAAGAGGGGATGATGTTAATTTGGAACTCAGGGTACAGAGGGTTTCCTTGTTGTCCCAGCAGCTGTCCCAAGTAAGTTGCTTAAGGGCTGAAGGGGCTTTGGGAGTCTGGGTTGCTGATTCTCCATTCTCAGGCTTAGGCTGCATCAAGCACTTAGCTCCTGGCAGCCAAGGGTTCATTTCCTGCCTCCTTTGTGCAGGCTCAGATGTGACCGTCCAGCTGGACACAGCAGAGCTTAGCCTCGTATTCCAACTGCCCTTTGGTTCACAAACCAGGATGTTCCTCCACGAAGTTGCCAGGGCCTGTCCAGGTAGGTAAGACCCCAGGCTCCCTGGGGGTGGGTGGGTTGCTGGGTATTCACCTACCCACCCCAGTTGACTCTCCACCCTTTGGACTCTTACCCCATGGTTTCTGTGTCCTTTCGAAGCTGCTGGTGTAAAGCCATAGTGCCCCCAGGCTGCCAGCCAACCATGGTGTTTGCTTTTGTGTTTACAGTTTCTGGAGTTGAGTGTTAACTACAGCAGGGCCCCTTTGCTCTCCTGGCTCTGGGCAGGGTTGCACAGGATAGGTTGTGACTGTGATGCAGAATCTCTTACAAGTTGGCAGACTAAGCAGCTTCAAGCGGCCCAACTTCCCTCTCTCTGCCACCCACAGCTAGAACTCACAGCTAGAACCATCTGTCATATTGGCTCTCCTGCCCTTGAACCCTGCTGTCACTCACTGCCGCTGAGAAAATGGTCTAGCTTTGGGCTAGCAGTGAAACGTTAGTGGCCTTTAGGACAAAATTTGTTTAGAATGGGACATTAGCCCGGCAGGTAAAGGAGAGTTTGTGTACAGAGCAGAGGATTAGTCATAGAACATGCAAATTCAAGCCAACAGGTGCTGGGGCTTAAATGTTTACCCACCACTTTTAGCTGTCTTCTTTCAAGCTATCTCTTGTCTTTGTGGCAATGGGAGAGGGCTGGTCTTCTCTGTGGTCTTGCTGTGGAGCCTGAGCCTCCAGGGGCTTCACTTTATTTTGCTTGCTGTGCCAGGAAGGGGACTGCCCTTGGATTCAAACTAGGGGATAAGGGAAAAGGAAGCAGAAGAAACAGCTAGGCTTAGTAGCTTGCTCGTAATCCCAACTACTTGGGAGGCTAAGGCAGGAGGATCACCGGAGCCCAGGAGTTCAAGGCTACATTGAGCTATGATTGCGCCACTGCACCGCAGCATGGGCAACAGAGTGAGACCCCTGTCTCTAAAAAATAAAATAACAGGCCGGGCGCGGTGGCTCACGCCTGTAATCCCAGCACTTTGGGAGGCCAAGGCGGGTGGATCACCAGGTCAGGAGATCGAGATCATCCTAGCTAACACGGTGAAACCCCGTCTCTACTAAAAATAAAAAAATTAGCCGGGCATGGTGGCGGGCGCCTATAGTCCCAGCTACTCGGGAGGCTGAGGCTGGAGAATGGCATAAACCCAGGAGGCGGAGCTTGCAGTAAGCCGAGATTGCGCCACTGCACTCCAGCCTAGGGACAGAGCAAGACTCCATCTCAAAAAAAAAAAACAAAAACAAAAACAAAAGGAAGTAGAAACATGATTATAGAGCTTTGAATGCCTGGTTAAGAGGTTTATTTATTTTATTTATTTTTTTGAGACGGAGTTTTGCTCTTGTTGCCCAGGCTGGAGTGCAGTGGCGCGATCTCGGCTCACTGCAATGTCCACCTCCCCGGTTCAAGCAATTCTCCTGCCTCAGCCTCCTGAATAGGTGGGATTACAGGCGCCCACCACCATGCCTAGCTGATTTTTTTTTTTTTTTTTTTTGAGACGGAGTTTCGCTCTTGTCGCCCAGGCTGCAGTGTGGTGGTACGACCTTGGCTCGCTGCAACCTCCGCCTCCTGGGTTCAAGCGATTCTCCTGCTTCAGCCTCCCGAGTAGCTGGGATTACTGGCGCCCACCACCACGCCCAGCTGATTTTTGGATTTTTGGTAGAGACACGGTTTCATCATGTTGGCCAGGCTGGTCTTGAACTCCTGACCTCAGGTGATCCGCCCACCTCAGCCTCCCAAAGTGCTGGGATTACAGGCATGAGCCACCACACCCAGCATAATTTTTTGTATTTTCAGTAGAGACAGGGTTTCACCACGTTGGTCAGGGTGGTCTCGAACTCCCGGCCTAAGGTGATCCACCCACCTTGGTCTCCCAAAGTGCTGGGGTTACAGGCCTAAGCCACTGCGCCCAGCCAAGAGGTTTCAAATTTATTAAGCAGGGGGAAATTTATCTCTAAATCTTAAAATAAAAGGATAACATATTTTATGATTATTAATAATAGTTGTAGGAGGTATAATAATAGAAATAACACCAAAGAGCCTGGGCTTTGAAGCTATACAGCCCCTTGAGTTTGAAACCCATCTCTGCCAGTACCTAGCTGTGCAACTTTGGGCAAGCTACTTCACCTCTCTGAACTTTAGTTTTTGTAGGCTTCTGTATGTAATGAATACCTTATTCATGGGTTGTGAGAATTAAATGAGATAACACATGTAAAAGTGCCTACCACATAGCAGGAACTCAGAAAATGTTTTTCCCCTCTACAAGAAGACTCGTAGCTCACATTCATTGTTGATTTGGCATGCGTTAGGCACTATTCCAAGAACTTTTCACACATTATCTCATTTACTCCTTTTTAAAAAAATTTTTTAAATTTAATGTTAATTTTATTTATTTATTTATTTATTTATTTATTTATTTTTGAGACAGAGTCTCGCCCTGTTGCCCAGGCTAGAGTGCAATGGCGCAATCTCGGCTCATTGCAACCTCCACCTCCTGGGTTCAAGTGATTCTCCTGCCTCAGCCTCCCGAGTAGCTGGTACAGGCGCATGCCACCACACCCAGCTAATTTTTTGTATCTTTAGTAGAGACAAGGTTTCACCATGTTGATCAGGCTGGTCTTGAACTCCTGACCTCGTGATCCACCCACCTCGGCCTCCCAATGTGCTGGGATTACAGGCATGAGCCACCGTGTCCAGCTTTTTTTTTTTTTTTTTTTGAGACCAACTTTCACTCTTGTTGCCCATCTGGGCTGGAGTGCAATGGCACAGTCTTGGCTTACTACAACCTCCGCCTCTGGGGTTCAAGCGATTCTCCTGCTTCAGCCTCCCAAGTAGCTAGGATTACAGGCACCTGCCACTATGCCTGGCTAATTTTTGTATTTTTATTTTTATTTTTATTTTATTTTATTTTATTTTATTTTTTGAGACAAAGTCTGGCTCTGTCGCCCAGGCTGGAGTGCAGTGGTGCAATCTCAGCTTACTGCAACTTCTGCCTCCTGGGTTCAAGCGATTCTCCTGCCTCAGCGTCCCGAGTAGCTGGGACTACAGGCGCATGCCACCATGCCTGGCTAATTTTTGTATTTTTTGGTAGAGACAGGTTTTACCATGTTGGCCAGGCTGGTCTCGAACTTCTGACCTCAGGTGATCCGCCCACTTTGGCCTCCCAAAGTGCTGGGATTACAGGCGTGAGCGACTGTCCCTGGCCAACTTTTATATTTTTAGTAGAGATGGGGTTTTACCACGTTGGCCAGGCTAGTCTTGAACTCCTGACCTCAGGTGACCTGCCCATCTCAGCTTCCAAAAGTGCTGGGATTACAGGCGTGAGCTACCTTGCCCAGCCTCTCATTTACTTTTATTTATTTATTTATTTATTTTTTGTGAGACGGAGTCTTGCTTTGTTGCCCAGGCTGGAGTGCAGTGGCGCCATCTTGGCTCACTGCAACCTCCGCCTCTTGGATTCAAGTGACTGTTCTACTTCAGCCTCCTGAGTAGCTGGGATTACAGGTGCACGCCACCATGCCTGGCTAATTTTTGTATTTTTAATAAAGACGGGGTTTCACCATGTTGTTCAGGCTGGTCTCGAACTCCTGACCTTGTGATCTGCCCACTTCGGCCTCCCAAAGTGCTGGGAATACAGGTGTGAGCCACCGCGCCCGGCCTGGCCTCATATACTCTTTACCACGATCTTACAAGGGAAGTATTATCGATGTGTCCATTTCATAGATGAGGAAACTGAGGCTCAGAGAGGATAAGAGCGTTGCCTGAGTACCTAGCTGGTAAACGATAGCGCCAGGATTAGGCAGGATTATATAGTTCTACTCCAGGCCAGGCACGGTGGCTCATGCCTGTAATCCCAGCAGTTTGGAAGGCCTAGACGGGTGGATCACTTGAGGTTAGGGGTTCGAGACCAGACTGGCCAACATATAGTGACAGAGCGAGACTCTGTCTCTCAAAAAAAAAAAAAAAAAGTTCTGCTCCAGAGCCTGAGCCCTTGCGTGTTTTGCTCTAGTGCTTCCTTAGCTCATGGCACCCTCTCCCCTATAAACAGCCCAGGAAGGCTTCATGTAGGAGGTGAATTTTTTTTTGAGACTCCCTGGCTGGAGTGCAGTGGCATGATCTTGTATCACTACAACCTCCACCTCCCGGGTTCAAGCGATTCTCTTGCCTCAGCCTCCTGAGTAGCTGGGACTACAGGTGCCTGCCAACATGCCTGGCTAATTTTTGTGTTTATAGTAGAGACAGGGTTTTACCATGTTGCCCAGGATGGTCTCAAACTCCTGACCTCTGGTGATCCGCCCGCCTCGGCCTCCCAAAGTGCGGGAATTACAGGCGTGAACCACCGCGCTCGGCCAGAGGTGATATTTAAGCTTAGGCTAGAAGGATGAAGAAGAGTTTTTCCCCAGGCAGGCAACAAGGAGGAAAAGGGCTTGGCAGTCGGAGGGAAGGGCAGGACCTTTGGTGGGGACTGAACTTGGGGGAAGAGGAGGGTGTGGAGAGAGCTGAGCCAGGAGGGGTCAGCAGAGAGCATCTCATGAAGGGTCTTAGCTACCCAGCAAAGAGCTTGGACTTTGCCCTATAGCTTATGGGGAACCATTAAGGAATTTTATTTATTTATTTATTTTTTGATACGGAGTCTCACTCTGTCGCCCAGGCTGGAGTGCAGTGGCGTGATCTCGGCTTACTGCAAGCTCCACCTCGCAGGTTCATGCCATTCTCCTGCCTCAGCCTCCCGAGTAGCTGGGACTACAGGTGCCCACCACCACGCCTGGCTAATTTTTTGTATTTTTAATAGAGACTGGGTTTCACCATGTTAGCCAGAATGGTCTGGATCTCCTGACCTCGTGATCCGCCCGCCTTGGCCTTCCAAAGTGCTGGGATTACAGGCGTGAGCCACCGCGCCCGGCCGCCATTAAGGAATTTTTAAGCTGGAGAGTGATAAGGCAAGATTTGCAAGTTAGAAAAGTTCCTCTGGCAACTGGTATAGAAAAAGAGAACTAGAGCAGGGAGATAGGAATGTACTGGAATGGCTAAGGAATGGAAAATGAGGCTGGGACCTGGGAGAGCCCTGGTGATGGGAATGGGGAAGGAGGGATGGACTTGAAAAATAGAGAGGTCAAACTGATGAGAATGAAGGCACCATGGGGGCAGTGAGTTTGGGTCACGTTCACAACTTCATCCGCAGAGATAAGAACAGTGCCAGCCTGCAAGGTGGCTCACGCCTGTAATCCCAGCACTTTGGGAGGCCAAGGCGGGGCGGATCACGAGGTCAGGAGTTCAAGACCAGCCTGACCAATATGGTGAAACCCCATCTCTACTAAAAATACAAAAAAATTAGCCAGGCGTGGTGGCACGTGCCTGTAGTCCCAGCTACTCGGGAGGCTGAGGCGGGAGAATCGCTTGAACCCGGGAGGCAGAGGTTGCAGTGAGCCGAGATCGTGCCACTGCACTCCAGCCTGGGCGACAGAGCCAGACTCCATCTTTTTTTTTTTGAGATGGAGTCTGGCTCTGTCGCCCGGACTGGAGTGCAGTGGCACGATCTCGGCTCACTGCAAGCTCCGCCTCCTGGGTTCACGCCATTCTCCCACCTCAGCCTCCCGAGTAGCTGGGAGTACAGGCGCCCGCCAGCACGCCCGGCTAATTTTTTGTATTTTTTTAGTAGAGACGGGGTTTCACCGTGTTAGCCAGGATGGTCTCGATCTCCTGACCTCGTGATCCGCCCGCCTCGGCCTCCCAAAGTGTTGGGATTACAGGCGTGAGCCACTGCGCCCGGCCAAGACTCCATCTTAAAAAAAAAAAGAACACCGCCTGTCAGATAGCAGGCACTTAATAAATATTTGTTGACTGCAGGAGCAGAGGTTGGTAGCTATGAGAATGAAAGACAGGAGTCAAGGATGACTTCTTTCTTTTAGGATTGGGTGTGTGTCTTGCAGTCCCCTTACCTGTCATCCTTCTGGGGTCCACACCACACCTGGGGTAACCAGCAGAGAAACTCTGTACCAACCAACTTCTCTGAGTGCTTGTCATGATGGGGATTTCCTCAGGGAGGGACCTGGGTTAGAAGGGACTCTCAGTATTGACAGACTCTTAGATATCCACCAGCCCAACTCTTTCATTTTACTAGAGGCACTAGAGGCAAAAGGAACTAGGTTTTTTCCACCCAGTCCTTGATGGATAATGTTGTACAGCACAAAAGGCCAGAGAGTGGAAGTGTCTTGGCTAAGAATCTACTATTAGAGAAACATCAGCTAACAAGAGATCACAGTTAGCTAACATTAATTGAGCACCTACTGTGTGCCAGACATTTTTCTAGATACCGAGACAATGCACAACAACTGTATTTCTCCGTTTGGTCTTCTGAACAATACTAAGAAGTAGATATCCTGTTTTACAGACGAGTAAATTGACACAGAGGAGGCAAGCAACTTACCCAAGATCAATCATCAATTGAAGTAATAGGGGCCGGATGGGGTGGCTCACACCTGTAATCCCAGCACTTTTGAGAGGTTGAGGTGGGCGGATCATGAGGTCAGGAGTTCGAGACCAGACTGACCAATATGGTGAAACCTCGCCTCTACTAAAAATACAAAAATTAGCCAGGCGTGGTGCCGTGTGCCTGTAATCCCAGCTACTCAGGAGTCTGAGGCAGGAGAATCATTTGAACCCGGGAGGCGGAGGTTGCAGTAAGCAGAGATCACGTTACTGCATTCCAGCCTGGGCGACAGAGCAAGAGTTTGTCCCAAAATAAATAAATAAATAAATAAATAAATAAATAAATAAATAAATAAATAAAATAAAAATTGAAGTAATGGGACCAGGTTTGAAACTTCAGTTTCTGATGCCAAAGCCCTCGGAGTTCAGAGATTTCAGTGCAGATCCCAGGTCTGTCACTTCCTAAATGTGAATGTGAACACTACATTTTATTTTATCTATTATTTATTTATTTATTTATTTATTTATTTATTTATTTATTGAGACAGAGTCTAGCTCTGTCACCCAGGCTGGGGTGTGGTGGTGCAATCTTGGCTCACTGCAACCTCCACCTCCCAGGTTCAGGTTATTCTCCTGCCTCAGCCTCCCGAGTAGCTGGGATTACAGGTGCCCGCCACCACACCCGGCTAATTTTTGTATTTTCTTTTTTTCTTGAGACAGAGTCTCACTCTTTCACCCAGGTTGGAGTGCTGTGGTGCGATCTCAGCTCACTGAAACCTCTACCTCCCAGGTTAGAGGGATTCTCCTGCCTCAGCCTCCCGAGTAGCTGGGACTACAGGCGCATGCCACCATGGCCAGCTAATTTTTTGTATTTTTTGTGGAGACAGGGTTTCACCATGTTAGCCAGGATGGTCTGGATCTCCTGACCTCGTGATCTGCCCGCCTCAGCCTCCCAAAGTGCTGGGATTACAGGCATGCGCCTGGCCCTACTATATATTTTATTTTTTCAGACCTTGGCTTTTTTATTTATACAATGGAAATATAAACTTGCCTTCTTCAATAAGCCAAGTTTTTTGAGGATCAGACGAGGCCAAGTATGGGTTAATAGTATGTAAATGCTGAAGACAACTTAAAAGCTGTGTCTGGCAGTGCCATAGTCAGGACTGGAACTCAAGTCTTCTCATATATCATGTCCTTGCACATCCTATTCAGTTCGGTCGGGTTCATGCAGCTCTACAGACAGAGCAGGTGGGATAGCAGGAGGGTTAAGAGCAACTGTTCCAGAGTCAGATAGTTTGAGTCAGAGGGTTTGAGTCAGAGACAGAGGTGACTCAAGAATTTCTAAGAGGGAGAGTGGCAGTCTGGTTAAGGGAGAAACAGAGGACTTGTCTTGATATATTTCATAGTAAACACACTGCTTACTTACGGCGTGTGTTTCTCTGGAGTGGGCTGCCAACTGCTGCTGGAGGTTATGGGTGGTGAAATCCTCCAACCCTCTGGCATCGGTTTGAATCCTCCACTCTGCTAGTCACTCTGCGACCTCAGACTTAACCTCTCTGAACTTGGTTGCCTTGTATATAAAATGGGGATAATAGGCCGGGGGTGGTGGCTCACGCCTGTAATCCCAACACTTTGGGAGGCCGAGGCAGGTGGATCATGAGGTCAGGAGATCAAGACCATCCTGGCTAATACGGTGAAACCCCGTCTCTACTAAAATACAAAAAATTAGCCAGGCATGGTGACACGTGCCTGTAGTCCCAGCTACTCGGGAGGCTGAGGCAGGAGAATCGCTTGAATCCGGGAGGCAGAGGTTGCAGTGAGCGGAGATCGCTCCACTGCACTCCAGCTTAGGCGACAGAGCGAGACTCCGTCTCAAAAAAAAAAAAAAAAAAAAAAAGAAAAGAAAAGAAAATTGGGATAATAGTTTCCTCCCTCATAAAAGGTGTGTTACGAGGAGTAGGAAGATAATATTTATACGAGGCACAGACCTTGGCACATAGTTACCGTGAGGTTCAAGGAATGGCGGTGGTCTCTGCCTTGGAATAGTACTTTTGTGTTCACAATTATTCTTGCATTTGAACCTCAGTGCGCACAGAACCCTTCTGTGCGCGGGAGAAACAGGGCCGGAGTCTCTTGGGATAATACAATCATGCAGAGCCGGCTCTTCAAGCTCGTGGCTCAGTCTGCCCCCATTTGTTCCTGCACAGGCTTCGATTCTGCGACCCGGGATCCTGAATTCCTGTGGCTGTCTCGGTATAGGTGCGCAGAGCTGGAGCTGGAGATGCCAACGCCGCGCGGTTGTAACTCGGCCCTAGTTACCTGGCCAGGGTACGCGACAATTGGCGGAGGCAGGTATCCGTCCCGGAAGAAACGGTGGGGATTGGAGGAGGCCCGGCCACAGGGGGCGGGCTCCGTTCTGTTTTGGGGCGGAGCGATGGAGAAGACAGGCTTTCGATTGATGGAGCGGGCACACGGGGGCGGGTTCGTCTGGGGGCGGAGCGCGCGGGACGGGCGGCGGGATGAGGAGCTTGAGGAAGCAGGCAGGGAAATGTCTGCCGCCGCCGGCTCTCGGGAGCGCAACACTGCAGGTTCGGCGGGCGGCGGGAAGCTGGGCTGGGGAGCTGGGCCGGGGGCGGCGGTGCGCCCGGCCCTCGGGTGGGCAGGGTCGGCGGTTTGGCCAGTGGACGCTCGGGGCGAAGACCAAAGTCCTGGTGGCCCTCTGGAGGCTGGGACACTGGGGCAGAAGTTCTGTGATGTTCTTCTTAGGCGTGCGTGACGAGGGTAGGCGGGTGGGAATGGGGTACTTGGGAATCCGGAGGCTGGGGTTTTAGTAAAGCTCCGTTCCGAACTCGCTGTGTGACCTCGGGCCACTCGCTGCCCCTCTCTGGGCCTGTTGCTCCATCTGAGCTTGCTCTTCAATCCTGATCTTCCGAGTTTGTCGCGTGGGGCGGGTGGGGGAGTGGTGCCCTGCCTACGATAGAGTCTTCCTTTGGGTGAGGTATGGTATGTGTTGGGGCTCTGTCAGTTCTCAGCCCCTGTGATGATAGCGCAGTGTACAGGGCTGGAGTCTTGGGGAGCCCTGTCTACTCTGGGACTAGAGGCCAGGATGAAGTTACAGGTTATAAAAGGACTAGGTTTTTTCCCACCCAGCAGTTGGTGGATAATGGGGAGCACAGAAGGCCAGTTGCTGAGCAGGAGCTTGTCGTTTGGAGATGGGAGGCTCAGGGCTGAAATTTGGGTGAGTCCGTGCTCTGGGAGGACCTGCAGACCTGTCTTTTTTTGTCCAGCTCCAGGGTTTTCTGCAAGGGCCCCTGGTGCTTTTTTCCCCTGGGTGTGTCCGTGAGGCTCCATTTATGTGTGAGCTTTGGCATGACCCCTAGTACCTATTTGTGACAGTCATTTGCCAGCAATGAAGAGCCTGTCAAGTAGCTGTGTAAAGTGTGGGCCAGCCCTCCACTTGCTCTTACAAGGCTTGGAAACTATGAGGGGCAGGGAGGAGTGGCATGTTGCACAAGAGTTTGTAAACTGAGAGGAAACGAGGTGAGCAGAGGACTTCCTCGGTGCTTGTTTCTCCTTCATTGCAGCCATCACAAGGTGCGATCGAAGCGCCTGATGGTGCTGATAGTTTGCATCTTCCTTGGGCTTATCTCAGAGTTCACTATCACTAGAGTTTCCATGACATTCTGGGCTATGGTGCTGGGACGGGTGAGAGTTTAAGAGCACCTCATCTCCTTGCCCCTTCACAAGAGACTGCCAGAATCCAGACAATTGGCGGAGGACAAGGCCAATGGCAGCAGAAAGAGGTGGGTGCTGTGTTCTCAGCCAGTACACCAGAGCCAGGCCATGCAGGCACTTCATTCCCTTAGTCTTCTATGACAAGTCAGGCCAGCTAGCTCTGAAGCCAGTTAGCTGCCCCGACTGAGAAATGTGCAGGGATCTCAATCTTTCATTTCCTTTCAAAAAACAGAGACTAGCCATATGCTGGTGAGGAATTATTGTTACGGTTTCGGTTTTATTTTTATTTTAAAATAATTTGAAAGCTGAACATGGTGGCGCGTACCTGTAGTCCCAGCCACTTGAGAGGCTGAGGTGGAAGGC
Source organism: Homo sapiens (assembly GCF_000001405.40). Lineage (NCBI taxonomy): Eukaryota > Metazoa > Chordata > Mammalia > Primates > Hominidae > Homo > Homo sapiens. The sequence goes on along the minus strand of NC_000001.11, from coordinate 37,930,162 downwards.
TTGAGCCCAGGAGTTTGAGGGTGATGTGCACTATGATTGATCCTGTGAATTAGTTGCTGCACTCCAGCCTAGGCAACATAGTGAGACTGTCTCTAAAATAAATAAATAAATAGTTTTAAAAATTTTGTCAGCCAGGCGTGGTGACTCATGCCTGTAATCCCAGCACTGTGGGAAGCTGAGGCGGGCGGATCACCTGAGGTCAGGAGTTCGAGACCAGCCTGGCCAACATGGCGAAACTCCGTCACTACTAAAAATACAAAAATTAGATGGGCGTGGTGGCAGGTGCCTGTAATCCCATGTACTCTGGAGGCTGAGGTAGGAGAATTGCTTGAACCCAGGAGGCAGAGGTTGCAGTGAGCCGAGATCGTGCCATTGCATTCCAGCCTGGGAGACGGAGCAAGACTCCATCTCGAAAAAAAAAAAAATTTTTCTCTTAAAATACCTACAGTAAGTGGGGTGACACTATTAATTGCTAAGTTGCTCCTGCTAAAATTGGTAAGAAATGGTATCAAGCCCCTCAGTTCTATTTGGGTCATCTGTTTCCAGAGTTATTATGGCCTCAGAGGAGAGTTACATCTTCTATAACAGGTAGGAAGAACCCTTTGGGCTGCCTTTGGATGTCGATACAGGCCCCAAGGGAAACAGAGTAGTAGATTGTTTTTTCCTATATGCATATGATCAAAATACCCACTTTTTGATAGCCTAGAGAACCCAAAGCAAACAGTTGCTTAAAAATGCTGTTTCTGGCTGGGCACGATGACTCATGCCTTTAATCCCAACACTTTGGAAGGCTGAGGCGGGCGGATCATGAGGTCAGGAGTTCGAGACCAGCCTGGCCAACATGGCGAAACCCTGTCTCTACTAAAAATACAAAAATTAGATGGGTGTAGTGGCACATGGCTATAATCCCAGGTACTTGGGAAGCTGAGGTAGGAGAATCGCTTGAACCCAGGAGGCAGAGGTTGCAGTGCGCTGAGATCGTGCCACTGCACTCCAGCCTGGGAGACAGAGCGAGACTCCATCTCAAAAAAAAAAAAATTTTTTTTTATCTTATCGTAATACCTACAGTAAGTGACTGGGTGACACTGTTAATTGCTAAGTTGCTGCTGCTAAAATTGGTAAGAAATGGTATCAAGCTCTCCAGTTCTGTTTGGGTCATCTCTGTTTCCAGAGTTGTTCTGGCCTCAGAGGAGAGTTACATCTTCTATAACAGGTGGGAAGAACCCTTTGGGCTGCCTCTGGATGTCGATACAGGCCCCAAGGGAAACGGAGTAGTAGATTTGTTTTTTCCTATATGCATATGATCAAAATACCCACTACTTGATAGCCTAGAGAAACCAAGGCAAATGGTTGCTTAAAAATGCTGTTTTTGGCTGGGCGCGGTGGCTCATGCCTAATCCTAGCACTTTGGGAGGCCGAGGTGGGCGGATCACAAGATCAGGAGTTCAAGACCAGGCTGGGCAACATGACGAAATCCTGTCTCTACTAAAAATATAAAAATTAGGCCAGGCACAGTGGCTTATGCCTGTAATCCCAGCACTTTGGGAGGCTGAGGCAGGCGGATCACAAGGTCAGGAGATCAAGACCATCCTGGCTAACACGGTGAAACCCCATCTCTACTAAAAATACAAAAAAAATTAACTGGGCATGGTAGTGTGCGCTTATAGTCCCAGCTACTCGGGAGTCTGAGGCAGGAGAACCGCTTGAACCTGGGAGGCAGAGGTTGCAGTTAGCCGAGATCGCGCCACTGCACTCCAGCCTGGGCGAGACTCCATCTCAAAACAAAACAAAACAAAACAAAAAAACCCCAAAAAAACAGAACTTAGCTGAGCATGGTGGCAGGCACCTGTAATCCCTGCTACTTGGGAGGCTGAGGCAGGAGAATCAGTTGAACCCGGGAGGTGGCGATTGCAGTGAGCTGAGATCGCGGCATTGCACTCCAGTCTGGGTGACAAGAGCAAGACTCTGTCCCCTCAGAAAAAAAAAAGCTGTTTTTGATTCACGGCAGGAGAAACAAAGGCACCCCTCAGGAGCTGGCAGTCTGACTGAGAGGGGTCTGATAATACGTAGATAGAGGTAAGAGAGTATAGGGTTGGCCCAGCAGGACAGTGTTCCTTGTAGCGTGAGCCAAGGGCATAGAGCACCTTTGAGGCCCAGGCATTTTGGGGGATAGGTGAATCTGGTCTTCATTCTTTGCCTTTGCATTAATAGAGATAGGAATGATCTTTGATGATTCTTTCAAAATGTCCTTTCTTTTCTTTGATTTGTCTCTGCTGAATTCAGGAGTGTTAGGCTGAGCTTGGTAGAGATTATAGTAGAAAAATGAGGCCGGGCGCAGTGGCTCACGCCTGTAATCCCTGCACTTTGGGAGGCCAAGGAGGGCGGATCACGAGGTCAGGAGATTGAGACCATCCTGGCTAACATGGTGAAACCCCGTCTCTACTAAAAATACAAAAAAATTAGCCGGGCATGGTGGTGGGCGCCTGTAGTCCCAGCTACTCGGGAGGCTGAGGCAGGAGAATGGCGTGAACTTGGGAGGCAGAGCTTGCAGTGAGCTGAGATTGCGCCACTGGACTCCAGCCTTGGTGACAGAGCGAGACTCTGTCTCAAAAAAAAAAAAAAAGAAAGAAAAAGAAAAATGAAATGGAGCTAGTTTCAGACTGGAATCCACGTCTTCAGGTTCAGACCAGTGTCTAGGAGGTAACTTGTGGTGTTGAAGTCAGGTAATGCTTTTGGTTGAGTGGCAGCTTGTTCACGTGATTCTCTTGCCAAGCCCAGCTTGCACTGACTTTAGATTGGTAGTTGAATCGGTAGATTGGTAGGAGTCTTTCTGCTCCTGCACTTATTTAACTGCTCCTTTTTTTTTTTGAGACGGAGTCTTGCTGTGTCACCAGGCTAGGAGTGCAGTGGCACGATCTTGGCTCACTGCAACTTCCACCTCCCGGGTTCAAGTAATTCTCCTGCCTTAGCCTCTCTAGTAGCTGGGACTACATACATGCACCTGCACGCCACCACACCCAGCTAATTTTTGTATTTTTAGTAGGGATGGTGTTTCACCTTGTTGGCCAGGATGGTCTCCATCTCCTGACCTTGTGATCTGCCCGCCTGGGCCTCCCAAAGTGCTGAGATTACAGGCGTGAGCCACCGCGCCTGGCCTCACTGTTCTTAACATCTTTTTTCTTTTCTTTTTTTTTCTTCCTAACCACTAGATGACCAGGGATGCTGTTAACTTCCTTTTGCAGCTTTTTCTTTCCTTAAAAAGAGTGAAGTCTGATTTGGGAGAAATACCTCATTATTTCCATCTAGCAACTGAAGTTGCTCTTATTCAGAAAACCCCATTGAGGATCCTGTACAGGGCCCAGTACTTATCCAAGTCAGTCTGTAAAATGTTCACCTGCATTGCATCCTGGGTACATGCAAAACCTGGAGCTGTGTTCTGGAGGGTTTTGAACTATGCACTAAAAAGGAAATGGCTACTCAGAAGTCCCACAGGGGCCATTCTGGGCTATTTTAACAAAGCAGTAATAGCAAATACATTTTGTTTTTTTTTAATCCAAAGTTGATTAGAAATGAGCCAGCTTCGCCGGGTGTGGTGGCTCAAGCCTGTAATCCCAGCACTTTCAGAGGCCGAGGTGGGCGGATCACAAGGTCAGGAGTTCAAGACCATCCTGGCCAACGTGGTGAAACCCCATCTCTACTAAAATATAAAAAATTAGCTGGGCGTGGTGGCGTGCGCCTGTATCCCAGCTACTTGAGAGGCTGAAGCAATCACTTGAACCTGGGAGGCGGAGGTTGCAGTGGGCTGAGATCACGCCACTGCATGCCAGCCTGACGACAGTGAGACTCCGTCTCAAAAAAAAAAAGAAATGAACCAGCTTTGTAGTAACTCAAATTTACAAGGGGATGTGTTTAAGTATTTTTTCTTCTGGACCCAGGAAACAAAGTATTAAAGTCTGTCATGCCAGTGAAAGGAAATGAATGCTATTTATATCTCAGGGTAACATAAAGGGTAACCTAGTTTACCAGAGTAGAAGCCAGAGAGCATGTTAGCAAAATAGCCCCCGGGGTGGTTTTCTCTCTCACTCTCTCTTTCATCTTGTTTTGTCAGTACTAATAGGTAAAACTTGTGTGACCAACATATCCTTTTAGCATGGAGAAAATAAATTTGCTTTTGTTTATCTTAGAGAACAAATATTGCCCATCATTTCCACCGTTGTGGGAAGCTCTGCAGGCTCCTAAGTAACTTATTTTAAGTCACTTTGTTTCCTTAAACAAAAGAGAACTGTATTCGTTTTTCTTCTTCCTTTTGTTGTTCCCCTCTCCATTTTCCTTCTTTGGGCCATTTAATCCAGTTTTATGTTTCTAGTACAAGAGAACCCCCTAAAGATTCTTTTTTTCTTCTGAAAACAGTTTGTTTTGGAATTCTGCAGTTATTGTTGAGAGCAAGTGAGGTGACCCACAAACACTCAGTTAGAAGTGGAGCTTTGAACAGAAAAATCCTCAGGGAGGGACAGTTCAGGAAGAGGGAGGCATCAATATATTTATTAGAGGAAAGATACTGTACTGTTGGAGGATAGATGCTAGCTGACTTGCATGTTTTTCTTTGCTACTTAAAATATACTGTTAGCCCGGCACAGTGGTGCGCACCTGTAGTCCCAGCTACTCGGAGGCTGAGGCAGGAGTCTTGCTTGAGGAGTTCCAGACCAGCCTGGGCAACATAGTGATATCTCTAAATTTAAATAGATAAATATATAAAATAAATTACGCTCTAACAGTTTTGTTATTGGTGATCCATACATGAACTGAAGCTAGCAAATATGAATGAGAAGAGACTTTCTTTCTTGGAATGCCAATGATGAGAATTTAAACAAAGTGGATGTCAAGAGGCCTGGACATTTTTCTTTTTCTTTTCTTCATGGTTCCTTGGTGCACTATTACTTTCTCTTTTTGTTTTTATTTATTTTTATTTTTATTTTATTTTATTTTTTTGAGACGGAGTCTCACTCTGTCACCCAGGCTGGAGTGCAGTGGTGTGATCTCTGCTCACTGCAGCCTCCACCTCCTGGGTTTAAGCAGTTCTCCTGCCTCAGCCTCCCAAGTAGCTGAGATTACAGGCATGTGCTAACATGTCTGGCTACTCTTTGTATTTTCAGTAAAGACGGGGTTTCAACATGTTGGCCAGGCTGATCTTGAACTCCTGATTTCAGGTGATCTGCCCACCTTGGCCTCCCAAAGTGCTGGGATTATAGGCGTGAGCCATCATGCCTGGACTAATTTTTATATTTTTAGTAGAGACAGGGTTTCACCATGTTGGCCAGGCTGGTCTTGAACTCCTGACCTCAAGTGATTCAGCCTGCCTTGGCCTCCCAAAGTGCTGGCATTACAGGTGTGAGCCACCATGCGCAGCCTCTTTTTGTTTTTAGAGACGAGATCTCCCTGTGTTGCCCAGGCCGGTCTCAAACTCCTGACCTCAAGTGATCTTCCCGCCTCTGCCTCCCAAAGTGCTGGGATTACAGGCATGAGCCACCGCGCTTGACCTCTTTGTACGATATTAAACGTGTGTCTCAACTTTCCTCTTATGTCTTTAAAATGGGAGTGAATGTTTGCCTCCTGGAAAGTCACACAGGACTTAAGCAATGCTAATTATTTAGACGTGCTTTCATTTGGGAAATACAATTAGAAATGGGAAATGCTGGCCAGCAGCGGTGGCTCATGCCTGTAATCCCAGCACTTTGGGAGGCTGAGGTGGGCGGGTCACTTGAGGCCAGGAGTTTGAGATCAGCCTGGTCAACATGGCGAAACCCTGTTTCTACTAAAAATACAAAAATTAGCCCGGCAGGGTGGCACATGCCTGTAGTCCCAGCTAGTCAAGAGGCTGAGGTACGAGAATCGCTTGAACCCCAGAGGTGGAGGTTGCAGTGAGCCGAGATCACGCCACTGCACTCCAGCCTGGGCAAGAGCGAGACTCTGTCTCAAAAAAAAAAAAGAAAAAGAAATGGTAAATGCTCACCTCTGAGAACTGAGAACCTGGCTGCTGTCTTCAGGGTCTATCCTAGGGGGATTTCTTCCTGATAAGAACTGCATTGGCTGGGCACAGTGGCTCAGGCCTGTAATCTCAGCACTTTGGGAGGCTGAGGCAGGTGGATCACCTGAGGTCAGGAGTTTGAGACCAGCCTGGCCAACATGGTGAAAACCTGTCTTTACTAAAAATACAAAAATTAGCCAGGTGTGGTGGCTTGCGTCTGTAATCTGCGTGCCACTTGGGAAGCTGAGACAGAAGAATCACTTGAACCCTGGAGGCAGAGGTTGCAGTGAGCAGAGATCACGCCACTGCACTCCAGCCTGGGCGACACAGCGAGACTCCATCTCAAAAAAAAAAAAGAACTGCACTTACTCCTTTCCTCCCTCCATTTTCATATTTCTGAATGCAGTCACTAACAACCTCAGGGTATCCTTGACTCTTCCCTCTGCTCTCATGTCTAATAAGCAAATTCTGTTCATTTTTTTTTTTCTGCAGTGCCTCTCCTATCTACCCACATTTCAAAATCCCCCTTATTCATGTTGGTATCCTCTTAGCTGAACTGTTGCAGTAGTCTTCTTGTAAGTCTTCCCAACCTCAAGTTTCCCTCTCCTTTAGGGATCTCCTTAGAACATAACTTTGATCGTATTCTACTATTTTGTATGTGAACTTCAATATTGTACCACTCCCTGTTGCCTATAGAATAAAGCTCAAATTCCTTAGTATAGTGGTCAAGTCCTGCACTGCCTGACCTCAGCCTGCTTCTCTGTCTGGTCTTATCTGCTACAACTTATCTTCATTTCCTTTTACTTCAAACTTGACTGCTTATTATTTCTGGATAAAGCCCTGTACTTTTTCACCTATTTGTTGACTTCTCATTCAGCTACATTTTTGTAAGCTTGAACTTGCTGCTTTTAGCATTTTGCATTCTCTCTCCTTCCCAAATGACAGCCGAATGCCTTGTACATCAGTAGGTGCTCAAAAAATGTCTGTCTCTGGTTGAATTGTAGAGACCCATACAATTTCTAGCCCAAGGTGCTTTGTGGCCTCAACAACTCCTGCCCCCTTCCTCTTTGAGCATGCTCTGCATCTCTGTGTTGCCCTCCCCGCTTCCTGGTTTGCTCTTGCCCACTTCTCTTTTAGCTTTATCACCAGACCACAGACAGTTCACAGAAGGCCCACTGAAGGGAAGCCTGAGAAGGAAAAATTCAAGTCATCTCTCCAGGGGCCTATCACCACTAACCAACCTGTTGCCGTAAAGTAATTGCACTGTAGTCTTCCTCCTTGAAAGCTAAACTGGTCATATTTAGTCCTTGCCAGCCTAAATTGGATTTGCACAGGGTGCAAATTGGATTTCCAGTCTAGAACTTACAGGTTTGCTTGGCATGAGATGTGTTTTTAGAGATGTCTGTGTTCATTTTATTTTATTTTATTTTATTTATTTTTTTGAGACGGAGTCTCGCTGTGTCACCCAGGCTGGACTGCAGTGGTGCGATCTTGGCTCACTGCAAGCTCCGCCTCCTGGGTTCATGCCATTCTTCTGCCTCAGCCTCCCAAGTAGCTGGGACTACAGGCGCCTGCCACCATGCCCGGCTAGTTTTTTGTATTTTTTAGTAGAGATGGGGTTTCACCGTGTTAGCCAGAATGGTCTCAATCTCCTGACCTCGGCCTCCCAAAGTGCTGGGATTACAGGTGTGAGCCACCGCGCCTGGCTTATTTCATTTTTTGAAACGGAGCCCAGCTTATTTCATTTTTTGAGACGGAGTTCACTCTGTCACCCAGGCTGGAGTGCAGTGACATGATCTCGACTCACCTTAACATCCACCTCCCAGGTTCAAGCAGTTCTCCTGTCTCAGCCTCCCAAGTAGCTGGGACTACAGACATGTGCCACCATGTCTGGCTAACTTTTATTTATTTTTATTATTTTTATTTTCATTTTTTTGAGACAGATTCTAGCTCTGTCACCTAGGCTAAAGTGCAGTGGCATGATCTCAACTCACTGCAACCTTCACCTCCCATGTTCAAGTGGTTCTCCTGCCTCAGCCTCCTACGTAGCCAGGACTACAGGTGTCTGCCACCACACCCAGCTCATTTTTATTTATTTTTAGTTTTTTGAGACAGTCTTGCTCTGTTGCCCAGGCTGGAGTGCAGTGGCATGATCTCGGCTCATTGCAGCTTCCACCTCCTGGGTTCAAGCAGTTCTCCTGCCTCAACCTCCTGAGTAGCTGGGATTACAGGCGCTCGCCAGCAAGCCCGTTACAGGTGCCCGCCACCACGCCTGGCTAAGTTTTGTATTAGTAGAGACGGAGTTTTGCTATGTTGGCCTGGCTAGTCTCGAACTCCTGACCTCAGGTGATCCACCTGCCTTGGCTTCCCAAAGTGCTAGGATTACAGGCGTGAGCCACCACGCCTGGTCTTTATTTTATTCATTATTATTTTTAAAAAATTTTTGTATTTTTAGTAGAGACAGGGTTTCACCACGTTGGCCAGACTGGTCTCGAACTCCTGACCTCAGGTGATCCTCCCACCTCAGCCTCCCAAAGTGTGGAGATAATAGGCGTGAGGCACTGCGCCTGGCCCTGTGTTCATTTTAAATGATAGAATCTATGGCACTTCTTTTTAAAGCTGTGAGATATTTGAGAAATGTAAAAGAAATGAAAAAAGAAAACTAAACATGGTTATTTAACTTTGAAGAAAGTAACAAAACAATTTGGGATGGTGGCAAAGCTGAACTGGAAAAAATGGATTTTTTCCATTCTTTTCAATGCCAGGTGCCCTGTGTTATGAATGTCACTCAAGAGTTACCTGCCCTGTGTACTATGTGCTAGGTAAACAGCTCCTTTTTGTCATAAGAGTAAAATCCAAACTCTACATGGCGTTTGAAGTCTTACAGTTTAGCCTAAATTTACTACTGTTGTTATCATTATTAGTAGCACTTACCATTTATTAAGCACTTACTTTGAGTCCATGGGCCTTACACTGTGTCACAAAAATTCCATAAGAGGATCTCTATTATTTTTATTTATTGATTTATTTTTGAGATGGAGTCTTACTCTGTCACCCAGTCTGGAGTGCAGTGACGCGATCTCGGCTCACTGCAAACTCCACCTCCCGTGTTCACGCCATTCTCCTGCCTCAGCCTCCTGAGTAGCTGGGACTACAGGCGCCCGCCACCACGCCCGCCTGATTTTTTGAATTTTTAGTAGAGACAGGGTTTCACTGTGTTAGCCAGGATGGTCTCGATCTCCTGACCTTGTGATATGCCTGCCTCGGCCTCCCAAGGCTCTGGGATTACAGGTGTGAGCCACCGCGCCTGGCCGAGGATCTCTGTTTTTCAGCTGGGAGATTGAGGCTTAGAGAGGGTAGGGTAACATGCTTGTGATCACTCATCTGGTCATTGGCGGAGTCGAAAATAGAACTCAGGTCGCACTTGAGACCTGACTCTTACACTCTTGTTCTTCTTCTTCTTTTTTTTTTTTGAGACAGAGTCTCACTCTGTCGCCCAGGCTGGAGTGCAGTGGTTTGATCTCGGCTCACTGCAACCTCCGCCTCCTGGGTCCAAGTGATTCTCCTGTCTCAGCCTCCCAAATAGCTGGGATTACAGGTGCCCACCACCACACCTGGGTAATACTTGTGTTTTTAGTAGAGACAGGGTTTCTCCATGTTGGCCAGGTTGGTCTCGAACTCCTGACCTCAAGTGATCTGCCTGCCTTGGCCTCCCAAAGTGCTGGGGTTATAGGCATGAGCCACCGCTCCCGGCCACATTCTTCTTTTGTATCCCTAGTGCTTCTCAAATAAAACTTTTCCCTACTTATTTATCCTACTTATTATTACTTGTTTCCAAGCATACCATAATGCCCTATCTTTGTGCTTTTGCTGAAGTTAAATTTTCTCTGCCAGAAATGCTTTCTGAGCCTCTCGTTTTCTCATCAGTGATATAGTTTATTGGTTGAGAGCACAGACTCTTGGCTCAGATTCCCTGGGTTTGAACCCTGGCTGTGTGCCATTTACTACTGTGTGCTCTTGGGCAAGTTATTTAACCTCTCTGTGTATATCTCCTGGTCTGTAACGTGGACATAATAACAGCACCTACCTCATAGAGTAGTTGTGAGGATAAAATATATGTAAAGTGATTTAAACAGTGCTCAATACGTAGTAAGCCTTAAGTATTAGTTTTTGTTTGTTTGTTTGTTTGTTTTTTTAAGATGTAGTCTTGCTGTGTTGCCCAGGCTGGAGTGCAGTGGCATGATCTTGGCTCACTGCAACCTCTGCCTCCTGGGTCAAGTGATTCTTGTGCCTCAGCCTCCCGAGTAGCTGGGATTATAGGCGCCTGCCACCACGCCTGGCTAATTTTTTTTTGTATTTTTAGTAGAGATGGGGTTTCGCCATTTTGGCCAGGCTGGTCTTGAACTCCTGACCTCAGGTGATCTGCCCACCTCGGCTTCCCGGCTTCCCAAAGTGCTGGGATTACAGGCATGAACCACTGCTGGCCAAGTATTTGCTCTTAATATTATTAGTATTTATAATACTATCATTGTCATCATCAACAGAGCCTGACTTGTATTCTAGGTAGTTGGATCTAGAGTGGTTTATTTCCCCATGAATTCTTTGCTAGTATGTAAGGCCCTGTCTCAGACTTAGAGAGCCCTTGGAATGTCCCCCTGGTGGTGTGTGCAGGGCATGATCTTGCTGGCAAACATTGAACCTACTCACTTAATCCGGTCAGTTTGAACTGTCAGGTATTCTGAAGCACATGGTTTGCAGGTATTTTGCTTGCATGGTTTTGCAGGTTCTTCCAGTGTGCTGGAAATGGGATGCAAAGGCTGGTGACTGAGAAGATAGGAGGGGACACCTCCTCCTAGACCTAATAGGTGCTCAGGAAGGGTAGAACGTGATCTCCACCCAGCAGTGACAGCCACACTCCCACATATCCTGTACAGACTGTGCTGATACTTTTGCTTGGTTATCCAAACAGATTTAAACCTTCTATTCACATCGTACTTACCCTTGGGAGTTTATAGTTTCATTGATGATGATGTCCTCATGCATGCAAAATGGGAGGCTGTGGGACTTTGGAGTCAAGCAGATCTGGGTTTTAATGTCAGCTGCACCATTTACTGGCTCTATGTCCTTGAGCATGTCTGCTATCTGCTCTAGGCCTCAATTTCCTTATTTGTAAAACAAGGCTAATAATCAGACACAATGCATGAAGCATTGAACGTATTACCTAACTATGAGAGGTACTTGATAAATGGTAGTCATCATTATTAAAGCAGTGGGGGATTAGGAGTGATGGAGAAGAGGGAGAGGAACAGTTCCTGAATGTCTGCTGTGTACCAGGCATTGTGCTAGGTTCGTGACCCATGTAGATTGTATTTGTTTATCCTTTTGAGGTCTCCGTAAATATGGTAGCATTACTTCCATTTTACAAATGAGGAAGCAAATTAAGTAATTTGTTTGAGGTTTCATAAGAGGTGATGGATGGAGTCAGTAACATCACCAGCTCTATTTTATTCCAAAGCCCAAGGCATTTTCCAAAACAGTCTAATGTTTCTTAAAGTGCCAGACACATTATATAGACAGGAAGACACTCAAAATTCAGAGAAATGACTACTGAGAACTTATGTGGCTGGGGAGGGCTTCATGAAGGAGGAGGTGGGAGTTGAGGCTGGGCTTCGAAGGAGAGGTGGCCAAAAAGTAGGAGTAACTTCATATGAAGGCAGGAGTGCGGATGGCATGTGTGAAGAATCTATCCTTTTAGATCAGGCTGTCTTTGGGTGATGGATTGATGAAGGAGAGTAGAGCCATTTGCAAAGGGCGTCAGATGCCAATTGAACCAGTTTGGGTCTTAACCTGTACAGGAAGATTTAGAGCAGAGAGATGAAATCAGAGTTTAATCAGGCCAAGTGCAGAGGCTAAATGGGTAGGGAGAAGTGGGAAGATCTCTTAGTTGGGAGACTCCTGAGGTAGCAAGTGAGGAGATGGTAGCCTGGAGGAAGGCAGCTGTGAGACTGAAGAAATGGATGACTAACTCTCTCTGGGGGGCCAAGGAGAGAGGTGAGCCGATGGCAAGACTGTACACCTGGCTGATAGGAAGAATGATGGTGCTGGTAATAGGCGGGAGAGCTCAGGGAAAGAGTCCAGAATCAGACTACAGTTTTACCTGGGTCCCCCCTGCATACAGAACGTCTTGTAGAAATGCCCAGGGGATGGTGGAGGTGCTGAGCTCAGACAGGGCTGGACAGCCTCATTCATAATCAACCAGGATGGCTGGTGGGTTCCTTGTAGAAGAGGAAGAACAAGGTCTAGATTTGCACTGTCCAATGTGCTAGTCACTAGCCATGTATGGCTATTTTATTTATTTATTTATTTTTAAGAGATGGGGTCTTGCTATGTTGATTGACTAGGCTAGTCTCGAACTCCTGGTCCCAAGCCATCCTCCCATCGTGAACTCCCAAAGTGCTGGGATTACAGGCTAAACTTAATTTAGGTAAAATCAAATTAAAAACTTCAGTTTTTTGGCTGGGCACAGTGGCTCATGCCTGTAATCCCAGCACTTTGGGAGGCCTAGGCAGGCTGATTGCTTGAGGTCAGGAGTTTGATAGCAGCCTGGCCAACATGGTGAAACCATGTCTCTACTGAAAATACAAAAATTATCCGGGTGTGGTGGCGCATGCCTGTAATCCCAGCTACTCGGGAGGCTGAGGCAGGAGAATTGCTTGAACTCAGGAGGCAGAGGTTGCAGTGAGCCGAGATCGCGCTACTGCACTTCAGCCTGAGTGATAGAGCGTGACCCTTTCTCAAATATATATATATATATATATATATATATATAATTATTTTTTTTTTTCCCCCGAGACGGAGTCTTGCTTTGTCACCCAGGCAGGAGTGCAGTGGCACAATCTCGGCTCACTGCAACCTCTGCCTCCCGGGTTCAAGCAATTCTCCTGCCTCAGCCTCCCGAGTAGCTGGGATTATCGGCGCCCACCACCATGCCCAGCTAATTTTTATATTTTTAGTAGAGACGGGGTTTCACCATGTTGGTCAGGCTGGTCTCGAACTCCTGACTGCCTGATCTGCTTGCCTCGGCCTCCCAAAGTGCTAGGATTACAGGCATGAGCCACTGGGCCCGGTCTCAAGCCATATTTTAAGTGTTCAATATATATTGGACAACACAGTTATAGAATATTTTCATCATCAAAAAGGTTCTATTGGACAGTACTGGTCTAGGGCTTGAGGAGTACCTACAAATAACTAAGGGGCCTCGAGGAGGAAATAGAGCAAAAGGAGGCAGAAGGAGCAATTGAATGAAGAAATAATGTTGCTGCCTCTCAGATGATTCTCAAAACAAATGGGGTATTTCCATTTTGGTTTGAATTTATTTATTTTTTCTTTGTATGATGGCATGTTTTAGAAAAAGCCCAGACTGGCTGGACGCAGTGGTTCACGCCTGTAATCCCAGCACTTTGGGAGGCTGAGGCAGGCGGATCACCTGAGGTCGGGAGTTCGAGACCAGCCTGACCAACATGGAGAAACCCCATCTCTACTAAAAATACAAAATTAGCCGGGCGTAGTGGCGCATGCCTGTAATCCCAGCTACTCGGGAGGCTGAGGCAAGAGAATCGCTTGAACCGGGGAGGCAGAGGTTGTGGTGAGCCGAGATCGTGCCATTGCACTCTAGCCTGGGCAACAAGAGCAAAACTCTGCCTCAAAAAAAAGAAAAAAAAAAAAATGAAAGAAAAAGAAAAAGCCCAGACTGCAGTGGCTCATGCCTGTAATCTCAGCATTTTGGGAGGTCGAGGTGGGCGGATCACTTGAGGTCAGGAGTTCGAGACCAGACTGGGCAAGATGGCAAAACCCCATCTCTACTAAAAGTTCAAAAATAAGCTGGGTGTAGTGGTGGGTGCCTGTAATCCTAGCTACTTGGGAGGCTAAGGCACAAGAATCGCTTGAACCTGGGAGGCAGAGATTGTAGTGAGCCAAGATTGCACCACTGAACTCCAGCCTGGGTGACAGAGCGAGACTCCATCTCAAAAAAAAAAAGGAAAAAGAAAAACCCAGACACCAATTCAGTGGTAGGCCTGGCTACCGGATGTTAAAATCAAGGCCTTGCTGCCTATCTTTGTTTTATAGGTCTGGGCCTTCAACAGATCTTATTTGGCTTCTAGAACACCTCTTGGTCATGCAGTGAGGGATACCCTCAAGTTAACTATGGGAAAAGAAGACAGCAATTGTATGAGGCAGACACTGTTATCTTATTCACATGAGGAAGCAGATGCTTAGAGAAGTTAGATAACTTTCTCAATATAACGTGTCTTTGACTCCAAAGCCTGTGTATGTATATAAAACACAAAAAACATGTTATTATAGCTAACTATAGGAAATACATATAAGCAAAAAGAAAAAGAAATCTAATCACTGAGAAATGACTACTGTTAACATTTTGCTGTGCACCCTTCCAGACTTTCCATGTGTCTGTGTCTGAGTCCATACAAATACAGCATATGTGAATATTTATAAGTGTGGTATCTATGCACACAGACATATACTCCAGTCCTTTCTAATGCATATAGGTATTGTCAGGCCATGCTCATTAACTACCATCCTCAATCCCTTATCAGCAGTTCTGAAGTCCTGAAAGCTCTGAAGGCTGGAACAAATTTTTCTTGTAAGTTTGACCCAAGCTCAATTTGGCAGTAAGACTTGCTTGAACTGACATGAGACTATTTATAGGCTTTGTTTCTCTCACTAAGTATTACTCTTCGTAAGTTATACTGTGGAAATATGAAAGCGTTTGATTAACTGGGTATTGCCTCAGACCCTGCTGGGGTTGTTATGTAGTATTTGATACAGGTAATGTGTTATCTTCCTAAAATCTCCCACATTCTGAATTCCAAAATGCACTTGGCCCAAGAGGCTTCAGATAAGGGCTTGTGGGTCTATATTAGGCTATGTTGCTGCTTGGGCTGAGGAAGGCACCTCAAGGGTCAACACTGTCTATTTAGTGAGGCATGTGAGAGTTTTGGTTCTACACAATATGCAGTACAAAGCACAGAATTTGCAAGAAAAATAGAACACTTGCACTTTTACACATCGCAATCAAGCTGCAGTTGTTACTGTAGCTTGTTGACTTACTAGGTAGGCTGCTCCTAGGGAAATGGTTTCAATTGTCGGCATGAAAGGTGGTCAATGAGAGTACACAGAAAAATCACACTGAGCTTAATCTGCCTGGGGACTGTTTGTTTAGGGTGTGTTTACTGACTGCCTGGTGTGTGCCATATATTGTGGTGAGCTGGGGCCAGAGATAGCACATTGGTCCCTGCTTCCAAGAAGCTAGTGGTCTAGGTGTAGAGGTAAGACAGATAAGAACAATTAAACCCAGGTATGATCCCATTATCATAATGGAACCATTATCATGCCTTGATGGAAGTAAGCACTGAGTTATGTGAGAATGTATGGAGGGGGCCAGAGAAAGTTTTTTGAAGATAACTCCTGAACTGAGTCTTGAAGGATGAGTTTGTAGTTCATCACGTGAAGGTGGAATTGGGATATGGAAAGATATACCCAGGATCAGGGGTGGAGTGAATAGGCAGTGTGTGAAAAGGTAAGTTTGGTGTGACTGGATTGGGAGGTAAGAGAGAGAAGCTTCCAGTGGGGATGGGAAATGGGGCTGGAGAGGAAGTCTGAAGCTATTTATAAAGATCTTTTCATGCAATCCTCAGAGGTTTGGGTTTTGTTCCAAAAATTGTTACCGGAAAGGGGTCCCGAGCCAGACTCCAAGAGAGGGTTCTTGGATCTTGAGCAAGAAAGAATTCAAAGCGAATCTATAGAGTAAAGTAAAGGCAAATTTATTAAGAAAGTAAAGTAATAAAGAATGGCTACTCCATAGACAGAGCAGCCCTGAGGGCTACTGGTTGCCGTTTTAATTTTTTAAAATTTCTTGATTATATGCTAAACAAGGGGTGGATTATGTCACGTGCTTCCATGTGAAGAGTCCACCAACAGGCTTTGTGTGAGTAACAAGGCTGTTTATTTCACCTGGGTGCAGGTGGGCTGAGTCTGAAAAAGGAGTCAGCAAAGGGTGGCAGGATTATCATTAGTTCTTATAGGTTTGGGATAGGTGTACAAAGTACATTCTCAAGGGCGGGGAGAATATTACGAAGCACCTTCTTAAGTGGGGGGGTAGAATATATCCTATCAGTTAGGGTGGGGCAGGAACAAATCACAATGGTAGAATGTCATCAGTTAAGGCTATTTTCAGTTCTTTTGTGGATCTTCAGTTGCTTCAGGCCATCTGGATGTATACATGCAGGTCACAGGATATGATGATTTAGCTTGGGCTTAGAGACCTGACATTCCTGTCTTCTTATATTAATAAGAAAAACAAAACAAAATGGTGGTGAAGTGTTGGGGTGGCGAAAATTTTTTAGGGGCGATGTGGAGAGATAATGAGCAATGTTTCTCTGGGCTGCTTCGAGCAGGATTAGGGGTGGCATGGGAACCTACAGTGGGAGAGATTAAACTGAAGAAAGATTTTGGGGTAGGGGGTGATATTGTGGGGTTGTTAGAAGGAGCATTTGTCATATAGAATGATTGGTGATGGCCTGGATGCGGTTTTGTAAGAATTGGGAAACTAAACGGAAGACACAAGGTCCTAATAAGAGAAGGAGAAAAACAGGTATTAAAGGACTAAGAATTGGGAGGACCCAGGATATCCAATTAGAGAGTGTCCAAGGGGGTTCAGCGTAATTATTTGATTGGTTGGCGAGTTTTGGGGCTCTATCCTTGAGTTTTTTTATGTTGTCATATACCAGGCCAGATTGATTTAGGTAAAAACAACACTCTTCATTTAAAAAATGTTTTTTGTTGTTTTTGTTTTTGTTTTTTGAGACAGACTCTTGCTTTGTTGCCCAGGCTGGAGTGCAGTGGCGTGATCTCGGCTCACTGCAAGCTCCGCCTTCCGGGTTCACACCATTCTCCTGCCTCAGCCTCCCAAGAAGCTGGGACTACAGGCACCCGCCACCACGCCCAGCTAAGTTTTTGTATTCTTAGTAGAGACAGAATTTCACTGTGTTAGCCAGGATGGTCTCGATCTCCTGACCTCGTGATCTGCCCACCTCAGTGTTCCAAAGTGCTGGGATTGCAGGCATGAGCCACTGCGCCTGGCCCAGAGTCCCCCTTTTTTTTTTTTTTTAGCAGTGAGTAAGTCGAGGCCTCTGTGATTTTAGAGGAAAGAGAAATGCAAAGCCAGCAATTGTTTGTTAAAGAAGGTTTAGAAACAGCTAGGAGAGAGTGAGTGAGATTGATAGTGTGGTGGAGATAGCTGGGGAGAGGTAGAGGATGGCATAAGAATGGGAATGAGAATAAGAGTGAGTATAAAAGTAAAGAATAGGACTTCATCAGGGTAAAAGTATCGGAGGGTGCCCTGTCAGCAAAGTTCATCTATCCACTCTAAGAGGGAGTCAAGAGTGGCGGATTGGGGATAGTACCAGGAGATATCCGCTACAATGGTTTGGAGGAAAAGCGTAAACCAGCAGTGTAAACAAGGGCAGGGCATTTACAAGTAGTTGAGAATGGTGAATAGGAGTATGACTAGACAGAAGATAGGGATGACAAGTTTTTGGGGCACAGAACAAGTAGTGGGGGTGACTGCGTAAAGCCCTATTGCAAAAAGTAGGGTAAGGATGAATAGACCTAATAGAATGAAGGGTTGTATTAGGCTCATAAGGGTTATTACTGCTCTTCAGAAATGCAAATAAGTTTAAGGAAAGTAGGGGTGAACACTTGTGACTTCCAGGAGGAAGAGGAGAGATCAGGCTGGCTGTTTGACGGGCACAGCTTTATTCTGGAATGATGAACCTAATGGTGGGGCATCCTGCAGACGAACAGCCATTGGGGTACTATAGATGACTAAGTGGGGTCCAGTCCATGGAGGTTGTAGAGTTTGAGGGGTCAGATTCTTAACAAGAACTGATCATCCAGCTAGGGTGTCTTCATATGGCTGGGAATCTGGAGTAGGCAAGAGAAGATGAGCAGCCTAGCGAATTTCCTGTCTAGCCTGCTGGAGGACTGGAAGATAGTTGCCTAGAGGGCTGGTGTCTGGGACGAGGTCAGGGCTGAGCAAGAAAGTGCGTCCATATAAAAGTTCAAATGGACAGTACCCTGTAGCATCTCGAGGACAGGCTCTAATTCTGAGAAGGGCAAAGTACTGTCCAGTCCTGGCCGTGAGGGACAGAAGTTGGAAAGCTAGCTGCTTCTTTAACTACCTTATCAGCATAAGCGTTGCCCTGAGCAGTGGGATCTGATGCCTTTTGATGGCCCTTGCAGTGAATGACTCCAGCTTCCTTTGGAAGTAAAACAGCCTTGAGAAGAGTATTTATTAAAGAGGCATTAATGATGGAGGACCCTTGAGTAGTGAGGAAACCTCTTTCTGCCCATATAACAGCATGGTGGTGCAGGATATGGAAGGCATATTTAGAGTCAGTATAAATATTGACTCGTAGTCCTTTTGCAAGAATGAGGGCCCAAGTTAAGGCAATGAGTTTAGCTTGCTGAGAGGTAGTGGAGGGGGTCAGAGTGGTAGCCTCAATGATAGATGTGAAAGATACTATAGCATAGCCTCCCTTTGCTGGTGAGTGGCGATTAGGCCTGGTGGAACTGCCATCAATAAACCAAGTGTTATCAGGGTGAGGAACAGGAAAGAAGGAAATATGGGGAAATGGAGTGAATGTCAGGTGGATCAGAGAGATACAGTCATGGGGATCAGGTGTGGTATCCGGAATAATGTGGGAGGCCGGATTGAAGTCTGGGCCAGGAACAATAGTAACTGTGGGAGACTCAACAAAGAGTGAGTATAGCTGAAAGAGCTGGGGGGCAGAAAGTATATGCGTCAAGTGTGAGGAGGAAAATAGATTTTGAAAGTTATGGGAACTGTAGAGAGTAAGTGGAGCATAGCTTGTGATTTTGAGGGCCTCTAAAAGTATTAAAGCAGCGGCAGCCACCACACGCAGACGTAAGGGCTAGGCTAAAAGAGTAAGGTCAAGTTGTTTGGACAGAAAGGCTCCAGGGCGCGGTCCCGGCTCTTGTGTAAGAATTCCGACCACACAGCCCTGCACTTCAGCTGTGTGTAATGAAAAAGGTTGGGATGAGTTAGGGAGAGGTAGTGTGGGAGCATCTTTTAGGGCTGTTTTTTAAGGAATGGAAAGGGGAGTGGGGAAAGGATTTAGGATTTATGGGGTCAGCTAGGTTTATCTAGAACAGAATAATGGGTTGTGGAGGGAGGTATTGAGGATGGGAGAATATATGGCTTTGGCACCACAGGGTGGATAGGCAAGACAATTTGGTCGATAGGGTGCAGATCCTGAACTAACCTGTAAGACTCGTGTAGTTTTTGGACAGGTAAAATGGGGAATTGTAAGGAGAGTTTATAGGCTTTAAAAGGCCATGCTGTAGCAGGTGAGTGATAACAGGCTTTAATCCTTTTAAAGCGTGCTGTGGGATGGGATATTGGCATTGAGCAGGGTAAGGGTGATTAGGTTTTAATGGGATGGTAAGGGGTGCATCATCCGTTGCCAAGGAGGGAGTAGAGGTGTCCTATACTTGTGGATTAAGGTGGGGAGATACAAGGAGAGGATGTGAAGGAGGCTTTGAACTGGGGGAAAAGGAGGCAATGAGGTGTGGCTGTAGCCCAGGAATAGTCAGGGAAGCAGAAAATTTAGTTAAAATGTCTCAACCTAATAAGGGAGCTGGGCAGGTGAGGATAACTAAAAAGGAGTGCATAAAAGAATGTTTTCCAAGTTGGCACCAGAGTTGGGGAGTTTTAGGAGGTTTAGACGCCTGGCTGTCAATACCCACAACAGTTATGGAGGCAAGGGAAACACGCCCTTGGAAAGAAGGTAATGTGGAGTGTGTAGCTTCCGTATTGATAAAGAAGAGGATGGACTTACCCTCCACTGTAAGAGTTATCCAGAGCATCTGTGATGGTCCTGTAGGCTTCCGAGGCGATCGGGCAGTGTCAGTCTTCAGCCGCTAAGCTGAGACGATCTGGGAAGGAGTCAGTCAGAGAGCCTTGGGCCAGAGTTCCAGGGGCTCTGGGAGTGGCTGCTGGGTGAGTTGGACAGTCTGATTTCCAGTGGGGTCCTGCACAGATGGGACACGGCTTAGGAGGAATCCCAGGCTGCAGGCATTCCTTGGCCCAGTGGCCAGATTTCCAGCACTAGAAGCAAGATCCTGGGGAGGCGGTCCTGGAGGAATGCCTGACCCCTGAGGTTTAGGCGTTTTGAAGTTCTTGTGTGCTGGAGATGTAGCTGGGGTTTCTCTCACAGCGGAGGCAAGTAATTACAACTCTTCTGTATTACTGTACCCCTTGAAGGTGAGGTCAATTAAGTACTGTTGGGGGGTTGAAGGCCAGAATCTAATTTTTGGAGATTTTTCTAATGTCAGGAGTGGGTTGGGTAATAAAATGTGTATTGAGAATAAGACAGCCTTCTGGCCCCTCTGGGTCTAGGGCGGTAAAGCATCTAAGGGTTGTTGCCAAACGGGCCATGGACTGGGCTGGGTTTTCATATTTGATGAAAAAGAGCCTAAACGCTAACTGATTTGGGAGAGGTTGGATAAAGAAAAAGGAGGATTAACCTTGGCTATGCCTTCAGCTCCAGCCACCTCTCTGAGAGGAAATTGTTGGGCAGGTGGGGGAGGGCTGGTCACGGAATGAAACTGTAAGCCAGACCGGGTGTGAGGAGGGGAGGTAATAGAAGGGTTATAGGGTGGGGGAGCAGAGGTTGAAGAAGAGTTGGGAGCTGGCTCGGCCTGGCAAGGAGCAGCCTGGGGAGGAGGGTAGAGGTCAGATGGGTCTGTAGAAAAGGAGGATTCCCAGGATTCAGAGCTTGGGGTGGAGACTGAAGGAACAGACAGGAGAGAAAGAAGAAAGCTTTGGGATGAATCTCATTGGGAACAGAGATTAGGAAGGGACCGATGTGTAAAAGAATGCCTGGACGTCAGGCACCTCAGACCATTTGCCCATTTTATGACAAGAATTATCTAGATCTTGTAGGATGGAGAAATCGAAAGTGTCATTTTCTGGCTATTTGGAATCATTGTCAAGTTTGTATTGGGGCCAAGCGGTGTTGTAGAAGAAAATAAGACGCTTAGGTTTTAGGTCAGGTGTGAGTTGAAGAGGTTTTAAGTTTTTGAGAACACAGGCTAAAGGAGAAGAAGGGAGAATGGCGAGTGGAAGGTTGCCCATAGTGAAGGAGGTAAGTTTAAAGAGAAAGGTAGAGACATGGAGAAGTGGGTGGGTGAGCAGCCCTGGGCTGCAATGTGGGTGAGCAGCCAAAGCAGGCATCCCTGCAATTGACTTGCCACCAAGGGAATGTGGGTGAATGACTAAGGCAGGTGTCCCCGCAGTGATCAGACACCAGTGGAGGGTGGGTGAATAATCAGGCAGGCATCTCCGCAGTGATTAAACACCAAGGGAAGACTATCTTCCCGAGTCCGTGACTGGCGCCAGAGTTTTGGGTCCACGGATAAAATGTGTCTCCTTGTCTCTTTTTTTTTTTTTTTCCTTTTTCTGGAGAACGGGGTCTCGCTATATTGCCCAGGCAGGTCTCGAACTCCTGGGCTCAAGCTATCCTCCCGCCTCTTAGCCTCCCTGAGAGCTGGGATTGCAGGCGTGAGCCACCGCACCTGGCCGTCTCCTTGTCTCTACTAGAGAGGAAAAAGAATTGGAATTGGAAGGACAGGGAGATTGAAGGGTAGCAAGAGAGGAAGATTGAAGGGTAGCAAGAGAGGCATGAGAAGAGTGAAAAGACTGCTTACCCAATTTGAAGTTGGTGAGATGTTCCTTGGGCTGGTTGGTCTGAGGACCTGAGGTCACGGAGTGAGGGCGAAGACAGGGGACTGGTCTCCTGAAGGAGTCCTCCTGTCCTGGGTTTTGGCACCAAATGTCACACGCATCCTTGTGAAGAGACCACCAACAGGCTTTGTGTGAGCAACAGGGCTGTTTATTTCACCTGGGTGCAGGTGGGCTGAGTCCGAGAAAGGAGTCAGCAAAGGTTGGTGGGATTATCATTAGTTTTTATACGTTTGGGATAGGTGTACAAAGTACATTCTTAAGGGCGGGGGAGAATATTACAAAGTACCTTCTTAAGGGCGGGGGAGAACATAGCCTATCACTTAGGGTGGGGCAGGAACAAATCACAATGGTGGAATGTCATCAGTTAAGGCTGTTTTCAGTTCTTTTGTGGATCTTCAGTTGCTTCAGGCCATCTGGATGTATACATGCAGGTCACAGGGGATATGATGGCTTAGCTTGGGCTCAGAGGCCTGACAGATTATTCATGCCTCCCCTTTTTAGACCATATAGGGTAACTTCCTGACATTACCGTGGCATTTGTAAATTGTCAAGGCACTGGAGGGAATGTAGCAATGAGGACGAGGTGGGTCACTCTCATGGCCATCTTGGTTTGGTGGGTGTTAGCAGGCTTCTTTACTTGAGCATGTTTTATCAGCAAGGTCTTTATGACCTGTGCCTTGTGCTGACCCTCACATCTCATCCAGTGACTTAGAATGCCTAACTGTCTGGGAATGCAGCCCAGCAGGTCTTAGCCTTATTTTACCTGGCCCCTATTCAAGATGGAGTTACTGTGGTTCAAATGCCTCTGATATTTCTCCCTCCCTTTTATAAAAGAGCCCTTAATCATAAGGGTTGCAAAGGGATGAAAATCCATCTTCTGTAACTTCTTCATGCTGAATAGGTCGATTATATTCCTGCCTAACTATGAGGGTCTCTTGTATTCAGGGTAGAGAGGAGCTCAGTCAGAAAGCAGCAGTATGGCAAGGCCATTCATGTCTCTTGAGTTCCAACAAAAGGTAATATCTGGAAGATTAATAAGTGTTCAATTTAAGAAAACATTCAGTAAGCTTATTGTGCGTTTCTACACAAAGAGTACAACAGCAATGTATTCCACAACGGTAAAGCAAAATAAGTGAAATTATTCCAAATAAACTAAATTAGAAGGCTTTTCATGAACTGGGCAACTGTTGGAACCAAGCTGATATGGGATTGCTAGCTGATTCCAATATATGCCCAGAATTAGAATATTGATCCAGGTTTTTACATTACCTATATCTCTTGTTTCTTCTGAGCTGCACCAGAGATCACTAGTTGGTTAATAGAAATAAGTAGGGTCAGTCTAAATTGCAGGAAAAAACGTAAACACAACTGATGAGACTAGAACCTAATAACCATAGGTTTTTTTTTTCTTTCTTTCTTTTTTTTTTTTTTGAGACAGAGTCTTACTCTGTTGCCCAAGCTGGAGGGCAGTGGTGCAATCTCGGCTCATTGCAACCTCCACCTGCTGGGTTCAGGCAATCCTCCTGTCTCAACCTCCCGAGTATCTGGGATTATAGGCACACACCACCATGCCTGGCTAATTTTTGTATTTTTTTTTAATAGAGATGAGGTTTCACCATGTTGGTCAGGCTGGTTTTGAACTGCTGACCTCAAGTGATCCACCCACCTCAGCCTCCCAAAGTGCTGGGATTCCAGGTGTGAGCCACCATGCCCAGCCTAACCATAGTTTTTGAAACATATATTTTTTTCCTCTCTCCAGTCTTTCATTTTTACTAAAGACAAATCATGGTAAGACCGATTTGCTTTATTATACTTGGACTGATTATTTGTATAAAGTGCAGCAAGAATAAATATTTTTTTACATAGGCTTTTAAAATTGGCTTTGATGGAAGTCTGCTTCTTAAGAAATCTTAGATAATACTTTTTTAAAGCTGAGCCCAGCCATGGGTTTGTATCCTGAAGTACCTGTAAGTTGGGTAAATTTCTCTCCTCTTGAGGTTCCAAGATAACTTGGGGCTCCTGGGCCTGTCAGAAAGTGACATTCTTTAATTACCACAGGTCAAGAACCCTGTACAGAGTCTGTAGCCAAGGTATGAGGCCAGTTTTCTCATGGGGCTTTTATTGGCTCTGTTAGTCAAATTTGATTCTTTAAAGGAAAACATACCATTCCAGTCAAAGCCTTGGTAAAATAACCAATTTCTCCAACTGTGTCCTATTGCAAAAAGAAACAGATTCTTATTGCACTTATGCAAATAATTATATTGCCATAAGTTGAGAATACTCACAAATAGTTTCCAAATTCTGAGAAATTAGGTAGAGTGAAACAAATACGGTCTAAATTTTGTTCACAGGAGTATACTTTACTCAATTTTTAAAAGATGTAAATAGCTCAAAAGAAAAGTTTTCTTGACTCTGAACAACAAAACAAGGGATCAGCAATGTTTTAAGCAAAGTCAAAAAGATTACTTTAGTCTTCTATTAGTTCAGTCCATGCAGTTAACTTCTGTTCTGATTGACATTCATGAACATTTCAGCTTTGCATGAGTCCTGAAAGTTTTTCCTCAATTCTAATGTCACAGTCTCCAAAGTTATTAGAAACCTGCATTCAAGAGCACTTTTCAAATTCCTATAGCTGATTAAAACCACCTTTGAAAGAGGATTAAAACAAGACAACAGTTGTCTGTGGATGACAAAATGTTTTAAGGCAGCCACAGTCAAAAACACAACTGACAAAGAAATTTGGTTACCACAGTGGCATGTAACAATTTTACATAACAATTGTAATTATTAGTAACATACACTAAGTCATGACAGAATTATAGGAGTTTTCCATAATTTTGGAACATATACCAATAACATATTTTTGTTTATTTATTTATTTATTTTTGAGACAGAATCTTGCTTTGTCACCCAGCCTGGAGTGCAGTGGCACAATGATCTCAGCTCACTGCAACCTCTGGCTCCAGGGTTCAAGCAATTCTCCTGCCTCAGCCTCTCAGATAGCTGGGACTACAGGTGTGCACTACCATGCCTAGCTAATTTTTGTATTTTTAGTAGAGATGGGGTTTCACCATGTTGGCCAGGCTGGTCTTGAACTCCTGACTTCAGGTGATCCGCCTGCCTTGGCCTCCCACAGTGCTGGGATTACAGGCTTGAGCCACCACGCCTGGCCTCAATAACATATTTATGCAAATACAGCCCAATGAAAGCCAAACACTATTTCATATTTGACAATGCTTCCTTTATGATTTATATACCAAATAAGCCAAACTTCACTTTGCATTAGTATACTATTAATGTTAAACCCAATTCTTAATAAAACCTTATAGACAAATCTATCCAACTTTAATGCCTGACCATAAGGTAAGATTTTCATTAACCTTTTATAACCCTTTAAAATTTTTTTTTTTTTTGAGATGGAGTTGTGCTCTTGTTTCCCAGGCAGGAGTGCAGTGGCACGATCTTGGCTCACCGCAACCTCTGCCTCCTGGGTTCGAGCTATTCTCCTGCCTCAGCCTCCCGAGTAGCTGGGATTACAGGCATGCACCACCACACCTGGCTAATTTTGTATTTTTAGTAGAGATGGGGTTTCTCCTTGTTGGTCAGGCTGGTCTCGAACTCCCAACCTCAGGTGATCCGCCCACCTCGGCCTCCCAAAGTGCTGGGATTACAGACATGAGCCAACGTGACTGGCCAACCCTTTGTAATTTTTTTTGTTGAAGAGCAGATTAGTGCTCTAAGAAAAACTTACTGTACTTTTATTCTAATATTTAATTTACAGAAAAACTGAATAATACCCTCTTAACTTTAGCCAGTATGTTCACACACAGAATTTCATTTACAAGATTAACAAACTCTTAAACTTTCAGTTTTATTCTATTTAACTTAAACAATCCTTTAACCCTTTAGGCGAAAAAAAAATCCACATTCCCGTGACTTCTTATTTATTTATTTATTATTTTTTTTTGAGACGGAGTCTTGCTCTGTCACCAGGCTGGAGCTCAGTGGTGCGATCTCGGCTCACTGCAATCTTTGCCTCCTGGGTTCAAGTGATTCCCTTGCCTCAGCCTCCTGAGTAGATGGGACTACAGGCACGCATCACCATGCCTGACTAATTTTTTGTATTTTAGTAGAGACAGGGTTTCATCATGTTGGCTAGGCTGGTCTCAAATTCCTGACCTCGTGATCTGTCTGCCTCGGCCTCCCAAAGTTCTAGGATTACAGGCATGAGCCACCATGCCTGACTGACTTCTTATAATCTTTTATGAAAAACATATTTCAGTTTCTTTACACACCTTGCATGTAAAACTGTTTTTATTTCCCAAAGATTACTTAAGTCATGTGAACTAAAAGGCATTACACTTTTTACTTTTCTGACAAAAAATATTTTATTTAAGCCTTTTTCTTTTTTTGGACAGAATCTTGCTCCGTCAAGTATAATGCCGTGATCTTGGCTCACTGCAACCTCTGCCTCCCAGGTTCAAGCAATTCTTCTGCTTCAGCCTCCCAAGTAGCTGAGATTACAGGCATGCACTACCATGCCCAGCTAATTTTTTTTTTTTTTGAGACGGAGTCTCTCTCTGTTGCCCAGGCTGTAGTGCAGTGGCACGATCTCAGCTCACTGCAAGCTCCACCTCCTGGGTTCATGCCATTCTCCTGCCTCAGCCTCCCAAGTAGCTGGGACTACAGGCACCCGCCACCATGCCCGGCTAGTTTTTTGTATTTTTTAGTAGAGACGGGGTTTCACCGTGTTAGCCAGAATGGTCTCAATCTCCTGACCTGGTGATCCACCCGTCTCGGCCTCTCAAAGTGCTGGGATTACAGGCGTGAGCCACTGCGTCCGGCCCCATTTTTATTTTATTTCTTGATTGTATGCTAAACGAGGGGTAGATTATTCAAGCCTCCCCATTTTAGACCATATAGGGTAAGTTCCTGACATTGCCATGGCATTTGTAAACTGTCATGGCGCTGGTGAGAGTGTAGCAATGAGGATGACCTAGGTCATTCTCGTGGCCATCTTGGTTTGGTGGGTTTTAGCAGGCGTCTTTACTGCAGCCTGTTTTATCAGCAAGGTCTTTATGACCTGTGCCTTGTGCCGACCCTCATATCTCATCCTGTGACTTAGTATGCCTAACTCTCTGGGAATGCAGCCCAGCAGGTCTTAGCCTTATTTTACCTAGCTCTTATTCAAGATGGAGTTGCTCTGGTTCAAATGCCTCTGATAAAATGATTTAAGTTATTGAGGGATTTTACCCACAGTAGTGACGTGTCCAGATTTGTGTTTTCTTTTCTTTTCTTTTTTTTTTTTGAGACAGGGTCTCACTGTAGTGCCCAGAGTGGAATGCAGTGATACAATCATGGCTCACTGCAGCCTCGAGCTCCCTGGCTCAAGCTGTCCTCCCCCTTCACCTCCTGAGTAGCTGGGACTACAGGTTTGCACTACCATGCCCAGTTAATTGAAAAAATATATTTTGGGAGGCTGAGGTGGGTCGATCGCCTGAGGTCGGGAGTTTGAGACCAGCCTGACCAACATGGAGAAATCCCATCTCTACTAAAAATACAAAAATTAGCTGGGTGTGGTGGCACATGCCTGTAATCCCAGATACTCAGGAGGCTGAGGCAGGAGAATAGTTTGAACCCGGGAGGTGGAGGTTGCAGTGAGCCGAGATTGTGCCATTGCACTCCAGCCTGGTTAACAAGAGCGAAACAACATCTCAAAAAAAATTTTTTTTTTGTAGAAATAGGGTTTTACCATGTTGTCTTGGATTCCTGGACTCAAGCAATCCTCCTGCCTCAGCTTCTCAAAGCCTTGGGATTACAGGCATGAGCCACTGTGCCCACCCAGATTTGTGTTTTCTTCTAGGTGTTGGCAGAATGGAATTGGAGGAGGTGAAAATGGAGGTAGGGAAATCATTAAGTGGGCTTTCCAGAAACATTAAGGGCCTAAACTAAGGCATGACAGTAGGGATAGAGAAGACAGTCAGATATAAAAATATTTAAGAGAGGCTGGGTGAGGTGGCTCACGCCTGTAATCCTAGCACTTTGGGAGGCCAAGGTGGGTGGATCACTTGTGGTCAGGAGTTTGAGAGCACCATGGCCAACATGGTGAAACCCCGTTTCTACTAAAAATACAAAAATTAGCTGGGCGTGGTGGTGCATGCCTGTGATCCCAGCTTTCTTGAGAGGCTGAGGCAGGAGAATCGCTTCAACTCAGGACACAGAGGAGCCGTGAGCTGAGATCACGCCACCACACTCCAACCTGGGCAACAGAGTAAGACTCTGCCTCAAAAAAAAAAAATTTAATAGAGGATTCATAAGACTTGGTGACCGAACATGGGGAAAAAAGGAAAAATATCTATTGTCACCTATTAGATTGGGTGACAAAAAGATTGGAGGTCTGAGGTTAAAAAAAGGGCAGAGTGGGAGTAGGGAAGCAGGAGAGGAGAAAAGACAGGAAGCTGTGGCCAGAGGGGGAACTATGGGGCTGTGTAATGGCAAATCTGGTCAAGAGCTGCTCTGACAGCCAGCTTCCGTGCCAGGTTCTAGAGAGGAGATTCCGAGAAGACCGCCCTGTGGCTGGAAATCCCCCACATCATGCCTTAAAGTTTCCATAGGTAGTGTAATGAGTGAAGATGTTCTGGTCCTTGCTGGACTGTCCTGAGAGACCCCCTGTGAGAAGACATCGACAAGATGCAGGGCCATTTTCCCATCAGTACGCTATGTACCCCTGGCCGTGAACTGAATCCACAAACTGTCAGCCCTTAGGAGATGACCTTTCAGTCTGCTAGGAAGTACCTAAAGAAACATCCTGAGAGAGTCATTAGAAACCACTGACATGCAGAAGCAGAGCACTTCCTCATAACTCCTTAGTTTGAAAAGTGCAGGTGCCTTTCCATATGGTAAAGGCCCCTGAAATTTTGATATTTAAAATCCCCACTTTATAGATGAAGAAACCGAGACCCAAAGAGCAGAAGTGACTTCTCATGTCACACAGGAAGATAGTAGTAGAGCTGGACGTCAGCTGACATTTCCTGATACTTTGCTGTACTTAATACATAGAGTGCCTGCTGTGCACTGGGCAAGGAAGCAGAAGAAAGAAGACCAAGTCCCTGCCTCGCAGAGCTCACGATTTAGTGGAAATGGCATCCAATAATAATGAATAAATATAAGATTTAATATCAGGTCGGGCGTGGTGGCTCATGCCTGTAATCCCGGCACTTTGAGAGGCCGAGGCAGGCGGATCACCAAGTCAGGAGTTCGAGACCAGCCTGACCAACATTGTGAAATCCCATCTCTACGAAAAATACAAAAATTAGCTGTGTGTGGTGGCGCATGCCTGTAATCCCAGCTACTCAGGAGGCTGAGGCAGGAGAATCGCTTGAACCTTGGAGGCAGAGGTTGCAATGAGTTGAGATCGTGCCATTGTACTTCATCCTGGGTGACAAGAGAGAGACTCTGTCTCAAAAAAAAAACAAACAAAAACCGAAAACAAAAATTAGCTGGGTGTGGTGGCATCTACCTGTAGTCCCAGCTACACGGGAGGCTGAGGTATGAGAATTGCTTGAACCCAGGTGGCAGAGGCTGCAGTGAGCTGAGATTACCCCACTGTACTCTGGCCTGGGTGACAGAGTGAGTGAGACTCTGTCTCAAAAAAAAAAAAGAAAAAAAAAAAGAAAAATTCAAAGTAAACATGGAGATCTGTGGGAACACCAGACAAACTTCCAGTTGAAAGTAGTTCAGCCGGGCGCAGTGGCTCACGCCTGTAATCCCGGCACTTTGAGAGGCTGAGGCGGGCGGATCATGAAGTCAGGAGTTCAAGACCAGCCTGACCAACATTGTGAAACCCCGTCTCTACTAAAAATACAAAAATTAGCTGTGTGTGGTGGCACGTGCCTGTAATCCCAGCTACTCAGGAGGCTGAGGCAGGAGAATCGCTTGAACCTTGGAGGCGGAGGTTGCAGTGAGTTGAGATCGCACCATTGCACTCCATCCTGGGTGACAAGAGAGACTCTGTCTCAAAAAAAAAAAACCGAAAACAAAAATTAGCTGGGTGTGGTGGCATCTGCCTGTAGTCCCAGCTACGCAGGAGGCTGAAGCACGAGAATTGCTTGAACCCAGGAGGCAGAGGCTGCAGTGAGCTGAGATTGCCCCACTGCACTCTAGCCTGGGTGACAGAGTGAGTGAGACGCTGTCTCAAAAAAAAAAAAAAAAAAAAAATTCAAGGTAAACATGGAGATCTGTGGGAACACCAGACAAACTTCCAGTGGAACGTAGTTCAGCCGGGCACAGTGGCTCACGCCTGTAATCCTAGCACTCTGGGAGGCCAAGGCGGGCGGATCATGAAGTCAGGAGACCGAGATCATCCCGGCTAACACGGTGAAACCCCGTCTCTACTAAAAATACAAAGAAATTAGCTGGGTGTGGTGGCGGACTCCTGTAGTCCCGGATACTCGGGAGGCTGAGGCAGGAGAATGGCGTGAACCCGGCAGGCGAAGCTTCAGTGAGCCGAGATCGTGCCGCTGCACTTCAGCCTGGGCGACAGAGCAAGACTCCATAAAAAAAAAAAAAAAAGATGAAATGGAAATCTTTTTATGTGTATTATTTTTTCAAATTGCTACTAAGTTGTTAGGACTTAAATACTTATTTGGCCCTAACTACTTAAGTAGAACTGTTAGGGATTCCTTTTGGCCTAGAGGTACCTTGAGAAAATTATTATTATTATTATTTTGAGGCAGAGTTTCGCTCTTGTTGCCCAGGCTGGAGAGCAATGGTGCGATCTCGGCTCACCGCAACCTCTGCCTCCCAGGTTCAAGCGATTTTCTTGCCTCACCTTCCTGAGTAGCTGGGATTACAGGCATGTGCTACCACGGCTGGCTATTTTGTATTTTAAGTAGAGACGGGGTTTCTCCATGTTGGTCAGGCTGGTCTCGAACTCCCAACCTCAGGTGATTTGCCCACCTCGGCCTCCCAAAGTGGTGTTGGGATTACAGGTGTGAGCCACTGCGTCTGGCCTCAGAATTGTTAATCAGGACCCCCATGGAACACCATTATCAACTAGAGTACAATGCTTCTGTACAGTTCCACTTGCCTTTAGTCTTTTTTTTTTTTTTTTTGACAGTTTCACTCTTGTTGCCCAGGCTGGAGTGCAATGGCGCGATCTCGGCTCACTGCAACCTCCGCCTCTCGGGTTCAAGCGATTCTCTTGCCTCAGCCTCCCAAGTAGCTGGGATTACAGGCATGCGCCACCACACCTGGCTAATTTTGCATTTTTGGTAGAGATGGGGTTTCTCCATGTTGGTCAGGTTAGTCTCGACCTCCCGACCTCAGGGGATCCGCCTGCCTCAGCCTTCCAGAGTACTGGGATTACAGACGTGAGCCACTGCTCCTGGTGCCTTTAGTCTTATAGATACCACTCATTTCTAAAGTTACTTAGGTAAACACTTTTTCCCCTACTCCCTTCAATGAGGTGGTTTCATACCTTTGTGATATAGGTTAGACACTTTTGTCATTTTCTGCATTTTACTCCAGAATCTCCTGACGTCCTAAATGATTTTTTAAAATTTTGTATACATTAAGGTTCATTCTTTTTTTTTTTTTGAGACAGAGTCTCACCTTTCGCCCAGGCCAGAGTGCAGTGGCGCGATCTCGGCTCACTGCAAGCTCCACCTCCTGGGTTCACACCATTCTCCTGCCTCAGCCTCCCGAGTAGCTGGGACTACAGGTGCCTGCCACCGCTCCCGGCTAAATATTTGTATTTTTAGTAGAGATGGGGTTTCACCGTGTTAGTCAGGATAGTCTCGATTTCCTGACCTCGTGATCCACCCGCCTCGGCCTCCCAAAGTGCTGGGATTACAGGCGTGCGCCACCGTGCCCAGCCCAGTTTCATTCTTTGTGTTGTAAAAATCTGTGGGTTTTGAAAGCTATAGATACTACCATGTATCACCATTATAGTTTCTTTTGAGTATAGTTTTGCTGTCCTAAAAAGTCCCCTGTTCTTCATTTATTTGACCCCACCCTCACCCCCAAAACCCCTGGCAACCATTGATCTGTTTACCGTCTCTATAGTTTTGTCTTATCCAGAATGTTGTGTAATTGGAATCATATAATAAATAGCCTTTTCAGATGGACTTCCTTCACTCAGCAATATGCATTTAAGATTCATTCATGTATTTTCATGGCTTGATAACTAATTTTTCTAATTGCTTAATATTTTATTATATGGATGTATCACAGTTTATTCATCTGTTGAAATATATCTTGGTTGCTTCCAGTTTTTGGTGATTTTAACGCTGCTATAAACTTTTCTGTGCAGGTTTTTATGTGTACAAAAATTATTTTTCTTGCCATATTTTTTAGAGGTGGGATCTCCCTCTGTCACCCAGGCTGGAGTGCAGTGACAAGATCACACCTCACTGCAGCCTTGAACTCCTGGGCTCAAGTAACCATCCCTCCCCAGCCTCCCAAGTAGCTAGGACTATGGGCATGTGCCACTACTTTTATCTTATTTTATTTTTATTTTTATTTAATTTTATTTTATTATTATTATTATCATTATTTTTAATTGATCATTCTTGGGTGTTTCTCGCAGAGGGGGATTTGGCAGGGTCACAGGACAATAGTGGAGGGAAGGTCAGCAGATAAACAAGTGAACAAAGGTCTCTGGTTTTCCTAGGCAGAGGACCCTTCGGCCTTCCGCAGTGTTTGTGTCCCTGGGTACTTGAGATTAGGGAGTGGTGATGACTCTTAAGGAGCATGCTGCCTTCAAGCATCTGTTTAACAAAGCACATCTTGCACCGCCCTTAATCCATTCAACCCTGAGTGGATACAGCGCATGTTTCAGAGAGCACAGGGTTGGGGGTAAGGTCACCGATCAACAGGATCCCAAGGCAGAAGAATTTTTCTTAGTACAGAACAAAATGAAAAGTCTCCCATGTCTACCTCTTTCTACACAGACACGGCAACCATCCGATTTCTCAATCTTTTCCCCACCTTCCCCCCCTTTCTATTCCACAAAACCGCCATTGTCATCATGGCCCGTTCTCAATGAGCTGTTGGGTACACCTCCCAGACGGGGTGGTGGCCGGGCAGAGGGGCTCCTCACTTCCCAGTAGGCGCGGCCAGGCAGAGGCGCCCCTCACCTCCCGGACAGGGCGGCTGGCCGGACGGGGGTCTGACCCCCCCGACCTCCCTCCTGGACGGGGCGGCTGGCCGGGCAGAGGGGCTCCTCACTTCCCAGTAGGGGCAGCCGGGCAGAGGTGCCCCTCACCTCCCGGACGGGGCGGCTGGCCGGGCGGGGGGCTGACCCCCCCACCTCCCTCCCGGACGGGGCGGCTGGCCGGGCAGAGTGGCTCCTCACTTCCCAGTAGGGGCGGCTGGGCAGAGCGCCCCTCACTTCCCGGATGGGGCGGCTGGCCGGGCAGAGGGGCTCCTCACTTCCCCGTAGGGGCGGCTAGGCAGAGGCGCCCCTCACCTCCCGGACAGGGCGGCTGGCCGGGCAGGGGGCTGACCCCCCCACCTCCCTCCCTCCGGGACGGGGCGGCTGGCCGGGCGGGGGGCTGACTCCCCCACCTCCCTCCCGGACGGGGCGGCTGGCCGGGCAGAGGGGCTCCTCACTTCCCAGTAGGGGCGGCCGGGCAGAGGCGCCCCTCACCTCCCGGACGGGGCGGCTGGCCGGGCGGGGGGCTGACCCCCCCACCTCCTTCCCGGACGGAGCGGCTGGCCGGGCAGAGGGGCTCCTCAGTTCCCAGTAGGGGCGGCCGGGCAGAGGCGCCCCTCACCTGCCGGACGGGGCGGCTGGCCGGGCGGGGGGCTGATCCCCCCACCTCCCTCCCGGACGGGGCAGCTGGCCGGGCGGGGGGCTGACCCCCCCACCTCCCTCCCGGACGAGGTGGCTGCCGGGCGGAGACGCTCCTCACTTCTCAGACGGGGCGGCTGCCGGGCGGAGGGGCTCCTCACTTCTCAGACGGGGCGGTTGCCAGGCAGAGGGTCTCCTCACTTCTCAGACGGGGCGGCTGCCGGGCGGAGGGGCTCCTCACTTCTCAGACGGGGCGGTTGCCAGGCAGAGGGTCTCCTCACTTCTCAGACGGGGCGGCCGGGCAGAGACGCTCCTCACATCCCGGACGGGGCGGCAGGGCAGAGGTGCTCCCCACATCTCAGACGATGGGCGGCCGGGCAGAGACGCTCCTCACTTCCCAGATGTGATGGCGGCCGGGAAGAGGCGCTCCTCACTTCCTAGATGGGATGGCGGCCGGGCAGAGACGCTCCTCACTTTCCAGACTGGGCAGCCAGGCAGAGGGGCTCCTCACATCCCAGACGATGGGCGGCCAGGCGGAGACGCTCCTCACTTCCCAGACGGGGTGGTGGCCGGGCAGAGGCTGCAATCTCAGCACTTTGGGAGGCCAAGGCAGGCTGCTGGGAGGTGGAGGTTGTAGCGAGCCGAGATCACGCCACTGCACTCCAGCCTGGGCACCATTGAGCACTGAGTGAACGAGACTCCGTCTGCAATCCCGGCACCTCAGGAGGCCGAGGCTGGCGGATCACTCGCGGTTAGGAGCTGGAGACCAGCCCGGCCAACACAGCGAATCCCCGTCTCCACCAAAAAAATACGAAAACCAGTCAGGCGTGGCGGCGCGCGCCTGCAATCGCAGGCACTCGGCAAGCTGAGGCAGGAGAATCAGGCAGGGAGGTTGCAGTGAGCCGAGATGGCAGCAGTACCGTCCAGCTTCGGCTCGGCATCAGAGGGAGACCGTGGAAAGAGAGGGAGAGGGAGACTGTGGGGAGAGAGAGAGGGAGGGGGAGGGGGAGAGGGAGAGGGATTTTATTATTTTTTAAGAGATAGGGGTCTCTATTGTCCAAGCTGATCTCAAACTCCTGGGCTCAAGCAGTCCTCCTGCCTCAGCCTCCCGAATAGCTGGGACTATAGGCACAAGCCATGGTGCACCCAGCATACTTTCAGATCAGTAAATATCTAGGAGTGTCATGGGTAGAACATATGGTAAGACTGTTTAACTTTTTAAGAAACTGCCAAGCTGTCTTCCAAAGTGTCTGTATGATTTTCCATGCCTACTATCAATGGATGAGAGTCATGGCTCCTCTGCATCCTTGTCAGCAATTGGAATTGTCAGCTGGTTTTCTTTTTTTTAAATTTCAGTCATTCTAACAGATGTCCCCAATACACCATTACTAACTCAAATACCTTAGCTCTCTAAGCTTTATTATAGCTCAGTGAGAGTAAAGAAAGAGAAGTAGAATCCAGCTGGGGATTGCATTTCTAGAAATAATTATTAAGTAACTATGGGTTAGTAGAACTCTAGACATAACCCATTCTAGTTCTCCTTTCTTATTTTTGTTATATTTTGGAGACAATGGGAAGATTACCTGAAACATTCCAAAAGAATGCTACAGACTTGAACTTGGATGTTACGTATTTAAACATATAAGGCACACAGGGGCCGGGTATAGTGGCTCATGCCCGTAATCCCAGCACTGGGAGACCTGACGTCAGGAGTTTGAGACCAGCCTGGCCAACATGGCAAAACCCGTCTCTACCAAAAATACAAAAATTACTTGAGTGTGGTGTTGCGTGTCTCTAATCCCAGCTACTCGGGAGGCTGAGGCAGGAGAATAGCTTGAACCCGGGAGGCAGAGGTTGCAAAGAGCCAAGCTTGCGCCACTGCACTCCAGCCTGGGCAACAGAGCGAGACCCTGTCTCAAAAAAAAAAAAAAAAAAGAAAAAAGAAAAACATAGACGCATGGGGATTCAGGTTCATTGCGCATTTAATATTGAATTGTGTGACTGTACTGCCTATAATGTGCTGGGTGGTATGCTGAATGATGGGGATACAGTGATGCATAAATCAGACAAAGTCTAGTCCTCAGTAAGCTTACAGTCTAACTGGGAAGAAAAAACACCTACAGTACACAGCAATCAAGACTGTGATGGGGAGTACAGGGAGCTATGGAAACACCAATGTCAGGGCATCTAACCAGCCTAGGAGAGGTTAGAGAAGTCTTCTTGGAGGAAATGACCTCTAAGATATGGCCTATAGCAGGAGTTGGTGAAGTGCAGCCTATAGGCCAAATCCAGCCTGCCATCTGCTTTGGTACAGCTCATGAGCTAAGAATGATTTTTTGCATTTTTAAATGTTTGAAAAGATTCAAGAGAATAATGCTTTGTGATATGTGAAAATTGTATGATATTCAAATTTGAGCATCTTTAAATAACATTTCGTTAGAATGCAGCCACACTCACAGCTGCTTTTGCACTATAGCAGCAGAGTTGAACAGTTGCAAGAGACTGTATGACCTGCAAAGCCTAGGATATTTACTCTGTGGCCCTTTACAGAAAAAGTTTACTGACCCCTGGCACAGGATGGGTAGGAGTTAGCCTTATAAAGCAGAATGAAGAAGAGGGAAGTTGCTTTCTGACGGGATCTTTGCATAGCTGCAGTAACCTTAATATGCTTAGAGCATGGCATCAAGGAGGTAGGGGCTGAAGGACTGTGGTGAGTATTGGGGCTAGAGCAGTGGGTAGGATCCAGACTGGGAAGAGCCTTGGCAATTGTATGTATGGATTTGGGTTTATCCAGTATGAAGCCTTTAAAAGATTTAAAGTGATGTGATCCGATTTACTTTTTAAAAAATCCTCTGGCCACAGTGTAGAAACTGGGTTGGAGAGGGTGGGGTGAGAAAAGAGGCAGGGAAACTAGTTGAGGCTTTTATAGTCATTCAGGGGAGATGTTGGTAACCTAGACTAGCACAGTGACACTGGGGATAGGAATATATTGGTTTGAGAGGCATTTAGGAAGCAAAATTGAAAGGCTTTGGTGTCTTAGTTTTTAGCCTTAGTCTGTAGGCTGTTATAACAAAATACCATAGACTGAGTGGTTTATAAGCAACAGAGATTTGGCTGGGTGTGATGGCTCACACCTGTAATCCCAGCACTTTGAGAGGCTAAGGCAGGAGGATCATTTGAGCTCAAGAGTTCGAGACCAGCCTGGGAAACATGGCAAAACTCCATCTCTACAAAAAAATACAAAAAGTTAGCTGGGCATGGTGGCTTGTGCCTGTTAATCCCAGCTACCAGAGAGCCTGAGGTGGGAGGATCACATGAGCCCTGGAGGTCAAGGCTACAGTGAACCATGATCAGGCTGCTGTACTCCAGCCTGGAGACCCTGTCCCAAAAAAAAAAAAAAAAAAAAAAAAAGAAAAAGAAAATAATAAAAAAACATACAGGAAAAACACCACAAAACAAAAGCAGAGATCAGAGATTTATTTTTCACAGTTTTGGAGGCTGAGAAGTCCAAGATCAAGGTGCTGGCAGATTCAATGTCTGGTGAGGGCCTGCTTTCTGGCTTAGTGGCAGCTGTCTTTTTTCACTGTGTTCTCACATAGCAAAAGGGGAACTCTAGTCTCCTCAACCCTTATAAGGGCACTAATCCCAATCATGAGGGCTCCACCCTTGTGACCTAAACACCTCACACCTAAAGGCCCCAACTCCTAGTATGTTATCTTGGGGGTTAGGATTTCAACATATGACTTTGGGCAGGGGTATAAATAATCAGTCTATAGCATTTGGTGATTGATTGGAGGCATTGAGGTGTAATTATTTTCATGTTCAAATGATTATGCTTTCTTTTTTCAAAAGTTTTTTTCTGGTTCATGTGAATGCATGGTTGAGAAATCCATGTTTAGTAATAGTCTTCGCAGCAAAATTCTTCAGTGGTGTTTCATTCCTCCAGAGCTCCTTCCCATAACTTGGGTTTTAAAATCACATCTCTCTGTGACCGCTTCATGTTGTTCCCTGTTGACAAGAGATCTGGCTTTTAAAGAGCAGAGAAGCTATTGGCAGATTAATTTTCCTTTCCAGGTTTATCTTGGTTTAACGACTTTCCCAAAATATTTCTGGGTTGGGCCCTTGGGCTCTTTGGTTTTCAAGGCAATTTGTCAACAATGACAAGCGCTTCTCATTTTCTAGAGCTCTTAGACTATTTCCAGTTTTAATCTCTGACCCTTGCCTTTCTCCTCTTCAGAGTGGAAGTCGCTATGTTATGTTTTATAATATGTTGTATTGCTTTTAAAGTGCCTACTCATATGTCAACTCAGTTGACCCTACATTAAACCTGTGAAGAAGGCAGGACAGGTCAAATTACTGAGATTGAGAGAGGTTAGATGGCTTTTCCAAAGTCAGGAGGTAATAAATAATAAAGCAGGTGATAAAACTCAGGTTTTCAGATTTCATGGTTTTATTCTTTCCTTAATGTACCCTTTATCCAAGAAAAGGGAGTTAGACTAGCTGGAATAGTTACACTTTCAGCAGTAAAGATACCTGGATGAGATACTTTTTTCTCCTTCTGTGTATGGTCTGTGGGACTTCACCCAGACATCAGCATAGGCCCTTTGAAGCAATATGTGGACTACCAATAATTCCTAGACTACAATTTCCGAAGCTGTTGTCTGTATATTAAAGCATATGTATGTTTCATTTATTTATTTATTTGTTTGTTTGTTTGTTTTTGAGATGGAGTTTTGCTCTTGTTGCCCAGGCTGGAGTGCAACGGCACGATCTTGGCTCACTGCAACCTCCGCCTCCCGGGTTCAAGCGATTCTCCTGCCTCAGCCTCCCGAGTAATTGGGATTACAGGCATGCACCACCATGCCTGGCTAATTTTGTATTTTTAGTAGAGACGGGGTTTCTCCATGTTGGTCAGGCTGGTCTCGAACTCCCGACCTCAGGTGATCCACCTACCTTGGCCTCCCAAAGTGCTGGGATTACAGGCATGAGCCACCATGTCCAGCCTATGTATGTATATTTTAATTTCTTCTCCTTCCCTTTAGGTGGTTCTAACTTTGATGGTTTGAGACCAAATGGGAAGGGAGTGCCTATGGACCAAAGCTCCAGGGGTCAAGATAAACCAGAAAGCTTGCAACCAAGGTAATGCAACTCTCCCTTCACTTGTCCCTTGTAGGACTGAGGTTCTCCTCACAGTACTGAGACCATTTTGGGTATAATGTAAGTTGTCCCAGGGTAGCTGGCCTAGGAAGTGTCCTTTTTTTTTTTTTTTGAGACAGAGTTTCGCTCTTACTGCCCAGGCTGGAGTTCAGTGGCATGATCTCGGCTCACCGCAACCTCCACCTCCTGGGTTCAAGTGATTCTCCTGCCTCAGCTTTCTTGAGTAGCTGGGATTACAGGAATGTGCCACCACACCTGGCTAATTTTGTATTTTTAATAGAGATGGGTTTTCTCCATGTTGGTCAGGCTGGTCTCGAACTTGTGACCTCATCTGATCCTCCCATCTTGGCTTCCCAAAGTGCTGGGATTACAGGCATGAGCCACCGTGCCTGGCTGGAAATGTTCTTAATAATACCTGACATTTATTTGCACTTACTGCCAGGCACCCTGCTCTTATTTGGACTATCTTATTTTAGCCTAAGAGGTAAGTACTTTTTTCTGTTTTACAGTTAGGGAAACTCAGGTAATGAGAAGTTATATAACTCACCCAAGGTCCCAGAATTATCAAGTGGTCAATCTAGGATTTGGAACTGGCAGTCTAGCCCTCCCTTGAAAATGTAGATTAGAAACGTTTGATTTCACTCTTTCATTCTTTTAGGTGTTTCCTGACTCTGAAGTGACTTTTTTTCCTGTTTTATTTACTCTTTCCTGACTCGCCCCTGAGGTGTGTTATTATATAAATATCTGAAGTCTGTACTCCAGTGCCCCCTACTGAATATCTCCAGAATCTGTCTGGTCAAGATAAAACACTTACTTGTATCAGTATTTTAGTTACGACTATAAATACAGTACAATGCAAATAATAATAAAATATAAATTCTCATTGCCTTTCTTTTTATTTTGGATTATTCCTGTGGAATAGATGTACAGAATAGAATGATCAAGTTAAAGGACCTAGAGGGTTTTACAGTTTTTTTCTTTTTTTTTCTTTTGAGACAGAGTCTCACTTTGTCACCCAGTCACTGCAGCCTCCGTCTCCCAGGTTCAAGTGGTTCTTGTGTCTCAGCCTCCCGAGGAGCTGGGATTATAGGCATGTGCCACCACACCCAGCTCATTTTTGTATTTTTGGTAGAGATGGGATTTTGCCATGTTGGCCAGGCTGATCTCGAACTCCTGGCCTCAAGTGAGTTGCCTCCCTTGGCCTTCCAAAGTGCTGGGATTACAGGCATGAGTCACCATGCCCGGCTTGTCAATTACATGATTGAATCCCATACTCTGCCACCATTCATGTGGGTGAGGCGTTAATGACACTGGGTTTCATTTTTCTCATTTAGAACTGAGGGAATTAGATTATCTTTAAGATGCCCCTCTGGTCTGAGATTCTGTGACTCTATTATTAGGAAAATCTCCAGACCAACATATTATACAATCAACAAAATATAAATTTACTTAATTCCACATAGAAATAGTGTTGTTTTAGTAGATAAATTTTACTTTGGCCTCCTTTAGTCTTCTGTGACTTAGATGCTTGTATAGGGGAACTTTTAGCTTTGTATTCATTCATTTTGCCATGGGGACTCATCCACATATGAAAAAAATACTTCTGTTTTTCCAGACAGAATAAATCCAAGTCCGAAATTACTGACATGGTTCGCTC
This sequence comes from Homo sapiens, assembly GCF_000001405.40. Classification (NCBI taxonomy): domain Eukaryota; kingdom Metazoa; phylum Chordata; class Mammalia; order Primates; family Hominidae; genus Homo; species Homo sapiens. Next base: position 37,889,682 of record NC_000001.11, on the reverse strand, counting down.
CTCCACTATCACAGTGTCGGACAAGGCTCATATTTTATCCATGCAGAAGTTTGGACTGCGAGATACAATTGTGAAATCACATCTACTACAGAAAGAAGAGGATTACACCTATATCCAGAACTTCAGGTAGCTAACTGGGTTCTAGGATGTTTTCAGAGCAGAATGATCATTTGGCACTCTGGAATTTGAGCACTTCCTCCTATACCTGGATTTGGAGACATACTCTTCTATAGAATCTCTCCCCTCATTTTCAAAATGAGTGATTCCATGCATTCTTTATTAACAGGCATTTATTCTGTGCCCTTTCTAGGTGGGCACGGTGATAGGTGTGGTATAGTGGGAGTGACACGACTTGCAGATAGTTACAGAAATATTTGTGGAGACAAATGGGTACAGAAGAAGGAGCGCCATCCTGATTCTTTTATTTATTTATGTTTTATCTTTTTGAGACAAGGTCTCGCTTTGTTGCCCAGGCTGGAGTGCAGTGGTGCAGTCACAGCTCACTGTACCCTCAGCCTCCTGGGCCCAAGTAACCCTCCCACCTCAGCTGCTGGAGTAGCTGGTAATACACATGTGCTGATTTTTAAATTTTTGTAGAGACAGGGTCGCACTGTGTTGCCCACATGGGTCTCAAGCTCCTGGGCTTGGGCAATCCTCCCGCCTTGGCCTCCCAAATTGTTGAGATTATAAGTGTGAACCACCACACCTGGCCTCTTGATTCTTATGTATCCCTCCAAGGTTTTATACTCCCTTGGCATTCTGGGCCTTTGAAGAAAGTCATTTAAAATGAAATTACTAAAATGAAGTTAGCTGGTGTTTGGTAATCTTTTTAGGCAAGATTACTAAAAGCTAAATTAATAAAGGTTGTGGGATTCTGCTAGATCTTTCAAAATCGTTGCATTGGGACTATAAGATAAAATAACATTGTTTCTAGGGATACAAACTGTGAATTATGGTGAAGAAATAGCCTTTTGAATACTGGTGTTGCTTTCTTGCCAAAAGTAATTACCAAAGCACTTTTCATTTTTTCATTTCAGTAGTATATACAAGGCAAATAATTATGCAGATAATGCCTGGGTAATGGCTGTTTAAAGGAAGTGGGAATGTTCGGAGTAGGCCTATACTATTTGAAGTTGTTATCACAAAAGTAACAGATACCATGACAGACCGCAAGTCACTCCTTGGTGCTGCAGTCCTGGTCTAGGTTAGAAATGACATTTCTTATGTCTCAAAATGCCAGTCCACAGAGACGGAAACCAGCATAAATCAGCATAAAATGCTTTCTCCTGTTATCTCCATAGTGATTCGGAGTCACTAATTATTTCTCTTTGGTGACAGGTTTTTTGCGGGAACATACAATGTAAATGGGCAGTCCCCCAAAGAATGCCTCCGGCTGTGGCTGAGCAATGGTATCCAGGCCCCAGATGTCTATTGTGTAGGGTGAGTGCTTCTCTTCTAGTCCCCTCTCCATCTTCAAGCACACAGAGCTGTGGTTGAAGGATGGGTCTTCACAACAGGTGAAGGATTTGAAAAATGAACAGATGCCTGATAACAGCTGTTTCCCTGTTTGATGTTCTTCCTCATGGCAAGCAAATGTCTGCCACTATTAAAGTGGGGTGCTTGGCATTTAAGTGCTAGTATTTAATTTTTAGTGTAATCTTCTGTTAAAATCCTGAATTGCATCCTGAACTCAGTGCATCCTGAACTGAACTTTATTGCTTGGACATTCAATACATTTTTGGTTACAAAGCAAAACTATCTTCTGCCAGAGAAGAAAGGTTAGCTGAAGAAAGTCCCATCAGTTAGTCTTTTTTTTTTTTAATCTTCTCATCTCTATACTGGGCATTACTAGTGGGGAGGGGCAGCAAAGCTTGTATGGTATATTGAAAAGAACTAGAATTCATAATTTATGTAGACCAAGGTTTGAATCCCAGTTTGCCACTTGGTGCTTGTGTGAACTAGGGGTTACAGATGTAAAATAGGGACACTTCGAACTACTTCATAGGCTGGTCATGAAAAGAAAATGGGTTTTTGTTTGCAACAGCACCTGCAAAGTTCCTTGGCATTTAGTTCCTTGGCTCTAAATGTTTATTTTTTCCTCCTGAGGGTCCTGAAGTTTAGCTAGAAAGCTAGGGCTTATGCACCTAAACCAATCTGAGAATGTGTCATTTGCACATTACTTTTCTTTACTATCTAACTGGTTGCTTCTCAAAATAGGTTCCAGGAGCTTGATCTGAGTAAGGAAGCTTTTTTCTTTCACGATACCCCAAAGGAGGAAGAGTGGTTCAAAGCTGTGTCAGAGGGTCTTCATCCAGATGCCAAATATGCAAAGGTAAGAGAGGAGTCAGGGACCTCTTAATTTTATGTTGCCATGCAGGGAAATTCCAAGATCATTTTTCACCTTTTCCATGACCTTTATCTTAAGCCAGTCTTAATTATCCCGCAATTTTCATTTCCAGATCTTCCAGAAGGGGTGCCTCCGGGTGGGAAAGATGCAGGGTCTCGCCACTCGTAGGTTAGCACATAGCATGCTTGGTGAATTGAACAGATGATTACCTGTGTTCTAGTGTGGAGAAGGAGACACGTGAATACTCTCAGCCAGCTTCCAGACTATGTTTCCTTTGGGGTATTTATTCCTGTTTGCAATTTCTATTTAATGCCATGTCTCTCTTTTCCAGGTGAAGCTTATCCGACTGGTTGGGATTATGCTGCTGTTATATGTCAAACAGGAGCATGCAGCTTATATCTCAGAAGTGGAAGCCGAGACTGTGGGGACAGGAATCATGGGGAGGATGGTGAGTCCTTGGTTGGTTTGTTTGGCACATTGAGGACCTTAGCTCCTGAGGTATTGACCACTTCTGATGACACAGTGACTACACGTGTCCCAGTTTGAAGGTGCCAATATTCCAAGATGAATCATACCCTCAAGCAGGGCTCAGTCGAGCAAACTATTTAGAAACTGTTTTAGTGAACTACCTGCTGATTTAACCAATTAGCGCCTGTCCTCATATTCCCCAACACTAGAGCCTCCAGTTGATCCTCCCATTTCACCCATGAAGTATGTTGCAGAAACTATGCTGGGTCATTCAGAAAAACAAAGAATGCTGACAGTAGGTTTGCAATTTCCTCTTCTTATTGAGGCCATTAAAGTTCTGTTTTTAGGTTCTTCTGTGAGAGCTTAGCTTTGTGTTTTCAAAGGGTACCTATGGTTTGCCTGTGATTTAGTGAAAAGAACACTGGATTAAGGGAGCTAGGTTTTGGGGCTGGGTGTGGTGGCTCACACCTGTAATCCCAGCACTTTGGGAGGCTGAGGTGGGTGGATCACTTGAGGCCAGGAGTTCGAGAGAGTTAGGTTGTGGATTCAGCTTTGCCATTGACTGGCTAGTCATTCTGCCTTCTTTTTTTTTTTAATCTGTACAATATAGATAATACCACAGGATTATTATAAAGATTAAGACAAAACATTTTGAAAGTCTGTAGGGTTTTTTTTTTGTTTGTTTGTTTTTGAGATGGAGTCTCACTCTGTCTCCCAGGCTGGAGTGCAGTGGCGTGATCTCAGCTCACTGCAACCTCTCCCTCCCGCGTTCAACCAGTGCTCTGCCTCAGCCTCCCGAGTAGCTGGGATGACAGGCGCCTGCCACCACACCCAGCTAATTTTTGTATTTTTAGTAGAGACGGGGTTTCACCATCTTGGCCAGGCTGGTCTTGAACTCCTGACCTCATGATCCACCCGCCTCGGACTCCCAAAGTGCTGGGATTACAGGCGTGAGCCACCGTGCCCGGCCAGAAAGTTTGTAGGTTTAAGTGACTGACACAATTAAGTTTGAATTGGATTTCTTTGGGGATCCTTTCCATAGGGCAACAAGGGAGGCGTGGCGATCAGGTTCCAGTTCCACAACACCAGCATCTGCGTTGTGAATTCTCACTTGGCAGCCCACATTGAAGAGTATGAGAGGAGGAACCAGGACTATAAGGACATTTGTTCTCGAATGCAGTTTTGTCAGCCTGACCCAAGCCTTCCCCCTCTCACCATCAGCAACCATGAGTGAGTCTGGGCTTCCACCCCATGCGGTTCACCATGAGTACATAGAGTTGTGGGCTCTGTCTTTTCATGGGGAGATGCCTGGTGGTGGTTTCCTATTGCTGCAATGGTGGTAGCTCCCACCTCTTGGTTATACATGGATTATATCTCTTGAAAATATTTAGTTTCCTAACTTGCTATCTGGCAGATCTCTTGAGTCTTTCTCTTTTCTTACTTTTTTTTTTTTCGAGATGGAGTCGCGCTCTGTCGCCTAGGCTGGAGTACAGTGGCGTGATCTAGGCTCACTACAGGCTCCGCCTCCCAGGTTCATACCGTTCTCCTGCCTCAGCCTCCTGAGTAGCTGGGACTACAGGCGCCTGCCACCATGCCTGGCTAATTTTTTGTATTTTTTAGTGGAGACGGGGTTTCACTGTGTTAGCCAGGATGGTCTCAATCTCCTGACCTCATGATCCGCCCACCTCGGCCTCCCAGAGTGCTGGGATTACAGGCGTGAGCCACCGTGCCCGGCCTTCTTATTTTATTTTTAAATTTTTATTTGCATGTCATCCTTGCTCAGGGACTATGCTAATCTTCTCTGTATCATTTCAATTTTAGTATATGTGCTGCCAAAGCAAGCACACTCTAGAGTCTTTCTCAAGCATCATGTGTCCTTGGGAAGGTATAAGTTTTATTTATTTATATATTTATTTTTGAGACGGAGTCTTGCTCTGTCTCCCAGGCTGGAGTGCAGTGGCGCAATCTCGCCTCATCACAACCCCCACCTCCCAGTTCAAATGATTCTCCTGCCTCAGCCTCCCGAGTAGCTGAGACTACAGGTGCGTGCCACCAGGCCTGGATAATTTTTGTATTTTGAGTAGAGAGTGGGGTTTCACCATGTTGGCCAGGCTGGTCTCAAACTCCTGACCTCGTGATCCGCCCACCTCGGCCTCCCAAAGTGCTGGGATTACAGGCATGAGCCACCACGCCCGGCCATTTGTTTTTTCAGTATTTAATTTTATCAACATGTGTGAGAATCCCTGGCTGCTATAGTATAGCAGCCAGAAATAAGAAGAAAGTGAGGCTGGGTGCAGTAGTTCATGCCTGTTATCCCAGCATTTTAGGAGGCTGAGGTGGGGGGATCGATTGAGCCCGGGAGTTCAAGACTAGCCTGGGCAACATAGTAAGAACCTGTCTCTGAAAAAAATTTAAAAATTAGCTGGGTGTGATTCTGCATGCCTGTAATCCCAGCTACTCAGGAATCTGAGGCAGGAAGATAAGAGAAAGGGAAGGGGAGGGGAAAGACAAAGAGAGGAGAAAAGAAAAAAGAAAGGAAAGGAGAGGAGAAAGGAGAAGGAAAAGTTTATTTTGAGCAGAGAATATGACAAAACAGCAGTTGACGGCTATATTGTAGTCTGAGTTCTGCTTAAGATTTCTTTTTTTTAAAGATTTATTTTAATTTGGGTCTGCCTACCTCCAACATTATGAAGAAAACAACCAAAGAATGAGCATCTCAAACCCAGTTTTTAGAAGTATGTTTTAGGATTTTATTTGTCTGTTCTTTCCAGAGCATGTATAATTGAGAGTTGGACTACATTTGTTTGCCTCCACTTGGTCTTTTTTTCCTCTTAATTCAACTTTACAAAGATATAGTTGCAGCTTCTGAGAGCATCTTGTGCTCATTTTTGTTTCTTCTCTTTACTTTATCTCATTTATCTCTACAACTTCCTCTTTGTCTAAAGTCAAAGCCTTAGAATTTTAGACTTTATGATAACATACGCCACTTCTTTTATAAAGAGGAAGAAGCCACTGGGGCCGTGATATCTGCCAAGGAGTAAACAGAGTTAACGCCTCTTGTCCTGCCTGCCGAGGTGGAACTATCTGGAGCATTTTGGTGTTCTGGAAGCTGACAGGATGGTTTTTCTTCTCCAGGGAGCCTAGCAGGGAGTGTCTTGCAGCCGAGCTCTTCCATTCTGGTGAACCTGCAGCATCCTAGTTTGTGAGGTCGCAGCTTATGTGTCAGTTTGTCTGCTTTTAGTTTGTGGATGCATTAATTTTGGTGTGCGTGTACTGCTGTGCAGATTCTCTAATGACATGGTTGTTGGCTTCAGATACAGCAGTATTAGACTTAATGAGATGTACAGTGTCATCAGGGAGCCTTCAGTTAGCTTTTTCCCAAAGCAGCAGAAGGAATCAAACACCTTCTACACTCCACTCTGCAGTACAGAAAGAGCCAACCAATGATATACTGCTGGTTAAATCCAGGCTCCACTATAAAGTTTGAACTTTGTTTCAGAGGAACTCTGCTCTAGAAACAAAGGCTGAGAGTGTGTTTTGTGGGTTGCAGTATACACAGAGGCAGAGGTGGTATCGTGGCATCATCTGATTTGGGATCTCTGGGTGATTGGCGTGACTCTCAATTCTTGATTTTTTTTCCCTCTTCCCAGGAATGGGGTAAATTACTATCTTTTAGATCTTATTAGACTGTCTTTCCAACCTACAAGAATAAAATAGCTAAGGAGAACACAAGGCTGTTTATAATGAACTTGGACCAAGATAATTGAGCAAGCATCACATTAGATTATTAAATGGGATGGCGAGAGAAAAAAATTTTCCGAACAGTTGAGCCATTTTCCCACCCACCTCCCAAGAGGCTGAGCCTCAGGGGCCTTTGTCAGAAGCACCCTGGGTAGATCAGGTTAAAGTTCCTCCTAAACCCTGTTACCTTTGTGCTCTGTCCTCACAGTGTGATCTTGTGGCTGGGGGACCTCAACTACAGGATAGAAGAGCTGGATGTGGAAAAAGTGAAAAAGCTCATCGAAGAGAAGGACTTTCAAATGCTGTATGCATATGATCAGGTACAGATGGCCACCTGTGCCCTCTTCCAGCAGCTGTCCTCCACCATGAGGGCACAGAAAAGCCTGGCTTCCAAACTCGCAGCCTCTTCCTCCTTGGCTTGGGAGGTTTCCCTGAGTTCCTGATGTTGTCCAGTCATTTCTTCATTTCATCTGCATTTCCCTCTTCCATAGTTGTCTCCCCATTGGCTCTCTCCTGAAGCACCTTGTCTCCTGTGGGAGCAAGAGCATGTTCTCTCTCTCACCTTGTCATTCATTTATTCAAGAGGTCTGAAGTTAGGGCTAAAAGAGTACCAAGCTTCTATAAAGAAAGGACTTGGTATATTTAAGATGATGTAATAATTGTTTTTAGAATGAGCCTCCTTCTCCTCTGTGCTTCTCGTCACCACACTTCTCTAGTGTGAGTGACAGCTCTTCCCAAGTGGCTTTCCTCACTTTCTGTAGGAATCACTTCTGTAACCTGCTGTTCTCCATCATTGCTTGACGTAGCGTTTCCTTCTCAGAGCACTCGCTGTTTCACAGTACAAGAGAATCTGTTTCCCTGTGACTTTCTTCTGGCTACTTCTTTCAGTAGATTTCAGACCTGTTCAGGTGGTCAGGTTGTTCAGAATGTTAAAGTCCTTTTTTGTTGTTGTTGTTCTATATCCTCCCTTTTAGTAACCTTAGTATTGTCATTAGTCTAAATCTTTCTATTATCTTTTTTTTTTTTTTGAGACAGAGTCTTGCTCTGGCACCCAGGCTGGAGTGCAGTGTTGTGACCTCAGCTCGCTGCAACCTCTGCCTGCTGGGTTCAAGCAATTCTCCTGCCTCAACCTCCCAAGTAGTTGGGACTACAGGCACGTGCCAGTATGCCCGGCTAATTTTTTATATTTTTAGTAAAGACGGGGTTTCACCGTGCTGGCCAGGCTGGTCTCGAACTCCTGACCTCGTGATCCATCCACCTCAGCCTCCCAAAGCACTGGGATTACAGGCATGAGCCACCGCGCCCAGCCTCTATTATCTTTTTTTCCCCAGTGCAGATTAATTAAAGAAAAAGATTCTCAACTTAGTTATGTCTTTCTCTGTTTATCTCCTCTGTGTTCTGGTCTGAGGCATTCTAATTTCTCTTGTAGTTTGATACCCATCTCTACTTGCCTTCTTTTCTGGTCTTTCCTGAAGTAGTTGTACCCATTTTGTGTGTTATCTGCCTACCACATGGTTTTAAGCTCTATATGTAAGGGTCAGCTTACATTCATACCTACATTTTTACTATTTTCTGTTGCTTTTTAAATAGTTTTTTCAGGAATTTGGCAAGTAGTATCTACTAAATAGCTGACCATGTGCAATGTTAGAGCTGATAGTTCTTCACCAGTCCGTGTAGTGCCAAGTGTGGTGCTCCAGGGAAGAGGGAAGAGCACCTGTGGTTTTGATCTTGCTGAGAGTGTGATCTGGAAGGCGCTCCTAAAATTAATAGGAAGGATGCTAGCTGTTTTCCTAATGTGTCAGGCACTGTTTAAGTTGACAGTGAATCTTTCTAAAGACCCTATGAGGTAGATTCTATTATAAATCCAAAATTTACAGATGGAGAAACCAAGGCACAGAGCTTCCCCCAGTTCGCATAACTAATTTGACAACGCAGTTCTATCTTTATGTATATTTGGAGCAACTGTGCTACACAGATGAAGTGTTTGATACCTGGAAGAGAAAAACTATTAGTTTGTTAAGTGGTACCTAATCCTCTTAAAGATATCTCAGTAAGATGATACTCAGGCCCTTTGGGTGTAGCTATGCTCTTATGAAAGAGCCTTAGCCAGACACAATGGCTTGCACATGCAATCCCAACACTTTGGGAGACCAAGGCGGCAGGATCACTTGAGGCCAAGAGTTTGAGACCAGCCTAGGCAATATAGTGAGACCCTGCCTCTAAAAGATTTTTAAATATAGCTGTGTGGTGTTGCACAGCTGCAGTCCCAGCTACTTGGGAGGCTGAGGCAGGAGGATTGCCTGAGCCCAGGAGATGGAGGCTGTAGTGAGCTATGGTCGCACAATGGCACTCCAGCCTGGGTGACAGAGTGAGACTGAAAAATAAAAAACATTAGGCTAGGCGCTGTGGCTGACGCCTGTAATCCCAGCACTTTGGGAGGCCGAGGTGGGTGGATCACGTCAGGAGTTCGAGACCAGCCTTGCCAACATGGTGAAACTCTGTCTCTACTAAAAATACAAAAGTTAGCCAGGCGTGGTGGCATGCGCCTGTAATCCCAGCTACTCAGGAGACTGAGGCAGGAGAATCACTTTAACCTGGGAGGTGGAGGTTGCGGTGAGCCGAGATTGCGCCATTGCACTCCAGCCTGGGTGACAGAGCGAGACTCCGTCTCAAAATAAATAAATAAATAAATAAATAAATAAAACATTAAAAACTTAAAAAATAAAAAATAAAAACCATATACAGGCAAAAGAGTGGTCAGCTTGTCCACTTCCTAGGAGTTAGCTAACTTAAGATCTTACAGAATAACTTTCTTTTGGGGCTTTTTCCTTTGGGTTAGAGTTTGAATTCCAGATTGATATGCTTTTCTCCACTAATTCAAAGTTTGACCTTTTTATTCTGATATTTTTTTTTCTCCCATCCTTTTGTATAGCTGAAAATTCAGGTGGCCGCAAAGACTGTCTTTGAAGGCTTCACAGAGGGTGAGCTCACATTCCAGCCTACTTACAAGTATGATACGGGCTCTGACGACTGGGATACCAGGTAGGTCAGAGGTTGCTTCAAAGGGTTGAGCAAACGGAAACCCAGAAATTCTGGGAAGTACTTGCCCTTTTGGACCTAAGGAAGAATATATGCTTCCTGTGACTTTTTCCCTATGTTTTGCACTCTGATCAAACATTTTCTCTCAGTATCTGCTCATGAAGCAGGCTTCTTTCCCATGTATTAACTTTGTGACTGCCTTAGCCTTTGTTCCATAATTTTAATACTGGTTTACTTTTTAGCTGTGCCTAGGATGAGATGATTCCAACTAACTTAGCTGGTACTTGGACATTACACAGTAGTTAATATTTTTGTTTGTTTGTTTGTTTTGAGACAGAGTCTTGCTCTGTCATCCAGGCTAGGGTACAATGGCTGGATCTTGGCCCACTGCAACCCCTGCCTCCCGAGTTCAAGCGATTCTCCTGCCTCATCCTCCCAAGTAGCTAGGATTACAGGCATGTGCCACCAGGCCCAGCTAATTTTGTAGAGACAGGGTTTCACCATGTTGGCCAAGCTGGTCTTGAACTCCTGACCTCAAGTGATCCGCCTGCCTCAGCCTCCCAAAGTCAGTAGTTAATATTTTTATTAGTGCTTACCATGTGCCATGTACTATTTGATGCCCTTGTTATTTTCTCATTTAATCCTCAAGAACCTGTTGAAGTAGGTATGATTTATTAACCTCATTTTATGAGATTGGAAACTGAAGCATAGAAAAATTAAAGAGGCCCCCAAGCAGACAAGGGGTACAGGTAGGATTTGAACCCAGGCAGTGGGAATTCAGAGGCTGTTCTCTTAACTAGCATCTTTTTTTTTTTTTGAGACGGAGTCTCACTCTGTCGCCAGGCTGTAGTGCAGTGGCACAATCTCGGCTCACTGCAACCTCTGCCTCCCGGGTTCAAGCAATTCTCCTGCCTCAGCCTCCCGAGTAGCTGGGACTACAGGCACACACCACCATGCCCAGCTAATTTTTGTATTTTTAGTAGAGACGGGGTTTCACCATGTTGGCCAGGATGGTCTCAATCTCTTGACCTCATGACCTCCTGACCTCATGATCCCCCTGCCTTGGCCTCCCAAAGTGCTGGGATTACAGGCGTGAGCCACCGTGCCTGGCCTTAACCAAGATCTTTTAAAGACCATAGGCTGGGTGCGGTGGCTCACGCCTGTAATCCCAGCACTTTGGGAGGCCGAGGCGGGCAGATTGCCTGAGCTCAGGAGTTCAAGACCAGCCTGGGCAACATGGTGAAACCCCACCTCTACTAAAATACAAAAAATTAGCCAGCCATGGCGGTGCACACCTATAGTCCCAGCTATTCGGGAGGCTGAGGTAGGAGAATTGCTTGAACCTGGGAGGTGGAGGTTGCAGTGAGCTGAGATCACACCACTGCACTCCAGCCTGGGCGACAGAGCAAGACTCCATCTCTATAAAAATAAATAAATAAATAAATAAAAATAAAAAATAAAGACCATAGCATGCTTACTGTCAGATTGGTTTTTTAATTCTCTCCTGATTCTCATAGGAGGATAAAGATCAGAGAATCAGTCTGAACTCTGTTTTGGCTTTGAGCTTTCATGGTTGTTTTGGATGATACCCACAGGATACATGTTATCCCTTGGTGGGCCCGAATTGCTCTTGCTGCCTCAGATGACTTAGCCACATGGACATGAAGGCCCTGATTCATCACTCCCCACCTGAGCCAGGGCACTCGCCAGGCAGCGGGCACTGCTGTTTCTGTGAGTACTTCCAGTGTGGACTTTGCATTTCAGTGAGAAGTGCCGTGCTCCTGCCTGGTGTGATCGGATTCTCTGGAAAGGGAAGAACATCACTCAGCTGAGTTACCAGAGCCACATGGCCCTGAAGACCAGTGACCACAAGCCTGTCAGCTCAGTGTTTGACATCGGGGTAGGTGGCAGCTGGTACCTGTTGTAATCATTCTGGAGGGAATTGGCTTTCACAACTAAGACCATTTCTTGTCTTTCTGGTTTCTTCCTCTCCTTTTGAGAGGGAAGAAGCCCCTTTTAGGACAATTTAAAACAATTATTAACAACTTGGTTAATAATTGTTTTAGTATGCCTCTGCATTTTTCCTCATACATGGAAGTTCCCTTTTGCATTTTTGAACTGTCTCTTTGCAGACCTTTCTCTATGCGTTTATAAATGGGTGTGTCAGTATTGTGTATACAACATTGAGGATATTTTTCCTTTTTTGTAAAAGAGATCATATTATACATTTTGCTCTGAGGACATCTTTTTTTCCCTGACTGAATATGTCTTAGGAGATCTTTCCAGGACAGTGAAGGTAGAGCTTTCTTCTCATTATTTTTAAAGGTTGCAAAGTATTCCATAGTATGGATGAGCCATAATGTATGTATTGATGATCATAAAGTTATTTCCAAAGTTTTGCTATTATACACAGTGCTGTTGTGACCACCCTTCACATGTATGTTTGTGTATCAGTGTATTTCTATAGAATGAAATTATTAGAGATGAAATTAGCGGTTCAAATAAAAAATGTATTTTAAATTTATTAGATCTTGCTAAATTACCCTCACAACAGTTTTACCACTTTATACTTCTACCAACCATGTATAAGTTTATTTTCCCATACCCTTGTCAATATTGGGTTTTATCAGTCTTCAAAATTTTTGCCAACCCAATAAGCAGATATTTTATCATGTTAGATTACATTTCCCTGATTACCTATGAGATCAGCATCTTTTTCTTCCTTTCCTTTTTTTTTTTTTCTGTTGAGATGGAGTCTCGCTCTGTCACCCAGGCTGGAGTGCAGTGGCGTGATTTCAGCTTGCTGCAACCTCCGCCTCCCGGGTTCAAGCGATTCTCCTGCCTCAGCCTCCCAAGTAGCTGGGATTACAGGCACATTACACCACGTCTGGCTATTTTTTTGTATTTTTAGTAGAGATGGGGTTCGATCTCCTGCCCTCGTGATCCACCTGACTCGGCCTCCCAAAGTGCTGTGATTACAGGCATGAGCCACCGCTCCCAGCCTTTTCTTTTTGTTTTTTTTCAAAAGACACTGTTTTGTTCTGTCACCCAGGCTGGAGTGCAGTGATGCAGTGGCACAGTCACAGCGAACTGCGGCCTCAATCTGCTGGGCTTAAGCAATCCTCCCACATACATCAGCCTCCTCAGTAGGTAGGATTACAGGCATGCCTGTATGTGTGTGTCACCTTACCTGACTAATTTTTTTTTTGAGATGGAGTCTTGCTCTGTCACCCAGGCTGGAGTGCAGTGGCGCCATCTCGGCTCACTGCAAGCTCCGCCTCCCAGGTTCACGCCATTCTCCTGCCTCAGCCTCCCGAGTAGCTGGGACTACAGGCAGGCGCCCGCCACCACACCCGGCTAATGGTTTTTTTTTTTTTTTTTTTTGTATTTTTAGTAGAGACGGGGTTTCACCGTGTTAGCCAGGATGGTCTTGATCTCCTGACCTCGTGATATGCCCACCTCGGCATCCCAAAGTGCTGGGATTACTGGCGTGAGCCACCGGGCCCTTTTTTTTTTTTTTTTTTTTTTTTTTTTTAAAGAGACAGCATCTTGCTGTCTTGCCCAGACTGGTCTCAAGTGACTCCTGGGCTCAGGTGATCCTTCTGCCTTGGCTACCCCAAGTGCTGGGATTACAGGCATGAGCCTTCTCATTTATTTATTATCTATCTGTGGTGGCTCTTTATTATCATTACAATGCCTCACACCTGTAATCCCAGCACTTTGGGAGGCTGAGGTGGGTGGATTGCTTGAGCTCAGGAGTTCAAGACCAGCCTGGGCAACATGGCAAAACCCCTCATCTCTACAAAAAGTAAAAAAATTAGCTGGGCATGATGGCTTGTGTCTGTGGTCTCAGCTACTTGGGGGGCTGAGGTAGGAGCATCACTTGAACCCAGAAGGCGGAGGTTGCAGTGAGCCAAGATCACTCTATTGTACTCCAGCCTGGGTGACAGCAAGACCTTGTTGCAAAAAAAAAAAAAAAACAAACTTGAGAAACACTGCTTTAAATCAAAGCCTTAGAAAAAGTTCTCACTGCTGGCCTGTTGGTGGCAGCAAGCAAAATAGAGCTAGGTACTGGGCAAGCATTTTTCTGCCCTGGTCCTAAGACCTGGCAGAACTAACTGCTAACCATGCTTTCACTTCCATGTATTTTTTTCTGGTAATCAGGAAGCAGATGCCTGTACCACAAGCTTTGCCTCTGGCAGATCCTTCTAAGTCAATTGTTAATGGAGTTCATTAATTAACTAAATCTATAGCCTTTGTTTTCTGTGTTGCTATCAACTGCTATTTCCCAGTGCTGTGAATGCCGTCTATACTGAGAAAGAGGAAATGGGCAGAAGCCAAGGTACTCAGTCTCTGATGTTTCCCTTTCAGGTGAGGGTCGTAAATGACGAGCTTTACCGGAAGACACTGGAGGAAATTGTTCGCTCCCTGGATAAGATGGAAAATGCCAACATTCCTTCTGTGTCCCTGTCCAAGCGAGAGGTAGGAAGGACATGTTAAGAATATTAGCATTGGGCTCAGGCCGGGTGCAGTGGCTCACGCCTGTAATCCCAGCACTTTGGGAGGCCAAGGTGGGCAGGTCATGAGGTCAGGAGATCAAGACCATCCTGGCTAACACGGTGAAACCCTGTCTCTACTAAAAATACAAAAAATTAGCCGGGCGTGGTGGTCGGCACCTGTAGTCCCAACTACTCGGGAGGCTGAGACAGGAGAATGACGTGAACCTGGGAGGTGGAGCTTGCAGTGAGCCGAGATCGCGCCACTGCACTCTAGCCTGGGCGACCAAGTGAGACTCCATCTCAAAAAAAAAAGATTAGTGTTGGGCTCTTCTATTCCTAGAGCTTAAATCTCCTCATCTATTGGAGCTCAGAGTTCTAGGAGGCACCTATAGCACTATGGACTGTGGTCTTTCTTGATAGACTGCTTTTCGATAAAGTGAGGCTGATGGTGTTAGCTGAGAAGAGAGAGGTTGTTGGCTTAGGTCATCATGTCCTATTCTTCTAAACCAGAATATGGTTCAAAATGTGTTTTGATTTTAGAATAACTATTGTGTATTCTTGCAATGGATTTTTCTTCTTACTGATGCTTTGCTTTGAGATTAAATTGAGTTTGGATACCCATGAGTTAATGGGAGGGAAGACAGTATAGAAAAGGAATAGGTAATATAGGAAGTTGAATATGGTCTGAAGGTTTTTCATGGAAGAGCCACATGGAAGATCACTCACACTTGACATTCTACAAAGTCAAATTGGGGTTTAAGGTGAAGGCGTTTTTTGTTTGGTTTGTTTGTTTTAAACAGAGTCTTACTCTGTCACCCAGGCTGGAGTGCAATGGCACGATCTCGGCTCACTGCAACCTCCGCCTCCTAGGTTCAAGCAATTCTCCTGTCTCCGCCTCCCAGTAGCTGGGATTACAGGCTGTGCCACCATGCCTGGCTAATTTTTGTATTTTTAGTAGAGATGGGGTTTTGCCATGTTGGCCAGGCTGGTCTTGAACTCCTGAGCTCAAGTGATCTGCCCGTCTCGGCCTCCCAAACTGCTAGGATTATGGGCCTGAGCCACTGTGGCAGCCGCAGATGGCATTTTTAATGCCCTAGATGTCCAGCTACTTGGAAGGATGGGCTTGATCTTCATGTTTAGAAGTGGAATTTGTGAAGGGTATTTTGTAAATGGTTTTTGGGTATAGAAGATATAAACTTTGACTTCTTCAGGAAGTAGACATACAAAAACAAACGGAATTTTTGGATTTTGGGTTAAACACAGATAACTAGTCTTTAGTGGGAACTGTGGCCTCCCAGGTAGATACTTAAAGCAGAAACATTTAAAAGAGATGGTTCATTTTCTTTCCATGGTAAGGACTGCCCAGTTGGGGTGGCTGGGCAGGTTGCTGAGGAAAGGGCACTGGTTTTCACTGGCCCCGGGCTTCTTCCCAGTTCTGTTTTCAGAATGTGAAGTACATGCAATTGAAAGTAGAATCCTTTACAATTCATAATGGACAAGTACCCTGTCATTTTGAATTCATCAACAAGCCTGATGAAGAGTCTTACTGTAAGCAGTGGCTGAATGCCAACCCCAGCAGAGGCTTCCTCCTGCCAGGTAAGGCCTCTGTTCCTAGCTTCCTGGTATCTGGTTTGGGGAATGCCTTACTCTATATTTGCTCATTTTCCTAAAATGAGCTTTTTGCTTGAGTGTTTTATTCTCTGCTTGAGGCTTTTTAAAAAGCCCTATAGATGAACCCATTCATGAATAAAATAGAAAATAGTGAGGAGCATGAGTTCAGTTTCAAAAGCATTCTCAGTCATTTATGTGTTCCATAATTTCACAGAAAGAGAAAACATAAAATTGCTGTATAGCAGGTGCTGCTGTTAAAGGAACCATTTTACTATCTTGCTATAATCAACTCCCAATTATCTGCTCTTGATAATGGGGAAGTAATCCAGAAATTATATCTGGCTCTGGAATGTACCATCCACATTTTTCCCGACTTCTCCTTCGCACTCTGCATGGTACTCTGTGATGGAACAATGAAGGGTGTTTTGTGGACAATTCACAGGCCGATAATTGCGTTACACTTCTACTGAGTCAGTCATCTTCATCTTACCTGGCTCAGGGAAGGCTCTTTGATCCATGCCTTCTTATTCTGTTAGTATTTCTAGCTTGAGCTGTGCTCCTTAGTGCTTGAATTTTATAGCATTTGTCTATTCAAATGTTTTTGTTTGTTGTTTTCATATTCCCAGTTGGACTATAAACTCTTTGTTCTTGTGTCTCCTGCATGCCAAGCACATTTGGATGCTTGTTGGTTGGCTGATACCTTTTCTTTCCTTTTCCTAACCCTTTATGCCTTACCCTCTTCCCTCCTGCCTTCTTTCCCCTTTCCTCTTGGCCTGCCCCCGGCCAACATTATTTTTAAAATTTCTCTGCAGATTCTGATGTTGAGATTGACTTGGAGCTCTTCGTAAATAAGATGACAGCTACAAAGCTCAACTCGGGTGAAGACAAAATTGAGGACATTCTGGTTCTGCACTTGGACAGGGGAAAGGATTACTTTTTGTCTGTGTCTGGGAACTACCTGCCCAGCTGTTTTGGGTCTCCCATTCATACACTGTGTTACATGAGAGAGCCAATCTTGGACCTACCACTTGAAACCATTAGTGAGCTGGTGAGTAATATGCCACAAAGAAACATCTAGAACTTTGTAGCAGACAAGCCAGTCAAACAAGATATTCCTATGCCTACCTTCCTAGGGACTTAGAAACTCTTCAGCTTCCTAGAGCTTGCTTAGTGTATCAGCTGTATATTGCTGTGCTACAAACCATCCTGAAATTTTAGTAGTTTTTAACACCGAGTTATTGCTCCTCATGATTCTGTGGGTTTCCCATGTGGGTCTTCTGCTTGTCTCACCTAGCCCCATTTGTGTGGTTATAATCAGATGGCAGCTGTGATGGCCGGAGGGCTCCAGATGGCCTCTCTCACATGTCTTGGTGTTAGCTTTTCTCTGGGTTTCACTCACCACATGGACTCATCATTCAGAAGGCTAGCTCAGTCTTCTGTAGGTAGTGGCAAGAACATGAGAGAAGAACTGTAAGGCCTTTTGTAGCATAGGCTCCAAAATGCATACAAGGCCACTTCTGCCATGTTTTATTGGTAGAGCAAGTTGTGAAGCCAGACTAGATTCTACAAGTGGAGAAAGACTCCACTTCTTTTTTTTTTTTTTTTTTGAGACGGAGTTTCACTCTTGTTGCCCAGGCTGGAGTGCAATGACGTGATCTTGGCTCACCGTAACCTCTGCCTCCCGGGTTCAAGCGATTCTTCTGCCTCAGCCTCCTGAGTAGCTGGGACTACAGGCATGCGCCACCACGCCTGGCTAATATTTTGTGTGTTTTTAGTAGAGACAGGGTTTCTCCACGTTGGTCAGACAGGTCTGGAACTCCCAACCTCAGGTGATCCGCCCATCTCGGCCTCCCAAAGTGCTGGGATTACAGGCATGAGCCACCGCGCCTGGCTTTTTTTTTTTTTTTTTTTTTTGAGATGGAGTCTCACTCTGTTGTCCAGGCTGGAGTGCGGTGGCTCAATCTCAGCTTACTGCACCCTCCACCTCCTGGGCTCAAGTGATTCTCCTGCCTCTGCCACCCTAGTAGCTGGGACTACAGGCATGCACACCACCACACCCAGCTAATTTTTTTTTTTTTTTTTGAAACAGAGTCTCACTCAGCTACCCAGGTTGGAATGCAGTGGCACATCTTGGCTCACTGCAACCACCGTCTCCCAGGTTCAATCAATTCTCCCATCTCAGCCTCCCAAGTAGCTGAGATTACAGGCACCCGCCATCATGCTAATTTTGGTATTTTAGTAGAGACGGGATTTCACCATGTTGGCCAGGCTGGTCTTGAACTCCTGACCTCAGGTGATCCGCCCACCTCAGCCTCCCAAAGTGCTAGGATTACAGGCGTGAGCCACTGCACCCAGCCAATTTTTGTATTTTTAATAGAGAGGGAGTTTCACCATGTCGGCCGGGCTGGTCTTGAACTCCTGACCTCACGTGATCTGCCCGCCTCAGCTTTCCAAAGTGTTGGGATTGCAGGTGTAAGCCACCACGCCTGGCCTTTTTTGTTTTGTTTTGTTTTCTTTTGTGAGTCGGCGTCTCACTCTGTCCACCAGGCTGGAGTGCAGTGGCACGATCGTGGCTTACTGCAACCTCTGCCTCCCAGGTTCAAACGATTCTCCTGCCTCAGCCTCCCAAGTAGCTGGCATTACAGGTGCCCGCCACCATACCCGGCTAATTTTTGTATTTTCTATAGAGACGGGGTTTTGCCATGTTGGCCAGGCTGGTCTCAAACTCCTGACCTCAGGTGATCTGCCCGCCCCAGCTTCCCAAAGTGTTGGGATTACAAGCATGAGCCACTGCGCCCGGCCTTTTTTTTTTTTTTTTTTTTGAGACAGTCTTACTCTGTCACCCAGGCTGGAGTGCAGTGGCACGATCTGGGCTCACTGCAACCTCTGCCGTCCAGGTTGCAAGCGATTCTTGTGCCTCAGCCTCCCCAGTAGCTGGGACTACAAGTGCATGCCACCATGCCCAGCTAATTTTTTTATATTTTTAGTAGAGACGGGGTTTCGCCATGTTGGCCAGGCCGGTCTCGAACTCCTGACCTCAGCTGATCCACCCACCTCGGCCTCACCAAGTGTTGGGATTACAGGCATGAGCCACCATGCCCTGCCTAACTCCACTTCTTGATAGGAAAGAAAAGCTGCAAAATGCTGTGACCACGTTTTTCAGTAGTTCACTTATAGTATGTATCTTTGTTTGGGCTGCTTTAACAGTATCCCATAGACTGGGTGGTTTATCAACAACAGAAATTTATTTCTTACAGTTCTGGAGACTGAGAAGTCCAAGATCAAGGCACTGCCAGCTTTGGTGTCTGGTGAGGGCCTACCTCCTGATTCATAGAGGGCCATCTTCTTACTGTGTTCTTACATGGCAGAAGAGGGGAGGGAGGTCTCTGAGGTGTCTTGTTTAGGGCCACTAATCCCATTCATCAGGGCAGAGCCCTTATGACCTAACCATCTCCCAAAGGCCCTACCTCCTAGTACCATCACATGAGGGATTAGGTTTCAACGTACATATTTGAGGGGGACATACACATTCAGTTTGTAGCAGTACATTAGAGAAACTCAGCCATGGGTTGGGCACAGTGACTCACAATTGTAATCCTTGCACTCTGGGAGGCCAAGGCAGGATAAATGTTTTAGGCCAGGACTTTGAGACCAGCCTGCTCAACGTAATGAGACTCCATCTCTACAAAAAAATTAAGAAATGAGCTGGGTATGGGGGTGTGCATTTGTAGTCCTAGCTACTTGGGAAGCCAAGGTGGGAGGGAGCCTGGGAGTTCAAGTCTGCAGTACCTGAGCGATAGCGCAAGACAGTCTCTAAAAAAAAAAAGAAGACAAACTCAGCCATGAATTCTAAAATAATGAAAGTTCCATAGTCAATGATATTATTCTTTTGTTTTTTTTTAAATCATCATCGGTAGGTCAATGATATTATTCTTTTGTTTTTTTTTAAATCATCATCGGTAGGTTATCATCCTAAACTAAATTTGCTGCCATCTAAAAGATTCCTATGGAGACAATTCTAATACAAGGGAACTAATTTGGAGCAGACCTATGGTAATATGTATGCTTTTTTTCCAGTGCATTTTTAAATTTAGGGAGTCTTGAACTCCCTCTTCTTCATCATATAGATGAAAACAGGGGCCCAATCAAGGAGAGTGATTTGTCACAGGTCATATGGTGAGTTAACAGTGGACCTGGAGGCTGGGTGCAGTGGTTCACGCCTGTAATCCCAGAACTTTGGGAGGCTGAGGCGGGTGGATCACAAGGTCAGAAGTTTGAGACCAGCCTGGCCAAGATGGTGAAACCCCCCGTCTCTACTAAAAATAAAAAAATTAGCTGGGTGCAGTGGTGGGCGCCTGTATTCCCAGCTGCTCGGGAGGCTGAGGCAGGAGAATCGCTTGAACCCAGGAGGCGGAGGTTGCAGTGAGCCGAGATCGCACCACTGCACTGAGCCTGGGCGACAGAGCAAGACTCCATCTCGAATAAATAAATAAGTAAATAAATAAATAAATAAATAAAAACAGTGGACCTGGAGGCTTGGTATGGTGGCTCACGCCTGTAATCTCAGCCCTTTGGGAGGCTGAGATGGGTAGATCACTTGAGTCCAAGTGTTCAAGACCAGCCTGGGCAGCATAGCGAGACCCCACCTCAAAATTTAAAAAAAAAATCAATTAAAAAAAAAATCGGGCCGGGCACGGTGGCTCACGCCTGTAATCCTAGCACTTTGGGAGGCCGAGGTGGGTGGATTGCTTGAGCTCAGGAGTTCGAGACCAGCCTGGGCAACATGGTGAAACCCCATCTCTACTAAAATACAAAAAATTAGCCGGGCGTGATGGC
This sequence comes from Homo sapiens, assembly GCF_000001405.40. NCBI lineage: Eukaryota > Metazoa > Chordata > Mammalia > Primates > Hominidae > Homo > Homo sapiens. The sequence goes on along the minus strand of NC_000001.11, from coordinate 37,869,141 downwards.
ACACGCCTGTAATCCCAGCTACTAGGGAGGCTGAGACAGGAGAATTGCTTGAACCTGGGAGGTGGAGGTTGTAGTGAGCCGAGATCGTGCCATTGCACTCCAGCCTGGGTGACAGAGTGAGACTCCGTCTCAAAAAAATAAAAATAAAAAAAAATAAAAGAAAATCAAAACAGTGGACCTGGGCCTTGAACTCAGATTTTTGGACTCCCAAGTCTGTGCTGTTTCCTCACCAGACCGCAACTTCTCTCTGGTTCTAATAGTGAAATGCTATAGGAATGATTTTTTCCTGAAAAGATGGTGCATATTTGACCTGATTCATTGAAACTGCTTGTCATAACCCTCTCCTGATTCTCAAAAATTACCTTTTGTTCCTTGATCATACCACCTGATTTCATTTCTGTCTGTGGAATGCGTGGTTAGGGGCAGTGGAATGTTTTCCTTTTTCTGTGGGTTTGCTGTCCCCATGCCATGCATTTTCCTGGAGCCAGCCTGGCAGAAGTTCTGTCATGATCTTGATTGCTTTCCAGACTCTGATGCCAGTATGGACTGGAGATGATGGGAGCCAGTTGGATAGCCCCATGGAAATCCCCAAAGAGCTCTGGATGATGGTTGATTACCTGTACCGAAATGCTGTCCAGCAGGTAGGTTGTGTTTAAGCATTCAGACCTGATTGAGGCCAGGCTGCCTTGAGGACCATCAGCCCCAAGAACTTTTTTCATAAGGAAACTGTGGAGAACTGTTCTTCACCCAGGGAGGGGAGGAAGGATAGATAGTATGCCATGTTTCACACTCCTGGGAGACCCTGCTATTTTTTTTTTTTTTTTTTTTTGAGACAGAGTTTTATTCTGTTGCCCAGGCTGGAGTGCAATGGTGCGATCTTGACTCACTGCAACCTCCGCCTCCTGGGTTCAAGTGATTCTCCCGCCTCAGTCTCCCAGGTAGCTGGGATTACAGGCACCTGCCATCATGCCTGGCTAATTTTTGTATTTTTGTAGAGATGGGTCTTGCAACTTCTGACCTCAGGTGATCCGCCCACCTTGGCCTCCCAAAGTGCTGGGATGACAGGCATGAGCCACCGCGCTCTGCCAGAGGCCCTGCTATTACGTGTAGTACCTGATTACCCCCAAGGGAAGCAGCGTTGCATAGGAAGCCCATCCCAGCACAGCATAGCATGTTCCTTCCCATGGCCTCTGGGGTCCCCCTGCCAGAAAGCTGCCTGGAGGCCTCTCAGGATGTCATCGCTCTCCTTCAGGAACTCTCACCAGCTTCTGGGAATGGGTGGGGCCAACTTGTTGATAAACCAAGCAGAGGCAGGGGATCAGATGCAACCCCTGGGCCACAAATTTGGAGGCCTGATTTCTAGAGTGACTAGGGCAGCCTTCACTAATCAGATTGGTTAGTTTCACTGACCTGTTTATATAGGTTTCAGGGAGACCTATACAAACTACAAGCCCACTTTACCACTTCAGAGCAACATCCTTTTTTTAAAAAAATATACATTCTTATGATATTCCATTTTCACTTTTCTTCCCCTCACATTTATTGAAAGTTGCAGTGTACCAAGCACTATTCTAAGTGTTTTTTACAGCATTGCCTCTAGTTTTCACAGTAGTTCTCAGATGAGGAAACAGATGCCTGGAAAGGTGAATAACTTGGTTAAGGTCCCAAAGCTGATAAATGGGCAGAGGTGGAATTTGAATACAGTGAATCTGGCTAGAGAAGTCATATTCTTCAGTGCTGTACTATTCTACCTTCTCTGTAGCACTCCTTTCAAATGGAACTTTTGAGCAATACATATAATATTGTTATTATTAATACAGTTATATGGTATTAAGTCATTTTGTAAAACAAATGAACATAAAGTATCCTGAGACTAATAGAAATAGCTTTGCTGCCATAATCTGTTTTTATTGAGATGGAGTCTCGCTCTGTCACCAAGCTGGGGTGCAGTTCACCATCTTGGCTCACTGCAACCTCCGCCTCCCCGGCTCTAGCAATTCTCCTGCCTCAGCCTCCTGAGTAGCTGAGATTACAGGCATGTACCACCAAGCCCAGCTAATTTTTGTATTTTTATTAAAGACGGGGTTTCACCGTGTTGGCCAGGATGGTCTCAATCTCCTGACCTCGTGATCCACCCGCCTCTGCCTCCCAAAGTTCTGGGATTACAGGCATAAGCCAACACGCCTGATGGCTGCCATAATTTTATTTGCCCAAAGCATTGAGGTGCCTTGTTAGCGTTCTCTTATGCTCTTATGCACTGTATATTTTCTTCATTTTTTTTCCCCTGGGTAATCCCTCTATACCACTGCAGGACACATAGCTGCTTTTACATTTTCTCCAATGTTGGATCTTCTTGTGTGATGTGTGCCCTACCCATAGTTTTATAATAGATGCCTGAAGACCTATTGTAGAAACATGCCAGGGAAGGCCTGCAAGATGAATTCGCCACATCAGCCTAAATCAGATCATCTGTCAGGTGATTCAGAGGCCTCACCACACTGCTCCTTTTTGCATTCTGCTATTGATATTGCCAGGTCAGGAAATCATTGATGATTTTCTGAGAAAATAATTATTTTGTTACTGTCTTCCCTTTTGCAGGAAGATCTGTTTCAGCAACCAGGCCTGAGGTCAGAATTTGAACATATCAGGGACTGCTTGGATACTGGAATGATTGATAACCTCTGTATCCTTCAGACATTCAGCTCTGTGTGTGTGTGTGTGTGTGTGTGTGTGTGAGAGAGAGAGAGAGAGAGAGAATATGAGTGAGAGGGGTGAGAAAAAGTAAAGTATTTTATGGCTCAAAATCTGATATTGTATCCTCAGCTACCATGTTTTACTTAAAGTTTGCATAGAGAAGACTTTACAACTTTATTTATTTATTTTTTGAGACAGGGTCCATCTCTATCACCCAGGCTGGAGCCTGTGGAGCCTCCCACCTCAGCCTCCCGAGTAGCTGGGACCACAGGTGCATACTACCACACTTGGCTAATTTTTGAACTTTTCGTAGAGGCAGGGTTTCGCCATGTTGCCCAGGCTAAGAATTTACAACTTTAAGCAACCAATAGAGCAGGAACTCAGGAGGGCCTGGCTCACCTGACAAACAGTGTGGTCCCTTCGAGAAGTTAGGCTGGCATCCTAGCCCTGAGCAGAGAGCCTGACAGGGCAGGCAGCACTTCTGGCATGTGCTTGCTCCTGGGCCTTTTCCTAACCATGGACAGCAGCATTATCGGTTCCTTAACAATGGGGCCAAAAGCTGCCAGCAATCATTCTGTAGCCGAAGCCCTGCTGCTTTTCCTGGAGAGCCTTCCAGAGCCTGTCATCTGTTACAGCACCTACCATAACTGCTTGGAGTGTTCTGGCAACTACACAGCAAGCAAACAGGTGAGAGGAAGCATTGAGCAGCATGTGGTTAGCCCCAGACCCCATGGGGCTAAGGGAACAGAGTGGACACAGTTCCTCAAGTGCAGCATCTCAGAAACTGAACACCTTATCTTTCCTTCTCAAACCTGCTCTTTCTCTTATGTCTTTGTTTCTTTTAATGGCATCACCCTTAATTCCAGTGAGTCAACCCCGAAACCTGAGTCATTTCTGACTCCACCCTCTCCTTGCCTCCCATGTGCCCAGTCTCGTTGATCTATCACCCATCCTCTCTCTTCCATTCTCATTGCACTTAGCTTGGTTCAGTGCCCTGCATTCACGATCTCCTTCTGCTGATTTGTTTTGCATGCTGCCATCAGATTGTGTATTCTAAAGCTATTGTCATGTGACTGTTGGTCAAAAACTATACTTGGCTCTCTATTGCCAATTACTGATTTTCTTAAATATTGAAGACGTTCTATGATCTAGCTTGGTGGTTCACACATACAACAGGCCTTGGCAGAATAATCTAGAAAACTTGCCAATAATAGAGATTCTAAAGCCACACCCCAAATCTACTGAATCACACTTTTTTTTTTTTTGAGATGGAGTCTTGCTGTGTCACCCAGGCTGGAGTGCATTGGCGCGATCTCAGCTCACTGTAATGCCTCCCAGGTTCAAGCGATTCTCCTGCCCCAGCCTCCTGAGTAGCTGGGATTACAGGCGTGCACCACCATGCCTGGCTAATTTTTGTATTTTTAGTAGAGATGGGGTTTCACCATGTTGGCCAGGTTGGTCTTGAACTACTGACCTCAGGTGATCCACCCTCTTCGGCCTCCCAAAGTGCTGGGATTACAGGCATGAGCCACTGAGCCCATAATCACTTTTGGAATCTATTCAAACTTCCAAACTGATTCTGATATGCAGATAGCTGGAGTACTCATTGATCAGGGCCTGATCAACCCTTCTAATTATGCTCCTGCCAAAATTGACTTCTCATAAAGTGTTCTCTCTACTTACTTCACTATTTCCCTTCTCCTGCCCTTTTTTTATACTTTCTTTGCTCTCACCCCAGTTATTAACCTCTGTAAGTCCCATTTTGTCTTACATTCAAGACCCAACTAAAATGTCTTATTTCTTTCAGTCTTATAGGAACATGTAGTTAAAAGTTTGACTTCTAAATTCATGTTGCATTTGACCCGTACCTCTCTTTTGATACTTATGCCAAGTGGTAAGCAACCAGTTTTCTGTGCACAGTCTTTCTCGTGCACTTGGATCGTGTATACAGTTCTTGGACTATAGTAGGCACTTGAGAAATGATTCAGTGAACAAAAGACAAATCCCGGTTCTTCCTCTTTCAGGTCATTTCTACTCTCCCCATATTCCACAAAAATGTCTTCCACTACTTGATGGCGTTTTTGCGAGAACTGCTGAAAAATTCAGCAAAAAATCATTTGGATGAGAATATTCTAGGTAAGCAGCCAAATGTCTATGGAAAGCATTTCTGCAAACTGAGAGACTCGTAATGAGAAATGAGGTTGAGGAGGGTCCCAGGTCCCTTGCAGTAGAACTAAAATATCAAGCTCTGGGCAAAGATTTTTTAAAGCAGAAAGTTTTGCGTTTGGACACTCCTCCCCACTCCTAACAACACAAGAGTAAGTATAGTCATGGGCTGGGGGCGGTGGCTCACACCTGTAGTCCTAGCACTTTGTGAGGCTCAGGTGGACGGATCACCTGAGGTCAGGAGTTCAAGACCAGCCTGGCCAACATGGTGAAACCCCATCTCTACTAAAAATACAAAAATTAGCTGAGTGTGGTGGTGCATGCCTGTAATCCCAGCTAAACGGGAGGCTGAGTTAGGAGAATCGCTTGAAACTGGGAGGCGGAGGCTGCAGTGACCCGAGACCGCACCACTGCACTCCAGCCTGGGCGACAGAGTGAGACTCCATCTCAAAAAAAAAAAAAAAAGTATAGTCATGTACCATATAACATCTTGGTCAACGAAAGACCACATATACGATGGAGGGCCCATAAGATTATAATACCGTGGTTTTGTGCGTGTGTGTTTGTGTGTGCATGTGTGTGTGTGTGTGTGCTTGAGAAAGTCTCACTCTGTCACCCAGGCTGGAGTGCAGTGGTGTGATCTCAGCTCACTGCAACCTCTGCCTCCTGGGTTCAAGTGATTCTTGTGCCTCGGCCTCCTGAGTAGCTGGGATTATAGGCGCTTGCCACTATGCCCAGCTTTTTAATTTAATTTAATTTAATTTTTTAGAGATGGAGTCTCGCTCTGTCGCCAGGCTGGAGTGCAGTGGCGTGATCTCAGCTCACTGCATCCTCCGCCACCCGGGTTCAAGCAATTCTCCTGCCTCAGCCTCCCGAGTAGCTGGGACTACAGGCGCGCACCACCATGCCCAGCTAATTTTTGTATTTTTATTAGAGACAGGGTTTTACCATGTTGGCCAGGATGGTCTCAATCTCTTGACCTCGTGATTCCACCCGCCTCGGCCTCCCAAAGTGCTGGGATTACAGGCCTGAGCCACCGCACCCTGCCTTTTTTTTTTTTTTTTTTTTAAAGGGCAGTGACCCTCCCCACTGCAGGATGGGAGAGGGCTGGGAGCCAGTGGGAGCCAGATGGTCACCCAGGCCCTCACAGCCAACCCTTGGACAGGGGCCACCGGGCCACACCCTCCAACGCCCGTGCCTCAACCATCCCTACCACGCTCATGGAACCTCATCGCATCCTGGGGACGAGCCCCCACTGGGGACACGGGGTGGTTGGGGGAGGAGGCAGGAACCAGAGAGGCAGGACACCAAGCAGGGCTGCCTCCCCCACAACCCCCCAACCTCAGCCACCTCTGACACAGCACCATTCCCCTTGGAAAGCCCACTGGCAGGGACAGGCTAATTTTTGTTATTTTTAGTAGAGATGGGGTTTTACCATGTTGGCCTAGCTGGTCTTGAACTCCTGGCCTCTAGTGATCTGCCCGCTTTGGCTTCCCAAAGTGCTGGGATTATAGGTGTGAGCCACCACACCCAGCTCATAATACCGTATTTTTGATGTGCCTTTCCTATGTTTAGATATATTTGGATGCACAAATACTTAGCACTGTGTTACAATTGCCTGTAGTATTCAGTATAGTAACATGCTGTACAGGAGCTTAGGAGCAATAGACTATACCATCTAGAATTGTGTAAGTACAGGTTTGTGAAAGTTTAAGTACACGCTATGATGTTTGCACAATGATGAAATCACCTAATGACACATTTCTCAGAACATATCCCTGTCGTTAAGTGATGTGTGTCTTTAGTACCTTCTTTTGCTGAATCATTTCTTTTCTGTGTTTTTTCTTGCAGCTAGCATATTTGGCAGCTTATTGCTTCGAAACCCAGCTGGTCACCAAAAGCTTGATATGACAGAGAAGAAGAAGGCTCAAGAATTTATTCACCAGTTCCTCTGCAACCCACTCTGAGCCTCTCTCTCCTCCTATTTTACTTGAGGCTGCCAATTACCAGCCCCACCTGTTTCAGCTCAAGAGATGCCTTAAGATAATTATGTGAGGCCACTTGGTAGCAAGAATGGCAGCTATTTCCTGAGCCTAGTACCCCAATTAAGCCCACCATTGGTTAGCACACTCAGCGCTGTGAGTCGTGAAGACACGGGAGAAAATCCACCATAATAAAACTGACATTCAATTTTCAACTTTAGTTATTTAACACAGATTTTTTTATTTTTTATTTTTTTTTATTTTGAGACGGAGTTTTGCTCTGTCGCGCAGGGTGGAGTGCGGTGGCACGATCTCGGCTCACTGCAACCTCTGCCTCCTGGGTGCAAGCAATTATCCTGCCTCAGCCTCCCGAGTAGCTGGGACTGCAGGCACACACTGCCACGCCCAGCTAATTTTTTGCATTTTAGTAGAGACGGGGTTTCACCGTGTTGCCCAGGCTGTTCTAAAACTCCTGAACTCAGGTAATCTGCCTGCCTCGGCCTCCCCAAGTGCTAGGATTACAGATGTGAGCCACCACGCCCGGCCTTTTTTTTTTTTTTTTCTTTTTTGAGATGGAGTTTCACTCTTGTTGCCCAGGCTGGAGTGCGTTGGCGTGGTCTTGGCTCACTGCAACCTCTGCCTCCTTGGTTCAAGCAATTCTCCTGCCTCAGCCTCTCGAGTAGCTGGGATTATAGGCGTCCGCCACCATGCCTGGCTAATTTTTTTGTGTGTTTTTAGTATAGACACGGTTTCACCATGTTGGCCAGGCTGGTCTCGAATGCCTGGCCTCAGGTGATCCACCTGCCTTGGCCTCCCAAAGTGCTGGGATTACAGGCATGAACCACCACGCCTGGCCTAAAATGTTTTTAAATAACTGTACTTGTACTCACTCACCCTACCTCCAGGGCATAGTCAGTCTGGGCTGAGATCCCCATGATCAGATATTTGATGGAAAGTCCTGAAAGGCCAATGAGTTGGATGGCAAGAATGCAGGCAGAAGCTGCTGGATAAAATAGGCTACAGCCACCTCAGATGCTTTCAGTGCTCTGTCTGAGGATGTGTATATGCATATGCAAACTCGACCCCCGTTCCTGCCCAGATAATGGCTCAATAACTCTGAGGCTGGTTGCTCAGCCTCTGAGGGCAATACAGGCATTTAAAAAATTAAAATGACCAGGCACAGTGGCTCACGCCTGTAATCTCGGCACTTTGGGAGACTGAGGTGGGAGCATCACTTGAGACCAGGAGTTTGGGACCAGGCTGGGCAACACAGGGAGACCCCCTCTCTACAAAAACATTTTTAAAAAATTAGCTGGGTGTGGTGATGCATGCCTGTGGTCCCAGTTACTTGGGAGGCTGACGTGGGTGGCTCACTTGAGCACAGGAGTTTGAGGCTGCAGTGACCTATGACCACATCACTGTACGCCAGCCCGGGTGAGAGAGGGAGACCCCGTCTCTAAAAATAAAATGTAAAATCACTGAAAAAATGAGTGTTCGGTGAAACAAGTGGGATTTTCTGGGCCAGCAAGTCTTCCAAACTGTATATGATGCATCCTGTCTCCATGTGTAATATATTTTAATGATAAATGTATTTTTAACAGTGGCGGTTGTGTATGTTTTTATGTCTTAAGAGATGGCAGTTCGCTGCAGCTGGATTTTGTGGCTCAAGCCTTGGGGCCAAAGAGACATATTCCTGGCAGTCTGGTGGGTACCAGTCACTATTCACATACTTCCAGCAAGAAATGGTTATGGCACTGACCTGAACCCCTTGACCCCTGGTCTGGTCTTTGGAGTTGTCCCACTCTGAATATTCGAGAGAAGCAGCTTATGGTTAAAACAGGCAGTGGCAGCTGGGAGGATCTAACAGCTAGATCCTCCAGGCATTTGGAAAGGACAGGGGCATAACGAAGGCAGAATCGCTTCCTGGGTACGAATGCCCACTACTTCTGGGCACTGTGAAATGGGTTTAAGACGCGGGCCAGCAGGACAATGTGAACGGTGAAAGGAAGGGAGTGGCCGGTAGGTGGCGCTAACTGGCCCGGGCATGAGTCCCGCCGTAGCCGCGTCCTCTTGCAGGGGAAGAAAGTTGGGACCGCCAGCCTGGGCAAGCGCGTGAGAAGGGAGCTGGGGGTCCTAGGCAAGCGCGTGAGAAGGGGAAGAGGCGGCGGCGTCCTCTCCAGCTGGGCTTAGAATACTCTTAGTTCTGCCTTTGGGGTCTTGTCTTCCTTTCTGGGCCTCCTGCCTGTGTTAACTTTGATGGGTGCTGAAGGGAAGGCCGGGGTCCCGGCAGGAGAAACCCGGGAACGTCGCGGCCGTCCAGGCTCCCCTGGCGGGTTGGAGCCAGGGTTCTGACTGCCAACTGTGGTCCTTCCCGCTGCGGCTGTGGCTGCCAGGGCGAGGGCGGTCAGCGCAAACCTGGCTGAGGACATTTCGGATTCTTCCTTGGGGATTCGTTCCCTTCTCCTTGACTCCGGTGCCGCGAGGGCGACACCCTCCGGGCCCCGCGTGGCCACCCCGGGCGCTTCCCCACGCGGATGAACCCACCTCCTGGGCGCCTTCCCCTCGGTGCCCCGCTCGCCAATTGGAGGCTGCAGCTCAGCCCCCTGACAACCTGAGCCAACCAGAGGCGCCAGGGAGGGGCGGATCCTCTGTCCCCACCTTCCTCCGGAAAGAGGAAGCGGAAGTGACGTTAGGGGAAGGTGGGGGCAATCATGGTGCCGCTGGGGAGGGGAGAAGCTGCTGCTGCCGCCGTTGCCGGGAGCCGCGGAGGTAAAAGGCGAAACTAGACTCGGCCTGGGCTTGGGACTTACCGGGAGGCGCGGGACTTAGGCTCCCTCCTGAAGCATTTCCCAATAGAGACCTCAGTTTGGTCACCATAGGGACCCCACCCCTTCTCCGTTTCCATGGGGATGGGTATCCAGCCCCCCTTCCCTGTTTCCATGGAGACCCGGACCCTGCCCCTCTCCTCCTTGCTTGGAGACCCCCAGCTTGTCTTCGGATTTTTCTGTGTAGCCCTGTGCTGGGGGCTATCCCAGACAGGTTCCTTTTCCCAGCCTCCTCTCAAGGGGGCTCTGTTCGCACTCCTCGTTGGCTACCCTCAAACCTCCTGGTCTTGTTTGTTTCGGACAGTTGGTCTCCGCGTTGCCGCCGAGGGTGCCGGGGCAGCCCACTGGGGCCCTCGGTGCTCTTCTCTCTCTGCTCAGATGCAGCGAAATGTACATCTGTGGGGTTGCGTAAGCCAGAGCTAGGGGTCGGGCCGGTACCTCCCGGATCCAATCCTTTGGCCTGTCTCTGGTAACTGTCTAGCCATCCCACTAAGTAAAGGCTCACTTTCTAACCCAGAGCAGAAGAGAAAGATAAAGCGCAAAGCCAGACTGAAAACTAAAAGGGATGTGCTGATTATTTTAAAATTCTCTATTCTGCCTGCCAAACCCACATTTGTAGAGCCTGTGTTTGCAGATGAAGGAAGAATCACTATTCCAGAACATGAAAGCTTCAAATGTGGTATTTTTCTCAAGAGAATGTATCTTCCCAAGATAGTATATCTTCACGAGAGAGTAGGTAGCCATGTCTTTCAGTCATTTAGCTGACATTTCCTGAACTCTTATCATAGTATCAGTGTACTATGCTAGGAGCTGTAGAAACAAAAATAATAAGACTCAATTGATTCAGGGACGAGAGCCCACCACAGAACCATAACTTCTTGTTGACACCATATTGTTTTAGGACATAAATAGATACAGTGATCTTCGTTGTTTGTGCCTGATTGAGGAATAGCCCTTCCACCCAGAAGGTTGAAACATCTGTTCTAGGTAGGGGGGAAGGAATTCATACTTGTTCCTCTACTATTTACCAAACATTGTGCTTTACATATGTTGCCTCTTTTATTTCTTATAAAAACTTTGAGAGAACAGGAATTACTGGTCCCACCTTGCACGTAAGAAAAATGAGGCACAGAAAAGTTACCCATGTAGTAAAAGGCAAAGACAGGATTTGTAGGTAGATGACTCTGCCTCCAAAGCCTTGCTCCTTCTACCATAAACTGCATGAAACCATTTACTGCCTCGTGGTCTGATTTGGAGGATATTTGAATGGATGGAGTTTCCCTTAAGATTTGTAGCAACTCAGCCTTTCAGCAGCTGCTGTTCTGTTTGCTCTTTTGTCCCCTTTAAATATTTTGACCAAGTTTCAAATTGTTTGACAGGCGTATTCAGAAGGTCTTATGAACTTATTCAGTTTTTGAAAAGCATTGCTTTTCTTTCTTTTTCTTTTTTTTTTTTTTTTATTAGAGATGGGGGTCTCACTATGTTGACCAGGCTGATCTCAAACTCCTGGCCTCAAGCGATCCTCCCATCTTAGCCTCCCAAAGTGTTGGGATTACAGGTGTGAGCCACCACGCCCAGTCGGCATTGCTTTTCTTTAAAAATGACTTGATGGTTTTAAAGTTAAAATAAAAAAATTATTCCCAAGGATGGTTTTTCATTTGCTTTGGCTTGCTCTTTAAGTGAGAGGGAAAATGAGCCTTGTGGTTGCTGAGGAGGTCCGTCGGTCTTGTGGTATGACTCTAACTCTGGCTTTGTTCTGTTGCAGACAAGTCATTACGTTTTCATTTCTCACAACTGGGCTGAGCACAACTGAACCATGGGGGAACACAGTCCAGACAACAACATCATCTACTTTGAGGCAGAGGAAGATGAGCTGACCCCCGATGATAAAATGCTCAGGTTTGTGGATAAAAACGGACTGGTGCCTTCCTCATCTGGAACTGTTTATGATAGGACCACTGTTCTTATTGAGCAGGACCCTGGCACTTTGGAGGATGAAGATGACGACGGACAGTGCGGAGAACACTTGCCTTTTCTAGTAGGGGGTGAAGAGGGCTTTCACCTGATAGATCATGAAGCAATGTCCCAGGGTTATGTGCAGCACATTATCTCACCAGATCAGATTCATTTGACAATAAACCCTGGTTCCACACCCATGCCAAGAAATATTGAAGGTGCAACCCTCACTCTGCAGTCGGAATGTCCGGAAACAAAACGTAAAGAAGTAAGTAAAGCAGTCAGTGAGGGCCTAGTTTGGTTTTGGGGCAAGTCCTTACAAAATTCTTGGTGCAAATTTTAGCTGGGGAGTAAAGGAGTGCATGGGGTTAGGACTTAAGTAGTTTTGCTATCAACAACATATGCCTCAGGTTTTGTTGTGATTGCTTCTGGAACTTTTGGTTTGTATAGCCACATTGAAATTTGGGAATATCAAATTGTAATTTCTCGAATTTCCTTCCCCAAATCATAAATAAAACAGAAATTTCACTTAAGTAGACCCATGTTTCTGGTGCTAAAATAACTATTTAGCTTATCTACAGGGAAATAACTGGAGTTTGCTTATTTGATGAAGAAATAACTATATTTGGCTTATCTCCTGGTTGTGTTTAAATGATTTGTTTTAGAGATGAGTATCTGCTGGAATATGTTTTATTATCTTAGTGAATGTTTAATGAACTTTTATTTCACAGTGGCACACGCCTGTAATCCCAGCACTTTGGGAGGCTGAGGCGGGTGGATCATTTGAGGTCAGGAGTTCGAGAGCAGCCTGGCCAACATGGTGAAACCCTGTCTCTGCTAAAAATACAAAAATTAGCCAGGCTTGGTGGCACATGGCTGTAATCCCAGCTACTCAGGAGGCTGAGGCAGGAGAATCACTTGGACCCGGGAGGCAGAGGTTGCAGTGAGCCGAGATCATGCCACTGTACTCCAGCCTGGGCGATAGAGTGAGACTCCATCTAAAAAAAAAAAAAAAAAAAGAAAGAAATTCAGGCTGGGCACAGTGGCTCATGCCTGTAATCCTAACACTTTCTGTAATCCCAGCACTTTGGGAGGCCGAGGCAGGTGGATCACCTGAGGTTAAGAGCACCCTGGCCAACATGGTGAAACTCCATCTGTACTAAAAATAGAAAAATTAGCCAGGCATAGTGGCGGGTGCCTGTAATCCCAGCTATTTGGGAAGCTGAGGCAGGGGAATTACTTGAATCTGGGAGGTGGAGGTGGCAGGGAGCCAAGATCGTGCCACTGCACTCCAGGCTGGATGAGAGAGAGAGACTCAGTCTCAAAAAAAAAAAAAAAAAAAAAAAAAGGAAATTCAGGCAAGAGACAGTAAATGAGAGCAGGTTATCTAAAATAAGTTTTCATTTTCATGTTTAGCTAATGTGAGTAAGCTAATGCATGTCAGGATGTTTTGAAAACTGTAAAGCATTTTACAAATTATATTAGTGGTTATTATTAGCAGAATAAAAGTTCTGGTTTAAAGGTAGTGATATACATTATCTAGGAACTATTTTTTTTTTTGAGATGGAGTTTCACTCTTGTTGCCTAAGCTGGAGTGCAGTGGTGCGATCTTGGCTCACTGCAACCTCTGCCTCCTGGGTTCTAGCAATTCTCCTGCCTCAGCCTCCTGAGTAGCTGGGATTACAGGCACGCACCACCATGCCCAGCTAATTTTTTGAATTTTTAGTAGAAATGAGGTTTCACCATGTTAGCCAGGCTGGTCTCGAACTCTTGACCTCAGGTGATCCACCTGCCTTGGCCTTCCAAAGTGCTGGGATTACAGGCATGAACCACCATGCCCGGCCCATCCAGGAACTATTACAGGTCAATTAGAAAAAAATAAGTCACTAGTAGTTACAGTACCAAGGACTAAGATGTTACCAAACAGAAATAGGGTGAATGATTTAGCAAGGAATATCTTTTTTGCTGTGGTTGAGGTCTTAAAATTGCATATGGCTTATTGATGGCATATCACTTTTCCTTTGCTAGCCTTAGAGAGACCATCTTGTCCCACCTCCTACCCTATGCAGAAATCTCCCTATGGCATCCCTGACATCAGTTAATCTTGTTTCTGCTTGAAGACATCCAGAACAACAAGAGCAGAGTGTTTCATACCCCAACCCAATACATTTGTTAGCCAGCTCTGATTGTTAGAAAGCTTTTACTTGTATAGAACCAAAACCTGCCTTTCTGCAGGTGCTGCCCACTGGTTCTAGATCTGCCTTCCTGAGTAAACTTTCTCCCACAGAACAGTCCATCAGCTATTTGAAGATCATGGATTTTTCTTCCTCTTGTACAGGCTAACCACCTCCATTTACTTAAATGTCCCTCTGTGACATTTTCCCCAGTCTCTCATCAGCCTAGTCACCTTTGATTATATGAATTCCAGTTTTCCAAGGTCCTTTTTTTCTTCTTTTTTTGAGATGGAGTTTTGCTGTTGTTGCCCAGGCTGGAGTGCAGTGGCGTGATCCCGGCTCACTGCAACCTCCGCCTCCCAGGTTCAAGCGATTCTCCTGCCTCAGCCTCCCAAGTAGCTGGGATTACAGGCATGCGCTACCACACCCAGCTAATTTTGTATTTTTAGTAGAGACAGGGTTTCTCCATGTTGGTCAGGCTGATCTCGAACTCCTGACCTCAGGGGATATGCCTGCCTTGGCCTCCCAAAGTGCTGGGATTACAGGCATGAGCCACCGCGCCCGGCCCCAGAGTCCTTTTAAAATCTGCAGTTGAGCGCAGTCTCATAAGTGTGAGTCAACTAGCACTGAATACAGTATGGCTCTTATCTCTTAATCTGGACACTGTACTACAATTACTATATAGTCTACATTTTATCAGCAACATCTTACTGTTAGCTTATAGTTGGAAATTTCTAGAGTAGTGCTTCTTAACTGCGGGCAGCTTTGCCCTCAGGAGATGTTTGGCAATGTCTAGAAACATTTTGTATTGTCATACTGTGGAGGCGATACTGGAATCTAGTGGGTAGAGGTTAAAGACATTGTTAAATGTTTTACAGTGCACAGGACAGCCCCCTACAACAAAGAACTGGCCCAAAATAGTGATAGTGCTGGGATTGAGAAACCCTGCTCTAGATTATTCTCATGTATGCAGCTGTCAGATCTAACAAAAATGAAAATGGAGACCTGCATGTAAGCCTTATTAAGAATATCTCCCGGCTGGACATGGTGGCTCACGCCTGTAATCCCAACACTTTGGGAGGCCAAGGCTGGTGGATCACCTGAGGTCAGGAGTTCGAGACTAGCCTGGCCAACACAATGAAACCCTGTGTCTATTAAAAATACAAAAAATTAGCCGGGCGTGGTGGCAGACGCCTGTAATCCCAGCTACTCTGGAGACTGAGGCAGGGGAATTGCTTGAACCCGGGAGGTGGAGGTTGCAATGAGCCAAGATGGTGCCACTGCACTCCAGCCTGGGCAACAAGAGCAAAACTCCATCTCAAAAAATAAAAAATAAAAATATCTCCCTATGAAATTTTATCTTGTTGGTTTCAGTCCAATATTTGAGCTTGTAGGGGGGTTCATTTCAACTCAACAAACATTTATAAAGCAAAATGCTGTTATGCTCTGTGGATGTTGCAAATGATTGTGGTAGTCGATTTATAGCATAGAAGCAGAAATTGTTTACACCAATAATCATAGCAGCAAACACAGTGTGGTAAATGTGAAGGAGAGGTACAAATATTGCACTGTGAGCACAGGGAAGCTCACCCTTAATTCTGGGATCAGGGAAGTCTTTGTGAAAAAGGTGGCGTTTGAGCTGGTCTTAAAGAATACATACAATTTAGGAAAAAAGCAGGAGAAGGTTTTTCCAAGAGAGAGGAACAGCATGAAACAAGGAATGCAGGTGGGAAACAGGCCATTTTCAGGGAATAGCCAGTTGTCCTGTTACAACAGAGTCAGCACACTTTTTTCTGCTTAGGGCTAAATAGTAAATATTCTGGGCTTTGCAGGCTATAAGGTCTCTGTTGGAGCTACTCCATTCTTCCATTGTAGCACAAAAGCAGCCATAGACAATACATAAAGAATGAACATGGCCAAGTTCTGATAAGACTTTACAAAAACAGGCAGTGGGGTGGATTTGGTTCACTGGCTGTAGTGTGCTGACCCTTAGACTAGAACATAGTAGTAGAAGGAGATAAGGATGGAAAGATAGCAAAGATCCAAACATGGAAGGCAGTGGTAACCTTCTATGGGTTTTGAACTGTACTCTCCTAGAAATGGTGGGAAACCATTGGAGGTGTCTAAGCCAAGGCTAGAGTGGTTAGATAGAGAATGTGGTTAGAGTAGCATTTTAGAAGGATTGGTCTGGCAGCAGAGGTAGCTTGGAGGCAGAGGAAAACTGGAGACTTCTTGCCTAGTTAGGAGACAGTTGTAGTTTATGTTTGGGGTTTCATTTAAATCTGAAGAAAGGATAGTGGCCTTGTTCATGGGAAGAATCAAGGACTTTTGTAGAAGTACGAGAGAACTTCGTACGTGTTATTGGAGTTTGATGAATGAGCCATGAGTTGGGCATGATTCAAAGGTTTTGAATAGGCCAGGCACAGTGGCTCATGCCTGTAATCCCAGCACTTTCGGAGGCAGAGGCAGGTGGATCAGTTGAGGTCTGGAGCTCTAGACCAGCCTGGCCAACATGGTGAAACCCTGTCTCTACTAAAAATACAAAAATTAGCCGGTTGTGGTGGTGCATGCCTGTAGTCCCAGCCACTTGGGAGGCTGAGGCAGGAGAATCACTTGAACCCAGAGGGCGGAGGGTGCAGTGAGCCATGATTGTGCCACTGCATTCCAGCCTGGGCAACAAAATGAGAATCTGGTTGGAAAAAAAAAAAAGGTTTTGAATCATGTTGATTGAAAGGATTCATCCATTTTCCCAAATTTGTTGAGTTTCTGCTGTGTCTTAGCACAGCTTTTTGATGGAGCTCAAATCTAGGTGAAGAGTTAAGCAGTTAAGAGTCCGTTGTGGTAGATATTTTAACAGAGGTGTATTCGAAGTGCTGTGTGCATGCTGAGGAGAAAGTGGCTAACTCTGCTCTCCGCACCCTCCAAATGGTGATCCCATTCATAGGAATCAAGAAAGATGGGAAAAGGAAAAAGTTTTGATGGGGTAATTAAAGAGTTTGGTAGGAGTGTATTGAATGTATAGTCCTTGGAGAAAAGTAACATGAACAAATGGAAAGCTCATTGGAAACGTGTATCTGAGGTCAAAGAAATGGTTTGGAGTTAGAATAGTAGTAGAAAGGGGCCTTCAAACTGTGGGTAGTTTACTTAAGGGAGAAGTAAGAGTTGGCCTGAGAATTTAAGGGTTGGAAAGAGAAAGAGGAACCCAAGAAGATCACAGTAGTCAAAGAGATGGGTCGACTGCAGTGTTGTGGAAGCTGAAGGAAGAGAGTGTCAACAAATGAGAATATTCCTGTGTGACCCTGCAGAGGGATTGAGGAGCCCCGAAGAAGCCTTTAGTTGTGCTGGTTGTGCAGTTGTTCACATATCATGAGAAGACTTGCAGCAGAGCACTGGGGCTGAAGCCAGGTTTTGAGTGATGAAGAAGTGAGTGAGTGATGAGGAAACAGGAGGCAGGAAATGTCAAGTTGGCTTTTTTTTTTTTTTTTAAATAAGTTTGGTAGTTAGAGGAAGAAGAGTGATGAGGCAGTAGTAGCTAGCTCAAGGAGATTGAATCATTTTTGTTTAGCATAGGTAATTTGGACATAGTTTAGGACCTAAACTTTAGGCCATCCTCCATCAGTGATTACTGTGTGAAAGTGTTTCATGAGCGAATGTTCGGGAAACATTAAGTTAAACCAAGACAGAAATTTGTTGATTAGGACTTCTCAGAGCCTTTGATGTGCCAACAGCTAAGAAGGAAGAAAACACAGAATTTTTCAAATGCTTTAAACTTGAGAAACCATTTTTCAGATCTAATTTCCAGGGATCAGTGTTTTGTGGAACACATTTTGGGAAATGCTGATCTAGGCAGAAGAGGAGGAGATGGTACAGAGGGAATGATTATGCAATCAGTGAAAAGCTGTCACTTTTCCACTTTGTACTATTCAAATTGGTTTATTCTATTTGCAAGTCTGGTTTGCCATTCTTGTCTTCAGATCATTGATAATCATATTGAATAGCACAGGGTCAAGGATATTATGAGCACTTTGTTCAGTTTGCTGGGGATTTAGCTCACTCCACTTTCCTCTCACCCACATTTTTCCATGCTATCCATGAGACCTTTGTGGAAGATGCTATATTCTTGAAATCAGTAGGTTTGGGGTTGGGTGGAGATTGAAGGAGAAGTAGCAGTAGCTTTAGTCTTCGAAAATCTTGCTTAATGACCAGACATTCAGGAGGCTTGCCTTCCTGAAGCACTGTCTTAGCTTAGCTTTTGTTTTGGCAGTGATTTTATTTTGGCATTAAAATCCACTTATTTGGCCTGAAGAGGCTGATGTTTATGACTACTCGATAACAGACTTCATGATCCTTTAGCTCTTCCTTACTCCTTTTCCTTTCGTTTTTTTTCAGCTTGGTTTTTGGTTTTTTCTTTTCCCTCCATGCACAGGTGTTACTCTTGAGAAATCAAATCATTTGATAACTAGTTGGTCTTCTTGGCTTCCCAAGCAGCTTATTTTCTGAGTCACATTTTAGCCTGAATTTCCTGTTTACTCCTGGTTTTTTCATTGTTTCATATAGTGTGGAGTTGGCTTACCTATTACTTCATTTTCTTTTCTTCATGCTTGTCTTGCGCAAAAAATAAACCAACCAGAACCTTGCCACAGATAGTCTTTTCCTACCACAAGGCCGCTGGTCATTCTGACTCGAATTTCACGTATCTTATTCTCATACTTGTTATTTCATTACTGTCTCCCTACTGATTTGGTAGCTTTGAGATCTCTCTCTCTCTCTCTCTCTCTTTCTCTCTCCCTTTTTTTTCTCTTTCTCTCTCTCATTCCCTTCCTCCCTCCCTTCCTTCCTTCTTTTCCCTTTCTGTCTTTCTTCTTTCCTTTCTCTCTTGAAACAGGGTCTCACTGTGTCACACAGGTTGGAGTGATTACAGTGGTGGGATCGTAGCTCACTGTAACCTCAAACTCCTGGGCTCAAGCAATCCTCCTGCCTCGACCTCCCAAAGTGCTGGGATTATAGGCATGAGCCATGGCACTTGGCCAGCTTGCAAAATTTCTAATCAAAATATTTTCATTCTGCCTAAAAACAAAAGCTTTTTTTTTTTTTTTTTTTTTTTGGTTGAGACAGGGTTCCATTCTGTAGCCAGGCTGGAGTACAGTGGCACGATCATGGCTCACTGCAGCCTTAACCTCCCAGGCTCAAGCCGTCCTGCCACCTCAGCCTCCACAGTAGCTGGGACCACAGGCATGTGCTACTGTGCCGGCTACTTTTTGGTGGTTGTTTTGGTAGAGAGGGGTCTCACTATGGGCTGGTTCCAAAATCCTGGGCTCACGCAATCCTTCCACCTTGGCCTCCCAAAGTATTGTGATTACCGGCATGAGCCACCATGTCTGGCCCTTTAAGGCCTTTCTACTCCAAGTCTCGAAGCAGCTGCGTCTTGTTGTTTGTTTGTTTGTTTACGTATTTTATTTTATTTTTTTAAGACACTGGGTCTTGCTATGTTTGCCCAGGCCATCATCATAGCTCACTGTAACCTGGAACTTCTGGCCTCAACCAATTCTCCCTCCTTAGCCTCCTGAGCTGCTGGGATTAAAGGCATGAGCTACCACACCTGGCAACTGTGTTTTCTTTAGTTGGTTTGTGCAGTCCATTCTTGAATCTGTGCCCTTCCATAGAACCTGCCAGGACGGTCTAGTTACCTGTTCATCTACCTCTGTCTGCACTACATTGGTGACGTGATGTATCCTCCATGGCTAACTGACCTTGCCAGTTTTCTATAGAGTAGTTGGCCAAGGAGCATGAAAAAACCCTAGGAATCGTATGCAAAATTTATTCTACATGATGCACCAAAGTATTCCAGCACATTGATTAGGAAAGGTATCATTTTCTACCAACAAGCACAGTTACAGCAATTTTTTTTTTTTTTTAATTGAGGTGAAGGCTTGCTCTGTTGCCCAGGCTGGAGTACAGTGGCACGATCTTGGCTCACTGCAACCTCCGCCTCCAGGGTTCAAGAGATTCTCCTGTCTCAGCCTCCCGAGTAGCCAGGATTACAGGCATGTGCCACTAGGCCTGGCTAAATTTTGTATTTTTAGTAGAGATGGGGTTTCACCATATTGGTCAGGCTGGTCTTGAACTCCTGACCTCAGGTGATCCACCCGCCTTGGCCTCCCACAGTGCTGGGATTACAGGTGTGAGCTGCTGCGCCTGGCCTACAGCAATGTTTTTAGGCTGCTTGGTATATTGCTTCTAGACACACCATGAACTAATTGCATGGCCAGTGGCATTCCAAGAGGAGAGTTATTTCTTTTAGTGTGACAGATTTTAAGTATAACAGGAAAAATCTGACTCCAGTGTTTTGGAGCCTTTTTGCAATGTATGTCCTTTACTTTGGGAGACCTAGTTCCAATCTCATGCCTCATTATAAATTCCTCAGGCAGTGGAATGATCCACTCAGACAAACCAAGATGTTGTTGACTCTCCTAGAGGGGAACTACCGACTTTTTAGTCTTTGCATACTGTGATTACATTTCTTTGCAGGTTCCCTTCTGAACTCTGATGGCTTGTAAGTGTGAGGCTCTGTAGGAATCCAGAGCAAGAAGCATTTTCCATTTACCCCCATATGAAGCCATTTTATCAGTGTGTCTGCATGTGTATTATATACCTCTCCTTAGTAATCAGCATTTCCATCACTCAGGTCCACTGGCCTGGAAAAGGGACTAGACTGGTTTTGTGTACAATTGGGTTTCAAACTTGGTGCTATAGGAATTATAGGTCTCGATTTACATTTCACATAGGTTGTACATATTAAGTACTGCCAACATTTTGCTGTTATATGACATTGGCAAAAGAACCTGAATTTTATTTTTTTCTCCTCATATTTAAATCAGGCTTACTTGTTTCTTCTGTGATGTGCAAAGGGATAGTTTCAACCTAGGTTCCAGCTTTGTTCTGTTATGTACTAGCTATGTGGCCTTGGGCAAGCTGCTCTGTTTCCTTTTTTATAAAATTGAAATAGAAATATCCCATTGCATTTTGTGAAGATTAAATGAGATTTATTCATATGTAATATGTATAAAACATTTAGCATAGTGTCTGGTGCATCATGATTGTTCGCTGGATGTTCATTTGCTTTCTTTTCCTCATAGACCCCCATGGTTCTTGAAGGAGGTAAAGAGGTAATGTCCAGTTTAACAAGAGGTTAAAATGTTCTTTGTTAGGCACTCTTTGGGAGGTGTTTTCTCCTTGAGACAAGCTTACATATAAATTGTGATTAGGTTCCAGGATAGCCCATAGAAATCTTGGTAACCCCTAATTAGCTGAACTGTTGTATTAATACTGCCATGGAACATAAACCGCCATTTATAACTGTGTTTTATTCATTTAATTTTTTGAGACAGGGTCTCACTTTGTCACCCAGGCTGAGTGCAGTGGAGTGATTACGGCTCACTGCAGCCTTGACCTCACCAGCTCAAGCGATCCTCCCACCTCAGCCACCACACCTGGCTAATTTCTTATTTTTTTGGAGAGTCGCGGTCTTGCTATGTTGCCCATGCTGGTCTCGAACTTCTGGGCTCAAGTGAGCCTCCCACCTCAGCCTCCCAAAGTGCTAGGTGAGCACTTACAGGCATGAGCCACCTCACTGGCCCATACAACAGTGTTTTAAAATGAGAACCTGTCTGTAGTCCCCTGCAGGCGTTCTGTGGATACCAGCTCTTGCCACTCCTCTCTCTTATACTTGGCTTCCTTTGACTTAGTATCAGGCCACTGAAAATTATTTCCATGGTGGGCATTTGGGGCACCAGGCAGAGCTAAGGGCTCTCAAAGAATGAGGACTTCTATTATGCTGGCAATGGTGGTGGAGAGAGGAAGATGGCTGGCTGTTGAATACCTGATATGTACCGATCACTATGTTATGGGCTTTAATATAGTTTTGTATTTAATTTTCTTAGCAATCCTATAACATAGATACTATTAGCCCCCATTTTACAGATGACAGACTGACACTTAGAAACACACAACTAGCAACTGGTAGAACCGAGATTTGAACTGAGGACTTTCTGGATGCCAAAGCCTATGCTTTCTACCATCACACACCACTTTTGCAAAGATACAAGAATCAGGTATTGAGACCTGTTGGCTGTGAAAAGGGCTAAGAAATGAAGGGACAGCAGTACTTGTTCTGTAAGGGTAAAGGTTTGAGGTGTGGGGAACAGCTGGATGAAGTCAGCTCTCATGGTGGGGGATGGGAGGCCTGTCGAAATGAGATCTTCAGGGTTCTTATATTTCTGAGCTTTTTGGTTGTCCATTATGGAGAAGAAATGATACCAGTGCCGGTGTGGGGAATGGAGTCGGACACAGAGAGGGAAGGGAAGTCACTAGTGATGGGGAGGAAAAGGCAGTTTCTATAGCCATAACAGCCAGGCCAGTCATTTATTTATGAGAATGTTCATGTGCTAGGTGCCCAGAAGCAGGAACTCTCTTGTGGAATAGGGGGCTGTAAATGTGTGTAAAATCTGCTTCTCACTTTCACTTTCTTTTCCTCCAGGAAAAACCCAGCCTTTTTTCTTTTTTCTTTCTTTCCACAGGTGTTGACTTTTTTCTTTTTCTAATTTTTTTAAATTTTTGCCTTCTGGGGTCACAGTGTTTTATTTTCTCACTTTTGCTTATCCCATTCACCTTTCTTCTCTGATTCTGTTATCTTAACAAGGCAGTCATCTTTGTTAAATATTTCTGTATTCTAGAACTGCTCAGAACACTTTGTAAATCAGCATCAATTCTCTGAAAGCTCCTACTTTGTGCCCATTACTAGCATGAGATGTTATCCTCAGTGCACCTAACCTGTGCTCCCTCCATGTTCCCTAACAGGGTAATCGACAGCTGTTTGAGGCCACTCAGGAAGATTAAAGTTATGCTTAGAGCCTGAAGCTCTTTTGGAGGAAAGCTTTTTTTTTTTTTTTTTTTTAAATGGGGTCTCACTCCATCACCCAGCTGCTCATGTCTTTAAATTCAGGTTGGGGATCACCACCTTCAAGAAGCCTTTCTAAGGTCACTGAAGTCTGTTACATGTTTCTTTGGTATATTCCCATAGTATGCTGAATATCTGTTATCAGTAAAACTTCTCAAACCATGTTGTTCTTGTCTGATTTTCCTTTTGACTTTGAGCTCTTTGAGAGTAGGGACAATTTTTATATGTATTCCTAGCACCCAGGACAGTATAATTTCTGGAACATAATTTTTAGGATGTATGAATGATAAACCTTAGTTGTATTGAAATGTTCCAAATGTTGCAATACCTCCTGTATGTAACCATGAAAACCTACACGTTTTTGCAATTTCCTGCTCTGATCCAGTTTGAGGAGGTTTAGTTTTCCCTTTTTGTGAAATTTTGTGCTATTTTAAAATGATTCTGAAAGACACAGAATAGTGACTTCTTCTTCTCCCTCCAAATGAGGCAAGAGATTACTCATTTATTCAGCATTTTATGGGGGGAGCACGCATTTGCTTTGACAGTCAACTGTCTCCCCCACTTTTAAATACAAATATTTTCAGGCCGGGTGTGGTGGCTCATACCTGTAATTCCAATACTCTGGGAGGCTGAGGTGAGAAATTTATTTGAGGCCAGGAGTTCCCGACCAGCCTGGCCTAACATAGTGAGACCCCATCTCTACAAAAAATACAAAAATTAGCCAGGCGTGGTGGTACATACCTATAGTCCCAGTTACTCAAGAGGCTGAAATAGACTGCTTGAGCCCAGGAGGTTGAGGCTGTAGTGAGCTGAGATCATGCCACTGCATTCAGCCTAGGTGACAGAGAGAAACTCCATCTATTCAATCAGTCAATCTGTCAATCAATCAATAAAAATCAAACAAATACTTTCCCCAATCTGTGTCCTTTTCTAACTTGCTATCCGCCCCCTCCCCTCTCTTTCTCTCCTCAGCCAAATTTCTGGAAAGTGTAGTTGATATTCATTGTCTCACTTTCTCACTTCTGTTCCTACCATTCCAGTGAAGCTGGTTGTGCTGAGGCAATTATGACTTTGTGAGTCAGCTAAATCCAAGAGGTGTTTTATCAATCATCTGTGTTACATTTGACCTACTTGACCATTCTCCTTGAAACTATTCCTTTGTCACATGTCACTTGTAGTCCTTGTCACTACCTTTTCAGTCCCACTGGTTTTGTTCATTTGTTCATTCATTCAAAAAATATAAATCAAGCGCCACTTCTCCACAATGCTAGTCCCGGAAGTTGTGTCAGTGAACAGGATAAACGTAGTCCTTGCTCTCATGGAGCTTACAGTCCAGCCGGGAAGTAGCTATTCACCCATTTAATTGGACAAATATTTATTTAGTGCCTGTTGTTTTTCAGATAACTGTTGTGCCTAGCCATGAAACATAATGATGTAAATGGTTTAATCAGGTAATTATTGCATCTTAATTTTATCATGTGCTTTACAGGAAGCTCTGAAAACCTATAATTAGGATGCCTATTCTAGTCTGGGATAGAAGTAAGGGTCAGTCAGGAAGAGTTCCTAGAGGAAGGGTCATTTAGTGGAGGCTTGAATTGTGCAAATGAAAAAACATGAATGGGAGTAGAGTTTGGCAGGGCAGGGAGACAGGAGGGGGTAGTTAATTATTTATTGCAGTTACTTATAAAGTTAACAAAAGCTGTAGCATCTTAAGAGTGAAATTCTGCTCTTATCATTCAGCATTGTTGTAAGCTTTATGATTGATACATGCAGACTCCTTTATCCCAGCATCCACAATCCCATTTCTCCTTAGTGGTGAGTGATCATTTTCAATTCTCTATCTGGCAGCACAAAGGAGGTTTTTAGTCTTGATGGGAAGTCAGAATATATGCATGAGACAATAATTAACAGTATAAACTAAGTGTCAAATGAGTGGTATAGTAAGTATTACTGGCATTTAGAGAAGGGCACTGTCATGTAGACATGGAATGATGGTGAAGGAGCGTGTAGTTCCTGAGGCTCGCGTTAAAGGAAGAGAAGGACTCAGAAAAGCGGAGAAGGAAGGAACTAGGCATTTCCAGTGGAGAAGAAGGAGAGAACGAAGTCAGGGAAGTAGGAATTCAGTCTTGCAAATGGGTAAGAGTGTACTGTTGCTTATAGGCCTAGACAGAGTCTTCTGTTTGGCTGCTTACTGAGTAATGTGATAGAAGACAGAAGCAGCCCTGGAAAGATCTTTGAATGTTAGGCTAAGGAATTGGGACTTTATCATTTGAGCAGAGAGATGGAATGTGTGGAAAACTGTTTTAGACTTAATCTGGCAACAAATGACTGCAAAACTAGGTCCTGAGACGTGAGAAGAATGCCTGGATTAGTGATTCAATAAGGAATTCAGTTTAACAAATATTTATGGAGCTTCTTCTGTGTGGCAGTGGAAAGAGAACACAATGAACAGGTGAGAGCACTTGACTAAGGAACCTAAAGACTTGTGCAAGATCAGATGGGGGTTGGATGGATGGGGGAGGGGTGGGAGGGGAGACAGGAGGAGTAGGGGCCCTCCCTACTACCCTACCACCACAGGTTTCAGAGGTTAGCATACTGTGGCCTACAGGCCAAATCCATCCAGTTACTTGTTTTTGCACAGCCCTTGAGCCTAAGAATGGTTTTTACATTTTTAGATGATTTTTTTAAATCATAAGAGTATATCATGGTATATGAAATTCAAATTTTAGTGTCCATAAGTAACGTTTTTGAAACAGAGCCTTGCTGGTTCATTTACGTATTGTCTGTTGCTACTTTAACATGCAGAGGTGACTAGTGACACAGACCATAAGGCCCACAAAGCCTAAACTATTTTTTGTTTAGCCCTTTACAGAAAACTTTGTCCATCCTTGAGTCACACTCATCCTTATCTCAAATCTCTTCTCTGAAACTAAATGTCCCTCTCCTACCTGAGGCTTTCCCCTCCTCCCGGGCTTTTAAATCTTGCTCTTCTTTATTTTCCTCCTTAAATCCTCAACTTCTCCTTCTTCCAGGACTTTTCTGCCTCCAAATATGTTCAAGAACTGACTTACTTTAAAAAAAAAAACCAGGCCAGGCGTGGTGGCTTAACCCTGTAGTCCTATTGCTTTGGGATGCCGAGGCAGGAGGACTGCTTGGGGCCAGGAGTTCCAGACCAACCTGGGCAACATAGCAAAACATTTAAAAATTAGCTGGGTGTGGTGGCATATGCCTGTAGTCCCAGCTACTATGGAAGATGAGGAGGGAGGGTCACTTGAGCCCAGGAGTTTGAAGTTACAGTGAGCTGTGAATACACCACTGCACTCTAGCCTGGGCAACAAAGACCCTGTCTCTTAAAAACAAAAACAAAAAGACTTTATCAACTCAGGAGTTCACTTGTGCTGCCGTACTTCATCTCTAGCCTCTACCTCCACTTCACCTTTCATTTAGTCACCTGCATCCGGACCCTGACCCCAGTAGTCCGCTGAAACTAGTCTTGCTAAGTCATTAGTGAATTCCTAGCTGCTGGATCCAGTCACTTCCCCAGTCTTTATCTTCCTTGTTTTCTCTGACATTTAACATGTTGATCATGTTTCCTTGAGACCCTTTTTCCTTTAGCTCTGGTGACATCATTGTTCTTGGTTTCTCTGTCTCAAACAAAAAAAAAAATTATGTTGAACAAAAGTGCCAGAATTCAGTCTTCTGCTGCCAAGTCTAGTGCTTCTTCTACCGCATCAGTATAGATATGAGGATCTTTGGGAGATGAGAGACAAAATTGGGAATCCCTACACCTACACTTAGAGGTTAAGGGAAAGAAGTATCTCAGAGAAGGAGTTAAAGAGTGCCCCAAGGCATTACTATGTTGTGAAGGACAAGTTTTCAGACATTGAGGGTATCATCAATGAGACATGTTTGCGAATAGTCAAGGAAAATAGGGAAGGACGAAAGAGTCTGACTACCGGGAAGTTAAGAGAATAATTTCTTACAGTAAAGCCATCTTGCCAACTGGTTAAGAAATACATGGGCATTGATGGAAATGGTGTCAACTGCCATTTTTTAAATTTTTAAAAATTCTTTTTCTTTTTTTTCTTTCTTTTCTAAATCATCCAGCCCAAAATGTTATTGTTATTATTATTTTTTCTGTCATCTAGGCTGGAGTCTAGTGGTGTGATCATAGCTCACTGCAGCCTCAGCCTTCCAGACTCAAGTGGATCTTCCCACCTCAGCCTCCTAAGTGCTGGGACTATAGGCATGTGCCACCACGCCTGGCTAACTTTTGTATTTTGGTATTTTCTTTATTAATATTTTTATTTCTATTATTGTTTATCTAGTTTTTTTTCCCCCTTTTTTTTCTTTTTTGAGGCCAGGTCTGGTTCTGTCTACCAAGCTGGAGTGCAGTAGCAATCATAGCTCACTGTAACCTTGAACTCCTGGGCTCAAGCAATCTTACCTCAGCTTCCCAAATAGCTGGAACTATAGGCATGTGTCACCATGCTCGGCTGATTTTGTGGTTTTGTTTGTTTTTGGTAGAGACAGGGTCTTGCTGTGTTGCCCAGGTTGTCTCAAACTCCTGGCCTCAAGTGATCCTCCTGCCTTGGCCTCCCAAAGTGATGGGATTACAAGCATGAGCCACCGCACCCTGCCTTCTTCTTTTTCTTTTCTTTTTTTAAACAGGCTCGATTCACTTTATTTTTCTTGTGTAAAATTCCTGTGTTATAGCCACAGTTGGAGCCTGGGTCCTCTGCACAGAGACTCTGGTGTGGGTCTTGATGAGGTGGTCAGTGAATTCCTGACGGGGAGACTTGGTGAATACAGTCTTTTTCCAGAGATCAGGGGTCAGGTAGCTATAGGTCTTAGAGGTGGCCTAAAGGGTGGCTTTGGTGAAGTTGTCCAGGGTAGCAGTGCAGCCCATGGCAGAGGTATAGCAGTTGTCAATACCATCCATCAGCAGCCGTTTCCTGGGCATGGGCCAAGATGATGCCATTGCCTTGGGTGGGGTGGGGGAGGGATAAGGCACACCAGCACAGAGCCACAGCAGCCTGTCACCTTGCAGGGGACGGCGTGGGGCTTGCTGATCTTGTTCCCCTAGTGGCCTCTCCAAACAGGAACAGTGGAGAGCTTGACCAGGATCATGGCCCCTTGGATGACATTGGCAACCTCCTTGGAGCACTGAACATCCAGACCGATGTGGCCACCGTAGTCCCCGATGGCCTTGAACCTGGTGTGCTGGCCAGCGCGGGTCTGCTTTTGCAGAGGTGTAGTCTTCAAAAGCTCATCCTCGAGAGGTGACCCCAGCAAAAAGTCAATGATCTCAGACTCCTTAATGGGCAGGGAGAAGAGCTAGACCTTCTCCAGGGACTTGATCTTCATGTCCTGGACCAGGCAGCCCAGCTTGGTGATGGGCATCCACTCCTTGTTCTCAGCCTTGCCTCTGAGAGCTCCATGGCCTCAGCCCTGGCTCCAGGCCAACCACAGCCATGACCCTGGCCCCAATATCCCTGCCAAAGTCTCTGAGGAAGCTGCTGGGCCTCCCATTCCAGGCCCTCCACTGCACTAGAGTCATCTGCCATTTGATATTTGTCGGAGAAGCAGCTTTTTTTTTTTTCTTAACCTTCTGCCATGAGGTGAAGAATTGACTCCCCTTTCAAGAAGTTTGATGGTGAAAGGAAACAAGAGGCTGGCAGTTTGAGAATTATCACATCACCAAATCTTCCAAGAAATTTGCAATATGTTGTTGTCATTTTGTAGGCTTGAAAATATGCAGTGGAAACAATCTAGGGAAATATGTTTGATGATTAAGTATGTAAATTTCCAGATGTTTTAAACTCAATTTAATATTGGTAATTCCAATCAAGTTGTAGTTCTGGAGGTCAGGGTGTTTAGTCAAGCCTTAAAACAAAGTTAAGATCTTATCTGAATACAGGTAGCTGTAACAGTATAGTGTACTTTTAGTGGGTAGATGTATATAGAGTCTGAAAACATTCTTATGTTCATTTAGAATATTCATCTACATATAGACTTATTTCTTCCCCATAAATCATTATGTGTTGTCCAGGTATGATTTGATCAACAATAAGGTTTTTCCACTTTGCTGCTAGAGGCTGTTTTCTGTGTTTATGATGAAAACCCAGTTGTATTGTCCACAGCATCTCTTGGGAGCTGAGCTCTGGGTGGGGGAGTTAAGCCCTGGGCAGCATTTTTGTCCTGTTGATGAGGTATCTTTTCTCTGCCAGGTAAAGCGGTACCAATGTACCTTTGAGGGCTGTCCCCGCACCTACAGCACAGCAGGCAACCTGCGAACCCACCAGAAGACTCACCGAGGAGAGTACACCTTTGTCTGTAATCAGGAGGGCTGTGGCAAAGCCTTCCTTACCTCTTACAGCCTCAGGATCCACGTGCGAGTGCACACGAAGGAGAAGCCATTTGAGTGTGACGTGCAGGGCTGTGAGAAGGCATTCAACACACTGTACAGGTCAGTCTCGTCTCCAATGCTCTGCCAGCCTCTGACCTTGACCTTGTTGTGATGGCAGAGCTCTTTCCCCTTGCAGAGGAGTTGTTTTCACTTTCAGGGCTTTAAAAGAGCGCAGCTGTGTTCAACTACGTAAAATTCATTTCTGCCAGATCTCAGAAAATGAAAGAAAAAAATTTAAAAATGCATTAGAGAAACCTGTTACTTAAAGATGGACGTATCTTGGGCTGGTTAGAAGCGACAGTACATTTCTGTTTAGATTTGCATCTCATGGAGCAGCATTCTGGCCTGGGCATTTCAGTGCTTGGCATAGAGTACTATCTCCCCTTGGCTCAGGATCTTTGTGCTAAGGCTTCTGTCCTACCTAAGCTTGAAGGACTTTTCTATCCTGAGAAATGGGGAGTGGCCTATTCAGTAGCCAATTCTCTTTTTCACGTTTGTATCAGGAGACTTAATAGTCTTCAGTATTGAGTATAAAGTAATAGAAATAACAGTAGCTAACACTTAAAAATACTCACTGTGTGCTAGGCATGATTCCAAGTGCTAGTCCCCACAATAGCTGATAAGTAAATGGAAGCACAGAGGGGTTCTATAACTAGCTTAAGTTTCCCCATCCAAGCAGGATGTGGGGTCAGGATTTGAATCCCAGGAAGTCTGTCTCCAGAGTCACACTCATACCACTGTGCTATTCTCTGCGTTTCTTTTGGGGCAAAATATGTTGGATACTAATATGTTATGGGTATAGAATTCTTACGCACTTGATCCTGAAGCACATTAAGCTGGCATGGGGAGGCTCTGTAGAACTTTATGACAAAGGGAGGCCAGGCGCAGTGGCTCATGCCTGTTATCCCAGCACTTTGGGAGGCCGAGGCAGGCGGATCACCTGAGGTCAGGAGTTCGAGACCAGCCTGGCCAACCTGGTGAAACCCCGTTGTACTAAAAATACAAAAATTAGCCAGGCGTGGTTGTGGGCTCCCATAATCCCATCTACTTGGGAGGCTGAGGCAGGAGAATCGCTTGAACCTAGCAGGAGGAGGTTGCAGTGAGCCGAGACTGCGCCATTGCACTCCAGCCTGGGCGACAAGAGCGAAACTCTGTCTCAGAAAAAAAAAAAAAAAAAAAAAAGAATTTTATGACAAAGGGAATTTTTCTGGAATATTTTGCAGGCTGAAAGCACATCAGAGGCTTCACACAGGGAAAACGTTTAACTGTGAATCTGAAGGCTGCAGCAAATACTTCACCACACTCAGTGATCTGAGGAAGCACATTCGAACTCATACAGGGGAAAAGCCATTTCGGTAGGTCTTACTGTTTTCTATTTGTCACTGACCAGGTTTCAGCTGGGGGTCTTGATATACTCTGGAATTTTTCAAAAAAGAAAGAAAACTCCCTTTACTAGCTCTTGATTTAGCAGTGTTAGCTCACCCCAGGACAGCTATAACCAACCACTGCAGATTAGAGGGGTGCTGATGGAGTCCAAGAACATCCTTACTCTGTGGATGATGGCCTTTCTGCCTCATTTTTTCCCATTTATTTCCAAGAAGCATTTGTTGAAACTCAGTTATGTGGTGGGTACTTTTATTAGTGCTAGAGAAATACTCCGAAGCAGGCCTTCTTCTTAAGAACCTTTGTCTGGTGACAAAAAACCACAAATTTGTGGATAATATCTGAGGCTGCAAGATGGCCAAAGTGCCTTAAGCCCAGAGGAGGGATACCTACCTAAGAATCAAGGAGGGAGGGAATGAGGAGACAAGAGAGGAAATGAGAGGTAGGGATGCTTAGCTTAGTGGTGCAGTTGTTACTTGTTCAAATTATTGCTTTGTAATATCTCGTGTGTATACACAAACATATAGGAGCATCCATTTTTATTCATATATGTCAACATATGTATATCTAATAGATACATTTACTATAAACTTGAAGGAGGGACTTGGGTTATCTACTTTCTTCTCTGCTCATAGTATATAGCATGATTCCAGGCATTCAACAGGTATTCAAAATCAGCTTTGGGATGATTATATGACATTTTTAATGAGATAATCAGTTTGTAAGGATTTCCCCTAAATGTAATATAGATAGATGTATTGCCAAAAACTGCCCATAAACAATGTCTTTGAGGCCGGGCATGGCGGCTCATGCCTGTAATTCCAGCAATTTGGGAGGCTGAGGCAGGTGGATCATGTGAGGTTAGGAGTTTAAGACCAGCCTGGCCAACATGGTGAGACCACATCTCTACTAAAACTACAAAAATCAGCCAGGCGTGGTGTCACATGCCTATAGTCCCAGCTACTCTGGAGGCTGAGGCAGGAGAATTGCTGGAACCAGAGAGGCGGAGGTTGTGGTGAGCCAAGATTGTGCCATTGCACTCCAGCCTAGATGACAGAGTGAGACTCTGTCTCAAAAAAAATAAAAATAAAAAAAAAATAAACAATGTATTTGAATTTTGGCAGGGGATATTCAAGGCATTAGATATGCTACCTGTTCCTTCTTAAACCACTCGTTTTGTTAGGGTACTTAGAAATAAAAAGTCGTTAGAGACAGTCAACTCTTAGATGCCAATCAAATGGAATTGTGGGCTGGGCTTATGTCTGTAATCCCAGTGCTTTGGGAGACTGAGGTGGGAGGATCACTTGAGCCCAGGAGTTCAAGACCAGCTTGGGCAAGTGAGACCCTGACTCTACAGAAAATTTTAAAATTAGTTGGGAGTGGTGGCGCATGCGTGTGGTCCCAGCTATTTAGGAGGCTGAGGTGGGAAGATTGCTTGAGCCTGGGAGGTCAAGGCTGTAGTGAGCCATGGTCATGCCACTACACTCCAGCCTGGGCAACAGAGAGAGACCATGTCTCAGAAAAAAAAGGAATTGTGTTTTTAAGTTACAGATGCATTCCTGAGTCATGATCCCTTTAAGGGCAAGAGTAGTTAGATTGTAATTGGTTACTCTACAGATGGATGCTGTGAAGCTTAGGTTATTCCCCGCCGCCCCCCTTCCCGTAGGCTGCTGAGAGGACTCTGATTTCTATCCAGTCACATGCATTTATTTTTGTGATGATTAAAACTGCATTTTTCTTGAATATTCAATGAGACTTTAGACATGATGATGATTGCATGTAATTAAAAATGAAAATGCTTTAGAGAAGCTTTCTATTTAAAGAAATAAAATATTTTGGTTTATAAGAAAATGCATTCATTCATATAAGTAATTAAGGAATGTCTGCTATGTGCAGGAACTACAGAAAGAGCTACGTGGATCCTGTACTCAAGTAGTTTACACTCTAGGAGAGCAGATACCAGATGTATCCACAGAGAAAATAAGATTGGAAATGAGAGTTGCCATAAAAGAAATGTAAAGAAAAGCCTTAGGAGTTCTGAGGAGGGAAAGATTCCTTTTAGCTTTGGTTATCAAGACAGTAAAAGAGAATGAAGTAGATCTCGACACACAAGATTATAGATAAGTTACTTGAGCCTATCTTCTGATTGATTTTGTTCTTATGTTACATTGCAAGCCATGTACATATTTGAGAGCCACTTTGCTTACTCTTGATATTCCTAATGTTCCACTGGCAGATTTTTCATATGGACTGTCACTGTCAACAGAGGTCTGTTAAGTAATTCATCAAAAGACTTTTGTTGTCAGGGCTCTCAACATGGACCTTACCTGTAGGACAAGAAATACTTATCCTGGGCTCTCAGTTCTCTCTGATCCCAGATATGCCACCTTACTTTTTCAAGAACCTCTCATCATTCCCATCTCTAAAACCAGTGTCATTGATCTGATCTTAGTGTTCTGAATATTTGTTTTAGTTTCTATTTATAAGAGATGTTCAGAGGCCAGGCACAGTGGTTCACGTCTGTAATCCCAGCACTTGGGAGGCCGAGGCGGGCGGATCACAAGGTCAGGAGATCGAGACCATCCTGGCTAACATGGTGAAACCTTGTCTCTACTAAAAATACAAAAAATTAGCTGGGCGTGGTGGTGGGCACCTGTAGTCCCAGCTACTCGGGAGGCTGAGGCAGGAGAATGGCATGAACCCGGGAGGTGGAGCTTGCAGTGAGCCAAGATTGCGCCACTGCACTCCAGCCTTGGGGACAGAGCGAGACTCGATCTCAAAAAAAAAAAAGACGTTCAGGATAAAGATCTATTAGCTAATGACTCCTGTTTCTCTTTCCTTAACAAATTTAGGTGCGATCACGATGGCTGTGGAAAAGCATTTGCAGCAAGCCACCACCTTAAAACTCACGTTCGTACACATACTGGTGAGTTTAGGCCAATTTTTGTTTCATCAAGCCTGTAACTATCAATTTTCCATTGAGACCTGTAGAGCTAGGTGGATATACAGAGATATAGATCCTGTATATATTCAGGTGAGCATAATTAGCTCAGCCTTACCTAGAATGTTTGGGTTTCTTTCAGAGGCGGACCTCAGGTATTCAACCTTAAGAGATGAAACCAATACAGAGACACTCTAAAAAAAAACAACCTGTGAGAAACAAATCTACTCTTTAAACTTCCCAGCAGTAGGCATTCCCAATGCTTTGCTCAGCATTGAGTTTGAGGACTGAGATGATTAATGTGTAATTTATTGAACTTTTAACAACTGTTACCCAAACTCTCTTAAA
Source organism: Homo sapiens (assembly GCF_000001405.40). NCBI lineage: Eukaryota > Metazoa > Chordata > Mammalia > Primates > Hominidae > Homo > Homo sapiens. The sequence goes on along the minus strand of NC_000001.11, from coordinate 37,835,307 downwards.
AATACTTACTTACCTCTATTAGGGAAAGGTAGATTTCTTAATCCAGTGAAATGACTTTATGGTAAATTAACACTACTTTGTTATTCTTGCAGGTGAAAGACCCTTCTTCTGCCCCAGTAATGGCTGTGAGAAAACATTCAGCACTCAATACAGTCTCAAAAGTCACATGAAAGGTCATGATAACAAAGGACACTCATACAATGCACTTCCACAACACAATGGATCAGAGGTGTGTAGTGTTTTTGTCTCTTGATCTGGGTACCATAGAACTTCAACAGTTGTTTGTGTATCACAATCAAAGGTTAAAATGTCTTCTCTGTATATCTGTTAGTGAGCGGGAAGAAGTCAGGGTCAAGATCAGTGTCTTGACTTGTGTATTTAACCACCTACTCGACGTCTTCACCCAGATATCATCTACTCTTGTCAAACTTAACATGTCCAAACCTGTTCTTCCTGCAGTCTTCCTCGTCTTGGTAAATGGCGGCTCTGGTTTTCTAGTGGCAAAGGCCAAAAATCTTATAGTCATTCTTGACTCTTTTTTCCCTCACACTCCACATCCGCCAGCAAAGTCTGCCAGCTCATCCTTGATAATTTATCTAGAATCCCATCACTTCTTCTGATTACTTCATTCAGTCTACTGTTGTCTTTTTGCCTGGATTATTGCAATAACCTGTTAAGTGAGCTTCTTAGGACCTTTTCCCCCTCTTCTGTCCACTCCACAATAGACTGTCCTACATATATCAGCCAGAGTGATCTTTCTGAACCATAAAGCAGATAATGTCTGTCCTCTGCTCATAACCCACAGTAGCTTTTTAAATTTTTATTTTATAGATTTTTAAAAATTATTTTAATAGAGATAAGGTCCAAGCAGTCTTTCCCTTCCCCCACCCCCGCCGCCCCCACCCTCTGTCTCAGCCTCCCAAAGTGCTGGGATTACAGGCATGAGCCACCCCACCTGGCCTCCAGTAGCTTCCTGTATCACTTGAAGTAAAAGTCAGTCTTTATAGTAGGCTATAGGGCCCTACACATTCTGGCCTGGTTGCTTCTCTGATCTCATCTACCTCGCTTTTATTTTTGTTTTATTTCATTTTATTTGAAACAGGGTCTTGCTCTGTCCTGTAGGCTGGAGTGTAGTGGTGCAATCTCTGCTCACTGTGACCTCCACCTCCCTGGCTCAGGGATCCTCCCAACTAGCTGGGACCACAGGCATGCACCACCACACCCAGGTTTTTTTTGTGTTTTTAGTAGAGATGTGGTCTTCACCATGTTGCCTGGGCCGGTCTTGCACTCCTAAGCTTAAGTGATCTGTCTGCCTTGGCCTCCCAAAGTACCGGGATTACAGATGTGAGCCACTGTGCCCTGCCTACTTTTCTTCCTCTCACTTCAGCCATATGGTCCTCTTTGTGGTTTCTTGAACCAAGGAGTGTCCACTCCTGCCCCTAGGCCTTTATACTTGCTGTACCCTCTGCTTGGAACATCTTCTCTAGATATGTGCATGGTTGATACCCTCTTTCCTTCACTCTCTACTCAAATGCCACTTACCTAAAAGGGCTTCCCTAACCACCCAATAAAAGAGCAACTCCTATCCCAGAGTTCCCTACTGCCCTTACTCTCCATAACACTTATCCTCTTGCACATTGTATATTTATTTGTTTTTTGTCCTCTCTGCTAGAACGTAAGCTCTACGTGGGGAGGAGTTTAGTTTGTTCATTAATGTATCCCTGGGTCTGGAACGGTGTCTAATACATAGTAGATGCATTATGAATGTTTGTTGAGTGTGTGCATGAATAGGAGCATCTGAGGTAAGCAGGGCTACCACCTAAAGTGTGAATTGTGACTGGCATTCTGGGACTCCAGAGTTCACTTAGTCTGGGCAGTGGAATTTGAATTCTAAATCCCCAGTACCACTCTGAGTAAGGAGCCTTTCAGTGCCCATGTGGGAAACACAGTGGTGGAAGGACCATTGACTTTTCAGTCAGAAGCACTGGATTTGTCTTCTGCTAATTAGCTGTGTGTTTGGGGGCACTTGATTCCTACTGTCTGAGCATCAGTTTTCTGATATTTAAAATGGGAATATAAGTTTGTGGCAATTTGTTACAAAAAGAATAAAAAATGGGGATATAGAGTAATACTTCCAAGGTTTATATGAATGGCAAATGAGGTCCTGTGAAATCACTGTAAATGATGAGACCAGGTATACAGATAGTATTAATTTCACATTATTATAGGTTTGTTACTTTGGAGCCTTAGTCATAAGATAATGTTAAAACTCTTTATTATTATTATTATTTTTTTTTTTTTGAGACAGAGTCTCACTCTTGTCGCCCAGGCTGGAGTGCAGTGGCGTGATCTTGGCTCCCTGCAACCTCTGCCGCCCAGGTTCAAGTGATTCTCCTGCCTCAGCCTCCCGAGTAGCTGGGATTACAGGCACACACCACCGCGCCTAGCTAATTTTTTGTATTTTTAGTAGAGATGGGGTTTCACTATGTTGGCCAGGCTGGTCTCGAATTCCTGACCTTGTGACCCACCTGCCTCAGACTCCCAAATTGCTGGGATTACAGGCGTGAGCCACCACTCTCAGCCTCTAAAACTCTTTATTAATCATTTTTAAGAAATGTAAGATATTCTTGTAAGAATATCAGGATTTTTAAAAATTAACTAATTCACGGGGTGGGGCAGGGGAGGGATAGCATTAGGAGATATACTTAATGTAAATGATGAGTTAATGGGTGCAGCGCGCCAGCATAGTACATGTATACATAATGTAACAAACCTGCACATTGTGCACATGTACCCTAGAACATAAAGTATAATTTAAAAAAAATTAATTCATTTAGCCCTTGCTTTGGTTGGCTTATACTTCTTCAGATAATACATGTAGACATGTGGAACATTAGGGACTTTGTAATCAAATGTTTTGTTACATGATATGCCACTGTAAATCCTGATTTTTGTTACTCAATTAGAATTTTTTCTCTTTCACAGGATACAAATCACTCACTTTGTCTAAGTGACTTGAGCCTTCTGTCCACAGATTCTGAATTGCGAGAAAATTCCAGTACGGTAAGTGTACCTGTAATACCAGTGCTAGAAAAATAAGGGCAAGAATTAAGCACTCCCTTTGGTGGGAAAATTGAGGCAGGCCAGTCTTTGAAGTTTTCTAAATTTAATTGTGTTTAATTACTGACCATGTAGGATTTTTTCTTCTTCTGATAAGAGTTCTATTAGAGCCTGTTCTCTCTGATGCCTGATTCCTTTTGACGCAGGTCACTCACTCGGTAACCTGGCCCCAGAAAATTTCTTTTTTTTACTCATTTAGCAAATATTTATTGACCAGGCACTGTGCCAGTACTGAGCTTATAGTAGTTAAAAATGTTGGTATAGTTTGTCCTTGAGGAACTTAAAGTCTAGTACTGTAAGACATAACCAGAATTCTAGTTTCTGGACTTTCTCAAATCCTATCTATATGACCTGGCTTGGTCTTTTCCTTTTTCATTTTAATTTTATTTATTTATTTTTTTTCTGTGCAATGGGGAGAGAAAAATTTCCCTTCTTTAGGTTTATTAGCTTTTTGAAGAAAACCTCTTACACATATAGAGGCCTCTATCTGCTAAAGGACAAGCCCACTTTATCTTAATCTGATTGCTTTGATTCAAGCTGTTAGGAAATTTGACTGCCATTCCCATGGCTCCATGATGCAACTTACAAACCAATGCATTGAGTCTGAGCTTATGCAGCCTCCTCCATGTTGAACATGAGAGTTTTATAGTATTGCTAACACTAATTTTGAGTTTGGGTTTTTTGTTGTCGTTTTTCCTGGTAAATAAATATAGCATAGGCTAGATTTTCTGTGATTATGTGCATAATGAATAAATATGATGGGAAGTATTTGAACAGAGACTGAATGATTCAGGAATGCTGTGAAAGAGTGGTTAGTGGAGTCAATTACAGCACTTCTGAAGTTGTAGGTTCTTGGGCCTCCCCCCAAGCCTGCTGAGTCAGCTTGTCTGACCGTGGCATCTGAACCTGCATTTTTATGTAAGCACGACAAGGCCTAATTCTCCTTCTGGTAGTGGCAGAGTTGCTCTTATGAGACCAACTCTCCCGCAGAAAACAGCTAAAAATTCTAGACAAAATATAAAAAACAACTGTGGAAAGGCACTGGTGAGCAACCAATAGCAAGCAGAGGTAACCTTGGAAGAAGGGATTGCTTGGAAGATGGTAAAGGCACTGGGTAGGCTTGCAAGTTTTATGGCTTATCCACCTTGGGCAAGCCCCAGTTGGCACCCAACGAGGCAGCCAAACTTATAAAAACTCAATCTTACTGGCTTGAATAACCAGAGGACAGAGTTCAGGGTGGCCACAGCACCTGGAAAGTGAAGGCAGGTAGCCTGGAAAGGAAAGAGTCACTAAGGGGGAGCCCCAAGTTCTGTGTATAAACTCTCTCCGAATCTCTGGCTGACCCCTGCGCCATGGATGTGTGGGATAGACTCTAAGCAGCCCAGCCAAGGCTAAAGATCTACACAAAGATCATAGCTGCATCCACTGCAAGGGAGATGAAGTTAATGGAATATTCAGACAAACAAGTCAACACACTTCCAAGAAGTGTAACAGAGTCCAGAGTCTCTAAAATATATCATTTGTAGTGTTCAGAGCAATCCCAAATTAGTAAACACGTGAAGAAACAGGAAAACATGATCCCTCCACAAGAGAAAAGGTAATCTGTGGAGATGGACCCCAAGATGACCCATCTAATGTTAAAATTAACAGACAAGGATTTTTTTTATTTTTATTTTTTTATGCGACAAGGATTTTTAAAAGCTATTATATGCTCAAGGACATAAAGGAATATGCTTGTAATGATTGAACAAATAGGAAATCTCAGCAGAGGAATAGAAACCGTAAAAAGTGTACCAAATGGAAATCTAAAACGGAAAAATATAGCTGAAATAATTCACTGGATGGGGCTTAACAGCAGATTGGAAATGACAGAAGAAAGAATCAGTTGAGTTGAAGATCAATAATAGAAATGAATCAAACTAAAGAGCAAAGAGAAAAAGATTAAATGGGTACATCACATGACTTTTATGCATATTCCTATTTTACAACTAATGTTCTAAAAGAAATTTCTGCACTGGGTGGTCTAGATGCCCTCAAAGCTACCCAGCCTAAGATTTCTAGGAATAATATCCCTTTAACGTGTAACTGTGTTAAATAGCTTAGGAGTCTATTCTCTGGCCAAGACTATGACATATGACTAACGAGCTTTCTGGAGCCCTAGGGTCACCAGGAAAATACCCTGGCATAAGGGGACACCAAGTACTTATGAAAAAGGGAAGCCTTTCCTATCACAATTTATATAATCAAGAGAGAGAAGCACTATCCCTTGGGGTTTAATTATAGATCATGCTCCTGGTACCCAGTGTTTATCTCAGATGTGGAAATTGATTTTAGCCTTTCAAACTAAGGCCACAATTCCTTGAAGCAATAGGATTAATTTTTCTTTTTTCTTTTTTTTTTTTTGAGACAGAGTCTCGCTCTGTCGCCCAGGCTGGAGTGCAGTAGCGCGATCTCGCCTCACTACAAGCTCCACCTCCTGGGTTCACGCCATTCTCCTGCCTCAGCCTCCCCAGTAGCTGGGCCTACAGGCGCCCGCCACCATGCCTGGCTAATTTTTGTTGTGTTTTTTAGTAGAGACAGGGTTTCACCATGCTAGCCAGGATGGTCTCGATCTCCTGACCTCGTGATCCGCCCGTCTCGGACTCCCAAAGTGCTGGGATTACAGGTGTGAGCCACCGCGCCCGGCCAGGATTAAATTTTCTTTGCTTGAAAAAAAAATTAGGGACATGTGCAGTGGCTCATGCCTGTAATCCCAGCACTTTGGGAAGCAGAGGTGGGTGGATGGCTTGAGCCCAGGAGTTTGAGACCAGTCTGGGCAACACAGTGAGACCTCATTTCTAGTAAAAATAAAATATTAGCTGGGTGTGGTGGTGGTATTTTCTAATAAAAATATTTTTTTTAATAGAGACCTCATCTCTAGTAAAAATAAAATATTAGCTGGTGTTGTCCCAGCTATCTGGGAGGCTGAGGCAAAAGGATTGTTTGAGCCCTGGAGTGAGCCATGATCACACCACTGCATTCCAGCCTGGGCAACAGAGCAAGACCCTGTCTCAAAAAAAAAAAGAAAAAAAAGAGAGAATCAGGACTTGTTAAAATCAAATAGTAAATTTATATGAGATAATGATTTTATGGGTTTCTCAGCAGCCATATGTATGCATATCCTAGAAATGAACTTTGGTTTGCTCAGATCTTTTGTTAGAGGAGAGTTGAAGGTGCTAGGGAATGGCCTTCTCGAAGCCTTTTGGCTGCTCAGCTCCAGGATCCATCCTGGTCCCAGACAGCTACCTGTATTCTCCTCTTCTTTGCCCTTTGCTCTTTGCTCCTTGCTCCAGGCCTGGAAAGCTCAGCCTGTTCTTGTCTTCTCTACTTGTGAAAGTTGTTCCTACCCACTTTGCTCCCAGCGTTTTTGCCCTGAAGCTTGGCAGGGGCTTCAGCATTTTCCTTTTTTTAAATTTTAACAAGCTTTTTATTGAGGTACAATATACATACAGAAAAGCACATGTATTATAAATGTACAGCTTGATGAATCATCACAATTCGTCACACCCATGTAACCAGCACCCCGGTCAAAAAGAACATTCCCAGCCAGGCGTGGTGGCTTACGCCTATAATCCCAACACTTTGGGAGGCTGAGGTAGGCGGATCACCTGAGGTCAGGAGTTTGAGACCAGCCTGGCCAGCATGGCTAAACTCCGTCTCTACTAAAAATACAAAAATTAGCCGGGTGTGGTGGCGGGCGCCTGTAATCCTAGCTACTCGGGAAGCTGAGGCAGGAGAATCACTTGAACCGTGGCGGCAGAGGTTGCAGTGAGCTGAAATCGTGCCATTGCACTCCAGTCTGGGTGACAAGAGCGAAACTCTGTCTCAGAACAAAAGAAAACAAACAAAATAACATTCCCAGCACCCCAGAGGCCCCCCCCTCACATACCCCCAAAAGCCATGATCTCTCCCTGCAGACAACCACTATTCTGACTTACAACAACTAAGATTAGTTTTTCCTGTTTTTTTTTTTTTAATGCTTTTATGATTGGAATCATATACTTGTTTATGTGTGGCTTTTCTTCTCATAACATTATGTTTAAGAAATTAAGCCATATTATTACATACAGTTACAGGTCATTCATTCTTCTTGTTGAACAATATTACACTAAGTGAATATACCACAATACACTAAATGAATATACCAATATTTGTTCTTTCTCCTGTTGGGCCTTTGGATAGTTTCCAGTTTGGAGCCATTATGAATAGTGCTGCTGTGAACATTTTTGTACATATGTTTTGGAGGCACACAAGCCCATTCCTTTTCTTTTCCCTAGTATTATTGAGGTATTAGGTTGGTCAAAAGTAATTGCCATTGAAAGTAATGGCAAAAACCGCAAATACTTTTGCACCAACCTAATATCATTGACAAATATAGCTCATTCGTTTTTAATTATGTTACTACCTATAATGATTTATAAACAGAACAAAAGTAATAACTATGGCTGGTCGTGGTGGCTCACACCTGTAATCCCAGCACTTTGGGAGGCCGAGGAGGGTGGATCACGCCTGTAATCCCAGCACTTTGGGAGGCCGAGGCGGGTGGATCACGAAGTCAGAAGATCAAGACCATTTTGGCTAACACGGTGAAACCCCATCTCTACTAAAAATACAAAAAACAAAATTAGCCGGGCATGATGGCAGGCGCCTGTAGTCCCAGCTACTTGGGAGGCTGAGGCAGGAGAATGGCGTGAACCTGGGAGGTGGAGCTTGCAGTGAGTCAAGATCATGTCACTGCACTCCAGCCTGGGCAACAGAGCGAGACTCTGTCTCAAATAATAATAATAATAATAATAATAATAATAATAATAACAACTATGAGGAGGTTGCAAAGCTTATGCTCAGTGGTAGTTGTTAGTCAACTATTTTTCAAACTGGATTGCACCTTTTCATTGGGTTTTAAAATAGTGGTTTATAATCAGCATTTCAAAGACATCAATAGAATAGAAAAAAAATCAGAGGACATTGCACATAGTAAGGATAAGGTCTGTTTCATAGACTTGTTTCAGTTACACATATGGATATGTATATAATATGAAGAATGTATGTATATACAGTGTAAAATGTATTTCTTACTTTGTGTCACAATGAAAATTTGAAAGTCACACTATTGGCCTATGAGTTTTAACTCTGTCCGGACTGGAAGTTGGAAGTTGTCCCACATAGATTTGAGATGGAGTCTTGCTCCATCACCCAGGCTGGAGTGCAGTGGCTTGATCTCAGCTCGCTGCAACCTCCACTTCCCAGGTTCAAGTAATTCTCCTGCCTCAGCGTCCCGAGTAGCTAGGATTTGAAGCACGCACCACCATGCTCAGCTAATTTTTGTACTTTTGGTAGAGACGGGGTTTCACTGTGTTGGCCAGGCTGGTTTCGAACTCTTGACCTCAAGCGATCTGCCTGCCTCGGCCCCACACAGTGCTGGGATTACAGGTGTGAGCCACTGCGCCTGGCCTCACATAATTTCTGACTTCACCTTCTATCATATTGGCAATCAGGATCACTGAAATGAAGAAAAAAAAAAAAAGGAATCACTGAATTTCCCCTCCTTCAGCTGATAGACGTAGAAGAGAATCATCAGCTGGTGGTGGTGGCTCATACTTGTAATCCCAGTGCTTTGGGAAGACTGCTTGAGGCCAGGAGTTCAAGACCAGGCTAGGCAACGTAGCAGGACCTTATCTCTACTAAAAATAATTTTTAAAAAGCAGCCAGGCATGGTGGCGTGCGCCTGTAGTCCCAGCTACTTGGGAGGTCTAGGGGAGGATCTTGAACCTAGGAGTTCAAGGTTGCAGTGACTTGACTGCGCCTCTGCACTCCCGCCTGGATAACAGAGCTAGACCCCGTCTGAAAAAAAGGGGGGGAAAAGAAGAATTGCTCCCTTTTGGCTCCAGTGGGCAATTTAATCTTTGAGCACTTCTAGATTGGTGGACAGCCCCACTCATCACCACACTTCTACCCAATCCCAAAGTGATCCTTCTGAGTTCTGCCTTCTAGAAGCAGAGTTGTTACAAAATGACCTTAAAACGTATGTTGGCACTAGGGCAAGATCTGCCCTAAAAAGAGGTTTTAGTTTGGTATATACAGTGTGTTTAAGTTATTTTCAATTACATGTGACCCTTGAACAACACAGGGGCTAGGGGTGCTGGCCTCCCAACCCATAACCCCCTGCACAACCAAATCCTAGTATAACTTTTGACTCCCCCAAAACTGAGCTAGCAATGGCCTTAGCCTACTGTGATTGGAAGCCTTACTGATAACATAAACAGTTTAGATTAGCAGATATTTTGAATGTTATATGTATTATGTATTGTATTCTTAAAGTAAGCTAGAAAAAAAAAAATGTTAAGAAAATCACAAGGAAGAGGAAATAAATTTACTATTTATTAAGGGGAAGTAGATCATTGTAAAGGTGATTCATCCTCATCGTCTTCACATTGAGTAGGCGGAGGAAGAGGAAGAGGAGGGGTTGGTTTTGCTGTGTCAGGGGTGGCAGAAGTGGAAAAAAGTCCCAAGTATAAGTCCACTTGTGCAGTTCAAATGCATGTTGTTCAAGGGTCAGCTGTACTTGCTTTTATTTACAAGTTGGTAGATTTCATGTAAAAATCAAAATTTCTGGGTCTGATGTGGTGGCTCACACCTATAATCCCAGCACTTTGGGAGGCTGGGGTGGGAGGATCTCTTGAGCCCAGGAGTTCCAGACCAGCCTGGACAACATAGTAAAACCCTATCTCTACAGAAAAATTAAAAAATCATCCAGATGTGGTGGCCCATACCTGTGGTCCCAGCTACTTGGAGGCTGAGGTGGGAGGATCACTTGAGCCCGGGAGTTGAAGGCTGCGGGGAGCTATGATCATACCACTGCACTCCAGCCTGGGCAACAGAGTAAAGAAACCCTGTCTCAAAAAAAAGAAAGTCAAAATTTTGCCACTTGAGTTCTGGTAATCCCTGGCCTGCATATTCCCATGGCAGCATTCGGCTGAAGCCCTTGAGGTGACTGGCATGCATTCTCTCCAGTATGCCACAACCCACCTCCCTTGCTTCACGTATTTCTTTTCCCTCTCTGGACTTTGTAGGCAGTTGCCCTTACCACTCTTGCCCTACGAACTGTAGGGGTAGAGGTGGATTGGAGGTTGACCATGGATAGAAGAACTGTAGTCTTTCCCCTTCCCTGAACTAAAGTGAAGAGTGCTCGTTTTAGTTAGTGCCTGTGGGGAGGCAGGCCCTCAGGACATTGTGTTGGGTCTCCCCCCTCACATTTTACCTTTTTGTTTTTAATGCCTCTGACCTTTTATTAAGTATAAAGGTATCACTATTGTTCACCATTGTTGTCTTGTTTATTACCATGCATACATACTAGAATATCATAGATATTATGAAAAATATTCACAATGTTATTATTACATGAGGAAAGCAAGTTGCAGGGTAATGAATATTATATAATTTTTTTGTTGTTGTTTACGGAGTCTTGCTCTGTCGCCCACGCTGGAGTGCAGTGGTGCGATCTTGGCTCACTGCAACCTCCGCCTCCCAGGTTCAAGCAATTCTACTGCCTCAGCCTCCCAAGTAGCTGGGATTACAGGCGCCTGCCACCATGCCCAGCTAATTTTTGTATTTTTAGTAGAAACGGGGTTTTACCATGTTTTCCAGGCTGGTCTCAAACTCCTTACCTCAGGTGATCTGCCCGCCCCAGCCTCCCAAAGTGCTGGGATTACAGGCATAAGCCACCACACCTGGCCTGTAATCTCATTTTTTAATGTAAGATTTGGTCTTTTAGATCAGAAGTCAGCAAGGTTTTTTTTGGTAATGAGCCAGACAGTAAATATTTTAGGCTTTGTTGATTCCATGGTCTCTGTCACAACTAGTCAACTCTGCCATTGTAGCAAAAGTAGCACAGATAATATATAAATGGATGCATGTGCCCGTGTTCCAATAAAACTTTATTTACAAAAACAGGAAATCAACTGGCAAGTCATAGTGTGCCAATTCCTGTTTTAAGTGTTTGAGGGGCTGGGCATGGTGGCTCATGCCTGTAATCCTAACATTTTTAGGAGTCTGAGGTTGAGTGGATTGCTTGAGCCCAGGAGTTCAAGACCAGCCTGGGCAACGTAGTGAGATTCTGTCTCTATTAAAAAATAAATAAATAAAAATAAAGTATTTGAGGACCCAAATCTTTAGTGTCTAAGGCTTAAGAAAATACATGTTACTTTAAATAGCAGAAGGTAGAAACAAAATGCATATCAAAAGATTTTCATTCTAGTTCTGCTGCTTTGAATGTGTTTTCTCATGGTGAAGAATTGTCTCAAGATGGCCAATCTCACATCTTTGTCTCTCTCCATCAGACCCAGGGCCAGGACCTCAGCACAATTTCACCAGCAATCATCTTTGAATCAATGTTCCAGAATTCAGATGATACGGCAATTCAGGAAGATCCTCAACAGACAGGTTTGTCACACGGACTCTTTCTACTCACATCTAAGCACTTGCTGACACACTGAGTCACAGGCACAATGAATCATTCTAGTTAGCGTAAATGAAGTGAGCTTTCTATAAAGGGTCAGAAAGTTTGGGTCTTTCAGTTTAATTCCATCTTTTCCCCTACTTCCCTCAGTCCTGAAGAAGAGAATCTCCTTTCCCAGAATCTTCTGTTGGCTGTAAAACCACCAAAATGGGGAGGAGCTGTGAGATTTTTCTTCTACATTTTTTTTTTTTTGAGACAGCGTCTCATTTTGTCACCCAGATGGGAGTGCGGTGGTGTGATCTCAGCTCACCGCAACCTCCACCTCCAGGCTTGAGTGATCCTCCCACCTCAGCCTCCTGAGTAGCTGGGACCACAGGCACGTGCTACCACACCCAGCTAATTTTTTTTTTTTGTATTTTTGGTAGAGATGGGGTTTTGTCATGTTGCCCAGGCTGCTCTGAAACTCCTGAGCTTAGGCAATCCACCCGCCTCAGCCTCCCAAAGTTCTAAGACTACAGGCGTGAGCCACCATGCCCAGCCTTGTGAGCTCTTTCTTCTGATGTGATACACTGTCTGTGAATGGACAGGACCCACAAATCCACAAACTTCAGCTGCATATATCATACTGTGTTTCATGAAAATTTGTCTGTAAAACTTCCCATTAGTCAGAAAGTATAGTCACTAGTCATGTCAAAAAAAGGATGTTTAGTCTCTTTTCCAGAAAAGCCTTAAGACACTTTTTTAAATGGTTAGAACTATATTGGGTCTTCACATTTAGGAAGTGAGGTTGATGGTGAAACGTGATACTTTGACCAGAGGTGTCACTAAATGAAAATGACAGAAAGCTGGCCTGCTAGCTATGAAGAGATCAGCTCAGTGGACTTCAGCTGTGTTTTGTTTAGCCCATAATGACTGTTTTTGTGGCTCATCTAAGGCTTGGGATATGTATATATATTTCTATTTCTTTTTCTTGCCAGCTTCCTTGACTGAAAGTTTTAATGGTGATGCAGAGTCAGTCAGTGATGTTCCGCCATCCACAGGAAATTCAGCATCTTTATCTCTTCCACTTGTACTGCAACCTGGCCTCTCCGAGCCACCCCAGCCTCTACTACCTGCCTCAGCTCCGTCTGCTCCTCCGCCTGCTCCCTCCCTAGGACCTGGCTCCCAGCAAGCTGCATTTGGCAACCCCCCTGCTCTCTTACAACCTCCAGAAGTGCCTGTTCCCCACAGCACACAGTTTGCTGCTAATCATCAAGAGTTTCTTCCGCACCCCCAGGCACCGCAGCCCATTGTACCAGGACTTTCTGTTGTTGCTGGGGCTTCTGCATCAGCAGCGGCAGTGGCATCAGCTGTGGCAGCACCAGCCCCACCACAAAGTACTACTGAGCCCCTGCCAGCCATGGTCCAGACTCTGCCCCTGGGTGCCAACTCTGTCCTAACTAATAATCCCACAATAACCATCACCCCAACTCCCAACACAGCTATCCTGCAGTCCAGCCTAGTCATGGGAGAACAGAACTTACAATGGATATTAAATGGTGCCACCAGTTCTCCACAAAACCAAGAACAAATTGTAAGTATTATGTATGAATATACCCAGTGGGGTGAAGTGTATTTACATAGGTGACATGTTCAGAAGCTTTTACTTCAAAAAGAAAAGTGGCTGTCATATCCACCGTGAAACATGTAATTCTACCTTTTAGTCATTTTCCACATAATCAAGTGGTATAAACGTAGGAAATGCTGTGGTCAGTACCTATAGTAAGGAGGCAGAGAAACAGTCTTTATCTAGCAGGAGGCACTCAAACAAATATTCCTACTGATACTGGAATCTAATCACATCATCTAGTATAAAAAAGCAGTCAGCAAACTCCAGAGGTCCCAGAATATTCCAGAAAAAGGTTGTTTTCAAGGCAGAGTCAGACTGATGTGAGGGACTGATGTGACCCAGTCAGATGGCACCGGACAGCAGTGGCCAAGTCAGAGAGCTAACTTGTGCTCCCACAGCCCATCATAGAATCATTTTCTGAGGAAGTACTTGGTCTTGATGACTAGGGAAATGACTTGGTCATTCAGTTAATGCTTCATCGTGAAGAATTGTCTCAGGGTGGCCAATCTCACAACTTTGAAAGCCTAATATTTGCCAGACACTATACTGAGTATCTGGAGGATACAGAAAAGAGAAAAAACATGATTTATTTTTTATAAAAACATATATTCTAGTTAAAGAGGCTAAAAATGCCAAAAAGAAAGTTAATATTACCAGTAGGTTAAATATTAAATACTAATAATGGTAATTTAAAAAACATCAACAGCTATTATTCATTGAGTCCTTACTATGTGTAAGGACTTATTGTGCTACATATTTTTTAAAATTGAGGATCTGCAATGTGTCAGTTATTACCTACGTACATTATTTTTAGATTACTTTTTTTTGGACTTTATTGAACAGATGGTACAGAGAGTTTCCATAAACCCTTTCCCCACCCCTAGTTTCTCCTATTATTATTATTATTATTATATATTTTGAGGCTCTGTCACCCAGGCTAGAGTGCAGTGGTGCGATCTCAGCTCACTACAACCTCCACCTCTTGAGCTCAAGCCATCTTCCCACCTTAGCTTCCTAACTGGGACTACAGGCACCCACCACCATGACTGGCTAATTTTTTGTATTTTTTGTAGAGACGGGGTTTCGCCATGTTGCCCAGACTGGTCTTGAACTCCTAGACCCAAGCAATCTGCCTGCCTCCGTCTCCCAAAGTGCTGGGACTATAGGCGTGAGCCATCATGCCCAGCCCTCCCCTATTATTATTATTGTTTTTTCTCCCTATCATCTTGTTTTTTTCCCCTATTACTAACATCTTGCAACAGTGTGGTACATTGGTTACAACTGATGAACCAGTATTGATACATTATTGTTATCTAAAGTCCATAGTTTAGGGTCCATTCTTTGTGCTGTACAGTTCTATTGGTTTTGACAAATGCATAATGTCATGTATCTACCATTAAGCAATATCCAGAATAGTTTCACATTTTTTAAAATTCCTTGTCCTTCACTTATTCATCCCTTCTACCACTTCCCTCTCCCCTAGCAATCATTGATATTTTTACTATCTCTGTATAGCTGCAGCTCTATATGTCACACAAAACACATTTTAACATATTACAACAATCCTAGGAGGTAGGTCTAATTTTCCCAATGGAGAGCAGAGGTCCAGAGAGGTTAAGTGACTGGCTGAAGTTCACAGAGCTCACAAGTGGCAAAGCTGGGATTTAAGCATAAGCAGATTGATCCCAGAGTTGGTGGCTCTTGGCCACTGCGTTGAGGGGTTCAGACACTAATGGTTTGTTGGGTGGCCATACAGGTCAGGTCAGCCTTGAGATATGGGTAGGAATTAGATGGAGAAAAGGATGTACTAAGTTGGAGAACCTAGAGGTGGATGTATGCTACTATTAGACACACTAGAAAGGCCATTTGGGGCTCAACAGGGAGAACACTCAAATTCCAGAACTAGGGTGCCAACCCCGTCTAGATCTAGAGAGCCTATGTCCATTTCTAGATAGCTAGAGTCATTGGAAAGGGCTTTCCAGTATTGTGACCCAGCCCGCCTCCATGTGGTTTTTATTGTTTTCTCTGGCCCTGTCCTGGGGTGCTGAGTGAAACAAGTCATCCATTTTCTTTTCAGATATTTAGGGTCTCACTTCTCCTTTTTTTTTTTTTTTTTTTTTTTTTTTTTTTTTTGAGTCAGAGTCTTGCTCTGTTGCCTAGGCTGGAGTGCAGTGGTGCAGTTTTGGCTCACTGCAACCTCCGCCTCCTGGCTTCAAGCGATTCTCCTGCCTCAGCCTCCCAAGTAGCTGGGACTACAGGCATGCACCAGCACACCTGGCTAATTTTTGTATTTTTAGTAGAGACAGGGTTTCACCATGTTGGCCAGGCTGGTCTCCAACTCCTGACCTCAGGTGATTCGCCCACCTCGGCCTCCCAAAGTGCTGGGATTACAAGCATGAGCCACCACGCCCAGCCTCCATTATTATTTTATAGTGTCATCTGCTATAACGTAGCCAGAAGCTTTCACTTTCCTCCCACACTCATCTTAGAGGCAATTTTAAATTTCCTTTTTAGCGAGATAAAAGACAAAGCTGCCTCAAGATAAGACTTCAAGAAAGTGGAAACCTTTTAGCCCATGTAATAGGAAGTATACTAGAGCGAAAAGGGTGATTTTCTGGGCATAGGTTTATAGTCCTACTTAGTAATAATATAAATAATGTTCTGGAACTCCTGACCTCAGGTGATCCGCCCGCTTTGGCCTCCCAAAGTGCTGGGATTACAGGCGTGAGCCACCGCGCCCGGTCTTAAATAATGAATGTTTACTGAATGTTCACCATGTGCCAAGTGTCCTACGTGCATCATCTCATTTCATCCTCACAGAGGCCTTTGAAGAGGTTTTTGGTTATTGTCTTAGTCCATTTTCTGTTGCTTATAACAGAATACCCCAAACTGGGTAATTGATAAAGAAAATACATTTATTTCTTACATTTATGGAGGCTGAGAAGTCCGAAGTTGAGAGGCCACATCTGGAGGGCCGCCCTCCTGGTGTGGACCCTCTGCAGAGTCCTGAGGCAGCACAGGGCATCACATGGCGAGGGGTTGAACATCCTAGCTCGGGCCTCTCTTCCTCTTCATTTTTTTTTTTTTGTTTTGACACGGAGTCTCACTCTGTTGTCCAGGCTGGAGTGCAGTGGTGCGATCTCGGCTCACTGCAACCTCCGCCTCCCAGGTTCACACCATTCTCTTGCCTCAGCCTCCCGAGTAGCTGGGATTACAGGCACCCGCCACCACACCCGTCTAATTTTTGTATTTTTAGTAGAGATGGGGTTTCACCGTATTAGCCAGGATGGTCTCGATCTCCTGACCTCGTGATCTGCCCGCCTCGGCCTCCCATAGTGCTGGGATTACAGGCGTGAGCCACCACACCTGGCCTTTTTTTTTGAGATGGAGTCTCGCTCTGTCACCTAGGCTGGAGTGCAGTGGCGCGATCTCGGCTCACTGCAAGCTCCACCACCCGGGTTCACACCATTCTCCTGCCTCAGCCTCCCGATTAGCTGGGACTACAGGCGCCCGCCACCATGCCCGGCTAATTTTTTGTATTTTTAGTAGAGATGGAGTTTCACTATGTTAGCTAGGATGGTCTCGATCTCCTGACCTTGTGATTCACCCGCCTCGGCTTCCCAAAGTGCTGGGATTACAGGCGTGAGCCACTGCGCCTGGCCTTTTTTAAGAGAGAGAATTTCACTATGTTCCAGGCTGGGCTGGCCTTGAACTCCTGGGCTCAGGTGATCCTCCTTCAGTCTTCCAAATAGCTGGGACTATAGGCATGTACCACCACACCCTCCTTCTCTTACTCTTCTTATAAAGCCACCAGTCCCACTCCCATGATAACTCATTAATCCATGAGTGAATTAATTCATTCATGACCCAGTCACCTCTTAAAAACCCAGCCTCTCAATACTGCCACACTGGGGATTAACTTTCAACATGAGTTTTGGAGGGGACAGATACTCCATCCATAGTAGTTATTATTCCTGTTTTTACAGGTGGGGAAACAAGACTCTTAAGAAGTTAAATCACATGCCCAACACCAACAACTAATAAGTGGCAGAGCTTGGACTTGAATCCAAGTGTGGCTGAATCCAGGGCCCACCCTTGAACTATGCTGTGCACCTTACAGCACAAGGCCTTTACAGGGCTGTCTACCTGTGAGAGGAAGCCTTAACCTGTCCTTGGCATGCAGCTTAATCTCTGAGGGGGAAAAAAAGAACTTTCCAGCTTTCTTAGAAGTACTAGGGGGCAGCAGGGAATGTGGAGAGCCTGAAGGAAAGCTAGCCCTGGGATCCCTCTGAGAAGACAATCTGCTTGAGAAAAGCAACCTTGGAGGAGGAGGAGCCTTTGGATACAGAACCTACTGGATTAGGCAGCTGGGAGCCAGCCAACTAGTGGCGTACAAAGCTAACTACGTTGTCAGCACTGAATGTCAAACAGTGCAGTGACCTCATGTCAGAGCACAAACAAAACATCACTCAGTACAAAAATCCCTGAACACTAAGGGTTTTCTGTCTTCTTGGATGACCATTACAGTTGGTGAGGCTTCAGGTCCCTGGGGATCTGCCATATTACAGTGGCTATAAATGAGATTTCTTTTTCTTTTTTCAGCAGCAAGCATCTAAAGTTGAGAAGGTGTTTTTTACCACTGCAGTACCAGTAGCCAGTAGCCCAGGTATGTAATTCCATGTTAGCCTTAAGAGAAGGCAACTCTGTGGGTCCCTTGAGGCACAGCTAATTATTGCTTTGTCCCAGTTTCTAAAACTTTAAAAATCTTTAAACAGCCTCAGTTAAATTCTTCACATTGTATTGTTGGCTAGAGTATTTCATATTCTCACAACTATTAGAAGTTAGTATACGTCTGGCCAAAATACCGTGTTTAACATTCTTTAACTAGTAACAGTTCTTTCCCTTTCAGATACAGCTTTAAAATGTAGCCAGAAAAAAATTTTTGAATCACAGCTAATGCTAAAGAGGGCAGTTGTTAATTCACTGGACTCTTTTCTAATTACAGTAATGAAGAAATAGCATCTGGGTCAGAGACACATATAGAGCTGAAAGTTCCTTTTATTCAAATTCTTTATTTTATAGATTAAGACACTGGGACCCAGAAAAATTAATTGACTCCCCCAAGGTTGTAAGTGAATCTGTGGTGGAACCAAAGCACTAGTTGTCAGGCCTCCCCGTTCCCACCCTGTTCTCCTGCCCACTGGCCTTTGTTTTGTTTTGTTTTTGAGACAAGGTCTCACTGTCACCCAGGCTGCAGTATGGTGGCACGATCACAGCTCACTGCAGCCTGGGCCTCCTGAGTTCAGGCAATCCTCTTGCCTCAGCCCCCCAAGTAGCTGGGACCATAGGCATGCTCCACCACCATGCCTGGCTAATTTTCTTTTTTTTCTTTCTTTTTTTTTTTTTTTTTGAGATGGAGTCACGTTCTGTTGCCCAGGCTGGACTGCAGTGGCGCAATCCCGGCTCACTGCAACCCCTGCCTCCTAGGTTCAAGTGATTCTCATGTCTCAGTCTCCCAAGTAGCTGGGATTACAGGCATTCAACACTATGCCCAGCTAATTTTTGTATTTTTAGTAGAGACAAGGTTTCACCATGTTGGCCAGGCTGGTCTCAAACTCCTGACATCAAGTGATCTGCCCACCTTGGCCTCCCAAAGTGCTGGGATTATAGGCATGAGCCACCACGCCCGGCCTAATTTTTCTTTATTATGTGTAGAGACAGAGTCTCACTATATTGGCCAGGCTGGTCTCAAACACCTGGGCTCAAGAGAATCCTCCCTTCTCAGTCTCCCAAAGTACAGGGATTACATACAGGCATGAGCCACTGCACCTCATCCTGCCCATTGGTCTTTAGCTCTGTCAAGACACACAAAGCCTGGCTGAATATGGAGCAAGTGTTCGTACAACACATGAGAGAAAGAGAGATGAGTAAGATGTCCTAAAGGAGCTCAGAGTCTCCTGGGCAGGCAGAACCAAGCAGGTCCTGTACCGCAAGGAGAGAGGTGTGGAAGGAAAACAGCAGCACTGTGCATGTGTGCCGGGAGGCTGGGTACCGGCTTCATCCAAGCTAGTCCTCTGCATAGGCCTACAGAGAGTGGGGGAGTGAGCTAGGTCTTGAAAGATGAGTGTCAGTTCTCCAGAAGAGAGGTGTCCAGGGATTTTAGTCGTAAGGAAGAGCCCACAGGCCCAGGGGTATAAAGAACGTGTCAGGAAAAGTAGGCCTCCACAGGGAGGGTGCAATGGAGAATGACTGGAAATGAAGCTGGAAATACAGGGTGCATCTAGATCGTGTGTGTGACTTTCTAAGGAAACGGGACTTTGTCTCGGGCTGGGGAGTGTCCCTCTTTTACCTCAGAGGGCATGTGGTCCAATTTAAAGCAGAACGAAGCCCGAAGTGTGGCAACCATCCTTCCCATGGTTCCCATGGCACTCTGCTCTCACCTAGTCCATGTATCCCTGTCCCTCATGCTCCTGCCCCTGCAGCTACTTGAAGAGCAGTCTCTCTTGCCTCTCTCGCAGGGAGCTCTGTCCAGCAGATTGGCCTCAGTGTTCCTGTGATCATCATCAAACAAGAAGAGGCATGTCAGTGTCAGTGTGCATGCCGGGACTCTGCAAAGGAGCGGGCATCCAGCAGGAGAAAGGGCTGCTCCTCCCCACCCCCTCCAGAGCCGAGCCCCCAGGCTCCTGATGGGCCCAGCCTGCAGCTCCCAGCGCAGACTTTCTCTTCAGCCCCTGTTCCCGGGTCATCATCCTCTACCTTGCCCTCCTCCTGTGAGCAAAGCCGACAAGCAGAGACTCCTTCAGACCCTCAGACAGAAACATTAAGTGCCATGGATGTGTCAGAGTTTCTATCCCTCCAGAGCCTGGACACCCCGTCCAATCTGATTCCCATTGAAGCACTACTGCAGGGGGAGGAGGAGATGGGCCTCACCAGCAGCTTCTCCAAGTGAAGGGCCCATGTGTGCTCACCTCTGGGAAAAGCGGGTGAGCAGGAGGCATGAGGTACAATGCCTGCCATCATGGGTCAGAAATTTGAAGGATGAAGAAATCTACTGTTTGAAATCCTCACCTTTCAGACGTATTTTCTTTATTCACATCCCAGGAGCATCCATTTTAAGGAACTATTCTTTGGAAAAAAACAAAAAACAAAAAAAACAACAAAAAAAGCTAAGTTATAAGTGAACTGTTTGGCTGCACTGTATGTCACTTTTGCTTGTTGTCATGTGAACTTGGAAACTAAGGTTACTCGTGTGCATAAAAATTCTAAATGAAAGGGTGTGGTTTCCATCAATCTGATGCTGCCCATCGCTTGCACTGGGGTCTTTGTGGATCGGGCAGGAGTTTTCAGTGTGTTGGGTGTTGCTCCTTCCTATGTGTCTTTTGAATCTGAGGCTGACATTTGCTTGGAAGGCCAGACCCTTGCTCCATCAGAGAGGGCAGTGGCAAAGGCCAGTGAGGCAGCTGTGAGTTGGACAGGGTTCAGGTGAGATGGTGTTGTCATTTGTGCTTAGTGTTGGTGGTGCTCAGGGTGGATAACACGGGTCGTTCTGCAGCCCGCTTCAGCACAAATAGGCAGCTTAAGGCCTGGCTCACAGGCTGTGGGGTTGATCTGGCTCTGCAGAGGCCCTAGGCAGCTTGTTGACTGCTGTCTGTTGATGACGTGTGTGCAAAGCAGGCTCTAGCAACATGATCACTGTCCTTGCCTTCCTGGTTCTTTCTCTCGGTTGGTTGCCAGGGCTTGCAGATCGCAGTGAATTTTCCTTGGGGAACATCGCTGTTTTGTCCTAGAGTGAACTTGTGGCTTATGGCCAGTGCTGTTTGGTGGTCTGCCTTCTTTTTAATGGTATTTTCTTCCTCAGAGCAGAAGGGCTGCATTTTGCTTATCAGAAGAAGGTGCAGATTTAAGGGAATTCATATGAGGTGGCATGTAATTGGCAGGCCAGGTGTCCTGGTTCCAGGTTCCAGCCAGGCTTTGGGTTGCCCCCTCCATCTCTGCCCCCCTCTGGATTTTGCATACAGCCTCATACAGTGCAAACAAGGATGTGACTTGCTCAGCTTAGTCATGTGATTTATTTAAAAAAAAAAAAAAAAGAAACACAAAACGATGATCTTCTACTCAGGGTATAGCAAAACAAAAAAATTCCCTTTCCACCAAAAAGCCTGAAATGTTGCAATAAGTTATCTCATTTGGAATGTTTCATTAAGTTGTGTTATAGGAAAAAATTGTGTGTGTGTGTTATAGAATTATATCCATATGTCTGCCTTTGGCTCCAAGTCATTGCCTCTTAAAATAAAAGATACAATCCATACTAGCATGAAAAGTTTCCCTCAACAGGCTATATTAACATAGTCATGAGTGCTGACCAAACTCACCGAGCTCAGAGGCCAGGCATGGCCTGAGGTGCAGAATAGGCCTCTGCCTCCCAAGAGCCCTTTCCTTGCCCTGAGCAAGGAGTGGTGTTCCACAAACAAGGCTGCTCTTCTAAGCCAACAGTGTCAGGCAGGAAGCAGCCATAATTTTGCCTTGCATTTTCATTCCCTAATGTAAAGGGATCTGCATTGGTCACTCTCCTGTTCTCTGAGCCATTGCTCAGGGCCAGCCAAGATATTATTGAGAACAGATAATTTACCTTGGAGCCAGAGGCCCTCCCTGCCTTTAGCAAGGATGTTCAGGGACAGACAAAGAGGGCAGTGGTGGTGAATGTTGTTACTGCCATGAGGAGAAATGGCAGTAAGAAATCTTAACTACAAGCAGCCAATTTCTCATTCCAGGACCCTAGCCAGAATAATTGACTTCTTTTTTTTTTTGAGACAGAGTTTTGCTTTTGTTGCCCTGGCTGGAGTGCAGTGGCGCAATCTTGGCTCACCGCAACCTCCACTTCCCAGGTTCAAGCAATTCTGCCTCAGCCTCCCGAGTAGCTGGGATTACAGGCATGCGCCACCACGCCTGGCTAATTTTGTATTTTTAGTAGAGACGGGGTTTCTCCATGTTGGTCAGGCTGGTCTCGAACTCCCAACGTCAGGTGATCCTCCCGCCTCAGTCTCCCAAAGTGCTGGGATTACAGGTGTGAGCCACCATGCCTGGTCTAGGGAATTGACTTCTTTTTGACCTTCTGCACTCCCTTCCCCAAAAGGATTGTGGCTTCTGTTGACCATTGACCTCAGCAGAAGTTGATAAGGCAGGAGGTTTCCAGTCCTCCTGGAAAACCAACTGCTGAGCATGAGTTGTCCTTGGCTGTCTCTGGGCCTCGCACCCATGGGAAGTTTTGAGGTAGGGCCCTTGCTGTTTACAACTTCTGAGAGAGTAGTGATGGGACCCCAAAGTAAGCTTGTATCAGAGGGCAGTAATGACCTTCCCATATCCCCATCCTGTGGTCACCTGGGATTTGGGTTCCCTGGGGCGGAAGTGGGAAATAGGAGCCCAGGGAAGGACATCTGAAGCACCCACAGTTTAAATAGCGACTCTTCTTGGTTAGCCAGGGCTGTGCTCATGTTGGGCCCTACCCAGGTCAGTGGCCTTTTCACTCTCAAAGATCGGGGGTGACGAAGCAGCATCTTAAACAGTGTTTAGGCTGACAGATTTTTCCAGTTGAAGAAGCTGAAGTATCTGCCTTTTGAGGGTGACTCTAGATTACAAGAGAGACTATCAGATCCAATCAGCTTTTGAAAAATCAGGAATGTGCTTAAAATGCCAGTGAGTGGTTGTGAAGATCAGGTTTATTTCCCAGGATAGGCAGTCTTTCTTTCCCTCCTTTTCCAGTTCTCTTTTCCTACCTGTCCTTCCATAAGCCTGGTCTCTAGTGCCGAGGACCTTGGAGAAGAGAGGGCCCCTAGCTAAGCTGGAGCCAGAAAGAACCTTCATGGTGAGTGTGGTTTCCCAAACTTGGGAAATGAACCTAGGGTGAGGTTAGGGAGGATTTGTAGAATTCTAGCAGGTAAAAATCAAGCCTTTTTCCCCTCCCATAGTAAACTTAACCATTTTCACCCTGTACGTTATCTTCTAGCTCCTACTAACATCTCCAATTAGACAACCGCTTCAAAGGGTGCTTAGCACCAGGGATTGGGGTTCATGGACTTAGGAGGTGGTAAGGAAACTGGCTGGCACCACCAAACTGCCTTAGTGAACTTGGCCCTTCCCAGGCAGGTAGGTTGGGCATTGAGGGAAGGTGGCCCAGTCTTTGCTGGCAGGGTCTGGCCAGTCTCATGGGGGCACCACCAGTTTGGTGACAGAAGTGGTGTCATTTATTGAATTCCACCTCCGTTTAGAAGGAGATCATGGTACAAAGCCCAGGAGGGGCCTTAAGATGTGAAGATCTCTCTGAGTAAAAGGCAAGGGGCTTCTCTTCTTCACCTCTGGGATAGTTGGTAGATCGGAGAGTTTTATTTTCAGGGTCAAGGCTGTGGACTGATGGGGATATTGGAGGGTGGGTGGGTTTTCCTGAGAGACTTTGTATAATGCTGAATGTGTCCAGAGGGACAAGTTTGCAGAACCTCATATTGGTATATTAAAGAAATAATAAAATAAAAAAGCACTTTAGGTTATTTTATCTTTAACCCGATTGCTGCAATTTCTTTTGTGTGTATATATACATATATATACTTTCCACAAAGTTTTATTTTTTGCTCAGAATAAAAAGTTAAATTGAGGTGTGAAAAGAAAAGCACTTACCTTGGTGCAATATGTGTAGCTTGATGGTCGTTGTCCCATGTGGCCCTGGCCTGGCAGCGTTTTTCCGCTCAATCAGCCCTGTGCTGTGAGACTGTCCATAGGGAAACACTATTATGCATTCTCAGCAACCGCTCAATCTATGCAAGCCTTCCCTGTGTGCCCCAGGGCGCCCCCTCAGGCTCTCTGAAGAACTGCTGTGGGTCCTGTTTTCTGCTGACTGTTGAGGCCCTTTTTCATCACTTCTTGGTCTCTCGCCATCTTTTCCCTCTTCACCATTACAAAATGATGCCTGAAAGGAAGGAACAGATTGTTCCTAGGTAGAAACCTGGCACCTTCTAGACTTTTATATTTGTAATCACATCCATTGTCCTTAAAGACTTTTCCAGAGTGATTGAAACCATTGATTTGTGGAACTGCAACAATATTTCTCAAGAGTTTACAATTGTCTTACACCACCAATCAGAAATATGTTTGGGGAGGCATGGGTGGCAGGGGGCAACATGAGCCATTTCCATACTGCTCCCCATACTACCTGTGTTGGTTCCTTAAGCAAAAAGGCCTCCAGCCTTCATTAAATCCTATAAACAAACATTACATCCCATGAATCATTATCAACTTTCTTCCTTTACTCCACCTCCCCCATTTTATCTTCAATTCTCAGGCTATAGAATAGACAAGTTTTAGAATATACTTCAGCCAAAGCAGAAGGATTTTCATAGATCCAATATGCAAATAGTTCTGCTGTGACATAGATCAGAAATTGTCTGTTCCTTAATATTTGGGGGTGGAGGCAACAAAACTGAAGCATATTTCTGATTGGTTAGCCATTTTGGCCTGTTTCCTCTTGCATGTTTTTTAGGGAGAGAGGGAAACAGTCCTGTATTTCTTCTGATGCCCTTTGGGGAAGCCGACGACCACTGGGCATTTCTCACTGTTACTCCTGTTCAAGAGAGGGCTTCTCAGTCTGCACTGAAAAATGCAAATTAAACTGGATCTTTATGTCAATGTGTACATAGTACAAGCTTTTTTACTGGAATTGAGGTTTAAAACCACACACTGCCCTTTTGGTGGTGTGCCTGTTGGGCCAAAAATTGGGTGATAATGTAGTGTCACTTTCTCAGCTCAATGCAGTTTCTACTTTTTCTTATGGGAAAATTTTTCATAAAACCTTTTTGCACCAAAACCCAGGGGTGTTTTTTGCAATATCCTTGTTATCCTCGTAGTGTGCCAAGTCAGAGGCTTTCTCTTGCCCTTTTCCTGCTGTGTTCTCAGGCCTCCCAAGGGCTATTTGACTCAACAGTCTACATCCTTCGTTGTGTTTTGGAGAATGTGGGGGTGGGGGTCAGAGTTCAAGGTGTCTGTTCCCTTTTCCTGTGAACTCTTTCTAGTCCCTATTTGGGGAGGGTGGCTGGAAACAGATTTTTGCTGAATTTCTGGCTCAGATCTTCTAGCCAGGAAAGGCAAGAGCCCCCAAGAGCCCTTTTTTTTGACATACACTAATCATTGGCCGGGGTCTTGGTGACAACTTTTAAAATCCCAAATAGTTTTATTTGGATTATGTAAAAGTAAGTGTGAAACATGGGAACAACGGACTTCCACTGAGCGATGTGAAAACGTTACAGGTTCAGTACTTCCAAAGGAAGAAACCTCCAAACCCAAAAAAGAATAAATATGAATTTGTATTTTTGAAGAATGTGAAATAATGGTGTTTGCTTAATTGCTCATTTTGTATAAACTTAATATTGTACTTTAAAATATCTGCTAAAAAGTGAAAATTTAACTTTTTGGAATTGAAAAAGCAATATTAAATACTAATGAAATCCTAATTAAATGCTTATTTAAATCTGGTAGTATCTGTGGCATTTCTTACCAACCCTGCCCATAGTTGACATTTTTCCACCACTCCCCCCTTCCCAGCCATCAGTCTTGGAGAGGGGACAGAAAGGAAACGTCGGTCACCAGGAGAGTCTGCAGGTTTCCTTTTAATCAAGGCTCTACTGAAGGTGTTTTGTGGGGCTAAAAGCCCCCAAAACATGAAATGGACATGTAACACCACCTGGATCCCCCATAGCAGGCCAGACCACTCTGGCGAGCACTGCTGGTCTGCCCAAATCTGGGTAATCAGACTGGGTATTCATTGGCTGCATTTCAAAGCACAGCACTGCTTTCAGCCAGGATGAAGTGGGAGTGAACCCAGCTGCTAGCAGAGCTGCCACTCCAGGCTGAGAGCCAAGTACCAGCCACTGCCAGTGAAGACTGGCCCCTTTACTGAAGGGAGTTGTTCAGAGTCCAGCCACCGGCCCTGGGGAGGGAGAGAAGTCAGGGTATTCTGCTCGGGGATGGTCAGGGCTCCGCAGCTCCATCGCCAGCATCCTTTGGAAAGCCGCCTCTGGCGGAGACAGCCGGCTGGGGGGGCGCTCCAGGTTTGGCTGAGACGTTCTAGTTGGAACAGAAAGGAAAAAAGTGAGGCTGGGAGGCAAGGCCTTGGATTAGGCCCCACAAGGATGTGGCCATTTGGCATTTGGATAGTATTAACTTTTTCGAAACCTCTCACCAGATCAAAGGAGGTTAGGGATAAAGCGGCGGAGACATACTTCCCCCCTCCAGGGTAAGCTAGGGCTTGGCCAGCCTAGCCAGTGGGCAGACCCCACCCCACCCCAGCCCAGCCCAGGGTGGGCACTAACCCCGCCACCAGCCGGCTCCGGGCGCCGGCGGCCCAGCTGCCGTAACATCTCCTCGCAGGCTGCGATGGTGTCCAGGAGCTGCCGCTGCCGCTGCTCCACCGCGTCCAGCAGCTGCTGGGCGCGCTCCTCCCGGGGCGGCTGTGGGGGTGGCCTCCCGCCGAGCCCCAGCCCCGCCTTCCCGCGGTCCACGCCGGCAGCCTCCCTGCCCGGGAGAGAGCGAGAGACAGACGGTCAGGGCCGGCGCTTGCGCGGGGCCAAGCCCCTTCCTCCCGCCCCGACGGGCCCCCTCTCACCCCCGTGACCAGTCTGAGCCCGGGCCCCATTCCATCTCCGCTTGCGCGGCCCGACCACCGCCCCCCTTTCGGCCGCCCCCCTCCCCAGCGCTGCGTTAGGGCTTCGCAAGGCTGCGCCCCGCCCCGTCCCCACCGGTCTCCTTCAATCCTCCTGGGGGTCGTGGTCCCTTTAAGCTGCCCGGCGCAGAGGCGGGGCCGAGTCTCCTGGACCGGAAGCTGGCTGGGAGCGTCACTTCCTCCCGGAAGCGGGCCTGGGCGGATGTCTCCGGCGCGTCGGTGCAGGGGGATGAGGGCCGCGGTGGCTGCCAGCGTGGGGTTGAGCGAGGGGCCTGCTGGCTCCCGGAGCGGTCGCCTCTTCCGCCCGCCGAGTCCCGCTCCGGCGGCCCCCGGCGCCCGGCTGTTGCGGCTCCCGGGGAGCGGGGCCGTGCAGGCCGCGAGCCCGGAGCGCGCCGGCTGGACCGAGGCGCTGCGGGCCGCCGTGGCCGAGCTGCGCGCCGGCGCCGTGGTGGCCGTCCCCACCGATACGCTGTACGGCCTGGCCTGCGCGGCGAGCTGCTCGGCGGCTCTGCGCGCTGTGTACCGCCTCAAGGGTCGCAGCGAGGCCAAGCCTCTGGCCGTATGCCTCGGCCGCGTGGCCGACGTCTACAGGTAAGGCCGCCCCGACCCGGCCCCGCTAGGGGCGGCACCGCGGGAGGGGTTTCCGGTGACAGGCTTGGGAGACTGAGGCGCAGAGAGCGGGAGGGGCTTGTCCAGGCTCACCAAGGAATCCGGAACTGGAAATATGTACCGAGGACTTAACGTGCCCCGGGCCCTGAACTACATGCTGCTGGGAAGCAGCAACACACGAGAAAGGCAGGGACCCTGTTCCCTTGGCGTATTTGTGCTAATTGGGGAGGCCCCCGGGAAAAAAGCAAACAAACACAGTAGCTTAATTTAATAGCGAATGCCTTGAAGAAAATAAAACGTGGAGCTTGATCCCACTATCATGATATCACAGCGGTGCAGCTGTTGTAGTCCCTGAGACCAGAGGCACATGGGCGTCAAGCCAGGGGTGCGCCTCTGGAGCCCTGCTTTCTGCTCAAGCTCTTAGGGAGGTGAAGCAGGGAGACAGGCGGCTCCCATTGTAAACTCGAAGGATTCCTTTTCTACGTCTGCCTAGAGTCTAGGAAAGGACCACCAGTGGCCCTTCAATTTTGAATGGATTTATTCTTCTGTGTTTCCCAGATACTGCCGTGTGAGAGTACCTGAGGGGCTCCTGAAAGACCTACTGCCAGGACCAGTGACCCTGGTGATGGAACGCTCGGAGGAGCTCAACAAGGACCTAAACCCTTTTACGCCTGTGAGTCAAGTTTTCTCTTGTGTCCCCAGACTCCAGGCCACTTGGCTTTCACTAGGATCCAGATAAGACTTACCCTCTTATCCCTTCCAACCTTTCTCATGATCCCTTTCCCCTTGCCTTACAGCTTGTAGGCATTCGGATTCCTGATCATGCTTTTATGCAAGACTTGGCTCAGATGTTTGAGGGTCCGCTTGCTCTCACTAGTGCCAACCTCAGCTCCCAGGCCAGTTCTCTGAATGTCGAGGTGAGTTTACCCAGTCCTTCCCCTGGAAATGTCACCAGCGCACATACTGTTTTCTGTGAATCAGTGGCATTGATAGTACACTGGGATGGCCAGGCATGAGAGTTCTTGGGCCAACAGTGGGAAGGTTGCCCAGCTGGCAGGGAGGTGGTGGGGGGCAATATAAATTAAAAAAATTTGAAAGATTTTATCTCAAAGTCTGAAAAGCCAGGGGGAGAATTGGTCTTTTCTTCAGTCTTTATAATAATAGGAAAGATTATAAGAACAATGTCTTCCTGTTTTTCTGGAGATAACAGTTTCTGGAGAACACAGTTAGGCTATAAATCTTCACGACAGTGCTGTAAAGAAAGATGAAGAAGGCCAAGGGCAGTGGCTCATGCCTGTGACCCCAGCACTTTGGGAGGCCCAAGCAGGTGGATCATGTGAGGTCAGGAGTTTGAGACCAGCCTGGCTAACATGGCAAAACTCCATCTCTAATAAAAAATACAAAGATTAGCCAGACATGGTGGCGCATGCCTGTAATCCCAGCTACTTGGGAGGCTGAGGCAGGAGAATCACTTGAACCTGGGAGGCAGAGGTTACAGTGAGCTCAGATTGTGCCACTGTACTCCAGGCAGGGCTCTAGAGCGAGACTCTGTCTCTTAAAAAAAAAAAAAAAGATGAAGTTTAGCCTCCAGAAAGTTAAATCACTTGTTCCAGGTCACACAGCCATTAAGTGACTGACTCAGATTTTTAACCAGTTTTTGATTCTCGCCCCTGTTCTCTTATCTCTGCCACAAGCCAGATCAAAGAAAGGATCATCCTAATCCTTTCTTGGCTACATAGATTAGAACAAAGGAGGACACATAGAAATTTCGTTTTTTTTCTTATTACTAAGATGTAAAACGTAGTAATAAGCTACATTGTGTCCCCAGACTCGGCCAGACACATAGTATCACACATAGTATCCAGCATCAGGCCTTGGGCCTTCCTTGGGCTTATTACATCCAGCTAATAAGCCTGGATAGAGTAACTTGCGTGCAGTCACATAGAGATACGATGGAAAGTCCAGAGTTAGAGCCCGTATCCCTGCTCAGAACTCCATTCGATGGGTTTTCCATTCCCAGACCTAGAGTGGGGCTCAGGGTTCTTAGAAAGTGAGAGTTCAGCATCCCTTCCCATTCTCAGAGTGCAGGTTTGACTTGGTCCTGGTGGCTGTACCCCAGGAGCAAGAATCGGGATGTGGCACAGGGAGGGGAGGTTTTTACCTTGTCAGCAATCATTTGACCTGTCCAACACAGTAACTGGTATTTATGATTTCCTGTCCCAGATTTCCAGGCCTAACTGCCACTGCAGTGTCTTCCTTGGGGGGTTGGGGAAGCTCTAGCTCAGTTAACAATTCAGTCCACTGCTCTAGGGGGAGTATCCTTCTCATAGCCCAAAGACTGAGTGCTGGTGGCATGCAGAATCTACCATGTTCTACTCTTCCTACCCTGATCAGAGTCGCAGTGAGATCCAGGAGCATAGTTCTAGAGCTAGAAGGAGCTGGAATCACTTGTTCCAGGTTACGCAGCCATTAAGTGACCAGATTTTTACCTAGTTTTTTTTTGTTTTGTTTTGTTTGAGACAGTCTCACTCTCTTGCCCAGGCTGGAGTGCAGTGGCACCATCTCAGCTCACTGCAACCTCCATCTCCCGGGTTCAAACAGTTCTCCTGCCTCAGCCTCCCGAGTGAGTAGCTGGGATTACAGGCGTGTGCCACCATGCCCGGCTAATTTTTGTATTTTTAGTAGAGATGGGGTTTCACTATGTTGACCAGGCTAGTCTCAAACTCCTGGCCTCAAGAGATCCAGCCTCCCAAAGTGCTGAGATTACAGGCGTGAGCCACCATGCCTGGTCTTTTTACCTAGTTTTTGACTCTTGACCCTGTTCTCTTATCTTTGCGGCAAGCCAGGTCAAAGAAAAGATCATCCTAGTCCTGTCTTGGCTACATAGATTAGAACAAATGAAATGAGGACATAGGATCATCTAGTCCAGCCCACTTGTCTTGTAGGCCTGGATAGAGTAACTTGCATGCAGTCACACGGAGATACGATGGAAAGTCTAGAGTTATAGCCCGTATCTCTGCCCAGAACTCCATTCATTGTACTTATATTTCCCTAACTGAAGCAATGTGTGAAATTTCCTTTTGACATAGCAAGATTTTCTTTAAACCCTAGATAGGTGTTACTTGGAGTGCTAACCCAGGAGGCCTCCAAACCTCATAGAATACAGTGTCTTTGGCACAGTTGACCTTAACTAAATGAAGCTCCTTTCTCTGCTTAGAGGAAAGTGCCTTCTGTTTTAAGACTATATGGCCTTTGATGACTGCGTGCAGTTTGACATTATTGGATACACCAGGGATAGTGTCCATGCTCTTCCTTCTCCCTCTTCTCAGGAGTTCCAGGATCTCTGGCCTCAGTTGTCCTTGGTTATTGATGGGGGACAAATTGGGGATGGCCAGAGCCCCGAGTGTCGCCTTGGCTCAACTGTGGTTGATTTGTCTGTGCCCGGAAAGTTTGGCATCATTCGTCCAGGCTGGTAAGTCTCTTTCCTGTGGTGTGGGGAAATAATTTGAGGGAGGTTGGAGAGATGCAAAAAAGCTTTGACAAGATAAAGATGGTGCCTCCTATGTTGCCCTGAAGGAGTGTGGGCCAGGTTTGGAGAAGTGGTAGTTGCAGTGGGACTAAGTTTCCTGGCTTTCTTAGGATTCAAAAGGTTTCATCAAGGGTTGATGAACAGGGCTTAACAAGGCTAGCCAGTTTCGATGTCCCTGCTCACCAGCCTCTGGTGGGCTCGGGACTTCTGAGAAGTCAGACTGGTAACTGTCCTGTTTCCTCCTCAGTGCCCTGGAAAGTACTACAGCCATCCTCCAACAGAAGTACGGACTGCTCCCCTCACATGCGTCCTACCTGTGAAACTCTGGGAAGCAGGAAGGCCCAAGACCTGGTGCTGGATACTATGTGTCTGTCCACTGACGACTGTCAAGGCCTCATTTGCAGAGGCCACCGGAGCTAGGGCACTAGCCTGACTTTTAAGGCAGTGTGTCTTTCTGAGCACTGTAGACCAAGCCCTTGGAGCTGCTGGTTTAGCCTTGCACCTGGGGAAAGGATGTATTTATTTGTATTTTCATATATCAGCCAAAAGCTGAATGGAAAAGTTAAGAACATTCCTAGGTGGCCTTATTCTAATAAGTTTCTTCTGTCTGTTTTGTTTTTCAATTGAAAAGTAATTAAATAACAGATTTAGAATCTAGTGAGAGCCTCCTCTCTGGTGGGTGGTGGCATTTAAGGTTCAAACCAGCCAGAAGTGCTGGTGCTGTTTAAAAAGTC
Organism: Homo sapiens; assembly: GCF_000001405.40. Lineage (NCBI taxonomy): Eukaryota > Metazoa > Chordata > Mammalia > Primates > Hominidae > Homo > Homo sapiens. The sequence continues at coordinate 37,803,510 of NC_000001.11, read as the reverse complement.
TCAGGTGGCTGCGTGTGGTGGCTCATGCCTGTAATCCCAACATTCTGGGAGGCCCAGGCGGGAGAACTGCTTGAGCCCAGGAGTTCAGAATCAGCCTGGGCAACATAGCAATACTCCGTCTCATAAAAATTAATAAATAAAAAGTCTCAGGTGACCAAAGGCTCCTGAAGCTAGAACCAGGTTTGGATAAAGATTGAAGAGCCACAGGCCACTCTTCCCTCTGAGCCATTGGGCCTAGTGGTGTCATGTATTGTAATTGCTCGCAGGGAGAGCAGTCTTTTTGGTGTAATAGTGGGATGTCTGCTTAGTTGGCAGGGGTTCAGTCCAAATGGAAGAATATTGGGAAATAAACCTCCACTATCCTTTATAGCCAGGGACTTTTTTCTTATTTATTCATAAAATAAATTATAGTTAATTATACCCATAACACCTTTATTTAAATCCAGTGTTCTCCGCAGCCTTTTGTCTATTTATATGTGTACCAAGTGTTAAACATAATTATTATTGGGCATTTGAACTTTGTTTTTCTTTAAAGAAATGCTGCTATTAAACATATTTGTAAATGGTTTGTTTTTCTTCTTTTGAATTATTTCCTTAGGAGAGTAGGTCAAAGTGTAGGAAGTATTTATGGCTCTCAGTATGGATTAGCCTTCAAAAGAACTGAGTCAAGTTACACTGCTGTTAGCAGTGTGTGAGAATGGCTGCCTCTGCCCCCTGGCCTTCCCATGTTTAGTATTTTTCAGATTGTGTGTGTGTTAAATGAAGCCAGTGTTGCTACCTTCTGTAAATTACTACAGGTCAACATCCAACCCTTTCAGCTGTCCCTGCCTGCCTTGGTTTCCCCAGCTAAGCCCCAAAGCCAGGTGGCCAGGCCTGCTCATCTCTCTGGTGGGGCTTAATATCAGTTACCTAACTGGGGCTGGGTGTCCTTGAGGTGACCACTGGGGTCTATTTCCTCCTTCCTCCCCTTCCCTCTTGTACCCTAGTTCCCAAAATTCTGATTCAGTCTTTTTTTTTTTTTTTTGAGACAGAATCTCTGTTGCCCACACTGGAGTGCAGTGGCACGATCTTGGCTCGCTGCAAACTCCGCCTCCCAGGTTCAAGTGATTCTCACACATCAGCCTCCTGAGTAGCTGGGACTACAGGTGTGCACCACCACACCCTGCTAATTTTTTTGGTATTTTTAGTAGAGATGGAGTTTTGCCATGTTGGTCAGGCTGTTCTTGAACTCCTGGCCTGAAGTGATCCACCCGCCTTGGCTTCCCAAAGTGCTGGGATTACAGGCATGAGCCAAGGCACTCAGCCCATTTTTTACTTTTTTAAAGACACGTCTCTCTGTGTTGCCCAGGCTGGTCTCGAACTCCTGAACTCATCCTTCCACCTCAGCCTCCCAGAGTGCTGGGATTACAGGCATGAGCGACCACGCCTAGCTTCCAATTCAGTCTTGAGCCCATAAACTTCTCAGTACAGTGGTTTCCAATGCACCTGTTTCCAAGTATATCCTAAGAATCTTGTGTTAACAGGGGCCTGCTTTAATCAGGGTTCCTGCAATTAGCGTATTAGTTTATTGGTAAATAAGCACTGGTTTGTTAATTCCCTCTAGAAATCTTGTTTAGTAATGTTTTTTGTGTTTTCTTTTTGTTTGTTTGTTTGTTGTTTTTGTTTTGAGACAGTCTTGCTCTTGCCCAGGCTGGAGTCCAGTGGTGCCACATTGGCTCACTGCAACCTCCGCCTCCCAGGTTCAAGCGGTTCTCCTGCCTCAGCCTCAGAAGTAGCTGGGATTACAGGCACCCACGCCCAGCTAATTTTTGTATTTTTAGTAGGGATGGGGTTTCACCATGTTGGCCAGGCTGGTCTCGAACTCCTGACCTCAGGTGATCCACCTTCCTTGGCCTCCCAAAGTGCTGGGATTACAGGTGTGAGCCACCACGCCCAGCCTTGTTTAGTAACTTTTTTTTTTTTGAGACGGAGTCTCGCTCTGTCGCCCAGGCTGGAGTGCAGTGGCGTGATCTCGGCTCACTGCAAGCTCCGCCTCCCGGGTTCACGCCATTCTCCTGCCTCAGCCTCCCAAGTAGCTGGGACTACAGGCGCCCACCACTACGCCTGGCTAATTTTTTTGTATTTTTAGTAGAGACGTGGTTTCACCCTGTTAGCCAGGATGGTCTCGATCTCCTGACCTCGTGATCCGCCCATCTCGGCCTCCCAAAGTGCTGGGATTACAGGAGTGAGCCACCACGCCCAGCCATTGTTTAGTAATTTCTTAAGCAAACCTACTTGTTGTGGTAAAGCCATAGCCAGCCCAGCTCCTGTATCAGTTTGTCACAGAATCTAAGGTCAGAATCTGTGAGGTCTTAAAGAGAGCAAAAGGAATGCTTACTTGAGAATACCAGTTCATATTTAATTACTACTAATCACAGTAGCACTGAACATGGCTCTAGTGAGTGGGCCTCAGTCAGTTCAGGCAGCTAAAGGGAGGGGGATTTCCTCCTAGTCCTCTCCCTAGAGCTAAATATGCATCTGGGAAAAATTAGGCTCTGGAGCACAGAGGTATTTTTCTAGAGGAAAAAGAACTGAACTCCCAGCACTAGGTAAAACTGCAAAAAGAAAAACACCTGTGCCCAGGCACTAGCTACAAGGCCACACCAGAAAAGGAAAGCTGGGTCCTGGAAGCTTCAGGACAGGAACTCTTCCTTGGTCAAGTTTTCCCCAGCACCTAGCACATAGGAAGGTGCTTGATGAGTGAGTGTTAAATGAACCTGTGAGTGCTCAGGATGATTTCCTGATAATTGGGTTCAGGAATCTACTGGGAGGAGCTTAAACCTAGAAGTTCCCTTTTTGAAAGTCTCAAATATGGTTCCCTAACTTAGAGAAGACAGATGATGTGGGAAGGAGGCCTGAGGAGAGGATGCAGGCTGGCAGAAGGGAGCAGGGTGCATGCGAGCCCAGACCCTGACACCCTTCCAAGGGTGGTGACTGGGTGGCCACTACACAGCACCAGCCTGCTGCAGAGTTCAAAACTAGAAGGGGTTACATGAAAGTGTTCCCAGGATGTGGAGCTGCCCTGGGCTAAGTTCAGTCACCTGCCAGCCTCTGCCGTTCCCATCACCACAGAGCACCTCAGCACCACTCGCCTGAGGAACGGGCTCTGTGTTGCACAGGCCCATGCCTGACGGCCCACCCAGAAACACCCATCTGCTGACCTCTGACCTGGGAACGAGTGAGTGGCTACAACCTCAGCTGAACCCCACATGGTGACATCTTCCAGCAAGGCAAGGACATCAGCACCTCACGCCCATTTACAGGCCCCTCACATGAGCCACTGCTCCTTCTCTTTGATGAAGTGCTCCGCCCAGCGGCGTGTCAGCTCCAGGTACAGGCTGGGCTGGTGAGGCAGGTAGTCCAAATACAGGCGGGTGGGTGTCTTCTTGGGAATGGCCTTCTCAATCTGGGTGCCCTCGTGCCACTCATTGAAGGAGGTAATGGAAACGATCTCGGGCCTCACTGTCAGGGCCGCCTGCAGGGCCGTCTCATAGTACTTGCCATTGACCCTGTTGCGCGTATTGTGGTTGTTCCAGGGCCGAATGCTGGTGTCTATGTAGCCAGGCCCCACACTGGGGATGAACATGAGGTTGTTGGCATCACAAAAGTTCTTCACAGCTTTCCAGTTCTGATGGGAAGAACCAAAGGAGAAACCATTGGAGGCAAAGTAGGTGTACATGCCGTCAAATCCGGCGGCCAGGATATCGTGGGTGTGGCCCTCCTCCACCAGCAGCGCTATGAAGACCCCATCGTAGGGCGTGTTGCGGATCGAATGGGGCCCGTTTGGTGTCAGGAGGTGGGCCCAGGCCTCAGGGGACGTCAGGTATGAGTCGTAGATATAAAAGAGTGGGAGGCTCTTGCCCATGCTGTTCTTATAGCGGTAAAATGCACCATGGGAGCCATACCTGAGAAGGAGAAAGAAGAGCCTCAGCTGGATGGGAGAGACCAGCACAGCTGTAGGACCTCCCGTGGATGAGATACGGATGCAACACAGCCCAGTTCTGGAGCCAGTCAGTCTCCACAGTTGGAGTCATCATGCCTCTAAGCAAGAACCTGGTTCCCTCCTTCCTCTCTCCAGTTGTCATTCCTAAGCCTCACTTCCCTACCCTTAGCCAAGCCACCACCGTCTTCCATCTGGATTGCAACAACAGCCAGCTAACTGGTCTCCAGGCTCCCATCCTGCCTCCATATAATCCATTCATTATTCCCACCTACTTGATCTGGCCCTGCCTACTCCATTCCTGCTCTTTTCCCAGCTATTACTCCCCATCTGGCCTTTCTATCCGGCTCTCATGTGTCATGCAAGCTTGTTCCATCTTATGGGACTTGCATCTGCCAGCCCTCTGCTTGGAATTTTCTCCCTGCCTCCGGATCTTTGCAGAGCTGACCCTTTTTCTTTTCTTTTTTCTTCTTATTATTACTACTTTTTTCTGAGATAGGGTCTTGCTCTGTTGCTCAGAGCTGGAGTGCGGTGGGCGATCTCAGCTCACTGCAACCTCTACCTCCTGGGGTTCAAGTGATTCACCTGCCTCAGCCTCTCAAGTAGCTGGAATTACAGGCACCCGCTACCATACCTGCCTAATTTTTGTATTTTTAGTAGAGATGGGGTTTCACCATGTTGGCCAGGCTGGTCTTGAACTCCTGACCTCAGTCAATCCACCCACCTCAGCCTCTCAAAGTGCTGGGATTACAGGTGTGAGCCACTGGGCCTGGGCTTTTTTTTCTTTTTTCTTTTTTTTATTCTTAAGTCTCACTGTATCGCCCAGGCTGGAGTACAGTGGTGCCATCGTAACTCACTGCAACCTCAAACTCCTGGGCTCAAGTGATCCACTCACCTCAGCCCCCCAAATAGCTGGGACAATAGGCATGCATCACCATGCCCAGCTAATGTTTAAAAAAAAATTTGTAGAGATAGAGTCTCCCCATGTTGCCCAAGCTGGTCTCAAACTCCTGGCCTCAAGTGATCCTCCCACCTCAGCCTCCCAAAGTGCTGGGATTACAGGTGTGAGCCACCACACCCAGCCCTGACTGCTCATTCAGGTGTTAGCTCACCTGTTGTCTCCTCAGACTCACCTGACCTGACTATCCATTCTTAAGTAGCATCGTGGGCACACTCTAGCACAAAATCCTGTACAGATCACTGTTTGATTTTTCCCATTTAATTACTGTCTGCTCCACAGTACCTGCAACATACACTAGAAAGTAAACATTATGAAATCAGAAATTTCGCTAGTCCTACCCATTACTGTACAACTGGGCTTAAGTCAGTGCCTGGACACATGTAGGCACTCAATACTCTCTTTTTTTTTGTTTGTTTTTTTAAGAGACAGAATCTTGCTCTGTTCTCAGCTGGAATGCAGTGGTGTAATTGTGGCTAACTGTAACCTCAAACTCCTGGGCTCAAGTGATCCTCCCACCTCTGCCTTCCAAGTAGCTAGGACTACTACAGGCATGCACTGCTATGCCCAGCTAATTTTTTTTTTCAGTAGAGATGGGGTCTTGCTATGTTGCCCAGGCTGATCTCAAACTCCTGGCCTCAAGCAATCAATCCTCCCACCTCTGCCTCCCAAAGCCCTGGGAGGCCGGGTGCAGTGGTTCACACCTGTAATCCCAACACTTTGGGAGGTCGAAGTGGGCAGAGCATCTGAAGTCAGGAGTTCAAGACCAGCCTGGCCAACATGGTGAAATCCCAGGCTGGAGTACAGTGGTGCCATCATAGTTCACTGTAACCTCAAACTTCTGAGCTCAAGTGATCCACTCACCTTAGCCCCCCAAGTAGCTGGGACCATAGCTGTGCATCACCACGCCCAGCTAAAGATACAAAAATACAAAAGTTAGCTGGGTGTGGTGGTGGGCACCTGTAATCCCAGCTACTCAGGAGGCTGAGGCAGGAGAATCGCTTGAACCCAGGAGGCAGAGGTTGCAGTGAGCCAAGATTGTGCCACTGCACACCAGCCTGGGCAACAGAGTGAGACTCTGTCTCAAAAAAAGAAAAAAAAAAAAAAAAGCACTGGCATTACAGGCATGAGCCATTGCACGCAGCCTCATTCAATATTTATTTATTTATTTTTGAGATGGAATCTCGCTCTGTCACCCAGGCTGGAGTGCAGCGGTGCAATCTCGGCTCACTGCAACCTCCGCCTCCCAGATTCAAGCGATTTTCCTGCCTCAGCCTCCTGAATAGCTGGGATTACAGGTGTGCGCCACCACGCCTGGCTAATTTTTTTATTTTTAGTAGAGACGGGGTTTCACCACGTTAGTCAGGCTGGTCTCGAACTCCTGACCTCAAGTGATCCGCCTGCCTCGACCTCCCAAAGTGCTGGGATTACACCATGCCTGGCCTTCATTCAATACTTTCTGAATGAATAAATGAGGTGCCTACATTGTAGAAGCTACTTTCACATATATTAATTCGTGTGATTCTCACAAGACTCAAAGGTTAAGAGGCTTGCCTCATCACAGATTAGAAGCCACAGGACAGGAATTGAAACCCAGGCTGCCTGACTTTAGGCCCAGTACTCTCTTACTATAAAACAGCTGCTGGGAAACACAGGCATTATGCCCTGTGTCTCTTGACCTGCCCCTCCAAACCTTCTATCCCTACCTCCATTTTGATCCCCACCAAAATCCCGGCCCCCAGAGCAGCCTTACGTGTCAATGATGTACTTGATGTTGTCATGTACAGTGATGTCATCCCGGCCCTTGTAGGGTTGGATGTGGAAGGCCACCTGCCACAAACAGAGGAGTAATGGTCAGGTGAGTGTCTATCTAGGGGCCACAACATATCAGGCTCAGGATCTAACCATGGCCTGGAGGAGAGGCTGAGTTCAGAAGAGGGCCTGGCAGTGGTGGGCACAGTAGAGATAAAGGCAGCTGCTGCCCTTGAAGGCCAAAACAGGGGTGAGCAGTTTGCCCATCTCCCGCAGCAGGGCATGTGGGAATCATTTTGGTGGGCTGTTACAGGGTGGCTAATAGGTTTCAACCTTGTGCCAGCTCCAAGTGGTTGGTGCTAGCTGCCTGAAACAGTGGAATAAGTATGCTGAAGCTGTGTCAGTGGAAAACTGCTGTGATCTGTTAGACATGTCAGTGGTGGAATTCTCTTCAGGAATAGGGGAGTGGGGCTTTTCTTCTTTCTCTATCATTTTTCTTCCTTCACCACAGAAGCAAGGGATGACTTACTTGATTGGCACATGTGGGGAAATGCTTCGTCCAGTCCGTCCTTCCTCTTGAAAGTGAGCCCACCTGCTGAGAACACCTGCCTACTCCTCGAGGTCCAGCACTGCCTCCCACTAGAGAGTTGAGTCTGCAGGTCCCTTTGGCTCTTGCCTACCCTTTTTCCACCAGGGTTTACAACCTAACCTCTATTATTATTTAACAAAAGTGATAATTATTTAGTCTTCTCTTGGTCCTATATTTAGTTTTCTCAGTTTTCTTAGAATTCAAAAAACTAAGAGCAACATAGGCACCATTTATCTGAACCCTCCCCCAAAACCACACTTGCCACATATTTGTTATCCCTTTGGGCTACTGCCAAGAACTTCTGTAGAGGCACTAACCCTGTGGGCGGAGGAGAGCAACTCTCCAGAATAGGGCAGAGAGCACGTGGCCTCTTCTTGGAGACTCACCTGGATGCTGTACTGATGGGCGGTGTCCAGAATGGCGGGCACCAGGTCATCTGAGGGCTCCCCGTTATCATCAGCCATGCCAGGTGGGTACCAGGACAGGACCAGGACGCCTGAGACGCAACACAGAGGCCACTTCAGAGACACACAGTACCCCCCTCAACAGAGATTTTTTTCCTCACAAACATCTCCAATTGCAAAAATGGTTCCTAAAAACCTGAAGCAAGCCTCCTGCCAGGTTCACTTCCTGCAGATGAGTCCCAGAGCCTCGCGCCCCGGAGCTGTCCACGCCCGCGGTGCTGAAGCGGAGCGCCTGCGGGAACCGTAGCGCGCCAGGCCGGAAGGGAGCCAGGCTTTAGACTGCCTCAGCAAGTAGTAGAACAAAGGGAATGGGAGGACAGTGCCACACCCACCTGGAAGCCACAGGCCTACCTCTGAAGAAGAGAAGCACCCCTAACCCTAACGTCCCGCATGGAGAAGAGCCCTGAGCAGAGGCCATCTGTAAAATCCAGCAAAATTCAGTGACGAAATCCGAAATAAGTGAGCCTCCCCTCCATAGCCTACGAAGGAGGCGCCCTGGGACCTTCCCTCCAGCTGGGTGCTTGATGAAAAGCCTCTAAACCCCCAACACTACCTCCAACTGCAAATAGAGCAGAGGCCTTCATGGAACACGGGCACACTTTCCTCTCTGCAGCCAGCAAAAGCAGGAACGGCTGCTGCTCTACCCTGTACCTGCCATGAAAGCAGAGGCCGCCCTAAGTTCCACTCCTCTGAACCCCAGAACCTGCGGGCCAGGACTCCAGGCCTCACTTCCCATCGCCCAACAAATTTGAAGACTCTGCCTCCCTCTCCTGGTGCAAACTCCTAGCAGTTCCGCCCTATGGGAAGGGCCCTGGATGTTAGGGATGGAAGGGCCCAGCTGGGGGGTCTGAATACTAGACGGAGGGGCGGTGTCGCATGGTGGGCCCAGGATGAGAGTGGGAGGGAACAGCTAAGAAGCCAGGCTGGCGGATAAGTGGGACCAAAGGGCCGGTGACAGGACCAGAGGGAGCTGGGGTGTGGGAAGGAGGAAGGGTGAGGCTGGGGGGCAGGGCCGCCCGGGGTGGGGGGCGCTCACCGATGGCGGCTTCCTTGAGCTGGGTCATATGCTCCCGCAGCACTTCGGGGTCCCGGGAGCTGTAGGGCCCCAGCTCCGGGTAGAAGCTGGAGCCCAAGTCGTCTGGGGGGCTGTGGCGGCCGCGGGGGTAGCTGGCCGAGATCTTGGGGTCCCAGTGCGGCACCATGACGTGGTCCCAGTGAATGTAGTGGCCCTCGCGCCGCGGGCTCCCGTACCACGAGTAGTAGAAGGCGTGCAGGTCCGAGTAGACGCGCAGGCTCTGCACGGGGGCGGGCTCGGCCTCCGCGGGTGCCGGCCCAGGGGAGCCGCCAGGGTCCGCGGTGCGGGGCGGCGGCGGCGGCGGGGGCGGCGCGGCAGGGGCTGCCGGGGCCCTGGCAGCGGGCGCGGGGGCCCCCTCTGGGCGTCGCTCAAAGGGCGCCAGCTCCAGGCCCGGGCCCAGCGCCGGGAGTCCGTCCGGAGCCTTGAGCGTGCGCAGACCCATGAGGGTGCCGAAGGCGAAGAGCAGCACCAGGAACAGAGCGATGCAGGCGCGGCGCCGCCGCCGGGCCATGGCCGACTGTGCGCTCCTGCAGCCGCCGCGCTACCTCCCAGCGTGCCGCGCCATGGCCGCCCGCCCGGCCGCGCGCTTCCCAGGCAGACTGTGCGCCCGGCAGAGCGCGGCGTGGGCGGCGCCCGGCCTGTCCCCGCAGTGCGGGCGGGCTCGGCACACAGGACGCAGGCGGCGCGGACCAAGTGGCCGCGAGCCGAGGGGGAACTGCACGCCGAGTGCAACGCAAGGCCCAGCGAACGGCGAGTTTCGGGGCCACAGGAGCAGGGGCCTGAGTCAGGCCGCGTGACCCGCGAAAGAAGAGTCGCCTGGCTGCCTGGGCGGCAGGTGGTGGCGCCTGGCTGGGGAGCGGGGACGCAGGCCTTCCGGAGCGCGGGAGAGAGGCGGCGCGGCGGGGGCGGGGGCGGAGGCGGGGCGGGGGGGGGAAAGAAGCGCGCGTCGGTGGTTCTCTCCCCAAGGATTTCCTTCTTCGTCGATCCACCTTTACTCACTTCACTGGCCCCCTCCCTACGGGTCTCAGTGCCACCCTTCTAGCCCCAGGTCCCCCATCCCTCGGCCCCCCTCCCCGGCACCCCAGGCAGCCCCTGAACCTCGGGGGAAGGGGCGTCGGGAAATCCCCAGGAATCGGACCCTGCAGACGCCGTCCGGGGCCTGGCGGGCGGAGGACGACCGTGACTCGCGCAAGGTCACACTGACCGGGCCTGGACCCCGGGTCAGGGCGCACTCTCCAGAGCTCGCTGCACTGCCCAGCCTGCCGGGTCGCAGTGTGGCTTAGTGAGTTCTCTGGTTGGAATCTCACGAAGCCAAAATTAAGGCGTTGGCAGGTTACACTCCTTTCTGGAGGCTCTAGGAACGGATCTACGTCCAGCTCAATGGCAGAATTCAGTTCCATACAATTGCAGGGCTAAGGCCCCCATTTGCTTGCTGGCTGTCATCTGGGGGTCTTTCTCAGTTTCTAGAGGCCTGCTGCATTTCTTGGCTTGTAGGCCTGATGTCGTCTGGAGCGGTCTCTCCTGGGAGAACCTCCTAGAGTCAGGGAGGATTAAATGAGATGGTTCCCGTAAAGCACTTCCACGGGGCCTGAAAAGCAAGCGCTCAATACATGTGCGCCTTTCTTCCTGGATTCTGGGCTCCAGAGGACAGGCCCCGTCTTATTTACCTTGTTAGACGCCAAGGGCTGCCGGAACAGCATCTGACACTCACTTCCTAGTGCCGTTTAAGTGAGTACCAGCCCCTGGTGTGATAGTCTGTAGATAATAAGCTTTTCACTCGCTATTGATAGAGTTCCTACACTGCATTATTCATTACTTCATTTATTCAGAAGATAGTTTTGTTTATCATATGCCTCCTTCAGTGGTCCGCAATGACAGCAACTTTGTTTCATTCCCTGTCTGCATGTCTAAAACAGAGCTTGGGATGATGGCGGGCACCCAGTTCTTATTGGTTAAGTAAAATGAATTGTAGGGAACCCAGGAAGAGGAGCAGGGAGCTTGGGAAGTGTTGGTAGACCTGCAGCCGAGGAAAGTGAGCTTGAGAGACCTTATGGTGGTAAATGTGAATGAAGTGGAATGCCTTCAGCTCCAGGTCGCCCATACCCGATTCAGCCTGACTTAAGGAATATGCCAGTGTATCAACTTGCAAAGCAAGGAGCCCAGTGGCAGGGCAGAGTGGGTATTTTCTCTGATCCAACAATGTCATTAGGAACCTGAGATGTTCCCGTCTCACTGCTCTACTCTCCCCACCACTGACTTCATATACAAACCCAGTTCCCCTCATGCCACAAAATGGCTGCTATGGCTATTGACTGCTCTTCCCATTCCACAGGCAAGGGTAAGACTGATTTCTCTTTCCCAGAAGTCCTAAACAAACATCTCATTGAATCTCCTTGGTCTAATCTGGTTTAGGCCTTTTTATGCCAGACAAATTATTGCCGAGGGGGATAGAATTACCATGACTAGATGAGATTACATTTGTGGAGTGGGTTAAATGTTGGAGAGAATACCATGTCTACCAAAGAGTGAGGTGACTCTGGGAATAGAAAGAGTGAGAAGAGGCTGGGTGCAGTGGCTCAAGCCTGTAATCCAGCACTTTGAGAGGCCAAGGCAGGTGGATTACCTGAGCTCAGGCGTTTGCGACCAGCCTGGGCAACACGATGAAACCACCATCTCTACTAAAATACAAGAAATTAGCCAGGCGAGGTGGCAGGCGCCTGTAGTCCCAGCTACTTGGGAGGCTGAGGCAGGAGAATTACTTGAACCCAGGAGGCGGAGGTTGCAGTGAGCCGAGATCACGCCACTGCACTCCAGCCCGGGTGACAGAGCGAGACTCTGTCTCAAAAAAAGAAAGAAAGAAAGAAAGAAAAGAAAGAAAGAAAGAAAGAGAAGAAAACGGGTAAGGACGGCACTCTCAGGAACACCAGCATTTCTGGGACAGGCAGAGGAAGGAGAGAGTCTAAGAAGGAAACAGAAAGAATCATTAACGAGGAACTAAGAGAACAGGGAATGGGTGGTGAAGGTTTTGGAAAAATAGTGGGAAGGTTTCCCCAGCTCCCAGTCATCCCACTATTTCTGGGATGCCCTGAAACAATTGTGTCCCCTGTTGGCCATGCCTGGAGTCCTTGACACTGCCACCTGGCCTTGACAGTTTGACCCAGGGCTAGTACTCTGACCTAGTGGTCAAAATTAGTCCAATGATAGCTTCCCATCTTCCACTGGACCAATCATGAATACTGACCCAAAGGGCATCAATTCCAGTCATTTTTTGGGATTTTACTCTCTGGTCTGCAGGAGAGATTTCATCCTCTTTAAAGATAATGCCATTTGCCGGGTGCGGCGGCTCATGCCTGTAATCGCAGCACTTTGGGAGGCTGAGGTGGGAGGATGACTTGAGTTCAGGCTTTTGAGATCAGCCTGGGTAACATAGTGAGACCTCATCTCTACAAAAAATTAAAATATATTAGTCAGGCATGGTGGCACACGCCTGTACTCCCAACTACTCGGGAGGTTGAGGTGGGAGGACCACTTGAGCCTGAGAGGTCAAGGCTGCAGTGAGCCGTGATCACACCACTGCACCCCAGCCAGGGTGACCGAGTGAGACCCTCTCTCAAAAACAAACAAACAAACAAACAAACAAACAAACAAGATAATGCCATTAGAGGGAAGGGACAGAGAGAAACTTAGTGTTATTGGTGTCCTGATTTCAGTCTTCCTGGCGGCCTAGTTGCGGTGTGAAACACTTGACCATTCTTCCAATAAGTTACCCTTTTATTCTGAGCAAGGTGAGCTGATGGAGCTGACTATTGATTGCCTATCAATCTCTGACAAGACCGAGAAGGGGACTTGGGAGCAGGAGGTCATTTGGAAGGTAATCTCAGGAAGTAAGAGTTAGGAATTGAACAGAATGAGACAAGAACAAAAGAAAAGCCAAACCAATGGTGCACTGAGGATGTCGCTGCTATAGATAATGGGGACTTAATTCTGCCACGTCTTTTCAGAAGTGTACAAATGCCTCCCAGAGTTAGGAGGTGTGAGGCTGAAGCAATTACCTACTGACCCCCTCCTCCACTGGTCAAGCATTTTCCCTAGGGGAGTTAACTTCCTTGTATTTCTGGTCTCCTGTTGCCAAGCAGGCTCCCAGGACATCAGAGAAGGTTTTGAGGCAGGTATAAAGAGAGACGGACACATTATTTATTCAAGTGGGATGCCGCCAGTGTGAGGAAGACTAAGCTCGCACAGAACCATCCATCCTAGATGTACTCATTTTCTGCTGTCATAACAAATTACTATAAATTTAGCAGTTAAAACAGCACAAAAGTTTACTGTCTCATGATTTCTGTAGGTCAAAAGTCTAGGCACAGTGTGACTTAGTGAGTTCTCTGGTTGGAATCTCAGGAAGCCAAAATTAAGGCGTTGGCAGGTTACACTCCTTTCTGGAGGCTCTAGGAACGGATCTACGTCCAGCTCAATGGCAGAATTCAGTTCCACACAATTGCAGGGCTAAGGCCCCCATTTGCTTGCTGGCTGTCATCTGGGGGTCTTTCTCAGTTTCTAGAGGCCTGCTGCATTTCTTGGCTTGTAGGCCCCTTCTTCCATCTTCAAAGCCAGCAACATCAGATCTTGTCCTTCTCACACTTTGGATCTCTCTGACCTCCCTTTCTACCTCTCTCTCATACCTTCCTCTTCTGGTTTTAAGAGCTCATGTGATATATTAGATGCCGTCAGATAATCCAGGGTAACTTCCTCTGTTTAAGGTCAATTATTGGCCAGGTGTGGTGGTTCATGCCCGTAATCCCAGAACTTTGGGAGGCCGAGATGGGAGGATCACTTGAGCCCAGGAGTTCGAGGCCAGCCTGAGCAATATAGCAAGACCCTGTCGCTACAAAAAAAAAAAAAAAACAAAAAAAAAACAAACAAAAGACCAGGCACAATGGCTCACACCTGTCCCAGTACTTTAGGAGGCCAAGGTGGGTAGGTTGCTTGAGCCCAGAAGTTAGAGACCAGCCTGGGTAACATAATGAGACCTCATCTCTAAAAGTTTTTTTAATTTAAAAAATTATAAAATATAAGGTCAACTAATTAGTAAACTTCATTCCATTCCACAAAGTCCCTTCACAACAGTAACTAGATTATTTTCAATTGAATAGCTAGAGGACAGGAATCTTGGTGGGGGACATCTTAAGAGTTCTGCCTAAAAACTTTTCCTAAAATCAAGGTGGGCCAAAGAGATGTGACACGTGGCATTCAAGGTATGTATTACACCCATTCTATCGATTAGAATGTGTGTTCAGCCACAAATAAGAAGGAAAACAGCTAAACATGGCTTAAAGTGCTTCTCACACTTTAGTGAGCATGTCAGTCCCTTGAGGATCTTGTTAAAAATACAGATCCTGATTCAGTAGGTCTGGAATGAAACCTGTTTTTGTTTGTTTGTTTGTTTTGTTTTGTTTTTTGTTTTTGAGACAGGGTCTCACTTTATCACCCAGTCTGGTGTGCAGTAGCCCAGTCACAGCTCACTGCAACCTTTGCCTCCTGGGCTCAAGCAGTCTTCCCACCTCAGCCTCCCAAGTAGTTGAGACTACAGGTGTGCACCACCACGCCTGGCTAATTTTTTTTTTTTTTCGGTAGAGATGGGGTTTTGCCATGCTGCCCAGGCTAGTCTCAAATTCCTGGGCTCAAACAATCCACCTGCCTCAGCCTCCTGTAGTGCTGAGATTAGAGGTGAGAGCCACTGTGCCTGGCCAAGAGTCTATGTTTCTAAGAAGATGCCAGGTGATGCTGATTTGACTGGTCCTTTAGGGCTTAGAGTATAGTGTATTTATTACCCCACATATTAAGGAGGCTTTAACTAGGCTGGTTCTAGAGATGGTTAATCTAAGGGTTCAAAGACACTGTGACATCAGATCACCTTCTCTGTGATTCTTTTTTTTTTTTTTTTTTGGCCTTCCCTTCATGATTGAGAAGGATGGAAGCAGTTCCAAGCATTCCATTCCCACAGGACAACATCCAGGTGCAGAAAAGGGAATGGCCCTATTTTATAATCCTTTTAACAAGTAAGATAAGCTCTTCTAGGAGCTCTCAGCAGGTTTCCCATCACTTCTGATTGGCCAGAATTGTGTCATCTATTCACATCCAAGCAAATCCCGTGCCAAGGCCATTCAGAGGTGAAAAAAATCAGAAAGAAGGGCAAAAGGAAGGGGATTTGGGTAAACAGCCAAAAGTCTCTCCTACATCTGCTCAGAGTCAATTTTCCCCTTCTTCCTTACAGAACTAGGACTGTGTTGAGAGAGCCCCCTTTCCCCACTATGGCTGGAGATGACAGGTTTGTTCTGTGAAAGAGTATAACAAGAGAATCCCCAGACACAGGAGTACTAGGCAACAGGAGAGGGAGGAGTGAGAGGCCATCCTGAAATCCAGGGGAGTCTGGATCAATAAATGGCAAGAAGTCCAGCTCTTTATATCACTCAGCCCCAGGAACACTGGCAGTCATAGGTCAGCCTTCCAGGAGCTGGGCATGGTAGTGCATGCCTGTAGTCCCAGCTACTCGGGAGGCTGAGGTACTTGAGCCCAGGAGTTTGAGGACAGCCTGAGCAAAATAGTGACACCTTGTTTCTAAAATAAATTTAAAAATTAAAGGTTAAAAAAATTTTTTTTTGAGATGGAGTCTCGCTCTGTCGCCCAGGCTGGAGTGCAGTGGCATAATCTTGGCTTGCTTTAACCTCCACCTGCCAGGTTGAAGCAATTCTCATGCCCCAGCCTCTCGAGTAGCTGGGATTATAGGTGAGGGCCACCACGACTGGCTAGGTTTTTTTGTTTTTTGTTTTGAGACGGAGTCTCACTCTGTCGCCCAGGCTGGAGTACTGTGGAGTAACCTCGGCTCACCACAACCCCTGCCTCCCAGGTTCAAGCAATTCTCCTGCCTCAGCCTCCCAAGTAACTGGGACTACAGGCGCACACCACCATGCCTGGCTAATTTTTGTGTTTTTAGTAGAAACGGGGTTTCACTATGTTGGCCAGGCTGGTCTCAAACTCCTGACCTCAAGTGATCCACCAGTCTCGGCCTCCCAAAGTGCTGGGATTACAGGGGTGAGCTACTGCACCTGGCCATAAAAAATTTTTTAAGTCAACTTTCCAAGCAAAAGTCCAAGTGACTCCCTGGAGAAAAAGAAAGACCCTTGGGAAAAGTTCTGCACAGACTGACATTGAGACCCTTGAGGAAAATCCTCCACATACTGAAAAGTCAGCTTACTGCCTGATCAACCCAGAGTGAAACACACAAATCAGCAAACATGCCTCTTGCGTTCAGATCTTTCAATCAGCTTTCTAGTGCCTCACTCTAAACGTGAATAACTAATGATTCTCAGACATTTAGTGAACGCTCCCTGAATGAAAGCCAGATATAAAAAGCTAACAAACAAAAAAGAAAGAAAGGAAGGAAGGAAGAAAAGGATGAAACAGTGAGAGCTAGCCTGGTGCAGTGGCTCATGCCTGTAATCCCAGCGCTTTGGGAGTCTGAGGCAGGGGGATTGGTTGAACCCAGGATGTTGAGGCTGCGGTAAGCCATGATAGTGCCACTGCACTCCAGTCTGGGTGACAGAGTGAGACCCTCCAAAAAGAAAAAAAAAAAAAAGTAAGAGTGAAAGAGTTGATGAGAAGAAAACAGAATGCAGCTAGCCAAATAAACAGATTTTCATATTCATGAAACAAAACCAGAATGCTATATACACGGGGGGAAGGATTGATCAGAAACCAATAAAAAGCTCTTGGAAATTAAAGCAATAGAGCCCAAATTTAAAATTTTATTATAATAGAAAGTTTTGGATGATAAAGCCAAGGAATCTCCCAGGAAGTAGAAAAACAAACCCACCCTGAGGAACCTTTCAGAACACTGAAACGAGAAATTACCAAAGAACTCATAAAATAAAATGTCCTGGGACATGACGTTCTGGATTGCAGTAGCCCCCTAAGTGAACAATGAATTAAAAAATGACCCATACAGTACTCATCATTATGAAAGTTCAGGACATTGAAAACAGAAGATCCAAAAAGCTTTCGAAGAAAAAGAAGTCAAGGATTTGGAATTAGAATGGCCCAGGAAAGCAGAAGGCAGGGGACAATTTCTTCCAAAATTCTGAGGGCAAATAATTTTGGACCTAGGATTCTACAATTAGTTTTAAAATTGTGAGGGTGGTGTATTGAACCTTGTAGTCAAGTAAAATGAAAAAAAAAATTTTTTTTTTTGGTCGGGCGTGGTTGCTCACGCCTGTAATCCCAGCACTTTGGGAGGCCGAGGTGGGCGGATCACGAGGGCAGGAGATGGAGACCATCCTGGCTAACACGGTGAAACCCTGTCTCTACTAAAAATACAAAAATTAGCCAGGTGCGGTGGCATGCACCTGTAGTCCCAGCTGCCGGGGAGGCTGAGGCAAGAGAATGGCATGAACCCGGGAGGCGGAGCTTGCAGTGAGCTGAGATCGTGCCACTGCACTCCAGCCTGGGCAACAGAGTGAGATTCCGTCTCCAAAAAAGAAAAAAAGAAAAAGAAAACATTTTTTTTTAATTATGAGAGTAGAATAGACTTTTTTTTTTTTTTCTGATAGGGTCTCACTCCAGCCCAGGCTGGAGTGCAGTGGTGCAATCTCAGCTCATTGCAACCTCTGCCTCTCTTGCTCAGGTGATCTTCCCACCTCAGTCGCCCAAGTAGCTGGGACTACAGGCATGCATCACCATGCCTAGCTAATCTTTCTATTTTTGGTAGAGACGGGGTTTCACCATGTTGCCCAGACTGGTCTAGAATAGACATTGTTTTTAGGTATTCAAGGTCTCAATTTTTTTTCTCCTATGCTGTCTTTCTCAGGAAGCTACCAAAAAATATAATAGAGAAGTAAATAAAAAAGGTGAGGAGGAACTTGGGATCCAGTAAAAAGGAAATCTAACACAGAGGAAGAGCTCAGGGGAGTCCCAGAGCACTACCTGTGCAGCAAGCCTGAAGAGCAATCTGCCCAATGGAAGCAGGAGGACACCCAAGAAGGCTCTTTCCCAGAGCAGCTGAAATTGATAGATAGGCTGGGCCTGGCGTGGTGGCTCCCGCCTGTAATCCCAGCACTTTGGAAGGCCAAGGCGGGTGGATCACCTGAGGTCAGCAGTTGGAGACCAGCCTGGCTAACATGGTGAAACCCTGTCTCTACAAAAAATACAAAAATTAGCTGGGTGTGGTGGTGCACACCTGTAATCCCAGCTACTCAGGAGGCTGACACAGAATGGCTTGAGCCCTGGAGGCTGAGGTTGCAGTGAGCTGAGAGTGTGTCACCGCATTCTCATTTTTCATTGCTCCATGTGGTTGTATCTTTTTTTTTTTTTTTTTTTTGAGATGGAGTCTCGCTCTGTTACCCAGGCTGGAGTGCAATGGTGCGATCTTGGCTGACTGAAACCTCTGCCTCCCGAGTTCAAGTGATTCTCCTGCCTCAGCCTCCCGAGTAGCCAGGATTACAGGTGCCCCCCACCCCCCACGCCCAGCTAATTTTTGTATTTTTAGTAGAGATGGGGTTTCACCATGTTGGTCAGGCTGGTCTTGAACTCCTGACCTCAGGTGATCTGCCTGCCTTGGCCTCCCAAAGTGTTGGGATTACAGGCATGAGCCACCGCACCCAGCCTGTATCTTTTTTTTTTTTTTTGAGATGGAGTATTGCTGTGTCGCCCAGGCTGAAGTGCAGTGGCACGATCTCGGCTCACTATAACCTCCGCCTCCCGGGTTCAGGCGATTCTTTTGCCTCAGCCTCCCGAGTAGCTGGGATTACAGACATGCACCACCATGCCTGGGTAATTTTTGTATTTTTAATTAGTGACGGGTTTCACCATGTTGGCCAGGCTGGTCTCAAATTCCTGACCTCAGGTGATCCACCTGCTTCATCTTCCCAAAGTACTGGGATTACAGGCGTGAACCACTGTGCCCAGCTCTATATCTTTATTAGTTGTTTTTTCTAAACTCTCCAACACAACATTTAAATTCCTCTGAATCTATTTTCTATACAGTCTTCATATTAGGATACTGATCATCTAATAAACAAAACAGAATGGTCAGATGACAAGTGCTGTAGAGAAACACAAAGCAGGAGGTGGGGAGAGGGAATGCCAGGCTGGGGAAGTTTTACAATGTTTAATAGGTTGGGCAGGGAAGACCTCCCTGAGAGGGTGGCCTGAGGGAGAGAGGAAGAAAACTGTGCAGACGTTTGGAAGAAGTGAGTTCCAGGAAGAAGAAACAGCAAGTTCATTTTCCTGGAGACGGGAGCATGCCTCATGTGTTCTTCATGCATCTGCTAGAATTTTTACTTGCATGTTTTACTGTCAATTCCACTACGTACCTCCCCAACCAAGGGCACCCCAATCTCTGAAGCACATTTTTTTAATGTTTATTTTTTAGAGATAAGACCAACCTGGGCTACATAGTGAGACCCCATCTCTAAAAAGATGAAATAAAAAACAGAATTGAAGCACAGGCCTAAAGACAGAAATAACCATGGCATGTTTGAGAGACGTGCTGTGTTGCCCAGGCTGAAGTGCTGTGGCAGGATCGTAGCTCACTGCAGCCTTGAACACCTGGACTCAAGCATTCCTTCTGCCTCACCCTCCCCAGTAGGTGGGATCACAGGTGGTGCTACTATGCCTGGCTAATTTAAAATTGTTTAATTAGTTGGGGTCTCAAACTCCTAGCCTCAAGTGATCTTCTCACCTCAGCCTTCCAAGTAGCTGAGATTACAGGTGCACACCACCATGTCCAGCAATGCACTTTTTTTTTTCTTTTTGAGACAGAGTCTCACTTTGTTGCCCAAGCTGGAGTGGAGTGGCGCGATCTCGGTTCACTGCAACCTCCACCTCCCGGGTTCAAGCGATTCTCCTGCCTCAGCCTCCCAAGTAGCTGGGACTACAGGTCCCTGCCACCATGCCTGGCTAATTTTTGTATTTTTAGTAGAGACAGGGTTTCACTGTGTTGGCCAGGCTGGCCTCGAACTTCTGACCTTGTGATTGCCCACCTCGGCCTCCCAAAGTGCTGGGATTATAAGCATGAGCCACCATGCCCAGCCAGCAATGCACTTTTTAATTCCCAGTATGCAAATGGTAACCAAGTCATATTGATAATGCTTGCAAAATATTTTCATTCTTTCTCTTTTTGTATATTTCCACTGTCACCATATCAGTCCTATAATGATATAATTATAGAATATTAGGCTATCAGTGCTCTTAGAAACCATCTAGTATAATTCCATCTTACTAAGGCTACTTCTCTGTGACCTTTCAGCTATGTCTCCAGAGTACCAGACAAAGCTTAATCATACCACACCTGGGTTTCCCCAGGCCCAAATTCAATCTGTTCTGCCTGCTGCTCACAAATGAGTGCTCCCTGCCCACTGTCCTATTCTTCCCCCACCCGCCCTACAGTAGTACCCCACTGGCTACCTTGGCAGGGCTTTCTCAGCTGCTGATCCAACATGACCTCCTACATTTAAAATGAGCCTGGGCATGGTAGCTTATGCCTGTAATCCCAGCACTTTTGGAGGCCAAGGTGGGAGGATCGCTTGAGGCCAGGAGTTCAAGGCCAGCCTAGGCAATATATTGAGAGCCTGCCTCTACAAAAAATTTAAAAATTAGCTAGGTATGGTTACACGTGTCTGTAGTTCTCAGCTACTCAGGAGGCTGAGGTAGGAGGATCACTTGAGCCCGGGAGTTTGAGGGCAACAGAGTAAGATCCTATCTCAAAAAAATAATAATAATATATATAAAAAAAAAAGCTATTGTTGCTGGGCAGTGATGGCGACTACGCCAGAGTCTTCACTGGAGGACCCAGTGCGGAGCTTTGTGCAAGTTTTGGAGAAGTGGGATGGTACGGTGCTACCACTACAGCAGTATGGCTCTGGCGGCATGGGTTGCATCGTTTGGGACGCTGCATATGTCCTTTCTAAATACCTGGAAACGCCTGAGTTTTCTGGCGACTGGGCCCACACGCTGAGCCGGCGGTTGGTGCTGGAGCTGGGTTCGGGCACCGGGGCCGTGGGGTGCATGGCCGCTACCCTCAGGGCTAATGTTGTAGTCACTGATCTTGAGGAATTGCAAGACTTACATGAGCAAGCACCTTGTCACTGGTTCTGTTCAAGCCAAGGTACTGAAATGGGGGGAAGAAATAGAAGACTTTCCTCCTCCACTCGTCTACATACTGATGGCCGACTGCATATACTATGAAGAGTCTTTGGAGCCATTGCTGAAAACTCTAAAAGATATCAGTGGATTTGAGACTTGTATTATATGTTGTTATGAACAACGAAGAATGGGAAAAAGTCCAGATATTGAGAAAAAATATTTTGAGCTCCTTCAGCTAGACTTTGACTTTGAAAAAATTCCTTTGGAAAAACATGATGAAGAGTACCAAAGTGAAGATATTCATATTATATACATCAGAAAGAAAAAATGGAAATTTTCATCATGAAGCCTTTAGTCATCTTACCCAAGCCTCTGACAACCTGGTAAACTAAAGATGTGAACCGAGCATGTGAATACAGCATGGGAAGATTGTGTCCACAGATTTTTTTCCGGCACGTCTTTAGAGATCCGATGTATAGATGACAACCACCATGGGCTGCCTGTAGTACAAAAAATGCCTGCCTGCTTGCCTGCCTGCCTGCCGGCCAATGGCCCTGAATCCAGCTTAGGTTACTTAGTTCAGCATCAAGTCCTGCTTACAAGAAATGTTGGGAATCAGTTATTCAAATAAAAATTGGTATTGAGGTGAGGCCCAAATCTGCCAAAAAAAAACAGTGAACCAGCATGACCTTTTATAGGAAACTAGAGATAAATTTCTAAAGAGAACTATCTACTATTATACAATAATGTTTTAAATTCAAACCAGTAAATTTTAGTTTGTCTTCAAAATTTAAAAGGTTTTCATTTTGTACATAATTATGCAGTGTTTATCATGTTTATCTGCCACTTCATTTCTCTTAAAATATCTTTAATACTTAAATGTTCTTTTAATTTTAAAAAGAACTGAGATATTGTCTTGTATACTTACATTGGCCAAAGTTGTATTCTTTTCCTCTACCATACATCTATGTGATTTAATCAGTAAATTACACTGTAATGAGTTGCTAAGAAGACAAATCAGAAGATTGGAGGAACAAAAGATATCTTTACAGATTTTTCATTTGAGAATGGAGTGAGAATAGAAAGACCAGTTTCAGGCTTAAGCACATAGGTGGCTCATGCACTTTTCTTTATATATATGTTCCAGGAAAATCTGGCTTAAAAATACTGGTATTAACTTGTTTACCTGAAACACTGAAAGGTTTTTGAATAACTACAAATTTAGTTCTATATGTATATACCAAATGAATTTTTATTCTGTGTCTCTCTGTTTTATGTTATAATGAAGCCATTTGCTCATATACAATAATCTGTCAAGGACTTTATTCATACCTGTTCCAAAGAGTAGTAACCGGATGGAAGTCTGGTATTTACAGGCATTGGTGCTAGATGGTATATTTTATGTGTTAAAATAAACATTGTTTTTGAGACCCTGAAAAAAAAAAAAGAACCTGACATTCAAGTTACATTGGTCTCCTTTCACTGTCTCTCAAACATGCCATGTTTATTTCTGCCTTTATGTCTGTGCTTCAGTTCTGTTTTATTTTATTGTTTTAAAGATGGGGTCTCATCATGCTCTCCAGGCTGGTCTTGAATTCTTGGGCTCAAGAGATCCTCCCACCTTTGCCTTCCAAAGTGTTGTGATTACAGGTGTGAGCCACTGCACTCAGCCTGATTCTCCCTTGTAATAACTTTTCTTTTTCCTTCCTATTCAGATTTCGCCCATCCCTCGAGACGTCTCCCCACCATGGTTTCTCTATGGTTGGTTCCCTGTGGAGTGGAGCAGAAACCATGTTAGCCGTGTTAGCTGTGTTTTAGGATGCTTGATTGCTCTCACACACACACCATCCTCACAGCAATCTTGTGTCATGGGTAAGGTCATTCCCCATTTTACAGGTGAAGAAACAAAGGCTCAGAGAGGTAGGGAGAGGCTGGGGTAGGATCTGAGCCCACATCTGCCTGTGCTCTTAATCGTTGCACAGTAAATACTCTCTCTTGAACCTGGCGCACAGTGTTTGTAGATGTCAGCTGAGTTGTTCATGAGCTGTTTCATATATATTGGGGTCTCATCACCCCCAACTGACCATGTTGTGAGGCTTGCGGAACAGAATGAGAGCAGGAAAAACCTCCACTTACAAAGGGCCCACCCTGTGTGAGATTCAGCACCATGTTCAGTAAGTATGGGGAAATGACAGGAGATAAAACCAAAGGTGCAAAAGTGGTTGAAACTCAGGGATGGGAGGAGGAAGCAGAGGATTTCTATTTCAATTATAAGCCTTGTAGTACTGTTTGACTTTTAATACTATGTACAATGTTACTTTGATTAAAAGTGAAAGTGTATTTAAACAAATTAAATAGGGAAGTGGGGACTAGTGGACTACCCTTTAGAACTTTGGATATGAAGAGAAGGAAATACAGGGCAATAACTGCCTTATATATTTGCAGTAAGGATTGAACAAACAAGGCACTTACACAATGTTTGGCCTAGAACCAGCAGCAAGAATTATAACATGAAGCAGAACATAGGATTAAGGTTCATCATGGGCTCATTAGACCTGAGAGATGTCATTATAAGAATAGGCTATGATAGGCCAGGCGTGGTGGCTCACACTTGTAATCCCAGCACTTTGGGAGGCCGAGGCGGGTGGATCACGAGGTCAGGAGATCGAGACCATCCTGGCTAACACAGTGAAACCTCATCTCTACTAAAAATACAAAAAAAATTAGCCAGGCATGGTGGCGGGTGCCTGTAGTCCTAGCTACTTGGGAGGCTGAGGCAGGAGAATGGCGTGAACCTGGGAGGCGGAGCTTGCAGTGAGCCGAGATCGCACCACTGCACTCCAGCCTGGGTGACAGAGCGAGACTCTGTCTCAAAAAAAAAAAAAAAAAAAAAAAAAAGGCTATGATAATAAGAGATCATTATGGTCTCCACCAAAGCAGAAAAATGCTACACCCTCCCCTGTCCCTTCTGTGTCCTCCAGTCTTTTTCTATCTTCCTTCCTTTTCTTTCTTTTAACAGAGACAGAGGAATGGGGACTGTAGAGGCCTACACCATGGGAAGGGGGCAAAGGGCTCTCCCAGCCCCTACCAGAGGCCACGAGGAAGGGTGTTTGATACGAGTCTCACCAGGAGCCTCATAGTCACTCTTGTTGTATGGAGCTATAGAGAAGGATTTGTAGACAAGGGCACCAGGCATGGCACTGGGGACCTGTTGTGGGGTCAGGTGGGCAATGCAGTACTTGACCTGGTCAGAGACACCTCTCCCTGCAGCTCCTCGGCTGTGATGAAGTTCTTGTCCCCTGCCATGACCTTGAAGGAGGTAACGACCTGGCTGTGTCTACGTTGGTTGTCTCCCAAGACCTGAAGTTGATGAAGGCTTGGGAGGCCACAAGGCTGCTATGGTTGGGGTCAACCACACTCCCGGTGCAGTTGAACTCAGCATTGCTCTGCTGTTATCCTCCACATTGTAGCCCAAGCTGATGAAGCAGGCCTTGAACTCCTTCAGCCCCAGCACCCTGCCATGGCTCTTGTCAGTGTGGCTGAAGGACACCTGAAACTCTTGCATCTGCTCCTGGCCAATGCCCTGGGTATTGCAGGTGAGGATCTGGTTCTTGACCTCACTGATGGTGCAGCCAATGGTGGTGAGCAGCTGCTCCCAGCCGTGCGGATGTGTTCCACCATGTAGCTGATATGCTTGTTGTTGAAGATGAAGACCTCCTGGAGGAGCTGGTGCTCTGCGTCAGCAGGTCCAGGTTCAGCTTGTGGTCCATGATGTTTTGCTCATATTGCTTCAGGTTTAGCTGGTCCTCTGGGTTCCCCTTCATTTTGATGGAGCTGCACCCACTTTCCTCCATCTTGGTCTGGATCCAGGGCCCCATGACATTGGCCTGGCTGGAGAACTGGTGGTGGAGGTGCTCGTTGGACTGCTGCTTGCTCTGCTCCTCCAGAAGTGCATAATCCTGCTTTGACACCAACTGCTGCACCTTTGCCCACTGGGAGTGGATGAACTGTGTGGGGTCGGGGGAGGTGACAGTGGTGTAGGGGTTGCTGCCTGACAGCTTGGTATGTTTGCTATCTGTGATCCTCTGGGCTTCCTTGTGGGTGGCCAGGATAGCCTCTTTCTCCCTATCATTATCTGGCAGGGTCAACTTTTGGCTGTGGGCTGAGATCAGGCCCTCAATCTTCTCAGTATTGTAGATGAGGAACATGTCCTGGAGCTCCTCCACGGCACTCTCCATCCAGTTGTAGAAGGCTCTGCCCACTTGGCATACTCCAGGTACAGATGATCAGTGGCCTCCAGCTGCTTCTTCATTTTCTCCAGGGCTTCCCTGTGACTGTGGGTCAGAGAGTACAGGGTTTCCCACTCCTTGTAAATCTTCTGGCACTGGGCATTGACAACTGTGGGAGTCACAGTAATCCAGCTCGTTGAGTTCCTGGGCAGTGTCCTCTATGATATTGTGAAATAATGTATTTGGTCTTTGATCCTGCTTCCTGGCATACAATGACTAAAAAATAATTAGAATTTCCAAAACAATGTCTTTTTTTTGTATGCTGATGAGTTGATGGATGGCTGGCAGCCCCTAGGGAGCTTCAGGATGGAGGCTGGTCACCAGAAAAACCAAGGGATAAGTAGAGGGTTGGGACTTTCAGCCCCACTGCCCAACCCCTGAGGAGGGAAGAGGGGCTGAAGATTAAGTTGATCAGCAATAGCCAGTGATTTAATCAATCATGCCTATATAATGAAGCCTCCATAAAACCCTGAAAAGACAGGGTTCACAGAGCTTCTGGAGAGCTGAACACATGGAGGTTCCTGAAGAGTGGCATCCCCAGAGAGGGCATGGAAGTCCCAAGTCCCCTTTCCCACACCTTGCCCTATGTGTCTCTTCATCTGTATCCTTTGTAATATCCTGTGTAATAAACAAGCCAAAGTAAGTAAAGCGTTTTTCTGAGTTCTGTGAGCTGCTCTAGCAAATTAATGGAACCCAAGTAGCGGGTAGCAGGATCCCCAATTTATAGCGAGTTGGTCTGAAGCACAGGCAAAAATAATTGGGCTTGTGATTAGCATCTGAAGTGGAGGCAGTATTGCAGGACTGAGCCCTTTCCCTGTGGGATCTGACACTATCTCCAGGTAGATAAAGTCAGAATTGAATTGAACTGGAGGACAACCAGCTTGTGTCTGCTGCAGATTTGATTGCTTGTTCCGTGGGTGGGGAAAACCCCACACACATTTGGTCACAGAAGCATTCTGGGTTGTGTGAGAGCAGAGGAAAAGTAGTTTGAGTTTTTTCCACTCTCAGAGCCTTGATCAGCTCCACAAAGTCCTGGTGTATGGCCAGATCACTCTCGAAGGCTTCATGGTTGTGGATAAGGGCTTTGATGTCTGATAGGGTGGCTGTCTCATAGTCCCGCTGCTTAAGCCTGGCTTCCTTCTCATCGGTCCAGGCCTCATGGATGGAGGTCTTCTGGAACTTCTCTGCCAGGTGGTTGAGCTGCTCCAGCCTGTGAATATCATTCAGCAGCAACTCCTCATGTCAATTCTTGGCCTACTCCAGGTGCTGCCCACTGTTGTTGATGTTCAAGACCATCTTACCCTCAGAGCCCATGAAGGCAGGCTGGTTGCTTAGGTGCAGCTTGGTCTGCAGCGTGTTGAAGGTGAGCTCCAGCTGGCCTCTCTCCTGCACTTTGGACAGCTTGTGGATGCACCAGTAGTCATGAAAGACTTCTGCTACATCTCCTGGAAGGTCTTTTGGGGTATGGGGTTCTCCAGTCAGGGGGGCTGTTTTGCTGAATCCACTCCAGGAGATCACTGGCCAGCCTCTTGTAATTTTCCATCAACTGCTCATGCCCCTGGTAGACAGCCAACATTTTGCGGTTCTGGTTGGTGGCAGTTGCTACTAAAAATACAAAAAATTAGCCAGGCGTGGTAGCACATGCCTGTAATCCCAGTTACTTGGGAGGCTGAGACAGGAGAATCACTTGAACTCAGGAGGTGGAGGTTGCAGTGAGGCGAGATCAGGCCATTGCACTCCAGTCTGTGCGACAGAGTGAGACTGTCTCAAAAAAAAAAGGCCGGGTGCAGTGGCTCATACCTGTAATCCCAACACTTTGGGAGGCTGAGGCAGGTGGATAACCTGAGGTCAGGAGTTCGAGACCAGCCTGACCAACATGATGAAACCCCATCTCTACTAAAAATACAAAATTAGCCAGGTGTGGTGGCGCTTGCCTGTAATCCCAGCTACTTGGGAGGCTGAGGCAGGAGAATCACTTGAATCCAGGAGGCGGATGTTGCAGTGAACTGAGGTTGCAACATTGCGCTCCAGCCTGAGAGACGAGTAAGACTTCGTCTAAAAAAAAAAAAATTACAATGTTAGTTTAGCGATATTGATTTTCTTTTAGTTACTGTTTGTATTATGTACCGTTTGCACATACTATCCTGTTTGTATGTTTGTTTGTTTACAACCTTTGCTTTAACATATCTGTATCCTTATGTGGAAATTTCTTTTCTTTCTTTCTTTTTTTTGAGATGGAGTTTCGCTCTTGTTGCCCAGGCTGGAGTGCAATGGCGCGATCTTGGCTCACCACGACCCCCCGGGCTCAAGCGATTCTTCTGCCTCAGCCTCCCAAGTAGCTGGGATTACAGGCATGCGCCACCATGGTTGGCTAATTTTGTATTTTTAGTAGAGATGGGGTTTCTCCATGTTGGTCAAGCTGGTCTTAAACTCCCGACCTCAGGTGATCTGCCCACGTTGGCTTCCCAAAGTGCTGGGATTACAGGCATGAACCACTGTGCCTGGCTATGTGGAAGTTTTTTAAAGCAGTATAAAGTTGCTGTTTAAAACCCAATCTGGGCCAGGTGTGGTGGCCCATGCCCATAATCCCAGCACTTTGGGAGGCTGAGGCAAATGGATCACTTGAGCTCAGGAGCTCAAGACCAGCCTTCGCAACATGGTGAAACCTCATCTCCACCAAAAAAAGAAAAGTACTAAAATTAGCTGGGCATGATGGCATCCGCCTGGAGTCCCAGCTACTTAGGAGATTGAGGTGTGAAGATCACTCAAGTCCAGGAGGCAGAGGTTGCAGTGAGCTGTGATCATGCCACTGAACTCCAGCCTGGGTGACGGAATGAGACCTTGTCTCAAAAAATAAAAAATAAAAAATTTAAAAAAATTAAAAAAAACCCCAAAACAAAAATCCAATCTGGGCTGGCCATGGTGGTTCTCCCCTATAATCCCAGTGCTCTGGGAGGCTGAGGCAGAAGGATTTCTTGAGGCCAGCAATTCGAGAGCAGCCTGGACAACATAGCAAGACCCTGACTCTACAAAATTTTTTAAAAAAATTAGCCAGGTACAGTGGCACATGCCTGTAGTCCTAGCTATTTTAGAGGCTAAGGTGGGAGGATTGCTTGAGCCCAAGAGGTTGAGGCTGCAGTGAACTATGATTGCACCACTGCACTCCAGCCTGGGCAACAGAACAAGATCCTGTCTCTAAGAAATTTTTTTAATACTAAAAAATAAAAATAATAAGTAAATTAGAAACTCAATCTGACTATCTTTGTTTTTATTTTATTTTATTTTGTTTGGTTTTAGTTTTTGAGACAGGGTCTCACTCTCACCCAGGCTGGAGTGCAGTGTCACAATCATGGCTCACTGCAGCCTCAACCTCCCAGGCTCAAGTGATCTTCCCACCTCAGCCTCTCAAGTAGCTGGGGCCACAGGTGTGCATCACCATGCCCAGCTACTTTTTGTATTCCTTCACAGAGACGGGGTTTTACCATATTGTCCAGGCTGGTCTCTACCTCCTGGGCTCAAGTGACCCTCCTGCCTGAGCCTCCCAGAGTGCTGGGATTACAGGCATGAGCCACAGCACCCGGCCCAATCTTTGTTTTAAAATAGGAATATTTAGTCCATTTATATTTAAAATAGTTATTTATGCATCTGAGTTTCAAGATATCCTAGTATTTGTATTCTATCTATCCCACATGTTCGATGTTCCTTTTTTCCTCTCTTCTAAATCTTTTTTGATTATTTTTATTATTCCAAATGTTTCTACATTAGCTTGTTAGTAACATATTTTTATTACTATTTTTCCATGATTACCATGGTAATTACAGCATGCATCCTTGACTTGCTAAAGTTTAATATAAATTAATTCTTTTACCACTTCATAGACAATGCAAGTACCTTAAAATACTTTAACTCCATTTATCTGCTCCCACACTCTGTGCTATTTTTGTGATGTTTTAATTCTATGTGCATTTAGAACTTCACATGACATTATCACTTTATACAGTTATTGTTCATTTATTTTTACCCACATATTTACTTTCTTTTGACCTTATTTTTTTCCTGGATGTTCATAATTCCTTTTGAGTTTTTTAAAAAAATTCCCTTTAATATGTTTTTAGTGTGGATCTGTGAAGAATTTTGACTGTGGGAAAACATATTTATTTTACCTTCATTTTTGAAGAATATTTTCACTGAGTATAGCATTTTAGATTGATATTTTCTTTTAGCACTTTATAGATGCCATTCCATCATCTTCTGGATTTTATCATTTCTATGAAAGAGTCAGTTGTCAGTCTTTTTATTTTATTTTATTTTCGAGACAGGTCTCGCTCTGTCTCCCAGTTTGGAGTACAGTAGCATAAACACAGCTCACTGCAGACTTGACCTCCCAGGCTCAAATGATTCTCTTCCCATCTCAGCCTTCTGAGTAGCTAGGACAACAGGGGCATGCCGCTATGCCTGGATAATTTTTCTATTTTTAGTGGAGATGGGATTTCACCACGTTGCCCAGGCTGGTCTCAAACTGCTGGGCTCAAGTGATCCTCCTGTCTCAGCCTCCCAAAGTGCTGAGATTACAAGCATGAGCCACTGTGCCTGGCCTCAGCCCTTTTTTCAAAAAATTGAGACAGTCTTGTTCTGTTGCCCAGGCTGGAGTGCAGTGGTGTGATCCTAGCTCACTGTAGCCTCAACCTGCTGGGTCAAGTGATCCCCCACTACAACCTCCTGAGTAGCTGGGACTACAGGTGCACACCATCATGTCTGGCTAATTCTTGTATTTTTTTTTGTACAGATGGAGTCTCGCTGTGTTGCCTAGGCTGATATTGAACTCCTGGCCTCAAGTGATCCTTCTTCCTTGGCCTTCCAAAGTGCTGGGGTTACAGGCATGAGCAACCATGCCTAACCAAAGTTGTTCATGTGTGTGTGTGTGTGTACGTGTGTGTGTGTGTGTTTTGTTTGTTTGTTTGTTTTGAGACAGAGTCTCACTCTATCGCCCAAGCTGGAGTGCAGTGGTGCAATCTTGGCTCACTGCAACCTCCACTTCCCAGGTTCAAGCAATCCTCCTGCCTCAGCCTCCCCAGTAGCTGGGACTATGGGAGCGTGCCACCATGCCTGGTTAATTTTTGTATTTTTAGTAGAGATGGGGTTTCACCATGTTGGCCAGGCTGGTCTTGAACTCCTGACCTCAGGTGATCCGCCTGCCTCGGCCTCCCAAAGTGCTGGTATTACAGGCATGAGCCACCACACTCCACCATTGTCAGTCTTAATGTTGTTCCTTTGAAGGTAATGTGTCTCTCCCTCTCTAATTGCTTTTAATATTTTTTCTTTGTCTTTGGTTTTCAGCAGTTTTATTATGAAATGCTTAAATACAGTTTTCGGCCAACTGTGGTGGCTCATGCTTATAATCTCAGCACTTTGGGAGGCCGAGGTGGGCAGATCACTTGAGGTAGGGAGTTTGAGACAAGCCTGGCCAACATGGCAAAACCCTGTCTCTAATAAAAATACAAAAATTAGCTGGGCATGGTGGCACGTGCCTCAGCTACTCGGGAGGCTGAGGCAGGAGGATTGCTCGAACCCGGGAGGCAGAGGGTTGCAGTGAGCCGACATGACACCACTGCACTCCAGCGTGGGTGACAGAGTGAGACGCTGTCTCAAAAAAAAAAAGTGTAGTTTTCTTTGCATTTATCCTGCTTGGGATTGATAGTGCTTCTTGAGTATGTGTCTTGATATCTTTCATCAATTTTGGAAAATTTTCAACTACTCTCTTTTCAAATAGTACTTCTTTCCTGTTTCCTCTTTCTAGGACTCTAATTCCATGTATTTAGGCCTTTTTGCCATGTCCCATATGTCTCTTTCTCTCTTACCTATATATATATTTTTTATTATACTTTAAGTTTTAGGGTACATGTGCGCAACGTGCAGGTTAGTTACATATGTATACATGTGCCATGTTGGTGTGCTGCACCCATTAACTCATCATTTAACATTAGGTATATCTCCTAATGCTATCCCTCCCCCCTCCCCCCACCCCACAACAGGTCCCGGTGTGTGATGTTGCCTGCCCTTCCTGTGTCCATGTGTTCTCATTGTTCAATTCCCACCTATAAGTGAGAATATGCAGTGTTTGGTTTTTTGTCCTTGTGATAGTTTGCTGAGAATGATGGTTTCCAGCTTCATCCATGTCCCTACAAAGGACATGAACTCATCATTTTTTATGGCTGCATAGTATTCCATGGTGTATATGTGCCACATTTTCTTAATCCAGTCTATCATTGTTGGACATTTGGCTTGGTTCCAAGTCTTTGCTATTGTGAATAGTGCCACAATAAACATATATGTGCATGTGTCTTTATAGCAGCATGATTTATAATCCTTTGGGTATATACCCAGTAATGGGATTGCTGGGTCAAATGGTATTTCTAGTTCTAGATCCCTGAAGAATGGCCACACTGACTTCCACAAGGGTTGAACTAGTTTACAGTCCCACCAACAGTGTAAAAGTGTTCCTATTTCTCCACATCCTTTCCAGCACCTGTTGTTTCCTGACTTTTTAATGATTGCCATTCTAACTGGTGTGAGATGGTATCTTATTGTGGTTTTGATTTGCATTTCTCTGATGGCCAGTGATGATGAGCACTTTTTCATCTGTCTTTTGGCTGCATAAATGTCTTCTTTTGAGAAGTGTCTGTTCATATCCTTTGCCCACTTGTTGATGGGGTTGTTTGTTTTTTTCTTGTAGATTTGTTTGAGTTCATTGTAGATTCTGGATATTAGCCCTTTGTCAGATGAGCAGATTGCAAAAATTTTCTCCCATTCTGTAGGTTGCCTGTTCACTCTGATGGTAGTTTCTTTTGCTGTGCAGAAGCTCTTTAGTTTAATTAGATCCTATTTGTCAATTTTGGCTTTTGTTGCCATTGCTTTTTGTGTTTTAGACATGAAGTCCTTGCCCATGCCTATTTTCAATTCTTTTCTCTCTTCTGATACTAGATATTTTATGCTGAAACTATATTTCACATCATTAATCCTAGAATTAGCTGTGTCTAACCTGCTATCAGCTCCATCTACTATGTTAAATTCAATTATTATATTTTTCAGTTCTAGGATTTCAATTGCATTCTTTTTTAGAGTATCCAGGTTTGGTGATTTTGCACTCTACCAGAATTCCAATGCAAAATCTTACTGTTCTATACAGATCTACTCCTATCCAATTATATCAACCAATACAATCTCATTTTTGTTTAAGCCAGTTTTATTTGGTTTCCTGTTAAACACGACTGAAAAATCTTAACTGCCAATGTGGAGATATCCCCCTTCATGATGTTGTAATAATGGCTGCAGCAGCTCCAGGTGTCAAATGCAGACATGACATCCAGAGAAGAAGTGGAATGCTGCCTGTCATCCATCTCTGTTTATTAGGAGTGAAAATCTTTTCTATAATTTCTAATTCAGAAGGCCAGGGTTGTAATCACACACTACATGGAATGGGATGGGAATGATTACCAAACAGCAATCTTTACTTATCCCTGAACTTGGGGAGAGGATCATCTTTCACTAGCAAACAACTACAGTAGAAGAACATCCAAATAAAACTGGGACTCTGCCAGCAATATAAAATATGAAAGGGGAAAGCTATTGGGTAAATAATCAACAGTGTTTATGACACTAATAGATGTATTAATTTTCTGTAAAGTTGTGTGTGTGGGTAGAAAATATCAGGAATTGTACATATCAATCTTTAGCAGAATTTAAATTTGGGAGGGGGACTATCTGGAGTGGAAAGGATGGATATTTTTACTTATACAATTTTCATTAGTTTATATTACTTTGGTGATTTAAATTTAAAAGAACTTCAATCTAAAAATGGGCTGCTCAGAAGTAGAGCTAGAACAAAAATATAGAGTCAGAAGGCTGGATATGGTGGTCCACACCTGTAATCCCAATGCTTTGGGAGGTCGAGGCAGGAGGATCACTTTAGGCCAGACTTTGAGACCAGCCTGGGGAACATAGTGATACCCTGTCTCTACAAAAGAAAAAATAAAAAGAATTATGAGCATGGTGGTGTGTGCCTGTAGTCCTAGCTACCCAGGAGGTTGGAGGATTGCTTGAACCCAGGAGGTTGAGGCTGCAGTGAGCTATGATTGCACCACTGCACTCCAGCCTGGGCAACAGAGTGCTTGTCTCTAATACATACATAAATATATGTATGTGTATATATATATATATGTGTGTGTGTGTGTGTGTGTGTGTGTGTGTATGTGTGTGTGTATGTATATATGTATTAGGGAGAGAGAGAGAGAGAGAGAGAGAGAGTCAGAGAAGCACATATTTGTATATTCCATCCCAGTCCTGGCCCCTACACAGTTACTCAGGTGCCAGTAGCAGGTTTATTCCTTCTGGGGATTTGGAGGCACAAAGCTATCCGAGCCTGATGCCATCAAATATTTAAACCATTCACCTCCCTCCCGTCCCACTCTCAAAGCTGTCTTCACATCATAAATTGGCTTCCTGTGCATATTTTCCTACGGGGAAAGAATGTGCTGGACATGGCATTGTGAGCATTCTGGTCCCCTTGGCAGTTCTATTTCTCATCATAAATTAATACATTGCTTCTCTGGCTCAGATAGCAGGATAGGAGCTGGGTTAGTAGGATCTACTTTCCATTCCCCAATAGATAGGTTCTCTCTTAATGCTGTTAAAGTCAAGTTCATAAGCCTGGACCATGATGAATTTACCAAGGTAAAAGTCACCTCTGATGCCACTTGTCAGCTGGCCAGCCAGCCTGCCCTGATGACACTCCTGTCTCTTCAAGCACATTTCTTTCAGACTCCTGTGCTTCCTAGCCACATTCATCTCAATCAGCTGTCTCTTTCTTTATCCCTCATTCTGTCTTTTCCTCTATGACTCTCTCTCTCTAATTATATATATCTTTCTCTCTTCCTACTTCACCACTTAATCTTCCTTTATCTTTTTTTTTTTTATTTGACGGAATTTCTCTCTTTTTTGCTCTGGCTGGAGTGCAATGGCATAATTTCGGCTCACTGCAACCTCTGCCTCCCGAGTTCAAGCAATTCTCCTGCCTCAGCCTCCTGAGTAGCTGGGACTACAGGTGCACACCACTATGTCCAGCTATTTTGTACTTTTAGTAGAGATGGAGTTTCACCATGTTGGCCAGACTGGTCTCGAACTCCTGACCTCAGGTAATCCATTCGCCTCAGCCTCCCAAAGTGCTGTGGTTACAGGTGTAAGCCACCGTGCCCAGACTTCTTTTCCTTTTTTCTTCTGTTTTTTGTTTGTTTGTTTGTTGTTGTTGTTGTTTACCTTAATTAACCATGGAGTTGAAAAATAATATATACCAGAGCTATGTGCCAAGCACAGAGCTGGGTCACATGTAAAAATTATATTCTGACCTCACAATAACTCTGAAAACTGTTTTTGTTCCTATTTTACAAAGAAAGAAGTGGAGGCTCATAAAGGGTAAGTGGTTGTGTTTCATAATCTTAAAGGTTTTCTCTGCTGAATTTTCAAAATTAGTAAATTAAATGCTTTGTGCTTCCTTTATCTAAGAAAATACAGTTTAGGCCAGGCATGGTGGCTCATGCCTATAATCCCAGCACTTTGGGAGGCTGAGGTGGGTGGATCACTTGAGGTCAGGAGTTTGAGACCAGCCTGGCCAACATGGCGAAACCCCATCTCGACTAAAAATACAAAATTAGCCAGCTGTGGTGGTGTGCACTTGTAGTCCCAGCTACTTGGGAGGCTGAGGCAGGAGAATCGCTTGAACCTGGGAAGCAGAGGTTGCAGTGGACTGAAATCAGGCCACTGCACTCCAGCCTGGGCAACAGAGTGAGACACTGTCTCAAAAAAAAAAAAAAGATGACCCTTTGAACAATAAAGCTCTCACTGCTCTTTGCCTCTCCCCATCCTTCTTCCTGAGAGTGGGACTTGACCCTGATTCCTCTGACACAAACTTAAACTTCTTTATGGAGGAGATAACCTTCTCTGTCCAGTCAGGCTCAACATACTTTCTGTATCTGTGCAAAAGGAAGAGGTCAAATCTTCAGCACCTAGATTTGTAACTTTCAGTAACTTGGAGATGGAGGTTGTGGTAACATTAAATCTGCTCCCTGGAAGGTCACTTTTTATTATTTTGGGTGTTTAATTAAGTTGCTCGGCCTCATCAAGTGTCCTCCCCATGATCCTAGAAGATAGTGAGGTAGAAGTAGAGAGGAGTATCCCTTCCAGCCTGCTTCAGTAGAGTTCTGAGAGGAGCAAAAGAGAAAACAAGATGTTTCTGGGTGGGTTCCAGGCCCCTCCACCCTTCTGCAAGGGAGTGAAGGGTGCTTATCTCCTGAAGACATGAATTGATGGATTTTGGTTATAGGCCGGAGGAGCAGATGCAACCACTGTATTTTCTTAGGTAAAGGAAATATAAAGCATTTAATTTACTAATTTTGAAAATTAAGCAGAGAAAATCTTTAAGATTATGAAGCAAAACTACTTACTCTTTATGATCCTGCCAAGGATCAGAACATGGCAGCAGAGAAGTCCGAGGTCTAACTGAATGTCCAGACTCTGTTGGATTCAGCACCATAGACAGAAAGCAGCCCAAAGCTGCTGAGGGCTGAGGGTTGAATGCCATAGACAGATACCCCTTCTCTGTCCCCACCCCCAATTTCACTAGTCCCCATTGCTATTCCTGGGAGGAACCTAACCCCTTCCATTAGTTAACTGGCCCCCAGCACTTAAAGGTCGAGATAAACAATGGGTTGGTTTCCTTCTAAGGCCCTCCGGAATTTCTTTACTGAGCTTTCAGTTCTGCGGCTTCCTGGTAGAGTGGGGTCCGCCTTAGAGCAACTCTTATTAACATCCAGCTGATTTGCATATATCTGCATTCACTGGGGCTTCTCCATTCTGGTTTTATTGTAAATGAATTGCTCAGAGGAAGAAAGGGAAGGATTATTTCACTCCTTTTTTTTCCTCTTCTTTCCCCCTATTCCTAGGGTCTCTGTCTGGAAATTTCCCCCAGATGCGTGAAGGTGTGTGTGGTGGAAGAGGGTAGAAACCAGACTCCAACAGTCAGGTATTTGCCAGAGCATCCTATGTAGATTTCCCCAGATAATTTCCCCCATCTGTTTGGTTTCTGAAAGATCCTTGTCAGGTTCAGAGGAAGTCTGTATTTTGTTTTAGCACCGAGGGTCAGAACCTCTGGGCTGAAGTCCCTGGAGCTTCAGTAAGAAGCCATGATTGGTGCCTTAGAGCCTGCTAAGGGGATGGAACCCGGTTTTAAAGAGGAGTGAGGGGTGGTGGAGTGAGGACTCATTTTGAAATGAAAGGAGTCCTGGGTCTCTAAGCAGCTTCTAAAAATACCATCTCCCAGAGGTGGAGGCAGGGGGAGGGGAGAAATCGAGCGTGAGGAGAATGAAGATGGAAAGGAGGTGGCAGTGTGAGAACCCTTCCTCAGGTAGGTCTGGTTTTAGAAGTCCCGCCTGCATCCAAGGACTGGAGGGATGCCACACCTCCTTCTGCTTCCTCAGGGGGCTTGTCTCCTGTGGTGTCCAAGCCACAGCCTCTCCTGATGACCTTTCTTTCTGCAGGTAAAGAAGACCAATTCCTCCCACCTACTCCTCCTATTGCTACTGTCCAGCAAGTATGTCTGAGTGGGCACGTGTGCATTTACTCGCACATATACACAAGCACACACGCAGAAATGGCACATGAAAGCGGGTTGTAAATGGCCAGTGATCTACGATGCCAGGAATCCTCCTTACACTCGGCGTTCAAAGAGGTATGGACTCTGGCAGAGACAGCGTGGTTCACCAGGGCATCCGCAGCACAGAGCATGGCGCCCAGTGAGGGCTGGGTAGAGGGGTGAGGGATACATATATGCAAAAGCACAGACACTCAGACCGCAGGGGCCAAGTAGTCACAGGACTCACACTCACTCTCGAGGTTTCTCAGGCTATATTCGCTTCCAAATAGAGAGGGGGTGGGTCCCCCAAGAAAAGAGCTCGGAAAAGCCACGAGGTGGGTGGAGCTTTCTCCCCTCAAGTTCAGCCCAGATGGTGGCGCTCAGTAGCCGCCTCCCTCGTCCTGGAGGGCCCCAACCCTTCCCACCACCAAAGTGTTAAACCCTCAGCTTGCACATAAATGACCTTCACTAGACAGAGGTCTTGTTCCACGTTTTCTTGCGGCTTCTTCAGCGCCGGCTGAACTCTGCCAGGATTGCTCCGCCTCTCTCGCAGATGTCTCCGATTCCTGGCCTCTGTGCTGTTCACCAGTCCCCTGGGGTGGGCGGAGTGGGGTGATCAAAGAGGGGAACCCCCGACTCTGAGCAGACTGAGGGCATGGGTGGTTGTGAGGTGTGCTGCTTGTATCTTGACAGCAGGAGCAAGAACCTGAGGAACCGATCGTTCATGCAAAACCGCCACCGCCCCCATCCCAGCGTCCACATGGTTTCCCAGCCTCGGAAGCGCGTTGGTAGGGCAGGACCCCGTCCCTCACTTTGCTCTCCTTTCCCGAGCAGCTCCCGGGATCGTTCGGCCCCTCCTTCCTGCCGCTGTGTGTGTGTGTGTGTGTGTGTGTGTGTGTGTGTGTGTGTGTGTGTGATGAGGGCGGGAAGAGAAAGGGGGGGATGAGCTAGGAGACACCGGGAGCCTCAGACACAGGAACAGACCTAGGGCAGGGAGACAGGAGAGCTCCCCAGAGCTTGGGGTCAGGACATAAAGCTTCAAAACCCCGCAAGTCCTGGGAACAAGGGAGCTTTCAGACTAGCTCAGAGGCTGCAAGTGTTGCTGCCTCCCCGAGGGTCGCCCCTCCTTAAGCCAAGCCCACCTTGCCTGCCTACTTCTCAGGAATGAGGAGCTAAGGTTTAGCGCTCTGGGCCACCGATGCCAGCTCATTCCCCTCTCGCAGAAGCCCTGCCAGCTCCCACAGCTGCCCCACCCCCCACGGTTTGGAGATCTGCAGGACCCCTTCCTTTCCCCACCAGTTGGGTGTTCCGCCCCTGGCCTATGAAACTCCACCTTCCCACCCTCTGCTGGCGGGGATTGGTTGGCATCCCGCGGCGGTGCCTAGTGATTGGTTCCCATGGATGATGGTGAGCGGTGAGACTCCGCCCCCCGCTGGCTCTGGGGTCTGGGGGCATTGCTCAGCGGTGCTAGGCTGGCGCGGCTTGAGCCGCCGCCGGACTGACAGCTCGGTCTGCGGACCATGGAGACCTGCGCCGGTCCACACCCGCTGCGCCTCTTCCTCTGCCGGATGCAGCTCTGTCTCGCGCTGCTTTTGGGACCCTGGCGGCCTGGGACCGCCGAGGAAGGTGAGAAGACTGGTGAGCTCTGCTCGGAGCGTGGCATACCAAAAGATAGGGGGCTGGCGATGGGGGTTCTGGGGGAAGGAGTCATTGGAGAGACTAGAGTCTGTATTGGGGCTTGAAGCAAGCAGGCAGCAAAGAACTGGAGAGACAGAGAAAAATGTGATCAAGCAGTAGCGAAGAGAGGGGCGCTGAGGAGCTTGGGGGCTGGAGACCCGGGAGGTTGGGAAAGAAAGAGGCCAGGAACCGCGGGAGCCAGAGGCGGCGGTCCAGCGGCCGGTGAGACGGACAAGCTGAGTGATTGGAGGTGGGAGGTGCGGGGGCGGGGAGATGAAGAGTGGAGACAGGGAGATGCGGAGGTGAGCTCGGAATATGGGGAGACGGGATGGAGCCCGGACTACAGGGGCTAGGAGACCACAGTGTGGCCAACAGAAGGTGGAATGCTGGTCGAGGGGGCTGGATCCGGGCGCTGCCCGACGTGCTGATCATGGAACTGTCCGCAGTGCTGAATTCTGAGCGTAGTCTGCCGGGCGCGCTCCGCGTTGCCGGGTTTGAGGCTGTCGGCGATACTGGAGCCCGCGTCTTGCCTCTGATTGTGCATTTAGGGGAGCTATACGCTCAGTTGAATCCAGAGGCGTCATATCTAGGTGCAGAATCCGGAGGAGCTGGAATCTGAGGCGTTGACCGCGGGGTTGGTCTGGGCCCTGGATGGCTGATGCCTTCCAGTTCGCGATTCCGATGTGCTGTCAGTTGCGCGGATCTCGGAAAGCCGTCGGCGGTCCTGCCCACAGTCGCTGACGCCTCTGGAGAGGCCCTCACCTTGGTGGCCCACCCCCTGGTTTAAGCTCCAGAGGGTAATCTCCCAAGACTCCGGGGTGTCCTGACCTCCTGTCTCTGGTCTGCGGACTCTGCTGTCCAAACCATTTTCTGTGATCCATGCTGAGAGGTTGCAGGCTGCTGATCCGATGCCTCCTGGGGGAATAAAGGGACTTCAAGCTTCTCTGGTAGGAAGGGTCATAGATGTATACATAAAAGAACCCCAGACATTCTTTCAAAAGCAGTGGAAGTGACAGCCCCTGGGAAAAGGGCTGGCTGAGGAGAAGAGAGATTTTATTTCTCCAGTTGTTAGCAGTATCTCTCCACATTGTTTTCTCAGAGGCCCGGGAGTCAGTCTAAAAATGTTCAAGTCTTCATGCCTGGGGACCACCGACCTCAGAAAAGCCCCTGAGTAGGAGTGGATTGGGGGGTATATACAGGAATCCCCTGATACATTCACTACTCACTTTCTCTCTCTCTCTCTCTCTAATTGACTCTTAGCTATAATTTTGGGAACCTAAGAAGGCTGGGGAGAGTCACTGACTCCCACCCCCAATCTGAGAGCCAACCTTAGAGTATTTGCCATGGACCCTGTAGAAGGCTGAATGATGACCCCCACCCCCAATATGTCAATGTCCTAATCCCTAGAACCGTGAATGTTAGCTTAATTGACAAAAAGGACTTTGCATATGTGATTAGTGATCTTTTGAGATGGAGAGGTTGTTTTAGATTATCTGGATGGGCCCAATAATCACAATGGTCCTTGTATGAGGGGTGCAGGAGGAGCCAGAGTCAGAGGAGGAGGCAGTGTGATGACTGAGGCAGAGATTAAAGTGATGTGATTTGAAGATGGAGGAGGGGACCACAAGCTAGGGACTACAGGCGGCCACCAGACGCTGAAGATGGTAAGGACATGAGTTCTCCCCTCAGAGCCTCCAAAAGAAAACAGTCCTGCTGACACCTTGACTCTAGACCAGTGAAAGTGGCTTTGGGCTTCTGACCTCCAGAACTGTAACAGAAAAATATTGTGTTGTTTTAAGCCACTAAATTTGTGGTAATATGTTACAGCAGCCCCAGGAACTGAATACAAGCTCCTTCCCTACTGACTGTGGCTACCTCTCTCTGGATTTGAGCTATTCACACCCCTCCTGGGGATGTATGGAGTGGGAAAAACTTGCCCATATCATTTGTCACATATTGCATTCTCTCAGCAAATTTACAGGGACTTCACCAAAGGATTCCACTCTCTTGCTAAACTGACCTTCTCGATTTCTGATATTTCTGTCTTCCCCTCTCCTTAGTTATCCTCCTGGATTCCAAAGCCTCCCAGGCCGAGCTGGGCTGGACTGCACTGCCAAGTAATGGGGTAAGTGCACAAGTGTCCCTCCCTGTCCCAGGGATCCTCTGGTGGTCCAGGACACAGTCTCCTCAGCTCCTCATGTTTACATCAGACAAAAGTGCTCCTCAGAGTGTGTGGTCTCCAGCAGCCCTGGCTTCAAGCCAGAGTGGCCTGTTAGAAAACATTGAGTCTTCAGCCAGTTAGACAGTCAAAAAAAAAAAAAAAAGTGAATAAGTGAGGAGAGAACTGGCTGTCTAGGAACAGAAATGTGGCATCTGGATGGAGCTAATACAGGACAGTGGCTTGCACATAGTAGTAGATCCTCCAAGCAATGTTGTTGATTGATTGACACAGCAAGCAAGACTGGGAGTCCTAAAAGAGGCTTGGAGACTTGGGGTAGGGGAGGATGATGTGGGCTGTAACAGCAGCTTGGTGGAGTGCAAAGGGCACTGGTCAGAGAGTCAGGAAACTACAGGCACCATTCCTAGCTCCACCACTAACTTGATGTGCATACCTGGTCAGATCGCTCTCCCTCTGGAGCCTCAGTTTCCCCATCTATAAAAATAAGGATTGGGATCATTTGTTTCCAAAGTTTCTCCCAGCGCTGCATCTTACAATTTCCGGGGTGTGCATGGTGCATGAGAGAGAAAGCAGGAGTCACTGCTAGCGCTCCACCTCCTGGAAGCACTTTGGCTCTGGGCTGCCCACCCCTTTACTCTTGTCCCCAGTGGGAGGAGATCAGCGGCGTGGATGAACACGACCGTCCCATCCGCACGTACCAAGTGTGCAATGTGCTGGAGCCCAACCAGGACAACTGGCTGCAGACTGGCTGGATAAGCCGTGGCCGCGGGCAGCGCATCTTCGTGGAACTGCAGTTCACACTCCGTGACTGCAGCAGCATCCCTGGCGCCGCGGGTACCTGCAAGGAGACCTTCAACGTCTACTACCTGGAAACTGAGGCCGACCTGGGCCGTGGGCGTCCCCGCCTAGGCGGCAGCCGGCCCCGCAAAATCGACACGATCGCGGCGGACGAGAGCTTCACGCAGGGCGACCTGGGTGAGCGCAAGATGAAGCTGAACACAGAGGTGCGCGAGATCGGACCGCTCAGCCGGCGGGGTTTCCACCTGGCCTTTCAGGACGTGGGCGCATGCGTGGCGCTTGTCTCGGTGCGCGTCTACTACAAGCAGTGCCGCGCCACCGTGCGGGGCCTGGCCACGTTCCCAGCCACCGCAGCCGAGAGCGCCTTCTCCACACTGGTGGAAGTGGCCGGAACGTGCGTGGCGCACTCGGAAGGGGAGCCTGGCAGCCCCCCACGCATGCACTGCGGCGCCGACGGCGAGTGGCTGGTGCCTGTGGGCCGCTGCAGCTGCAGCGCGGGATTCCAGGAGCGTGGTGACTTCTGCGAAGGTATCCAGTTGGCTGGGGGCCGTGGGGTGGGAGTGTAGAGCGTAGGTGGCAATTGAGAGAGAGTGTGCCCTAGAGGAAAGAGGCGGGTGTGGGGTCGGGGGGCGGTGGAGAAGCCTTGGACTCTGGAGCCCAAGGAGAGCCCTGAAGTCTTGTGGAGTTTCCAGTGAGTCCAGTCAGGGCCAATGAGTGAACTTACTAGATGAAATTGACTGGCTAAGGAGGCATTAGGGATCTATATCTTAGGCACCTTGCACAGGCCTTCTCGTTTATTTATTTTCATGGCAATAAAGGAAGTCATTGTTTTTTTTTTTTTTTAAAATAAGGAGTCTCTCTTGCTCTGTTGCCCAGGCTGGAGTGCACTGGCTTGATCTTGGCTAACTGCAACTTCCACCTCCTGGGTTCAAGCAATTCTCCTGCCTCAGCCTCCTGAGTAGCTGGGATTATAGGCGTGCACCACCATGCCCAGCTAATTTTTGTATTTTTAGTAGAGACGGGGTTTCACCATGTTGGCCAGGCTGGTCTCAAACTCCTGACCTCAAGTGATCCACCTACCTAGGCCTTCCAGAGTGCTGGGATTATAGGCGTGAGCCACCGTGCCTGGCCTAAAGGAAGTCATTCTTATCTCTATTTCACAGATGAAGAAACAGAGCCTCAGAGAGATTAGTACCTCACTTGCAAAGTTAGGAAATGGGGAGCTAGGATTTGAATTCAGGCTTGCCCAACTCACATTCTATGACATCATGAGGTCTCCTCAGTGCATAAGGAAGAACTCTACAGCAGCCCAATCTTCAGGCTAGTGGGATTGGTTGCATTACAGAGAGGAATCTCCCAGTCACGGACCAAATACTTGCAAGTTAGAGGCTGGCAGGGGGGATTTTTATGCTGGAGAGAGGGATTGGGAAGTTGCACTAGATGATTACGAAGATCACATCCCACTCTCTGAACTACAATCACTGTGCTCCCTGGGGGAGATCCTTCATGTTGAGGGTTTTGCTGGGTTCTCAGGCTAGTGGGGGCATTAGGAACAGACCTCTCATTCTCTCTCTTGCCTGTGGCTTTGGATACAGAGGGTGATGATGGGGTTATTAATGTGTGTACTTAATATAGAAAGATCAAGGTATGCTTTTTCTAAACCATGTCCTTTTCTGGGTGCCAGGGCAACAGAAATGAGTCAGACATAGTCCTAGCTCTCAAGAAGCTCACAGTCTAGATGGAGAGATGCAAAAATTTAAAAATCACAAGAGGGTAATATATGCTATAACAGAGGGATACACAGAGTGGTGGGAGGACAGGGGAGGAAGTGACTAAATTTGCTCTCATTCCTTTGTTCAATCATCCATCCAATATGAATTGAGGATGTGCCAGCTGCATTTATTGAGGGCTTATTATATGTATATAGATGAATGCCACCATCTCCTCCCTGCGGAAATTGTAATTTAGAGAAAGACTGGGAGGCATGAACCTTCCTGAGCTCTCCAGATATAGTTAGGATCCACCTCGGTGCTCTCCAGCATTCATTGAAACCTATTTCTGTACTTACCCCATGGTATGCACTGATCTACTTATGTGTGTTTTCACCACTAGATTAAGAACTTCTTTTTTTTTTTTTAGAA
Source organism: Homo sapiens (assembly GCF_000001405.40). Classification (NCBI taxonomy): domain Eukaryota; kingdom Metazoa; phylum Chordata; class Mammalia; order Primates; family Hominidae; genus Homo; species Homo sapiens. The sequence goes on along the minus strand of NC_000001.11, from coordinate 37,759,791 downwards.
ATGGGGGTTTGTCTATGTTGCCTGGGCTTGCGTGTAGCAGCTATTCATAGGTATGATCATAGTGCATTACAGCCTGGAGTTCTTGGTTTCAAGCATTCCTTCTGCCTCAGCCTCCTGAGTAGGTGGGACTATAGGGACCACACCCTAGATTAGGAACTTCTTGAGCTCAGGCACTGGGTGTTACTAGTGTCAGCAGCCCCAGCATTCATAACAGGATAAGGCATACGGTAGGTGTTCAGTGAAAATGCATTGGGTGAAAAAGTGGTTACTATAGGGTGTGAAACATAAACAGAGAGCTAAGGAAGCATGGAAGGGAGAACCTAATTCTAAGCATGGAGAAGGCTTCCCAGAGAAGGTGAGAAGGTTTTTTTTTCCCAGGCAGCTTAGAGCATTCTAAGCTTAGGAATTGCATGCAGAAGGATGGAGGCAGAAGGAACATAGCATGGCTGGGCCTATGTAACTAAATGTGGTTGGAGCAGAGGGCATGTGGGGGTGTGGGAGTGAAGTGATGGGGTTGGAGAGGAGCAGGTGGAAATCATGAAAGGCCTTGAATGTTGGGATAAAGAGCTTAGACTTTATGCTTTAGGCCAATGGGGAGGATCTGAAGCAGGGATCTGACATGCTCAGATTTGTATTTTCAAAATATCACTCAAGCTGCAATTGCAAAGAAAGGATTGAAGAGGGAAGGATTAGGAGCCAGAAGATGAAGAAGGAAGATGGTGCAATAGTGCAGGAGAAAGAGCACAAGGGCTGAACTAAGGTAGTGGCAGAGATCATTGAGAGATGAGGATAGATGGGATCATGAGTTAGCATCCACAGCACTTAGTGACCATGTGATACAGGAGGAGAAAGGAGTCCCCTTTGACTTACATGCTACTGGGGATTGAATGGACAGAGGGATCATTCACTAGGGTACAGAACACAGGACCTGGATAGACACATATTTATGATGTCCACGGTGCATTCCAGTGGAGGTAGCTAGAAAGTGGGTCTGGAGCTCTGAAAGACAGAGACAGTACTTGAACCTGTGGGTGTGGTTGGGACAGACCAGGAGAACGTGTGGGGTAAGAAGCCAAGAGGGCCAACAATGAAGACTCATAGAATAGCAATACTTAAGGACAAGTAGAAAATACAGAGCCCATTAAAAAGGCTGAGAGGGAGTGATCAGAGTATGGAGGAGAACTAGGAGAGTGTGATATTATGACAGCCAAGAGAGATTGAAGGTGTCCAGGAAGGAATGCCCTACAGAGTTGGGAAGCAGTCAGGTAAGTCAAGGGTTAGAAAGTGCCCAGTTGGTGGCCTTGGTGAGAGCAATTGCAGCTGAGTGATGGACACAGAGAACAGGTTGCAGTAGATTGAGGGATAAAGGAAGTTGAAGAGCTTGAGTCAGGGAATCTAGAAGCCTGGATTTGAATTAGAAGAGGAGGTATCTCGAGGAGGACATTGGATTGAGAGAGGATTTTTATTATAGATGGGAGAGACTTGTTTGTATGCGGAAGGACAAAGAGCCACTGGGATACCAAGTGTGTATATGGGGGGGATCCCCATCCCGGTCCCAGGAGGCAGGAGTATTTTATTACTGATGTGGGCTAGAATTGCTGATGCATTTTGCTAATAAAAAAGCAGGCCAGATTTTAGTCAGTTTTATTATTGTTTTTACATACTCTATAGTTTGTGCCCTTATTGCCTGCACCCAAAATGGGCCACTTTTTACTGCTTCACTACCAAGAAGGGAGATGACTGATGGAATGTAGTATTTGATGAGGTTAAAGGGAGAGATCCAGGGTGGAGACAGAGGGGCTGGCCTTCAACAGGAGGTGGCTCATTCCCTCCTCTAGGACTGGAAGGGAGGAGGAGAGGGGAGATGGTTGTGGATGGGGGCATTTGTGTATTCTGATGGGCAGATGTTGAGGGAATTATCAACTGATGGCTTCCCTTCTCCCTATAAGGTGGGAGGGAGGGCATCTGTACAAATGGACAGTAAGGTCCTTGTCTGTTTTATTCATTGTTGTGTATCTATAGAGCCTACCTAGTAGATGCCAAAAAATATTTGCTGAATGAATGGATCAGGAGTGAGAGGAGGAGGTTTCTCTGGGAAATGAGGGAGAAAGAGAGAGAGAGAGAAAGAGACTCAGGAACCCAAACCATGTCTGATGAGAACAGAAAAAGGCCATTTGTAATGGCCTCAGCTCTGCCTTGGGGAGTGGGGAGCTGGGGACAATGCCAAGGAAAGCTTCACAAGGGAGATGTTATTTGAACTGGGGTTTGGAGAAGTATAGAAGTTTGCCAGGAGAAAAAGGATATAAGGAATTACAGAACAAGACCCAGAGGTGTGAAAGGATGAGCTCAGTGTACCATGGTTAGAGTGGCTGGCAGTGGGGAGCTGTTGGAGGACATTAGGAAGGGAAGGGAAATGATTGGATTTGCATTTAGAAAGTTAAGGCCTTCCAAGTGCCTTCTGCAGCTAACACAAGCTTCCCTCTAAAAGTAGATGGATAAGTGGGGGAATAGAACGAATATGTTCTTTTCCCCTTTTTGTTTCTCTTTAGTGACCTTGACTTTTGTTCTCCCTCGGTTAGCCACTAGAGAAATTAGTAAAAGAGCTGGGGTTTCCTTTGGGGGAAAAAATCAGGGCATATAACAAGTAGCTTTAATTCTCTGCTAGGGCCAGGTGCAGTGGCTCACACCTGTAATCCCAGCAATTTGGGAGGCTAAGGCAGGAGGATTGCTTGAGCCAGGAGTTCAAGATCAGCCTGGGCAACACAGGGAGATCCCATCTCTCCACACACAAAAAATTAGCCAGGCATGGTTGCACAGCATGCCTGTGGTTCCAGCTACTTGGGAGGGCTGAGGTGGGAGGATTGCTTGGCCCCAGGAGGCAGGGGCTGTAGTGAGCTATGATTGTGCCACTGCACTCCAGCCTGGGCAACAGAGCAAGACCCTGTCACAAAGAAACAAACAAACAAAACAACTCAGTGGGATTGCCTTGGAGCCAAGGGACCCAAGCAGATATGTTCTCTGAGGCTCCATAGGGCACAATGAGCCCCTGTGATGGGGTGGCACAAGGGGCATTACAGACAGCGAAGCTAATGGGGGCTCATCCTAAGAAGCACTTTCTGCCAGCATTGTTCAACAAAGGCAGCCTCAGAAGCGGGTGAATGCCTCATGATAAAGTATGTGACAAAGACTGTGGCTACTGCTGGGGAAGCTGCCGGAGGACCAGGCCAGTGGGAGCTGAGCTAGATTATCTCTGAAGGTCTGACCTTGAAGAGAGGGAGGGGCTGGCAGTCAGGAATCCCTGAATCTGCTCTTCAGCACAAACTCCTTCTAAGCAGAGCCTCTTACAGCAGAGATACCACTGTGGTCGCTGATGGGCCCACCCACCTCTAGGACAGCAGCCACCCTCATACACTTGTGGGGAGGGAGCCTCCAGCATTCTTCCCCTATTTTTGTGAAACCCTGCGAACAGATCATTTATCTGGGCTCTCACTTGCTCTCCTATTTCACAACAGTGGTGGGCAGGGCATGGTTGTTATTCCTATTTGACCAATGCTTTTTTTGAGGCCAGAGAGGCACAAGGAGTGGCCCAGCCAACACTAGAACCCAAGCTTTCCAAGTCCCAGCCTGGGTCTCTGCTGCCCACCAGACCACGGGGATAGTTGGCCCATGCTCTGTTCTGCAGGCAGAGGAGACTTCTGAAGGCTCCTGGGCTGCCGAGCCCCTCCCCAGAGTTGTGCTGCCCAGAACTCTGGGCAAGATGGACCCTCTCAAACCTATGCCTTCCAGACAGTGGAAATCCTAGTCCCCTCCCCTCTTCTGCCACACAGGCTGAAAGTTCCTCCTGAGGGCTAGTCTGCACCCTTTCTGTTGTACTGCGTCTTCTTGGAGCTGGAGAGCAGCCAGCTAAACTAGAGGAGAGGGCCAGGGAACAAGGTGAGGACCACCCAAGTTCTGAGAGGTAGGGCCAGGAACCAACTGGCCCAGCTGGTGAGAAATTTTTTTAAAGTGGGTGTTTAGCAGTTACCACTTAAGGCCTGTGGGGGAGGAACAGTAATTACTATCATTATTGTGAAAATGTGGTTGGTACTGGGCTAGGTGGTTTACATGTTTTATCTCAATCCTCCAACAACCTTTTTGAGGTAGGTATTCAACACAAGGCTCAGAGGGGTCAACTGATGTGCTCAAGGCCACACAGCAAATAAGTGGGGTGACTCAGCTACAAACCCAGGTTGTTCAGATAGAAACACTTGTGATCTTAACAACCTGTGTTCTGAGAAGTGAGAGAAGCAAACTGAGTAGGTGTCAAGACTGGAACCAGGTCTGACTCATGGTCCAGGGAACTTTTACTGGCCCTTTTCTCTCCACCCACCCCCCTCCACCTGGCTGGCTTTACTTCCAGTTGGGAATTTATGACACACTCACTCACATGATGGTGGTGGTGGGAGGGTGTGTGTGTGTGTGTGCATGTATGCTTGTGTGTCTGTCCCTGCGTAACTGTGGAACAGCTCTTGGGGCACCTCTCCTCCCCTCTCTTTCTCACACCAGCACTGCAGAGTTTGACTTATTTTCTTCCAGTGGTCCTGAGGGTGGTGTGATGTGGGCTTGGGTTGGGATCCCACAGGCTGCGGGAGAGTAGCTGTAGGCAACTTCACCTCTCCTAGCCTTAGCTCCCTCATTTTAAAGAGGATAAAGGGTCGGGCACAGTGGCTCACGCCTGCAATTTTGGCACTTTGGGAGACCAAGCTGGGCAGATCACTTGAGGCCAGGAGTTCGAGACCAGCCTGGTCAGCATGGTGAAACTCCATCTCTACTAAAAATACAAAAAAAGTAACTGGGCATGGTGGTGCACACTTGTAATCCCAGCTACTCAGGAGGCTGAGGCAGGAGAATCGCTTAAACCTGGGAGGTGGGGGTTGCAGTGAGTGGAGATCCCGCCACTGCACTCCAGCCTGGGTGATAGAAGGAGACTCGAAAAGAAAAAAGAAAAAATAAATAAAATAAAAAGAGGATAAAGTATATAACCTCACAGGTGGTTGTGAGGATTCAATGAATTAATAGACGTAATTTAAAAAATAATAAATAGAGACGGGGTTTGGCCATGTTGTCCAGGCTGGTCTCCAACTCCTGGGCTCAAGTGATCTCCAGCTTTGGCCTTCCAAAGTGCTGGGATTACAGGCATGAGCCACCGCGCCCGGCTGAAAGTAAAATGTTTCAAAGTTTTCCGAACACACAGCGTTTTCTAAGGGTAGGTAATGGGTTGTTCAGGAGTCACTCCACGGGGCAGTGCTGACTGGAGTGGCTGAGTCCCCTGACTGTTTTTCTATCGCAATTGGAGGAGATAAACGCTGCCCTAACCAGGCCAGTCAGGAAAGCGGGGAGAAACTGGAGGAGCCCCCTCTTCTCACCAGCCATGCCCTGCAGCCTGTCCCCCAGGGTTTTACAAGGTGTCCCCGCGGCGGCCCCTCTGCTCACCGTGCCCAGAGCACAGCCGGGCCCTGGAAAACGCCTCCACCTTCTGCGTGTGCCAGGACAGCTATGCGCGCTCACCCACCGACCCGCCCTCGGCTTCCTGCACCCGTGAGTCCCCCCTCCAGGCTGCACTGCGGAGGGTGGGGGGTGGGAGTGGCCAAGAAGGAAGGCCTGATCCAGGTGGTGGTGAGGGCAGGGTCTCCGCACTGGGGCGCACGTGGGCGGATATGGGGGCCAGCGCCCCGGAAGGCGGCGTACGGGGGAGCGGAGCCTGGACGCGCCCTGGGGGCCGGGGCCTTTGATGAGAAGAACCAGGACAACTGCGAGAGTCCAGACGGAGGATGGGGTTAGGATGCCTGGCAGATCACTGAGGAGAGCGCCCCTCCGCTGCCCTCTCCTCACCCTGCCTACCCTCCAGCCGAAAGGGGGGCTCCCGACCTTCGCACCATCGGTTCGGTCCCCATGCTGCCATCCTCGGTTCCTCACTAACCTCCTCCCAAATCCTCACCAACTGCCCCGCCACTCTCACATTCCGACCTCCCAAGGGCCCCCACGCCCCCGTCTCTGACCCTTCCCGGGGCAAGCCCCTCCTCCCGCTCGCCCCTGCTCCCACTCACCCCTGCTCCCGCTCGCCCCTGCTCCCACTCACCCCTGCTCCCGCTCGCCCCTGCTCCCGCTTGCCCCGGGCTCATCCGCCCTCGACCCCTCACTGACTGACCATCTCTGTACCAATCTCCCTGACTGAACCCCACGCCCCCATTCCTCCCACCCCAGACCCCTCACACCTTCCTATCCCCCATGCCCACTGGCTCCCACGGCCCATTCCCGCTCATCCATCCCTGTTCCTTCACCGGTCGTCCCTTCTACCTTCCTCCCTGACTGACCCCATGCCACTGTCTCTCCTGTCCCCCGTCCCCCCTCATCCACCAAGTCCCTTGATGAACGCCCTGGTTCCCTCCTCCCCGACTGACCCTCGCGCCCCTGCTTCTCCTGCCTCACTGGGGGTGGACAAGACCCCGCCCCCCCCTCGTGCATCCCGCCCCTCTCACGGGCACCCACGCCCCGCCCTGACCGCCCCGCCCCTGTGCCGCCTCAGGGCCGCCGTCGGCGCCGCGGGACCTGCAGTACAGCCTGAGCCGCTCGCCGCTGGTGCTGCGACTGCGCTGGCTGCCGCCGGCCGACTCGGGAGGCCGCTCGGACGTCACCTACTCGCTGCTGTGCCTGCGCTGCGGCCGCGAGGGCCCGGCGGGCGCCTGCGAGCCGTGCGGGCCGCGCGTGGCCTTCCTACCGCGCCAGGCAGGGCTGCGGGAGCGAGCCGCCACGCTGCTGCACCTGCGGCCCGGCGCGCGCTACACCGTGCGCGTGGCCGCGCTCAACGGCGTCTCGGGCCCGGCGGCCGCCGCGGGAACCACCTACGCGCAGGTCACCGTCTCCACCGGGCCCGGGGGTAAGGCCGTCCGCGCCCCCCACCCCGAGGCCACCGCGCCTGCCGCCCCTGCGCCCTCTTGGGGCCGCCCCGTCGGTCCTGCGGGAGCCCCACCCACCCACCCCAGAGAAGCCATCCTCTGTACACGCACCCCGCCCCTCTCCGGGACACAAAGTCACCCCCCCGGACGCCCCAGCGTCAGTCGCCCTCCCGAGTGTGCGAGAGGGACTGAGGATGCAGGCGTCCCCTTACTACTGGGCCAGAGGGGAGGCGCGCGGTTCTGTTGCGTCTGCGGGAAGCACCTGTGTGCTCGCTTTTCTCCTGGACTCCTTGCACAAAGCCTCTGTCCCGCTCACGGCTCTGCAGTTGGCCTCGCCGCTGATTTCTCAGGGAAAAAGAGGTGGAAAGTCCCTTAATCTCTTACCTTCCCTTTAAAAAAATGTCAGTAGGAATCCGAATTTACTTCCTTCCCTCTGTCTCGGGAAGCCGGATCCGGCCCTGTGTCCCTTACCTCCAACCCTCGGCCTCTGCATGGTTTTGCTGCATCTGGCCACCTCCTTTCCTGGTCCCGGGAAAGGGCAAGGAAGCTTGTAGAGTTAGGCTGTAGGGGCGATGGAACACACCAGCCAATACATCTCTGAGTCTGGACATGAGGTGAATAAGTGAAGACCTACAACCTTTTCACACCACACCTTCATTCCTGAGAGTTTCTTTTGATTCGCTTCTCAGCTGGGGTGGACCTTCAAGTAATGCTTGTATTCTTTGCAAGAAAGATAAGCGAGTGGTATGGTTTCTGACTCCCTTCCTAATCGAGCCTATAGGGTCGGCCTGTCACCCTGCATCCCTGCTTTCTGTGATCCCGCTTCTGTCTTTGGCAGTGGTGTTGCCAAGAAGTCTGAGGCTAGGGTTATTTTCATTCTTTTCTACTTAACTTGGACATATGACATGTACACGTATGCACACGGATGTTAGAATAATTCTTTAACCTGCTTAACCTACTGTTGATAATAATTTTTTTTTTTTTTGAGACAGAGTCTTGCTCTGTCACCAGGCTGGAGTGCAGTGGCGCGATCTTGATTCACTGCAACCTCTGCCTCCCGAGTTCAAGTGATTCTCCTGCCTTAGCCTCCCGAGTAGCTGGGACTACAGGTGCATGCCACCACGCCCAGCTAATTTTTGTATTTTTTAGTAGAGACGGGGTTTCACCATGTTGGCCAGGATGGTCTCCAACTCTCAACCTCATGATCTGCTGGCCTCAGGCTTCCAAAGTGCTGGGATTACAGACGTGAGCCACTGCGCGCCTAGCCAGACTTTCTTTTTTTTTTTTTTGAAATGGAGTTTTGCTCGTCACCCAGGCTGGAGTGTGGTGGTGTGATCACAGTTCATGGCAACCTCTGCCTCCTGGGTTCAAGTGATTCTCCTGCCTCAGCCTCCCGAGTAGCTGGGATTACAGGTGCGCACCACCACACCCAGCTAAGTTTTGTATTTTTAGTAGAGATGGGGTCTCACCATATTGGCCAGGCTGGTGTCAAACTCCTGACCTCAAGTCATCTACCCGCCTTGGCCTCCCAAAGTGCTGGGATTACAGGCATGAGCCACCTCATGCCAGGCTGAAAATAATCATTTAACCAATATGGATTTCTTTTTTTTTTTTCTTTTTCTTTTTCTTTCTTTCTTTCTTTTTTTTTTTTTTTTGAGAGGAGTCTCGCTCTGTTGCCCAGGCTGGAGTGCAGTGGCGATCTTGGCTCACTACAAGCTCCGCGTCTGGGGTTCACGCCATTCTCCTGCCTCAGCCTCCTGAGTAACTGGGACTACAGGGGCATGCAGCCACACCCGGCTAATTTTTTGTATTTTTAGTAGAGACAGGGTTTCACCATGTTAGCCAGGATGGTCTCGATCTCCTGAGCTCGTGATCTGTCCTCCTTGGCCTCCCAAAGTGCTGGGATTACAGGCGTGAGCCACTGCGCCCGGCTACCAATATGGATTTCTTTTGATTGAGTAAACCTTTTGATTTGCACAACTTTTTTTTTTCCCGGGAAAAGTTTTCTTCAGGCCGGGAACAGTGGCTCATGCCCTTAGTCTGAGCACTTTGGGAGCCTGAGGCCAGGAGCAATATAGTGAGACCCTGTCTCTACAAAAAATTTTAAAAATTAGCCAGGCATGGTGATGTGTGCCTGTAGTACCAGGTGCTCAGGAGGGTGAAGGAGGAGGATCAGTTGAGCCCAGGAGTTTGAGGCTGCAGCGAGTGATAATTGTGCCACTGCACTCCAGCCTGGGTGACAGAGCCAGACTATGTCTCTTAAAAAAAAAAAAAAAGTTTTATTCAGCCACTGCTTTGACTAGAACTTCTGATAGCTCAAATATATCTCTTAAAAATATCTCTAAGCCTTAGGTTTTACATTCATTTTCTGATTCTCAAATCTTGTCACTTCCCTTATCCTTTTGAGCTCTTAATCCATTTCCACTGCCTTTTGGAGATTTTCCAGCTTGTCTGGGTTTCTGGAACAGTACTGTTTTTTATTGTCTCTATTGTGATTTAACATTTGCTATTGCATTTACATCTTTAAAAATTCTTTTTTTCCATCTTTCTTTCATGTCAGATGGGTATTTTGCCAACGTGAAAAGGTTCGGGGGTGACACATCTCACATACGAGTGTGAATCCCCAATCATCACACTTGCAAACTACAAAAGGATCACATTTTTAAAAATTCAGTATAGAAGAAGAAAAAACCCATAATCTTATTACATAGATAAAAACAACTATTAATATCTTAGAGTATATACGTCCAGAAAATTTTTCCTGTCTATCTTGATCTCTGTATTCATATTTGTAACTATCTACCTATAAAATCCCTTTTGTTTTAATACAGTCATGCACCATATAAAGACATTTTGGTCAACAATGGATGGCATATATGATGGTGATCCTGTAAGATTATAACGGAGCTGAAAGACTCCTGTCACTTAGTACTTTCTGTTACAGTTGCCTGTAGTATTCAGTACAGTCACATGCTGTCACCCAGGCTGTACAGGTTGTAGCCTAGGCGTGTCATAGGCTATGCTGTCTAGGTTTGTGTAAGTACACTCTGATGTTTGTATAACAATGAAATCACCTAACAACGCATTTCTGAGAACATCTTCCCATCATTTAGCAATGCATGATGGTATATGTAATACTAACTTTTATCTGGCATTTTACATTAACAATCTTTTTTTTTTTTTTGAGACGGAGTCTTGCTCTATCACCCAGGCTGGAATGCAATGGCTCAGTCTTGGCTCACTGCAACCTCCGCCTCCTGGGTTGAAGCGACTCTCCTGCCTCAGCCTCCTGAGTAGCTGGTATTACAGGCACACACCACCACAACCGGCTAATTTTTGTATTTTTAGTAGAGACAGGGTTTCGCCATGTTGGCCAGGCTGGTCTCGAACTCTTGACGTCAGGTGATCCACCCGCCTCAGCCTCCCAAAGTGCTGGGATTACAGGCGTGAGCCACCGTGCACGGCCTTATGTTAACAATCTTAACTGTTTTGACACAGATAGATTTAGAAGCCATGTTAAGGAAATACTCTTCTATTTCCATTTTCTCAATAAAAATACTAAGCTTCCACTGATCTAGTGCTGCTGTATTTGGCACTGTGCAATATGATTTTCTACATTAATTCATTGAAACGGGGCTGGGCACAGTGGCTCACGCCTGTAATCCCAGCACTTTGGGAGGCCGAGGCAGGTGGATCGTTTGAGGTCAGGAGTTTGAGCCAGCCTGGCCAACATGGTGAAACCCCGTCTCTACTAAAAATAAAAAAAATTAGCCAGGCGTGGTGGTGCACACCTGTAATCCTAGCTACTGGGGAGGCTGAGGCAGGAGAATCTCTTGAACCCTGGAGGTGGAGGTTGCAGTGAGCTGAGATCGTGCCACTGCACTCCAGCCTGGGTGACAGAGCAAGACTCCACCTCAAAAAAAAAAAAAAAAAAAAAAGATGAAAAGAAAGGAAACTCATCTTAGATTGGTTTTGGAACCCAGGTCTGTCTGACCTCAAAGCCCTGTGCCTTTAATCCCTAGGCCATATAATGCTTCATTGAACTTTTTCTAAAAATCAGAAATGGATGTTAATTTTATAAAATGCTTATTAAGCATTTTCAATATGACCAAATTTTTTCCTTTTTGACCTGTCGGTATGATGAATTCTATTAATGGATATTTCAGTGTGAACTCTCTGCACTCCTGGATTATACCCTACTAGATATATTATTCTTTGGATGTTTTGCTGAGTTCATTTGCTTATATTTTAAGATTTTTCCCATCTACATTTCTAAGAGAGATTAGTGTTTTGTAATGTGTTCTTTGTCAAGTTTTGGCACTATGGGGATGCTGGCTTTGGTAAAGGTATCTGGAAAAATTTCTTCTTTTTCTCTGCTCTGGGACAGTTTTAACAACACATTTACATATTCTTTGAAGGCATAAAAAACTGCCTGGGAAACTTTCTGGGTTCTATGCCATTTTTGGAGAGAAAGTTTTATTTATTTGTTTATTTATTTATTTGAGATGGAGTCTCTGTCGCCCAGGCTGGAATGCAATGGCACCATCTCAGCTCACTGCAACCTCTACCTCCCAGGTTCCAGTGATTCTGCTGCCTCAGCCTCCCAAGTAACTGGGATTATAGGCAACCACCACCACGCCCAGCTAATTTTTGTATTTTTAGTAAACATGGGATTTCACCACGTTGATCAGGCTGGTCTTGAACTCCTGACCTCAGATGATCTGCCTGCCTTGGCTTCCCAAAGTGCTGGGATTACAGGCGTGAGGCACTGCACCTGGTGGTTTGATATTTTTAATCTTTACTGTAACGTCTTGATCAGTTTTATAAATTTGTGCTTTCCTAGAAAATATTTTGGTGTTCTTTTTCTAATTTATTATTAGAAATGTATATACATTTCCTCAGTACCTGGAGTTAACTTCACTTTCTCTTTCTTCCTGTTGTATGCTTGTGATTTCTGTCTTTTTTCTTAATTATCCTTGCCAGAAGTTAATTTTACTGGTTATGACACAGAATCAGCTCTTGAACCTATCAATTCCATTGTTCTTTACTTTCGTCACTTATTTTATGATTTATTATTATTATTATTTTTGAGATGGAGTCTCACTCTGTTGCCCAGGCTGGAGTGCAGTGGCACCATCTCAGCTCATTGCAACCTCTGGCTCCCAGGTTCCAGTGATTCTGCTGCCTCAGCCTCCCAAGTAGCTGTGATTACAGGTGCACGTCAGCATGCCCGGCTATATTTTATGATTTTATCTTTATTAATACCACTCTCCTGCTTTCCTGAAGTTTTTTTTTTTTTTTTTTGAGACAGTTTCACTCTGCCTGTCACACATGCTGGAGTGCAGTGGCATGATCTTGGCTCACTGCAACCTCTGCCTCCTGAGTTCAAGCGATTCTCCTGCCTCAGCCTCCCAAGTAGCTGAGATTACAGGTGCACACCACTACGCCTGGCTAATGTTGTGTTTTTTGTAGAGATGGGGGTCTCACTATGTTGCCCAAACTTGTCTTGAACTCCTGGACTCAAGCAATCTACCTGCCTTGGCCTCCCAAAGTTTTGGGATTACAGGTGTGAGCCACCCCACCCAACCTCTGAAGTCTTTTTCTAGGCAAGTTCAGTGCTTAGTTATTTTTTGTTTAAATTTTTTAAAGCTATGAGTTTTCCTCTGAATATAGCTTTGTCACTTCCAATACATTTGATACATGATATTATCACATTGTTAGTATTATAAGGTTTTTTTAGGTATAATTCATGTAACATAAAATTCACCCTTTTGAAGTATACGGTTCAGTGATTTTTCATATATCCGCATAGTTGTGCAACAAGTGCTATCTAATTCTAAAACATTTCATCACCCTGAAAGGAAACCCATTAGTCACTCACCATTCCATCCACCTCCTCTAGCTCTTGGTAACAACTAGGTCTTTCTGTTTCTATGGATTTGCCTCTTCTTGGCATCTCAATACATGGAATTATACAATATGTGAACTTGCATGTCTGGCTTCTCTCACTTAGCATAATGGCTTCAAGTTTCATCCATATTGTAGCACGTATCAGTACTTCATTCCTTTTTATGGCTGAATGACATTCCATTGCATGGATAGACCACAATTTTGCTTATCCATTCATCAGTTGATAGACATTGGGCTGTTTCCACATTTTGGCTATTATGAATAATACTATTATGAATATTAATGTATTCATAATACATTAATGAATATATGTTTTTGCATAAACATATATTTTCAGTTTTCATGGCTATATACCTAGGAGTAGAATTGCTAAGTCATATGGTTATGGACTGAATTATGTTACCTCCAGATTCATGTGTTAAAACCCTAAACCCCAATGTGACTATATTTGGAGAGAGTCTCTTTAAGGAGGTAATTAAGGTTAAATGAGATATAAGGGTGGGCCCTAATCCATTAGGACTGGTATCTCTATAAGAAAAGGGAGAGACACTACCCGGTGTGGTGGCTCACGCCTGTAATCCCAGGACTTTGGGAGGCCGAAGTGGGTGGATCACCTGAGGTCAGGAGTTCGAGACCAGCCTCAACATGGAGAAACCCCATCTCTACTAAAAATACAAGATTAGCTGGGCATGGTGGTGCATGCCTGTAATCCCAGCTACTCGGGAGGCTGAGGTAGGAGAATTGCTTGAACCTGGGAGGTGGAGGTTGCGGTAAACCGAGGTCGTGCCATTGCGTTCCAACATGGGCAACAAGAGCGAAACTCCATCTCAAAAAAAAAAAAAAAAGAAAAGAAAAGAAAAGGGAGAGACACCACAGCTCACTCACTCTTTGTCCATATGTGCACAGAGGAAAGGCCACGTGAGAATACAGTGGGAAGGTGGCTGGTCAGGAAAACAGCTCTTACCGGATTACAGATCTGCTGACCTCTTGACCTGGGACTTCTAGCCTCCAGAAGTGTGAGAAAATAAATTTTTGTTATGAAAGCCAAAGGTGGCTTTTGTTAGGAAAGCCACCTTTGTTATTTATTTATGTATTTTTTGAGACAGTCTTCCTCTGTCACCCAGGCTGGAGTGCAGTGGTGCGATCTCAGCTCACTGCAACCTCCGCTTCCCAGGTTCAAGCAATTCTCAAGCCTCAGCTTGCCAAGTAGCTGGGATTATAGGTGCGTGCCACCACGCCTGGCTAATATTTGTATTTTTTAGCAGAGACAGGGTTTCCCCATATTGGCCAGGTTGGTTTCAAACTCCTGGCCTCAGGTGATCCACCTACCTTGGCCACCCAAAATGCTGAGATTACAGGTATGAGCCACCATGCCTGGCTTGAAAGCCACCTTTGTTATTAAAGGTCTGTGGTTTCTTTTTATGGTAACCTGAGCTGACTAATACATATAATAACTTTTTAACTTTTTGAGGAATTACCAACTTTTTCAAAGCAGCTCTACCATTTTGCATTCCTACCTGCAAAGTACAAGGGTCCAAGTTTCTCTGCCTCCTCACCAATACTTGTTATTGTTTGTCTTTTAAACAGTAGCCATCCTAGCAGATGTGAGGTAATATCTCATTGTGGCTTTGATTTGCATTTCCCTAATAACTAATGATATTGAACATCTTTTCCTGTGCAGGGTTTTCTTTTTGTCATTAAGTTATATTATAACTATAGATATGTATTACAGACACTAGACCCTTGTGTTCATTTCCCAGGGTTGCTCTAACAAGGTGCCAAAAAACTGGCTGGCCTAAAACAAATGTATTGCAAAATCAAGGTGTCGTCAGAGCCACGCTGCCTCTGATGATTCTAGAGGAGGACCCTTCCCTGCCTTTCAGCTTCTTATGTTTCCTGGCAATCCTTGGTGTTCCTTGGCTCGCAGACGCATCACTCTAGTCACATGGCTGTCTTCTCCCTGTGTCTTCACATCATCATCTCTCTAGGTGTTTTTCTCTGTGTTCAAATTCTTCTTTTCATGAAGATGCCAGTCATATTGGATTAGGGCCCACACTAATGACCTCATTTTAACTTGATTACCTCTGTAAAAATAAGATCACATTCTGAGATGGGAAGTGGTGGTTGGGACTTCAACATATCTTTTTTGGAGACACAATTTAACCCATACAAACCTTGTCAGATACATGATTTGTGAATATTTTCTCCCACTCTGTGGTTTGGCTTTCACTTTATTGAGAATAGCCTTTCAATCACAAAAGCTTTTAGTTTCTTTTTTTTTTTCCCCAAGATGGAGTCTTGCTCTGTTGCCCAGGGTGGCGTACAGTGGTGCAATCTTGGCTCACTGCAACCTCTACCTCCTGGGTTCAAGCGATTCTCCTGCCTCAGCCTCCAGAGTAGCTGGGACTACAGGTGCACACCACCACATCCAGCTATTTTTTTTTTTTTAGATGGGCTGGAGTGCAGTGGCATGATCTCTGCTCACTGCAACCTGTGCCTCCTGGGTTCAAATGGTTCTCCTGCCTCAGCCTCCCGAGTAGCTGGGATTACAGGCACACACTGACGCACCCAGCTAATTTTTTTTTTTTTTTGTATTTTTAGTTGAGACAGTTTTACCATGTTGGCCAGGCTGGTCTCGAACTCCTGACCTCGTGATCCACCCGCCTCAGCCTCCCAAAGGGCTGGGATTACAGGAGTGAACCACTGTGCCCGGCCAAAAGCTTTTAATTTTGATGAAGTCAAATTTATTTATTTCTTCTTTGGTTGCTTGTGCTTTTGGTGTCATCGCTAAGAAACCATTGCTTAGTCCAAGGTTAACATTTCTGTGTTTTCTTTTAGTGTTGTAGTTTTGAATCAAATTATTTTAGAGGATGTGCTTTTATTTCCAGATGACTTGCTTTTATTTTGTTTGTCTTTACGTTGCTGATTGTAGTGCTTCATGGAGGTTTGTACGTGGTAAAAATTTTTAAACTATTTCATGGCTACTTTAAAACAATGTGCACTATTTTATGGTGTAGTTCTTTCTCTCTCTGTCTTTATATATCTATATCTATCTATATATACACAGATGTTCCTCAACTTAATGACGGGCTTATGTCCCATTGGGCTTATTATAAGTTGAAAATATTATAAGTCAAAAATGCATTTAATGCACCTAGCCTGCCAGATATCATACCTTAGCCTAGCCTACTTTAAACATGCCCAGAACACTTACATTAGCCTACAGGTGGGCGAAATCACCTATTTTACAATGAGTATTTTACACTGAGTATCATGTAATTTATTGAACACTGTACTGAAAGTGCAAAAATAGAATGGTTGTATTGCTTTTACACCATGGTAAAACAATCATCAGTTAAACCATCACGAGTTATTATTCAGTTGTGGTTCCTTCTTATTTTTTACTTGATGTTCCAAAGACTGAGAGGGGTTCATTTTGCATTCTGTTTGTGATTTTGTTAAAATTCCTTGTATTTGTAATGAATTTTATTTTAAATATTTCAATTTTGCTGATGCACTTTTAGTTTCTTCACCCAGCCCTTCTCAGTTTCTCCATTTTTATCTCATCTCGTTTCTTTTTCTTCTCCACCTGTTTTCTCCTTATGACCTTCTGTACATAGTTGGTGGAGGCTGTGTTTTCTTTCTTCTTAAAGTGCCAGAGCGTTTTACTTACTCTCTATCATATTAAATCACTTTTCAAGATCTACTTCTCCTGAGTCTTCAGAATAATGTTCCTATTCTCTTATTCTGAAATATTTTTTCATATACCCAATTTCTGGTATTTTCTGTTTACTTGTTCTTGAGTAAGGAAATAGCTGGTGTTTGTCAACAACAACAAAAAAGATGCGTGAATTGCCCTTTGAATTAGTTATGAGGTTTTCAGCTGCAAGTAACAATAAATCTCAGTCTAACTGATTTTATTTTATTATTATTATTATATTATTATTATTAGAGACAAGGTCTTACTCTGTCACTCAGGCTGGAGTGCAGTGGCATGATCATAGGCTCACTGTAACCTCAAATTCCTGGGGTCAGGTGATCCTCCCGCCTGAGCCTCCCAAGTGGCTAGGACTGCAGGCATGCCAACATGCCTAGCTAACTTTTTTTTCTTTTTAAATTGTTTTGTAGAGACGGAGTATTGCTATGTTGCCCAGGCTGGTCTCTAACTCCTGGCCTCAAGCAAGACCCCCATCTATGCCTCTCAAAGCTCTGGGATTATAGGCATGAGCCACAGTGCTGGGCCCTAACTGACTTTAACTTAAATGATTTCTTAGCTCACATAAGAGGGCTAGAGTTAAAGCTTGGTTCATTCAGCAGCTCAAAAGTGTCCTCAAGGACCTAGGTTTTTTCTGTCTGTCCACTCTGCCATTCTCATCACATAGGCTGGTTCCCTCATGGTAGCAAGGTGGCTGCAGCAGCTCCAGACATCACATCCTTACCATTCAGAGGCAGAAAAAGAACTGTTTCTTCCTTGCAGGTATCTTTTTAAAAGCAAGAAACTTTTCTCTGAATCCCCTGTCCCCAGCTAACTTCTTTTGTTGGCCAGAACTGGATTGTAAGCCCAACCCTAAACCATTCACTGGCAAAGGGAATGAGTGCACACAAATGTCTTAGAACAGCCAGAAGTTACCCAAGTCACCTATGGGGAGACAGTAGACTATGAACCAAAAATTCAGCTCAGCTAGCAGGAAAGGGGGACAAGGCTGTTGACTAGGTTTCCAGTACTATCTGCTGTAACTTTGGCCCCACTTGGGTGCTGGCTGATTCCCATCCCAAATCTACAGCTGGAGAGCCGGTGCTTGGTGTTAGTTTTTAGCTCCACTAGCAGGATTTATCAGGCTTTCATCTAATTATCTCTTCGGAGCTGAGATGGAACCATCTTCTACCTCTCTATCCTGGCCATCTGATGCTTTCCACAAATGTAGCTCAAAAATGGACATTTCTAGCCTCCTTTTCCATCTCTGCCCCATCTGTATTCGCAAGGAACTTTGCCACCTCCTAGAATGCTTCATCACTCCTCTCGCCTTTGTGCTCAGGCCTTTTCTGGGAGCTGCCGTCTCAAAGTGAATTTTGGCTGAGAAGCGCCCCCGGGGGATAGGGAAGAGCACTCTTCCTCGAAAGCAGCTCTGCAGTAGAGTGCTGGCTGTGCATTGTCCACTTGACAAAGACTTGGCTTTTTTTTTTTTTTAAAGGGTCAGACACTGAAGGGAGGAATAAAGGATTTTTTTGAGTTATTTTTAGAATGGGAGGCAATGCCACTCTGTGGGCAGTGTAGCCTAGGGGTTCATTACAATTGCACTTTTTGATCTAGTCCCACTGCCTTGATCATAAGTAGAAATGTGCCACTCTACTCTCCAGCCCCCATTCTGGCGATCAGCTGTCAAGACTAGTTTATGGTGATGGTGTAGGTTTTCAACTCTTACTGTGTCTTTATGTTTTAATTGGAATTTGGGAAAGACATGGAGTGGAGGCTGCTAGATATATATACCATTTAAGACTAGAAGCCACATCCACGCACTTGTCAGAGCCTGAGCCACCTACTCCGTTTCCACTTTCTTGCTTTATTACTATCTGATCGGTACTTTCCTCAATCCCCTGAAGGCACCGGGAACGTCCACTTTATGAAAGCCAGTGGGAAGTTTGAATCATCATCTTACTCTGTTGTCTCCTCTCAGCGTAAGACATGGCCCAGCGCCAGCTCCTCTTGCTGGAATGCTGGTGCTGAGCACTCGCTCAGTCCCTCATAACACATTACTTCATAAAATTCCCACAGCAAGCCTAGGAGGTGTCATCATTGTTCTCATTTTACACACGGGGAAACTGAGGCTCAGGGAGTAAGATCACTTGCTTGTGGACCAATAGTGGGCTAACCACTGGAAAAGTCAGGAGGGAACCTTCCTAAATGTTCTCTTCCCTGGGCTTCCATCACCTTGCCCACCCTTGGTCTTCCTCCTGCCTCTCTGGCTCCTCCTTGTCAAGCTTCTCTTCCTTTGCCTGTTTCTTAATTGTTGGCGTGTCTCAGGCTTATTCCCTAAAAGCTTTTCCTCTTCTCTTTTTATGCGTTTTCCCTGGACAGTTTCATCCCTTCACCTTATCATGGCTCCTGCATCTCCATTTTTCTCCCAGACACCTTTTCTGAGCCCTGGAACCATTTCTCCCACTGCCCTCCTGGCATCTTCTCTTGGAAACCCCTTTGCCGAACACTAACCCCAGGCCTTATTATCTCCCGTATATGTGTGTATGTGTGTGTATGCTGCTGTTCATCTGACATCATCCAGACTGGCGGTTCTCAAACTTGTCTGCACGCTGGAATCACCAAGAAACTTAAAAAATAAAGCAACTGGCTGGGCACGGTGGCTCACGCCCGTAATCCCAGCACTTTGGGAGGCCGGGGTGGGCGGATCATGAGGTCAGGAGATGGAGACCATCCTGGCTAACATGGTGAAACCCCGTCTCTACTAAAAATACAAAAAATTAGCTGGGCGTGGTGGCGGGCACCTGTAGTCCCAGCTACTCGGGAGGCTGAGGCAGGAGAATGGCGTGAACCTGGGAAGTGGAGCTTGCAGTGAGCCGAGATCCCGCCCCTGCTCTCCAGCCTGGGTGACAGAGTGAGACTCTGTCTCAAAAAATAAACAAATAAATAAATAAATAATAAAATAAAATAAAAGCAACTAATCCCTGAGCTCCAGCCTACAGAGATGATGATTTGTTTGCTCTGGGTTGTGACCTGGGCAACATTTTTTTTACTGTAAAAAACACATAAAATGTATCATCTTAACCCATTTCACATGTATAGTACAGTAATGTTAACTAGATACGTTGTCCAAAGGATATAATTTTTTTCCTTTATTTTTATTTATTTATTTTTTTTGAGACTGGGTCTTGCTGTATTGCTTAGGCTGGAGTGCAGTGGCAGCCTTGACCTTCTGGTCTTGGGCAAGCCTCCTGTCTCAGCCTCCCACGTGTCTGGGACCACAGGTGTGTGACACCATGCCCAGCTAATTGTTTGATTTTTTGTAGAGACAGGGTCTCACTTTGTTGTCCAGGCTGGTGTTGAACTCCTGGGCTCAAGCGATCCTCCCACCCTGGCCCTCCCAAAGTGCTGAGATTACAGGCATGAACTCCAATACCTGGGGTGTAGAACTTTTTCATCTTGCAAAGCTGAAATTCTGTATCCAGTCAACAACTCCCCTTTACCCCCACCACCCTCCCCTGGCAACTACCATTCTACTTCCTTTTTTTTTTTTTTTTTTTTTTTGAGACAGGGTCTCACTCTATCAACCAGGCTAGAGGGCACTGGTGTAATCTTGGCTCACTGCAACCTCCACTTCCTGGGTTCAAGTGATTCTCCTGCCTCAGCCTCCCAAGTAGCTGAGATTATAGGCACACACCACCAGGCCTGGTTAATTTCTGTAATTTTAGTAGAGACAGGGTTTCACTACATTAGCCAGGCTGGTCTTGAATTCCTGGCCTCAAGTGATCTACTGGCCTTGGCCTACCAAAGTGTACTGGGTTTACAGGTGTGAGTCACTGAGATTATAAGCATGAGTCACTGCACCTGGCCTACTATTCTACTTTCTGTTTCAAAGAGTTTGACTACTTTAGATACCTCACATAAGTGGAATCATGCAGTATTTGTCTTTTTGTGACGAATTGTTTCACTTAGCATAGTGTCTTCGAGGTTCATTCATATTGTAGCATATAACAGAATTTTCTTCTTTTTAAGGACTAATATCCTGTTGTATGTTTACACCATATATTCTTTTTTCTTTTCTTTTTTTTAACTCTTTTTTATTATTATACTTTAAGTTCTAGGGTACATGTACACAGCGTGCAGGTTTGTTACATAGGTATACAAGTGCCATGTTGGTTTGTTGCACCCATCAACTCGTCGTTTACATTAGGTATTTCTCCTACTGCTATCCCTCCCCCTACCCTCCACCCCGCGACAGGCCCCGGTGTGTGATGTTCCCTGCCCTGTGTCCAAGTGATCTCATTGTAAAACTCCCACCTATGAGTGAGAACATGCGGTGTTTGGTTTTCTGTCCTTGTGACAGTTTGCTTAGAATGATGGTTTCCAGCTTCATCCATGTCCCTGCAAAGGACATGAACTCATCCTTTTTTTATGGCTGCATAGTATTCCATGGAGTATACACCATATTTTCTTTATCCATTTATCCACTTATGGACATTTAGGTTGCTTCCACCTCTTGGCTGTTGTGAATAATGCTGCAATGAACATGGGTGAGCAGTATCTCTTCAAGACCTGATTTCAGTTCCTTTGGATATATGCCCAGAAACAGGATTGCTGGATCATATAGTAATTATAATTTTTTAAGGAACCTCCATATTGTTTTCCATAGCAGCTGCACCAATTTACATTCCTACACAATGGTGTACAAGGGTTCCAATTTTTTCATGTCCTTGCCAACACTTGTTATGTCCCATATTTTTGGTAGTGGTCATCCTAAAGGGTGTGAGGTGATATCTCATTGTGATTTTGATTTTGATTTCCCTGATGATTAATGATATTAAGCATCTTTTCATGTGCTTCTTGGCCTTTTGTATATCTTTTTTTTTGAGACAGAGTCTCACTCTGTTGCCCACGCTGGAGTGCAGTGGTGCGATCTCAGCTCACTGCAACCTCTGCCTCCCAGGTTCAAACAATTCTTGTGCCTCAGCCTCTGGAGTAGCTGGGATTACAGATGCATGCCACCACGCCCAGCTAACTTTTGTATTTTTAGTACAGACGGGGCTTCACCATGTTGGCCAGGCTGGTCTCAATCTCTTGACTTCAGGTGATCTGCCCCCTCGGCCTCTCCAAGTGCTGGGATTACAGGCAAGAGCCACCGCGCTCAGCCTATATATCTTTTTTGAAGAAATGTCTACTCAAGCTGGTCTGAGTGCAGTATTGTTTACAACTAACTGATCACAACCAGTTATAGATTTCTTTGTTCATCTCCACTCCCACTGCCTCGCTTGATAGCAAAAAAAAAAAAAAAAAAAAAAAAAAAGCCTACAGTTATTTGGTCTTTGTTGTTGAGTTCTAGACATTCTTTATACATTCTGGATATTAACCCCTTAGATAAATGGTTAGCAAGCATTTTCTCCCATTTCAAAGACTGCTTTTTCACTCTGATTATTGTTGCCTTTGCCCTGCAGAAGTTTTAAAGTTTGATGTAGTCTCATTTGTCTATTTTCGTTTTTGCTGCCTGTGCTTTTGGTGTCATATCCAAGAAATCATTGCTGAATCCAGTGTCATGAATCTTTTCCCCTGTGTTTTCTTCTAGGAGTTTTATCATTTCAGATCCTACATTTAGGTCTTTAATCCACTTTGAGTTCATTTTTTGCATATGATTTTAGGTGAGGGTCCAACTTCATTCATTTGCAGGTGGATATCCACTTTTCTCAGTGCCATTTGGTGAAGAGACTATCCTTTCTGCATAGCATAACCTTGGTACCCTTGTGGGAGATCATTTGACCATACATGGAGAGGAGTTATTTCTGGGCTCTGTATTCTGTTTCATTGGTCTATATGTCTGTACCATATTGCTTTGATTACTGTAGCTTTGAAATATGTTTTGAAGTAAGGAAGTGTGAGGACTCTACCTTTTGTGTGTGAGTGTGTGTGTGTGTAGGTTTTGTTGTTGGTTGGTTTTTGTAAATGATGGAGTCTCACTGTGTTGCCCAGGCTGGTCTCAAAATGCTGGCCTCAAGTGATTCTCTCACCTTGGCCTCTCAAAGTGCTGGGATTACAGGTGTGAGCCACTGCCTCTGGCCCACCTTTATTTTTCCTTCCCATGATTGTGTTGACTATTCATGGTCCTTTTAGATTCCATATGAATTTTAGGATGTTTTTTCTATTTCTGCAAAAAA
The DNA here is from genome assembly GCF_000001405.40 of Homo sapiens. Taxonomy (NCBI): domain Eukaryota; kingdom Metazoa; phylum Chordata; class Mammalia; order Primates; family Hominidae; genus Homo; species Homo sapiens. Next base: position 37,737,070 of record NC_000001.11, on the reverse strand, counting down.
TGCCTGGGATTTTGATAGGATTGCATTAAATCTGTAGATCACTTTTGGTAGTAGAGACATTTTAACAGTATTAAGTGTTCTATTCCATGAACACAGGATGCCTTTCCAATTATTTGTGTTTTATTTCATTTCTTTCAGCAATATTTTATAGTTTTCTGTATAAAAGTCTTTCATCCCTTTGGTTAAGTTTATGTCTAAGTATTTTATTATTTTTGATGCTATCGTAAGTGGGATTGTTTTCCTAATTTCCTTTTTGAATTGTTCATTGTGTATAAGAACACAACAAATTTTTGTGCATTGGTTTTGTATTTTGCAACTTTGCTGTATTTTGTTTATTAATTCTAAATTTTATTTTATTTTTTTGAGATGGAGTCTTGCTCTGTTGCCCAGGTTGGAGTGCAGTGGCGCGATCTCGGCTCACTGTAACCTCTGCCTCCCAGGTTCAAGTGATTCCCCTGCCTCAGCCTCCCAAGTAGCTGGGACTACAGGCGCGCACCACCATGCCCAACTCATTTTTGTATTTTTAGTAGAGACGGGGTTTCACCATGTTGGCCAGGATGGTCTCAATCTCTTTTTTTTTTTTTTTTTTTTTTTGAGACAGAATTTTGCTTTTGTTGCCCAGGCTGGAGTGCAATGGCACGACCTCAGCTCACTGCAACCTCCACCTCCCGGGTTCAACTGATCTTCTTCCTCAGCCTCCCAAGTAGCTGGGATTACAGGCATGTACCACCATGCCTGGCTAATTTTGCATTTCTTTAGCAGAGACAGGGTTTCACCATTTGATCAGGCTGGTCTCGAACTCCTGGCCTCAAGTGGTCCACCTGCCTCGACCTGACGTCAAGTGATCCACCTGCCCGGCTGGTCTTGATCTCTTGACCTCATGAACCACCTGCCTCAGCCTCCGAATGTGCTGGGATTATAGGCGTGAGCCACCACGCCTGGCCTAACAATTTTGTGTGTGGAATCTTTAGGGTTTTCTACATATAAGATCATGTCATCTGTAAACAGAGATAAATTTCCTGCTTCTTTTCCAGTTTGGATGCCTTTTATTTCTTTTTCTTGCCTAACTGCTCTGGCTAGAACTTCTGGTATTATGATGAATAAAAGTGATGACAGCAGACATCTTACCTTTTTCCTGATGTTGGAGGGAAGGCTTCCAGTCTTTCACCATTGGGTATGATGCTCACTGTAGGCTTTTCATATATGGCCTTTATTCTTTTGGGATAATTTCCTTCTATTTCTAGTTTGTTGAGTGTATTACCTCTTGACCAGACCATTGGAATCGTTAAGAAGCAGGTCCTTCTGCCTCTAAATGCTCTCTTATGTCTCCAAGCTGCAGCAAGTATAGAAAGAGCCTGGAGGATTAGAGCCGACCACCATGAGAGAAGCTGGGCTGTAAGGGGTGGGCAAGCAGCAGAAGGCCTAATGCTTTTCCCTCTATGGGACAATGAAGAAAAGGGCTGTGGGGGCAGAGGTGCTTCTTTCCTCTGGTCCCACAGACTCCTCTCCTTTGGCCATGCCTCTCAGTCAGTTCCCTAGCCCCGCCCACAGCCCGTTAGACCACGCCCCAGGCCTCTCTAGTCCGGTCCCACAGCCCCGCACGCCGCACCCTCTTCCCCGCACCCCCAGCCCTGCCGTGAGGTGGGTCAAGGTGGAGAATCCCACGTAACTTACTTTCAGCGCCCTGGGAGGAGGATGAGATCCGCAGGGACCGAGTGGAACCCCAGAGCGTGTCCCTGTCGTGGCGGGAGCCCATCCCTGCCGGAGCCCCTGGGGCCAATGACACGGAGTACGAGATCCGATACTACGAGAAGGTGAGTGCGTGTCTGGGAGGGACCTGGAGCCTGCCCCGCACCTGTCCCGCAGGGCTTCTGGTTCTTCAGGCCATCCTCCCAGCAAAAGCCCTCGTTACTCCCTTTGTAAACATAACCACCCGTCTCCTAGGGGCCCCAGGCTCGAGTCTCCCCCTCCTCCCCCGGACTCCTGCTCTTCCTCCCTCCGCTCAGGTCTATCTCCAACACCAACCATCTCCATTGTCCCCATGTCACCTAGTGTTTCGGTTGACAAAGAGCTTTCTCTGGGGCCCGGTCCAGATTTTGTGTGGCTGAATCTTATACGTATCATTTGTAGAGCCCTTTTAAAGAAAAAGGACACAGAAAGATCATATCATTTCTAATTTTACAAAAGTGCCTGACCATGGAGCACATTGCTGGGTGTGGTGGTGTGCTGGTAGATATTTAACAGCCAGCTTTCCAGAACAATAAATGTATGAGTTATTATAATTCCAGTCATATAAAAAAGTGTAGCACAGCATTTACAGTGATAATAAAATATGTTCAGAACTCTTGATTGTGAACTCCATATGGCCAATTGATCCCCATAGGATACTTGTGCTGATTTTTGCTGACCTCTTGTATCCATTGTCAATCTGTGGTTGCAGCTTAGCTGTGATGTAACAAATGGAGTCACATCCCAATCTGCTCTTTTCCCCGTAAGTTTATTACCTTTATTATTTATTTATTTATTTATTTATTTTGAGACAGAGTTTCATTCTTGTCACCCAGGCTGGAGTGCAGTGACATGATCTCGGCTCACTGCAACCTCCGTCTCCCAGGTTCAAGTGATTCTCCTGCTTCAGCCTCCCAAGTAGCTGGGATTACAGGCATGCACAACTACACACAGCTCATTTTTGTATTTTTAGTAGAGACGAGGTTTCATCGTGTTGGCCAGGCTGGTCTATATCTCCTGACCTCAGGTGATCCACCCGCCTTAGCCTCCCAAAGTGCTGGGATTACTGGTGTGAGCCACTGCACCTGGCCAATTTATTATCTTTAAATCTGATATGCAAACTACTGTTAAACTGTTTCTCACCTTGGTGCAAATTATATTCACTGAAGTGAAACCTCTTTCAGCTTCTACATGTGTCAGAACTTCACTCACTCCTCAATGACATGAGGGACTCCTTTGCTGAAAATAGTTTTTGAATACTGGAAGTCTGTTGAGACCTGTGAGTGTTGGGGATGAGTGGGAAGGAGGAGAGAGTCCTGAGTCACTGCTGGGTGTCTGACCTGGGTAACCCAGAGTCTGAGGTACCACTGACTGAGATGGAGAAGCACTGAGGTGGAAGGGCAGGCTTGGAGCAAGGTGATGAACCTGGTTTTGCTCATCTAGCATTCAGGGGGCCTCTGGGACACCCAGGTAGACTTGCAGGTCTGAAGCTTAAGGGAGAGGCCTGGCTTGGAAAGGGAGAGAAAGAGAGAGAGAGAGAGTGAGAGTGTTGGGGGCTCTCAGCATAGAGACAGTAGCTGCTGCCAGGGGAGAAATTGGGGGAGAGGAATGAGAAGGGGAATGTGTCTGAGAAGAGTGGCCAGGACAGAGCCCTGAGGAATGCTGATGTTTAGGGAGAGCAGCAAAGGACACTGGGAAGCAGGTGCTTAGAAAGGACTCACTGAATGGACTTTGAGGATCAGGGTATAGACAAGAGCCCCAAGGTTGAGCTGGGTGGATGCTCCCAGGTTGTTGGGCATGAAAACCCTCAAAAAGAGGAGCAAGGGCCAGGCTCAGTGGCTACCACCTGTGATTCCAGCACTTTGGGAAGCTGAGACGGGAGGACGGCTTGAGGCCAGGAGTTCAAGACCAGCCTGGGCAACAAAGTGAGACCGCCACCTCTACAAAAAAGAAATTAGCCAGGCATGGTGGTGTGCGCCTGTGGTCCCAGCAACTTGGGATGCTGAAGCAGGAAGATCGCTTGAGCCCGGGAAGTCGAGGCTGCAGTGAGCAGTGGTTGCACCACTGCACTCCAGCCTGGGCAACAGAGCGAGACCCTGTCTCAAAAAAACCCACCAAAACCCCCAAAAACAACAAAAAAGAAGGAACAAGTCCGGGCGTGGTGGTGCACGCCTGTAATCCCAGCACTTCGAGAGGCCAAGGCAGGTGGATCACCTGAGGTCAGGAGTTCGAGACCAGCCTGGCTAACATGGCGAAACCCAGTCTCTATTAAAAAAACAAAAATTAGCCAGACATGGTGGTGGGTGCCTGTAATCCCAGCTACTCAGGAGGCTGAGGCAGGGAGAATTGCTTGAACCCAGGAGGTGGAGGTTGCAGTGAGCCGAGATTGCACCACACTGCATTCCAGCCTAGGTGACACAGCAAGACTCTGCCTCAAAAAAAAAAAAAAAAAAAAAAAAAAAAAAAAAAAAAAAAAAAAGAACAAGTATAAAAGGGCTATATTTGAAAGGCTTCAGTGTACTCTCATGGAGCCTGCTGAGTAGAAGCCTTGCTGGGCCACTGGACCTGGGCGGGTGTCTGGCAGCTCCCCTCTGGAGCCACAGTGCTGCTCATCTCAACCTCTCTCTGCACACCAGTCCAGCCCATGATGCAGAGGGGCTTGCTTACGGCACGTTGCCAATGCCCAGGTAGGCAGCCTTGCTCCTTCCTCCTCTCTGCCCCTAGCCTGCCCTACCTTGTGGGTCCTGAAGCCACTGCTTCTCTGTCTTTCAATGGATTGTTGAGATGCCTGGAAGAGAGATTCTGATTGGCCCAGCTTGGGTCAAAGTCCGTCCCAGTTCCTGAATGCTATGGTCAGAAAGCTGGAGCCACCGAATATCAGTGGGGAGAATAACTTTCTGGGGCTGTGGATATGGCAGGGCCTCTAATAAGGTGTGGGCAGGGACGAAACGACGGGAGGAGCATCTCTAGTATGCCATTGTCAGGTGTGTTGGGGTGGAGCGGGGGGCAGCATGATGTCGAGCAAAAAACACGGGCTCTGCAGGGATTCAGAGGGTGCACCAGCCCCTTCCTTGATGTGAACCTCACCTAAAAAGGAGATGGAAATGCTGACTCCACAGGGCTGTTGTGAGGCTCACAGGAGGCAAAGGGTCTCATGCAGAAGCTGGCACTGAGTAGGCGCTCATCAGTGATGGCTCCAGCTGGGGCCTTGGGGGAGTCTTTACCCCTCTGAACTGGGTTTCCTTATCTGTGAAACAAACAAACAAGATAATACTTTCTGTCCTCTGAGCCTTGCAGGACAGTTGTGAAAAATCAGACATCGAGGAAAGGAAAAGCCTTGTGGGCCATTGGGGGCTTTCATGTGTCAGGGCTCATTCTCTCATTCTGTCCTTTGAGGCTTCAGGCCTGCCTAGGGCACTGGCTCAGCTTAGCCTGGATGGACAGGCCCTGGTGGCCCTCATCCTATCATCCCCCGGAAGGAGGATCTGGTGTCTTCTCTAAAATTTCTCTTATGCAGAGGTGGTGCTATTCTCAGCTACAAGTGCCACCGAGTGTGGGTGGGTGCTTGTGGTGAAGACAGGGGCTAAGGATCCAAGGAAAAGATCCCTGGGAAACCCCAAGATGATTGAGGTTGGGTTTTCGCACTCAGCCCACATTCACGTAAGGGCGCTTCTCCTGCCTCCCTGTTCCTGTTCACCCTTTGTTCTCCTAGAACAGTGGATCTGGCGCTGGTGGGCTTCACTTCTTGATCTCTCTCCAGGGTCAGAGTGAGCAGACTTACTCCATGGTGAAGACAGGGGCGCCCACAGTCACCGTCACCAACCTGAAGCCGGCTACCCGCTACGTCTTTCAGATCCGGGCCGCTTCCCCGGGGCCATCCTGGGAGGCCCAGAGTTTTAACCCCAGCATTGAAGTACAGACCCTGGGGGAGGGTAAGTAGTGTGTGTGAGTGGACAGGGACCTAGACAGAGAGAACCCTGCACGGGGCTGAGGTAGGGAGACAAATAGAGGGGGAGAGTTATCTGGAGTTATCTGTGCAATGAAGGGAGCCTGCAGAACAGTTTAATTAATTACAGCCTAATTAATTAATGACTTTGAAATCCACTGACTAATGCCTGTTCACCGACGTGAATTAGATTGGGAAACTGTCCTGGAGGAGCTCACAGGAGAGGGATTTGTGAACAGCTATAACCCATGTCTCAGCTGGATAGAGACTCAGTTTGGATAGAGACCCAAACATGGGACACTGTCCCTTTCCCCACTAGGCCTTAGAGCGTGATGCTGACTTCACTGAAGGTTGATGGACATGAAGGGGTTGCATTGCAGTGATAAACACAAAAATAAGGATTGCGGCCAGGCGCGATGGCTCACACCTGTAATCCCAGCACTTTGGGAGGCTGAGGCAGGTGGATCACCTGAGGTCAGGAGTTCGAGACCAGCCTGGCCAACATGGTGAAACTCCTTCTCTACTAAAAATACAAAAATCAGCCGGGCGTGGTGGCGGGCACCTGTAATCCCAGCTACTCGGGAGGCTGAGGCACAAGAATCACTTAAAACCGGGAGGCAGAGGTTGCAGTGAGCCAAGATTATGCCACTACGTTCCAGCCTAGGTCACAGAGTGAGACTCTGTCTCAAAAAAAAAAGAAGGATTGTGTAACTTAAGTGGGTAAATCACATGGTATGCGAACGATATCTCAATAAAGCTGTTACCAAAACCAAACAAAAACTGGAAATTGAATATCCTCATCTGAAAACATCTCCGGCTTCTCCGCAATATTGTGCTTTCCTCCCTCCTCCTTTACTTCCCTCCCCTGGTTCCTCTTCTCCCCACCCACTGCCCAATTCCCTGATGTGTGCACAGCAGTTTAGCTGTCTTGTTGCTTTGCCTGCTGCTAACCTGGTCCTCAGGATCTCACCTCTATCTGCCCTGAGCAGCTCATGAAAATATTTTCCTGAACAAAGGCAGTTCCCCCTAAGAGGCATTCTGGCACCAGCTGTCAAGATAATAATTCTTTCCAACCTGCTACATGACTCTAATCCAAGATAGGAAGAGCTCTGAGTCCAAAGGGAAGTGAAGATAAAATGCTGAAGGGGTCTGAGTTCTGGGAAGGAAGACCACACTTCTCGCCTGAATGCAAAAAGTGTCAGACCTCGGCCAGGTGCTGGAAAGAGAAGATTATAGCTGGGGATCATTTGAATGTGTACAGATGGGCAGGGAGGCATTCTGGGGAGAGGAAGCTATCTGAACAAAGGCGGGCAGGTTTGGCTGGAGTGGGCGTAGTGGGGGCAGGAGCTGGGGACCGTCAGTGGAGAAGGGCTGATGGTCTCCATTCATTGGGTACCTCTCAGATAGTAGAGACTGCTGAGATCCCCAGTCTCCCTTCTTGTGGCCCTGGCTATGGTTCTCCCAATCTGCAGAGTGTGGTTTCCCATGAGCTGTGTCTCCAAATTGAGATTTTTTTTTTTTTTTGAGGTAGGGTCTTACTGTGTCACCCAGGCTGGAGTGTAGTGGCACAATCACAGCTCCCTGCAGCCTCAACTTTCCAGGCTTAAGTGGTCCTCCCACCTCAGCTTCCCAAGTAGCTGAGACCACAGGCGCTTGCCACCATGACCAGCTAATATTTTTACTTTTTGGGGGTCTCACTATGTTGCTCAGGCTGGTTTCGAACTCCTGGGCTCAGGTGATCCCTCCACTCGGCCTGCCAAAGTGCTGGGATCACAGGTTTGAGCCACTGCCCCCCGCCTTCCAAAGCAGGATCTTTTTCTTTTTTCTTTTTTTAAAAAGAGCGATGGAATCTTGCTATGTTGCTCAGGCTGGTCTCGAACTCCTGGGCTCAAAGCAATTCTCCTGTCTTGGCCTCCCAAAGTGTTAGGATTACAGGTGTGAGCCACCATGCCCAGCCCCAAATCAAGGTCTTGGTGAACGCTTATGCGTCACCACTGTGCTAGTTACCTATTGCTATGTAATGAGTTGCCCCAACATCTAGCAGGTGAAAACAACAAATATTTATAATCTTATGTTTCCATGGATTGGTAATATAGGTGCCTCTCAGCTAGGTGCCAGTGACTTAGGGTCTCTTCCAAGGCTGCCGTCAAGTTGTCCTCAGGGGCTGTGATCATCTCGGGGCTTAGCTGGGGGAGAGTTCACCTCCCTGCTCAGGGTCTTGCTGGCTGCTGCTGAGGCATGCTGTTCCTTGTCCCATGGGCCTCTCCTTAGAGCTGCTCACCACAACCACTGGATTCTTCCAGAGACTGTGAGCCAGGGAGAGGGCACCCAAGACAGAAGCCATTCATCTTGTTTCCTGATCTTGGGAATGACATCCCAATACTCTTGCCATATTCTGTTCATTAGAAATGAGTCCAGCCTGTGCTCATGGGGAATGGATACCAGGAGGTAGGGATGCCATCTCAGAGACTGCCCACTGCTGGCATCTTTCTCCGTTTCTGTGTCCACATGGTTGCCTCATTTCAAACAGTTCTTGGCAACTCTATTCCCCTCTATCCCCACCCAGACCCTCAGCCCTCTTTGCCTCTGGAACCCTGGGCTCTGAAATGCCCTCTCTGACTCTAGCATTTTTGGCTTCTAACTCTCGTCTTCTGTTCCTCCTCACTTGCTCTGTGACATCCGAAAGACTGCTCACTGGATCCTACCTCATCTCCCAGACTTTTAGCTCCTCCTGGCCCCACACCCATCTCTATCCAGCCCCTGCAGATGATCTCATCAGAAATACTCCCCAACTCTGCCAACCCTCATTCCCTGGGCACCTTGCTGCACCCACCTGCTAGTCCCCAGACTTGGACCTTTCTCCTCCCTGTGTCCCACGCGGAAGCTGCCTAAAGAGGTGTACTTTCCAATCTCAGTTCAGTCTTCAGGGCCACTTAGTACTTTTCCCATTCCTAATAGTTATGCCAAACCTTCACCTCTCTCAAGCACCTCTTCTCCATCCTCACTCCCACCTCAGCAGACACCCTCATTCCTTTTCTTCTTAGGCAGGAACTCTCTCCACTGCTCCCTGTCACCCACAGGAGAAAGTTTATACTCCTTAGCTTAGCGTTCAAGGCCCTCCAGGTTCTGGCTCCCCCAGTTCCCTCCATCTTCCCACCCTCCAGCTTCCTATTTGCCACTCTCCGCCTTCATGCAGTCTGTTTCCCAGACACAGGGGACGACTTGCCATTTTCAGACCCAGTGTGTGCATCAAAGCACCATCAAAAATCCTTCCAGTCTCCAGGTCCAGTTCAGATGGCACCTTTTTTTGTGAAGCCTTCCTCATTGGCTTTAGGAAGAAATTATTGTGCCTCTGCTCAGCTCTGCTCATTTCTGTTTCTTTTTTCATTCTACAGTTAAGATTTTTGTTTCTGTCTCACCCGTAGGCCCATTCACCCCTCTCTCCTCAGTACTAATGCAAACCAGGCACATAGGTTGGATGGATGGATGGGTTGATTGGATAGATCGATGAATAGGGCTGAGAGCGAGGGTCCTCTAGGCTGATCTCTTGGAGAAATAGTTCAAAGCAGAAGCTTTGGAATCAGGCAGAGACTTTTGGAGTGATGCTCAAATCTTAGGTTCACCACTTTTTAGCCATGTGATCTTGGGCAAATTATGTAATTTCTCAACCTCAGTTTCCTCAGCTGTAAGATGAAGATGGTAATACCTTCCTGGATTATTGTGAAGATGAAACAAGACAGTATAGTGTAGGCACATGGCCCAGTGTCTTGAATGGAGTAAGGTGCAGTTACCGTTAGCCCTTTTTATTATTGTTGGTGGATGGTCTGGACTGGGGGTAGGGAGCTCAGAGCAGAGGCCATTCCTCCTGCAGAGCAACTTTGAGTCCCTCACTGCTCATCTGAAAGGCATAGAGGGAGGCCTGGCCCTGCCTGTCTGGACTCCTGCCTCTCTGAGCAGGAGCTGGGCTGCTGTGGAGGTGTTCTGCCCTGAGAGCAGAGGAAGCTCTTGGGACTCCAGGTGCCACTGTGGTCAGTGGGACTGCCTTGGCGCCTCTGTGGCTGGGAGGCAGTGCCAAGTGCAGAGGTGCTATGGGAATCCTGCTACAGGGTGAGGACAGGAGTCTGCCCTGGGGCTTGCCTAGGAGCCTGGTCCTCTGCCTGCCTCAACCTCGTGATTTTCCTCCCAGCTGCCTCAGGGTCCAGGGACCAGAGCCCCGCCATTGTCGTCACCGTAGTGACCATCTCGGCCCTCCTCGTCCTGGGCTCCGTGATGAGTGTGCTGGCCATTTGGAGGAGGTAGGTGGCTGGCCCCAGCCTAGGTGACTCCTGGTGGGTCATGTCCCGTGCACATTAATGTGTGCTCACAGGCATCTCTGCCCACTTTGCACACACGCAGATTTGCACCTGCAAGCACACTGCTGTACAAATGTAGGCATGCATCATCCCGGCCCCTCCCCCCAGCTCACTGTTCATGTGGCAGCCAGCACTGCAGCTAGCTCAGCTGCTCTGGGATGAAGGGGATTTAGCGCCTTAACTCATTAAATGTCAGAAGGCATCACTGAGGAAGGAATCAAGCTCCGGCTGCTCCAGTGTGATTAGAATTCTCCGGAGGAGCTCAGAGGCCCCCAGCCCCTGTCCCCGGGCCTCTTGAGGCCCTCGAACACAGGAAAAGGGGGAAAAGACAGAAATCTTGTGTATGTATGTGTGTGGGAGGGGCAGGACAGGGAGGGCATTTCATAAAGCAGAAACCTCCCACCCCCAGCAGAAAGAAGCTTGCAGGAGGGTGAGCAGAGAAAGGGGATAGGAGGAAGACATAGAGCTTGAGTATGGTTCAGAGAAGATTCTAGTCCTTTTGCAGGCAGCAGAGGCCTTCTGCCATGTATCCTCCCCTTCTCCCCAGGGCCACACTCTGCTGCAGGCAGAGTCGCCCAGATGGGTCCCAGGCTGGGCGGGCTGGGGAGCCACATCTCAGCATCCTGAAACTGCCTGGCAGCTGGAACGACAATGGGCATTCATTTGGCACTGGCTAATTTGCTTGGCCTTGAATGAGGCACTGAAAGTGACTGAGTGGGAGAGAACACTGTCTCGCTAGTCTAGGAGCCAGCTCTGCCTGGACCAGGCAAATCAGGAGGGCAGGACAAGAGTAGGGAGTTCCTTGCTCGTGGAGCATGAAGGGTCCATGTGCTGGACCCGTTGGAAAAGCAGAGATGGACAGATGCCGAGAGCATCTCATCCTGGCTTTGCACTGAGAGGCTCTGAGAGGCAGAAGGAGGAAAGGGAGACAAGCAAGCCAAGAGCCCCTCTTCCGGGCAGAGGCTCTGCAGGACAGGAGCGCCCCAGGGACAGGTGCACTACAGAGGCGGAGCAAGCCAGCGCGGGATTCCAAATCCAGCTGCTCTGAAATGGGGAGAGTGAGCCCAGTCTAGTGTGGAGGGGTAGAGAGGTGTTCTCCTCCAGCATGCATGTCCCAGCCTGGTGGGCTGTCTGCAGCACCTCTCACACCGTCCTGGGTGTAGTACCTGCTCTGCGCCATGGTCCCTCACCTCCAATTTCCCTCCTCTCCAGTCCACCCTAGCTTGCCCACTTCTCACCAGACCGTGTGGTCCAGTGGAAGCCTCTCTCCTCTCCTCACCACGCACCCTCTTTCGCTCCTCCATCCACTCAGCCTTCCCCCCTTCATCTCCACCCATCTCTCCTGGATGTTGCTCCTCATTCGTGGAAGTCCTGTCACCACCCTGGGTGACTTCAGTAGCTGCCAGACAGCCTGTCCCATCCCTTGCCCCTCGGTTCTTGGACTTCTCATTCCCAAGGATCATCTCTTCTGTTCCTCCTGGCCATCCTCCTAGAATGCTTCACCTCGTTACTTCTTTTTTTTTTTTTTTTTTTTTTTTGAGATGGAGCCTTGCTCTTGTCACCCAGACTGAGGTGCAGTGGCATGATCTCAGCTCAGTGCAGCCTCTGCCTCCCCGGTTCAACTGATTCTTTTGCCTCGGCCTCCTGAGTAACTGGGACTACAGGCCCGTGCCACCATATCCAGCTAATTTTTTGTATTTTTAGTAGAGACGGGGTTTTGCCATTTTGGCCAGGCTGGTCTCAAACTCCTGACCTCAGGTGATCTACCCACCTCAGCCTCCCAAAGTGCTGGGATTACAGGTATGAGCCACCATGCCTGGCCTCACCCCAATACTTAATCCAGTTCCCTTCTTGGTCTGCAGACACCCTGTCTTTGCAGCTTGCTGTCTTGGCCACACCAGTCACACCTGTTCTTTAGCCTCATCACTGGCCCCTGGACTACTCACCACCAAACCTACAAACCTGCCTGCTTCTGCACCCATCCTCACCCCCTTTTCTCTAGAGGAGGTGATCCTCCCAGCCAGGATCAGTCCTTCCACCTATGGCTGAACCCCACCCTTTTGCCATCTTGGGAGCCCACTATTACTCCTAATGTTCCCCTCTGCCCCCCATAACAGTGAACATGTGTGGAGGCTTGGTAAGCTGACATGCTGCTGTCTGGCAGGCCTATCTTTATCCTGATTTTATTAAAGAGAAAATGGAGCCACCCAGTCCCACAGCTACCGAGCGGAGATGCTGGGAAGCAGGTCCCTGCAGTCAGGTTCCGAGCCCAGGCTGTCAACACCCTGCGGTGGCCGCTTCCCCCTGTGTGACAGCCTAGCTCCTCCTTCCCATCTGTATCTACATGTGATCATCTCTGTTGTGAAAACTTCGGAAACTCCTCCCTTGGTCTCTCATCCTTGTACCTTTATGTGATTTCTCTCTACCATCCCCTCTACTTTCTCTGTCCTTGGTCCCTGTGATACCCTGCCCCAGTTTCCCTCTGCTCTCCTTCTGTTCCTCTGGCGATTCTTTTGTACTGTCCTTGGTGCTTCCTTCCGCTAGCCTAGATGTTGGGGTTTCTCAGACTTATTCCTAGTCCCTCTTCTCAGACTCCATCCTCTCCCTGGGCCATGCTCATTGCTCCTGATTTGTATCTGCAGAGCAGGCCTCTCTTCCAAGCTCCAGACACACACACACACGTCGAACGCCCGTCTTATCTTCCCTGCTTATCCCCCAGGCCTGCAAACTCAGATGTCTAAATGTGAACTTTTTGTCTCCTCATCCCAGTAAATGGCACCACCATAAACTGTGGGCAACTTCTCCCTCTTCCTTTCTGCCATCCAACAACCTCTCAGCCCTGTGGCCCCTGTCACCTTCATGTCACTCGAGTCCTCTGCCTCTCTCCATGCCCATGTTGACCCCATAGCTAGAACCACTGCCAGCTCCTCTCCTGTGGTGACACCCGTGGCAGCTTCCACTCTGCAACTGGAGCTCTTTCTAAAGTAGAAATCAAATCATTGCACTCCTCTGCTTCAACCCCACAGGGGCTCTCCTCTGCTCCCAGAATAAAAGCCAAAGTCTTTATCTTGGCCAGCAAGGCCCTGCCCCTAGGGGCCCCAAGTACCGGCCTGTGGCTTTGTTGACTGTGATGCAGTCCTTTGGCCCGTGGCTGCCTCTGTCTCAGGAAGCCCTCCACAATGACCTTGGATCAGGTCAGGCCTGTCTGTCCCGTGTCCCAACAGTACAGCACCTTTCTCCTTTGCCAGCACTGGTGAGTGGGCTTGTGGCTAACTCTCCATGTTTGTTTTCCTGACCAGACCAGAAGCTGCCCCCGAGTGCTGGATCCGCTTGCCTTATTCACACTTTCACAAAACCGCATGCGGGGGCAGCTGGGGGCCTGCAGCCAGGATGTGGATTGGGTGCCTCTGGAGTTGCAATAATTTTCACCATGTGAAAGTAGCTAGGGATGGTGGTGGTGGTGACGGTTTGGTCTAGGGCTACGGTTGTATCTGTGCCATGGGGAGGTCGTCAAACCACAGAGAAGCTTTTAAACCAGCTGGACAAGAAGTTCCCTCCCCCAGGGCACAGGCCTTGTCTTTTGAAGGGACAAAGAGGTGCTGCCCTCAGTGCTCTGTAATGGGAAGGGCCGGGGTGGCCTGGCTGAAAGAATGACCCTGAACTCCCTGCCAGGCCCTGCAGCTATGGCAAAGGAGGAGGGGATGCCCATGATGAAGAGGAGCTGTATTTCCACTGTGAGTTGGCTGGGCCTGGCTGGGGAGGGGCGGGCTCCACCCTGCCTCACTCCTCAGCCCTCTGCCTTGCTACACTGCATGAGCCCGCTTGTCAGCCCCAGTGGTGGAGGCCCCATTCCTCAGGCTCATCTCTTTCTCTCCCAGTCAAAGTCCCAACACGTCGCACATTCCTGGACCCCCAGAGCTGTGGGGACCTGCTGCAGGCTGTGCATCTGTTCGCCAAGGAACTGGATGCGAAAAGCGTCACGCTGGAGAGGAGCCTTGGAGGAGGCAAGCTGGGCGCCCAGGAAGCCTTGTCCCCATCTGGAAGCCTCACCCACTCTATAGGCCCCGCCCCTACTCTGTCCACACCTCTATCCTGAAGCCCACCTCCACCCAGGTCTCTGCTCGTGTCTGGAAGCCCTGCCTCCACACCAAGCCCACCCTCCACCCAGAAAGTCCCTGGCTTGCCTGATTATAGGGAAGAGGATGGCAGAAGGGTCTGTGACCCTCTCCTGGTCCTCAAGGTCAGACCTCTGCACACTGCCACTGGCAGTTTAGTCCCAGGCCTTCATGGGGCAGTGGGGAGGGGCCTTTGCAAGCTTAGGGGCCAGACATAACTGAGTTCTAGTCCTGGCTCTCCCACTGACCCGCTGCATGATCAGGGTCATGGCCCTGTTTTGCTCAGAGCCTCAGTTTCTCATCTGAGAAATGGGCATGATATCTGCCTTCTGGGGGCTAATGTGGGGAACTCCCAGCACTCCTCACAGGGCCTGGCTGTCGGCGCTTGCTCTCTAAGGGCCAGTCTTCTGCTAGCCTTTCTTCCTGACTACAAATCCTCAGCCTCCTGTGCTCAGAGACGGTAGCTGCTTTCACTGGGAGCCTGACATTATCCCCTGACACTGTCTCCAGACCCGCTGGACAGAAGCCGGAAAGGGGCAGGGTGGAAGAATAGATGTCATTGTCATCCATCCTGGGTCACATGGGGTTTGATGGCAGTCGGCGTGCTGGCATATGCCCTGTCCTTTCTTTAAGGCTTGGAAACCTCCCCCCACTGAGGAAGGCAGAGAGGAATCCCCATTTCACAGAGGAGACAGGCCAAGAAAAGGAAAGAGATGGAATTCGAGGTCACACTGCTGGTACTCAGTTTACCAGGATTTAAGCTGGAAACAGTCCATGATCTGGAGTCACTTTTTTTTTTGAGACCGAGTCTTGCTCTGTCACCCAGTCTGAAGTGCAGTGGCACAATCTCAGCTCACTGAAACCTCTGCCTCCTGGGTTCAAGTGATTTTCCTGCCTCAGCTTCTCAAGTAGCTGGGATTACAGGCATGTGCCACCTTGTCTGGTTAATTTTTGTATTTTTAGTAGAGACTGGGTTTCGCCATGTTGGCCAGGCTGGTCAGAGTCACTTTCTCCTCGGCTCAGCCTGCCCAGCTCAGCCAGGGCAGTGGCCTCTGGCGGTATCTGAGGTGCTGTTTCCCCACAGGGCGGTTTGGGGAGCTGTGCTGTGGCTGCTTGCAGCTCCCCGGTCGCCAGGAGCTGCTCGTAGCCGTGCATATGCTGAGGGACAGCGCCTCCGACTCACAGAGGCTCGGCTTCCTGGCCGAGGCCCTCACGCTGGGCCAGTTTGACCATAGCCACATCGTGCGGCTGGAGGGCGTTGTTACCCGAGGTAGGGCCCGGTGCTCCCTTCCTGCTGCCCAGCCCACGGGTATGGGGGGTGGAAATGATGGTGTGGGAGTTTGGAGTGCCCCTGCCTCTCCAGGTCCTTCCCTCAGCTATGGGAGGGAGCTTCAGCCAGGGACCTCAGCTTTCACTGACTCAAGGCGGCCCTTCTCCTGGAGCGGCCACTCTGGCTCAGAATGACCTTTCTTTTCTTTCTTTCTTTCTTTTTTTTTTTTTTTGAGATGGAGTCTCGCTCTGTTGCCCAGGCTAGAGTGCAGTGGTGAGATCTCGGCTCACTGCAAGCTCTGCCTCCTGGGATCATGCCATTCTCCTGCCTCAGCCTCCCGAGCAGCTGGGACTACAGGTGCCTGCCACCAGGCCCGGCTAATTTTTTTGTTTTTTTTTTTTTTTAGTAGAGACGGGGTTTCACCATGTTAGCCAGGATGGTCTTGATCTCCTGACCTCGTGATCCACCTGCCTCGGCCTCCCAAAGTGCTGGGATTACAGGCGTGAACCACCGCGCCTGGCCAGGATGACCTTTCTGACCTGTGATAGGTCCCCTAGAATATCACTCCTAGAAAGAGTGATCTTTCTTAGCAAGCTTGTTGCAGCTCATGACCTTGGACTTTGTTCACCTACAGATGTCTCCTCTTTTGTTCCTTGGCATAGAGGACCCTGGGCTGGGCAGGAGGATGGCGAGATTAGGGAGCTTGGTGCTGGTTCTGGCTCTCGAGGCCCAGTCTGGGACCCTGGGGGGGAAACTTGTGTGCGTGCGGAGTGGAGTGGACAACTTAGCATGTGTGTTCCCATCCCTGGGCACAGGAAGCACCTTGATGATTGTCACCGAGTACATGAGCCATGGGGCCCTGGACGGCTTCCTCAGGGTGAGTGGCCCTGGGGCTGCCAATGACCACTTTATTCTGTAAAGCGGGCAGGGGTCCCTCACTTTTCTCTTTGGTAGGGCTTGGAATTGGCATCATCCCCACTGGCCGGGCTGACCTGTGGTCACAGGGTGAACTAAAGCCTGGCGAGAGCTAGGTGACCGCCCTGGTGTCACACAACACCAGGGGATCCAAGCGCACAGCCCTGGCCTCAGTCTTCTCCCTCCACAGCGGCACGAGGGGCAGCTGGTGGCTGGGCAACTGATGGGGTTGCTGCCTGGGCTGGCATCAGCCATGAAGTATCTGTCAGAGATGGGCTACGTTCACCGGGGCCTGGCAGCTCGCCATGTGCTGGTCAGCAGCGACCTTGTCTGCAAGATCTCTGGCTTCGGGCGGGGCCCCCGGGACCGATCAGAGGCTGTCTACACCACTATGGTGAGGGCGCCCCCAGCCAAGCCTGCCTGTGCCTTCTGGTTCCCACCAAGCTGCCCTGGAGCCCTTAACTCCCCACTTCTACTCCTTTCCCTGCCCCTCCACCCAGTTGGTCTTGGCATAAATGCGAGTGAACCCCACCTTGAGGTCAGCTTTTCTGTCTTTCCCAGATGTGAAGCTGGAGTTGGGGGTTGCCTGGGAGGATGACATGCAGGCTGGATCTGGGGCTCAGTGGGGTGGGGAAACCTGCGTGTCACCCAGTTCCTCCTTGCCCCTGACCTGCCTGCCCCTACAGAGTGGCCGGAGCCCAGCGCTATGGGCCGCTCCCGAGACACTTCAGTTTGGCCACTTCAGCTCTGCCAGTGACGTGTGGAGCTTCGGCATCATCATGTGGGAGGTGATGGCCTTTGGGGAGCGGCCTTACTGGGACATGTCTGGCCAAGACGTGAGTAACCCGTGGCTCCAGCTGCATGCCTTCTGACCCTCTCAGCTCAGGCCCCAGCTTCCTGACCTCTGCCCGTTGGCCCTCAATCTTCCTGCCTCAGGCCCCTCTTCTCTGTCTGCTTGCTTCTGGTTCTGCCTGGCCACTGCCCCAGGCTTCCTTGGGTGTGTGTGTGTGTGTCTGTGTCTGTGTGTGCGCATGTGTGTGTGTGTGTCTGTGTCTGTGTGTGTGCATGTGTGTGTGCACACACCATATGCTGGGGAAACCCAGAGCCTCCTCTCTGCTCCCCACCCCTGTGGCCCAGGTGATCAAGGCTGTGGAGGATGGCTTCCGGCTGCCACCCCCCAGGAACTGTCCTAACCTTCTGCACCGACTAATGCTCGACTGCTGGCAGAAGGACCCAGGTGAGCGGCCCAGGTTCTCCCAGATCCACAGCATCCTGAGCAAGATGGTGCAGGACCCAGAGCCCCCCAAGTGTGCCCTGACTACCTGTCCCAGGTACGTTCCCACATGGGACAGCCAGCCTCTCACCTGTCCGTGGAGGGCCTCCCTGCATGTTGCAAGTGCAAACCCACCGCCTCCACCACCCCACCTGTCCAAGAGCAATTGTTCACCCCATTGCCCCAGAGGGCTGTAGCCTGCCTGCCTGCCCAGGCCCACCTCACTGCACATCCTCCTGGTCACTTCTGCTTCTCCTGGATTTTGCCCACATCCCCGGGTACAATGACCTTTGACTGGAGAAATAGATGTGGTAATAGCCCTAACACATTTGTAGTTCCAATGAATCAAATATGTGAAATTAATATTCGTTGTTCCCAATATGAGTCACCAACCAGTCCTAGGCGTGTCCTACCCCAGACTGTTCCGGATACGCCAATACCTTTAGCTGGCGCTGGCTCTGCCTCCACCTGCCTGAAGAACCTGAAGCCCTCGCTTCTTCACGAATGCACAGTGCTCATGTGAGCCAGATCCAGCCCTGGGGCCCGGTTACCCTCCCCTTCTCCTGTCCATCCTCAGCTGGCCTCTCCCCGGGAGACCACCAGGTGTGGGCCCAGATCCCAGCTGTCGGTTGAGCACAGCTCCTCTGACCCGCAGGCCTCCCACCCCACTAGCGGACCGTGCCTTCTCCACCTTCCCCTCCTTTGGCTCTGTGGGCGCGTGGCTGGAGGCCCTGGACCTGTGCCGCTACAAGGACAGCTTCGCGGCTGCTGGCTATGGGAGCCTGGAGGCCGTGGCCGAGATGACTGCCCAGTGAGTCCAAGGCACCAAGGTCAAGGCCGGGGCTGGGGGATTCCACAGGCCCTGCCCCTGCCTATACTGGGGAGTCCCAACCTGTCCAGAGAAGCGGAGGGAGAGTGGAGGGCCTTCATGGGAGGAGCAGAAGTTGGGGACAAGCCAGCCGAGTGTGACCAGCCTTTGTTTCAGGGACCTGGTGAGCCTAGGCATCTCTTTGGCTGAACATCGAGAGGCCCTCCTCAGCGGGATCAGCGCCCTGCAGGCACGAGTGCTCCAGCTGCAGGGCCAGGGGGTGCAGGTGTGAGTGGACCCCATTCTTCCAAGGCAGGACTCCGGTGGGGGTCCAGTCCCCCAGCCCTGCCCAAGGACCGTGGCAAGCTGCGCTCCAGCAGTGTGGGAGGGAGCGCTCTCTTCCTCTGCTTGGGCCCAGATCTGGTGGGGCCACAGCTTCCCCGCTTTCACTGCCTGCCCCTCCCATTTTCACGAGTCTGAACGCCTTGGCTAACTCAGTGCCCCTGAAAAGAGGTTCAAATCCCTAGGGAGGACCCCTGAGATAACAGCAGGAGGAAATTCGGGGTCTCAGAGAAAAGCTGGGGCAGGGATGGGAGGGAAGACAGTGGGTTGAGATTGCCCTGGCTCATGCCCTACTGCCATTTGTACCCACTGGGGGCTGGGGCCTACCCCGTGGGGTGTTCCCTTTTCCCACAGACCCATTGACCAGTCAGACAGCGTGGGTCCTGGGGGGGTCTTCTTCTACCTGGCAGTGACTGCAGCTGCCTGGTGGCTCAGGCGTCGGGGGCTGGGCCAGAGGTGCATCCACCTCAGCTCCCTGTGCCTTGGCAGGGGCTGACTGGACACTGGCCAAGGCTCAGGCAGGCAAAGATGGTGCTGAGCTCAGGGGCTGATACCCAAGAGCCCTAGACTCAGGATCTGGTTTCTGTGTCCCCCTGCCTTGGGCTGACAGTTCAGGGTGAGGCCAAAAGTCCTGGCCAGGCCGGGCCATGAGAGGCCCTGGTGCTCCCTGGGGCCCCATGAGGCCCTCGTGTGCATTCCTTTTATGAACTTAGTGGCCAGGACATCTGGGAAAAGCATAAAGGGCCATGTTATCTCCCCAGGGACCCAAGAGCTTTTCTCTCCAGCCATGGGGAGGGTGAAGAGGAGACTCAGAGATGGGTCCTCTCTCTCAAACAGGCTGGTCTAACCCCCAGTGTACAGATGGGGGAAACTGAGGCCAAGTGAGGAGTCAGGAGCAGAGCTGAGGTCAGAACCCAATCCAGGGGTAAGGCTGGCTCTGGGGAGAGAGTCCTTGGTCCTGCCCTATGGCACCACCACTTCCCTGTACAGCCCTTGGGGACTCTAGAGGCGACTCCCCTCCAGCCAGCTCCGTGCCTTGGGCACTACCCAGCCTTCCATGGAGCCCCTCCCTGCTCTGACTTTGAAGAGCCCTGGCAGAAGTGGTTGTGCTGAGCCCACCGTGGAGTTCCTTATCCACAAGGGCCCCCGGGAATGGTGGGGCCCAGTATGCCAGAGCTTTCGTAGGGTGGCAGGAAGGCAGCTGGATCTCAGCAGGGCCACAGGGACTGAGTTTGTTTAGGCCGCCCGTGACACTTGTCTGCTCTGCTTGGCTGTGTGTTGGTGGGGTGGGATGGGGCGGGAAAGAGGAGACAAGAGGTAAAGATGAAAAAGACACACAGCCTGCCCTTGGGGGGCTCAGACTAGACCAGGAGAAGAGCTCAGGTACCAAGAAGTAATTCCAGGGCACCATCCACAGTGCCCAGGGCCCCCCAGGAGCCCTCTGGGTCAGTGGGTAGGTGGGCTGGAGGGGGAGATAGCCACTCTCTTAATGTGTGAAGTTGAGATGTAAGTTGAACAGGGCCTTGCAGGTGGGAAAGGGAAGGTTCTTTCCTTGGGGTGGGTGGAGTTTTCGGCAGGCAAGATGGCAGGCCTCGGACAAAAGGAGTCCATGCAGAGAGGCTAGCATGAGAAAGAGCCCAGAGGCGGGAAGGTGCAGTGCCTCTTTGCAGAGCACCCAGAGGTGGGGGACAGTGACTCACAGAGGTGCCTTTGGCCTTACCCTGCCAGCAGCAGCTCCCCTGCTCTTGGAATCTCCCCCCAGCCCCCTGCCTCCCTGTCTCCTGAGCACCTGCCCCAGCTCAGTGACTCTGGGGGTACTGGGGAGACCAAGATGTTGCTACCACCTTAGTCAGGGTTGGGGGAGCCCCCGGCCAGGTGCCCTCCAGGATCCGCCTTCCCCACCCCTCCTGGGAAGCCTGGACCAGCATCCCTTCTTGGGTGGATGGAGCCTCGTCCTCATCTCCAGCTACATCAGTCATTCTCTGCAGGGCAAAATCTCCTCCCCCTACCCCAGCTGTTTCTGCAGAAGGGCCCCTGGCTGTGTTGGCAGGACTTCGGTGTCCAGGGTAGATCTCCCCTCCACTGAGGAGTGAGGTCCCAGAATCCTGTTGGGTCCCAGGCCTCAGCCCTGCACAGATGTGATGTGGGGCGATGGCTCTCTGGGAACCCTCTACAGATCTATTTTTATATGGAACTTGTTCACTGGACAGAGGTGGCCTGCAAGCCCCCATTACCCTGGTCTGAGCTCACCCTGGGAGGGAGGGGGCCAGTCGGAGGGGGTTCCTTCTGGAGATGTTTTTATATTTCTTGGGTTCTCTATGCAGGATAATAAAAACTTGTCTGTGATATGGTGCCTCTTTGAGTGGCAGTTGCTTGATCATTGTATAGCTGGTGTGGAAGGGCTTCTGCCCCCTTCCTCGAGGACAGGGGTGTCCAGAATCTGCGTCTGAGATCTCTCTGCATAGAGGTGAGTCCAACACTGCTCCTGCCGTGAAAGATGTCCCAGGATCCATGGCAGGACGGTGTGACCCAGGGTACCGAGGGGAACTGGGTGCCCTGGGTATGTAGAGAAGTCTGTTACCCAGTCTCAGGAGCAGTAGAACCAGGGAGGTGTCTGAGACATGGTGGTGTCCTTTGCTGGGATAGACAGTACCAGGGAGGGCAGAGACCAGGAAAGGTGCTCAGTGCTCAGTTTTGGATATGTGTTTGAGATGCCTGTGGGATGTGCGGCAGAGATGTCTAGGAGGCAGGTGGATATCTGGTCTGAACCTCGGAGCACAGATGTAAGTTAGAGACAGAGCTTTGGGGTCATCAGCATTCAGATGGGGGTAGAAGCCAGGATGAGAAGGAGGTCACCCGGCCAGCATGTTCAGGAGAGGGGAGACGTCAGTGTTGGGAGGCACCTGGATGAAGGGGAGCAGTGGGAGATGCCAGGAGGAGCTGTGCCATTGCTGCTGAAGATGAAGTTTTGGTGTTAAATACAGAGAAAAATGGCCGGGTTCGGTGGCTCATGCCTGTAATCCCAGCACTTTGAGAGGTTGAGGTGGGTAGATCACTTGAGGCCAGGAGTTTGAGACCAGCCTGGCCAACATGGTGAAACCCCATCTCTACTAAAAACACATAAATTAGCTGGGTGTGGTGGTGGGTGCCTGTAATCCCAGCTACTCAGGAGGATGACACAGGAGAATCACTTGAACCCAGGAGATGGAGGTTGCAGTGGGCCGAGATTGTGCCACTATACTCCAGCCTGGGTGACAGAGCAGAAAAACAAATAACAACAACAACAAAAACAGAGAAATCAAGTGAAAGAGGAGGGAGGAGTGGCTGTCAGTGTGGGCACTGGGCTATTATCAGTGAGTGTATTCATTTGCTTGGGCTACTGTAACACAGCACCTCAGACTGTAACACAGCACCCATGGGTTTGCCGACAGGGATTTACTGTCCCACAGCTCTGGAGGCTGGAAGCCAAGATCAAGATGTGCGCAAGGTTGTTTCCTGCTGAGAGCTGTGAGGGGAGCTTCTGCTCTGGGCCTCTCTCCCCGGCTTGCCTGTGGCCATCTTCCCACTCTCTCTTCGCATCATCTTCCCTCTGTAAGTCCAAATTTCCCCTTTTTATGGATGCCAGTCATATTGAACCGGTCCATACCAGCCCACCCTAACATCCTCATTTTAACTTAATCACCCCTTTAAAGGGCCTGTCTCCAAGTATGGTCACCTTCTGAGTTACTGGGAGTTAGGACTTCAACATAGAGGCCTGGCGGGGGGCACAATTCAACCCGTAACAGCGACCTTTGTTGTCAGGGCAGAAGCCAGATGAGAGGATTGGGGAGTGGAGTTTGGGAATCTTTGAGGAGTCCAGCAAAAGGAGGAAGAGTGGGCTGAGACAATGACCAGGACAGGCTGCAGGTGTGGGCCAAAGGCTGCAGGGGCAAGGCCTGAGTGCGCATGCATGTGAACACATATGTACTCATGGACACACGTGCACACACACACTTGGACCACATGAGTCCTTGCATGTCTCAGTTGGCTTGCTAGTGCTTCTCCTCTCCCTGGCCCGGGCCATTCATGTTCTTTAGGCTGCGGAAGGCGTCTTCCTCCTCTGCATAGTTCAGGACATGCAAAGTGCTTAGGGCAAGGGGTAGGATGGTGGGGATGGTGATAAATAAGACCCCTTCCCCCACTGCCTGTGCTCAGAGCCAGTTAAATACTAATTCCTTGGGACAGGTGGAGAGCAAAATATCAGCTCTTTGATAAGGCTAACTGGAGAATGTTGCTTACCAAGTTTCTTTGAATCTAAGATGCCATTGAGTGTAAGATGTCCTACCAAGAAAGAAACATCACAGCCAACTATGTTGTGCCATCCAACTGAAAGATGCATCCCAGTTTCAGAGATGTTAACATGTACGTCTTCAATAAATGAGATGCCGCGCATCAGGGACAAAGTATGTTTCCCATCATTCCCCTGAACTAGACCCACCCAGTCCCAGGCTGAGCCGGGTGGGGCAGACATCCACTGCAGGGGCAGAACTGTCCCCTCAGCTCCTGCCTGCACGATGGGAGCAGAGCAGGGTGCACCTTTCTTGTGGGCAAGCAGATCTGCAGAAGCCAGATGGCACTGAGTCAAGCAGGTTGTTCCTTCTGTCCCTCAATTCCACTTGAGAAGCCACCCTCTGGTGGGGAGGAATGAATGAGGAGTGGGTTAGAGATGTTAGCAGCATTGCTCCACTGAAGTCAGCCCCAGGAGAGGCATGCAGCCAGGGAATGCAGGACCCCAGCATTAACACAGTGCCTGGCACACAGAACACAGGAAATGCCCACTCGTTATTAGTATTACTATTATTATTATTATTGTTATTATTATTACCTAGCTGGTGTGAGGCACCAGGTAGACATATAACATGTGGTCAGGAATGGAACTTCTCTAGGCAGTGGGCCTGCTGATCTGGCTTGACAAGGTATTTGCTCATTCACTGCACATGGACCAGGCACATACTAGATGGCTGGCTCTGGCAAGTTAAGGCCTTACTGCCCAATGGGCGAGTCAGTTAAGTAAAAAGTACCCACGCCATGGCAATAAGGATGAATTCTAGGTGTTTTGGGGCTCAGGGGAAGGCTCTGCCTGACTTCATCCCCGAGGAGGTGTGAGCGGGCTCCTAGGGGAAAGTGGGTAGTGTGTTAGCTGTCTTTGGTAGCCAAAGCCTGTGTTCTGGACCTTACAGGAGGGCATCTCAGTTCCTAACGTTACCTCTGCCCCACGGCTCAGGATGTGAGTAAAATTCACACTGCACCACCTGCAGCTCTCTTTAAATCTCTTTGTACCCTTTGCCATTGAAATGGAACTGTCTGCCAGTATCTTGAAAAAATCCTGCTATTTGCAGGATATTTCCCACCACAGTTTACTAGTTGAGCCCCTTGGGGTCTTTGGGCAACAGAGAGAAGCCAGAAGTTGTTTGGGCTCATGAATGATCTCATGTTGCCTATCAGCATCTTGGGAGCGGATTATGGGTATCTCGAGCCTAGTTCCAGGGAATATGTTTGATCAAGACTGCTTGTAGAAGTGTAAGAGGAAAATGAAAAAATCAAAACCAAACTTGTTTCCCCATTGCAGCACCTTTCCTCCCCTTTCATTTAGGCTTCTCCTGGGCCCCTTTTCCTTCCTCCACCCCACAGCATTCCTTTTTTCTTTTTTCTTTTTTTTTTTTTGAGACACAAGTCTCGCTCTGTCACCCAGGCTGGAGTGCAGTGGCATGATCTCGGCTCACTGTACCCTCTGCCTCATGGGTCCAAGTGATTCTCTTGCCTCAGTAAGTAGCTGGGATTATAGGCATGTTCTACCACACCTGGCTGATTTTTGTATTTTTAGTAGAGATGGGGTTTTGCCGTTTTGGCCAGGCTGGTCCCGAATCCCTGACCTCAGGTGATCTGTCCACCTCGGCCCTCCAAAGTGCTAAGATTACAGGCTTGAGCCACTGCTCCCAGCCAGCATTCCTCCTTGACCCTCACCTGGGGCCTTATGAAGAGTGAAGAGGAGGAGGTTTGCCAGGGTGACCTTGGCATTTGATTGGAAGAGTGTATCCTTGAAGATTGTCACCTGTCTCCATCCTGATGGTTCTTAGCATATTGTGACGTATGTGTGCTTGTGGGTACTGAAAATTTGCAGATGGAGCTGGTATCTTGGTGCCAAGGGTATGTTTGTCCTCCACCATATCCACCACCCAAGGATCAGGAAAGATGAACCATGCAGATCCTAATATCAGCTGAGGGAAGGATGATGGCAAAGTGTAGAAGGCAAGAAGTGCACGTTACAGCTGGCAGGGAGGGGACGGTGGAGGCTTGACAGGTGGGGTGATGCAGGTAGGGATGATACAGGGCTGAGGAGATGTTTAATCCCTTAAAGGGAGATGGCATCTTAGGCAAAGCAAATTGGATTCCAGACCCCCCTTTTAGCAGGGAGCCCAGTGTAGCCCCCAATTCTGATTGAATCCTCTCTGAAGAGTGTCTCTCAGTCCTTCCATTTCTGGAGCCACAGGAATTGTATCTACTATGAAAGTTTTGAGTACATATGTCATGCTGAATTTTAGGTATGGGTCAACAGCTATGATACTGTGTAAAATTAGAAAATGGACCCACCAGAGTGTGTACACAGGTAGGCACTGAGACATGCTTTGTTTTTCAGAGGTTTGGGGATACATCGTGGAGCTAAGCCCTGCATTGGTATGTGAACTCATTATCATGGGTCAGGCTGGGGATATTAATTCCTCCTGGTAAAAGGCATGTCTGATGCTTTGGAGAAATGCTTAGGTGATGTCCTGTCACACACGCACATGAGCTAACTCTTCATATGAGTAATATAATCTAACTCGTCACAAGATAATACATTTGTAATCTTCTCAACAGGAAGCCCCAAGTAGGGCTTTTGGAAATAACAGGGGCCCTGTAGGACAAAGAATGAACCTACTGTTGACTGGACCTCTGGGGTTCCTTAAAACTGCCTCAGCGGCCCTGGGGATGGACTCCAGGCCTCCATTCTCCCTTCAACCTGGGGCAGCCCTACTGTTCTATGCTTTCTCTCCACAGCAGACAGTAAAAACTAAATTGCCTACAGAGATAAGGCAGGTAACATCAAGGGAAGAAGTAATCTCATCAGGATTGCTTTGAACCGGTAGAGGATTCTCTGCGGGCCAAGGAAAGCTGCTACTGAGCTCCAGCTGACTGTTGGCCCGTGCTGTCTGATCTTATTTTCAGAGGCTAGCAATCTTTGTGTAATCGCCCGATATTTAAATGGTTAGCAACTAATTTGGGGAAAAAAAAAAACCCAAACCCAACCCAACGAGTATGAAAGTATGTCTGGGGGCTGGCAGTAAGATTTAGGTTGTCTTTGTCCCAGCCCTGTGACATAGTTCAGCCTGTACTTAAAAATCCTGGGATGGTGGGGACATAAGTTCTACAAAATAAATCAACAAAAATACCAAATGATAAAAAACAAAATTTTTTTTAAAAATCCTGGAATGGGGCCGGGCACAGTGGCTCATACCTGTAATCCCAGCACTTTGGGAGGTGGAGGTGGGTGGATCACCTGAGGTCAGGAGACCAGCCTGGCCAACATGGCGAAACCCTGTCTCCACTAAAAGTACAAAACTTAGCCAGGCGTGGTGGTGTGCACCTGTAATCCCAGCTACTTGGGAGGTTGAGGCAGGAGAATTGCTTGAACCTGAGGTGGAGGTTGCAGTGAGCCGAGATCTCACCACTGCACTCTAGCCTGGGCAATAAGAGCGAAACTCTGTCTCAAAAAATCAATCAATCAATCAATCCTGGGATGGGGAACTCTTTACTTTCCAAGCCAGCCCCTTATATGAAATGAAGAACTGCCATGTCTCAGTCCCAGGTGTTAATTAGGCACCTGCTACATAACATGCATTTCCTACTAGGTGATTTAGGCAGTGGTGCAGATGGAATGAAACAGGATGAACCTGGTTCTGGGTAAAGCAGGTTGGATCCTAAGTGTTTCCTTGGTGTCAGGCTCTTTAGGCCTGATGACATATAGTCTGGGTTGCTTATTTGCACTGAGTAACCATTCTTCCAAATGCTGTCACTACCAGAAGATTCCTAGTCTATAAATTGTCAATACCCAATAACCTGGCTAAGTATGCCCCCAGGTTGTCTTCTTTTAGGCAGAACCCTCTTGCATCATTAGCTCTAGGTTGATCATTTTCAGCCTAGAGAGTTCCGGGAAGGCAGATCTGCCAGGGCCTCAGAAACTTTGGGAAGTGAGACTCATGATCACCGAATTACTCTTGCCCCGCTTTGTTCCTGGCCAAGAAAAGTCTACTATACTGGGAAATTACAGAGACCCTAGGTGTTGTCCTCCCAGACACAAATTTCTAGCTCATGGAATGAAGGTGTTGGGGGCGCTCTGCTGGGGGTTGAAGGTACCGATGCTCTGGATCTTGTAGTAAGCCCCTCTTTCAGATATCAGAATGAATCTGCCCAAAGCAAAGGTTTTCACATCTGAGAAAAGCAGATGTGCAAAGACTCCCACACAATTGCTGTCTCCCTAGTCCACAGAGCACAGCTTGGAGAGGACAGGCAGGATGAACAGTGATTACAAAAGAAAACACAAAACCAGAATTTATTGAAAGTAGGTACCAGCTCTGATTAGAACAATCAGCTCAAAGATACCATTACTCAGAACAATATATACAAAAATCTCAGGGAAAGGAGAATAAAAGAACTTAAAAGAATACAACTTGAACAGGACTGTTTTACTAAAATGGTCTTGTTGCAAAATAATAACAAATACCACAGAGAGCCCTACATGAGAAAGCCATGTGCCTTCAAGCCTGGGGATGAGGACTCTAGTTCTCAAATTCTTAGAACATAGCACATGATTCTCCAGGGCAGAGAGGCTGGCTGGAGAATGAGGACCTCACTGCTGACTCTGCTTAACAAAGTCCATGCCCCAGGCACAGGCACACATGGAATGAGGCCACCAAGCAAGTCACACCCACCCCTGTTCCCATGAACCCCATAAGAGAGAAGTGCTCTCTGAAGTCTACAGACTTGGCAGGGACCACTGGACCATGGATAGCTTAGAGACAGTTATTCTGTGGCCAATGACATAAAACCTCCAGAATCTGGGCCCTACAGTTCCCTTATCCAAATTTCCACTAACTAGGGAGGTAGAAGAGCAAGACATGGAAGTTGTCTCCAAACCAGTATTTGGTCTTCAGTAAACAGGGATAAACATAAAACACTGCTCCACAAGCAGACTTCAGAACTACTGGGCACAGCAGGTGAAAGATCCCTAAGTCCCACTGACCACCTCCCACAGGAGGAGGAGGAGGAGGAAGAGGAGGGCTGGTAGGGGGAGGTGTCATGAGTGCGAGAGGGTAGACGGACATGTTCCCTACTGAGGTCACTGCTGCCAACTGTCCTGCTCTGCTGATCTGTACAGTTCCCCCCACCTTCTGGACCTACCCTCTCATGGCCCAGAGCTCACTTATCTGAGCCTAAACCTCCCGGTCTCAAGCATAGAGAGCAGAAATGCCAGATGCAGAGGTTCTCTGGGTAGCGGTGGTGGAGGCAGTCTTCCTGAGAACACAGGGTTCTTCTTCGCCCCCTCAACTGCAGGCAGGGCAGGGTGAAGAGGATGTTGAGTTGCAGGAGGCAAAAGGCAGCAGCTCAGAGAGCAGGGAGGATTCAGCTGGGAGACTGATGGGAAGCTTCCATGGCATGGCCCCAGCAAGCAGTGACTGGGATCAGCTGGGATGGGAGGGTGAACAGACAGCTCTACCTAACTGGTGTGGGACTAGCACGTCTGAATTCCTGAATTCCCTTAGAGGAACATGGCTCCTTGCTCTGGAACTTCACACTCAAACAATAAGCCTGAAGGGAAGAAGTCTCTTCAGGGTCCCAGAAGTGCCCATTAAAAGTCCATCCTGTCAACTTTGGTGTCTCATTTGTGGGTCCGTATGCTGCTGCAGATTTGGGCGAGACGGTTCTAAAAAGAAAAGGAGAGAGGTCATTGTAGAAGATGTCACTTGGCAGGCTTGCCCCTTGGCCTCCCACAGTCAGCCTGAGCCCCTCCATTCTCTATCTGTATCACACATGAATTCACCTTTCTGAACCTGTTTCTCATCTGAACAAGGGAGTAAAATAACAACTCAAGTGAGACAGTAAAGGTATCATAGATTTGAGAAGAACATTGCAATAGATCTAGCTAGAGGATGACAGTCACAAGATTTGGGTGGCTAGGTGTGTGTGGGATCTCAGCACTGGGCCTATGTTCAGAAAGACAGGTTTAGGAAACCAGCCCCGCCTTGTCCCCTTCCTTGGATGTACCCTTCAGACCCCACAGAAGGATGAGGGTAAGGTTGCCATGTTTACACTAAGTGCTTCATCCACCACCCAAGATGATGGCTGACCAGACCAAGGAGGTTCATCCCTGGCGGAGCCATTACATTCTTCAGTTAAATTAAATTGATAATTTACTTTATTTTTAGAGCTGAGGTCTTTCTCTGTCACCCAGGCTGGAGTGCAGCAGCACGATCATGGGTCACTGCAGCCTTGAACTCATGGGCTCAAACAATTTCTCTCACCTGAGCCTCCTGAGCTGCAGGGATTACAGGTGTGTGCCACTGTGCCTGGCCCTCTTCAGAATTTAAACCAAGACAAGAAATTGAACAATTGGGCAATAGAGCAATAAAGTTGGGATTGGAGGTGTGGTTACTCAAAGCCACATGCAAAACAATGTTAAGTAAGCACAGAACCTGGAGCCTGTGGAGAAGGTTATCTGCTGAGGGAGGAATGAAGATGTGTGAGAGAAATGAGCACACAGGCCCCAGCTGATGGGCCCCACCACTCCAGAGGCTTGGCCGTTCAGCTCGCTCTTTGATTCTGTAAGATTCCTGATAACAAGCCCCGACCCTCATTCTTGAGCTACTCTAGGTTTCACTTTCTGGTGGCCAATAGTGACCTAACATACCCCTAGCACTAACTGCCTGAATGAGGCAGAATTTTGATTTTGCAGTGGAACTTCTGTGGCAGGCACCCTGGGATTGAACAAAACTCAACATCAACTGAGGAACAGAACTGCTGCTATCTAAGTAGGGTAAGAGTCAAAATCTCTTGGGGGAAGGAAGACAACACAAATTTAAGTAGAAAGTATTAGCCCAGGCCCAAAAGACAATCCTAAATAAAGGTAGCCCAAGAAAGCTACTGGAGGCATCCTATGTGTGGAGATGAATATGAGACTTACGGAGAGCTTCTTAATGTTTCCCAAGGCCTCTGGATCCAGCTGGGCAATACTGTGCCTCTGCAAGTCACTGGCCAATAATCGCAGGCTCTGAATAGAAAGGGGAGTGGGTTAAACTGGCCATGGCCCTTAGGGCCGGAACCCCTAGGTTCCCCTGATATCCTGCACTTAGTGGTGGGGAATGGCTGGGATGGAGAAGTGGCAAGACAGGCAGGAAGGATATTAGCTCTAAGGAGACAATGACTTCATCAGCACTATCACTAGGGTGGAGGCTGGATTACCTGGGCACAAAAGGCACGCACATCATCTAAGAAATGCCCTGCAGAGTATGTCTGAAACAAACCGTCCTCCCCTCACAGGGGCTGAGGTCAGCAACTCGCTCCATGCAGCCCAGAGACACTGAGCTCAGCTTGCTTCAGAATCCCTTAAGTTATACAAAGCTGAAGGCACAGCTCATGGTCCGGGTTCTAGACTAAGCGCATACCTCGGTGGTGCCCTCCTCTGCACCACCCTTTAACATCTCTATTATTGCGCATATCACAGGTACCATGATTGCAAACCCATCTTGACCACTGAGCTGCTTTCTAAGGGCAGGCCCCATGTCTACTTCTTGGGCCTACTACAATCGGATGGGCAAATGTTAGTTGATGAACAGATGGAGGCCGGGTGTGGTGGCTTGCACCTGTAATCCCAGCACCTTGGGAGGCTGAGGTGTGTGGATCACCTGAGGTCAGGAGTTTGAGACCAGCTTGACCAATATGGTGAAACACCATCTCTACTAAAAATACAAAAATTAGCCGGGTGTGGTGGCATGTGCCTGTAGTCCCAGTTACTCAGGAGGCTGAGGCAGGAGAATCACTTGAACCTGGGAGGCAGAGGTTGCAGTGAGCTGAGATCGTGCCACTGCACTCCAGGCTGGGCGACAGAGTGAGACTCCATCTCAAAAAAAAAAAAAAAAAAGGTGGGCACGGTGGCTCATGCCTGTAATCCCAGCACTTTGGGACGCCGAGGAGGGCGGATCACGAGGTCAAGCAATCGAGACCATCCTGGCCAACGTGGTGAAACCCCCATCTCTACCAAAAATACAAAAGTTAGCTGGGCATGATGGCGTGTGCCTGTAGTCCCAGCTACTCAGGAGGCTGAGGCAAGAGAATCGCTTGAACCCAGGAGGCAGAGGTTGCAGTGAGCCGAGATCGCACCACTGCACTCCCGCCTGGTGACAGAGCAAGACTCCATCTCAAAAAAAAAAAAAAAAAACCCACAAAAAACAAAAACAAAACCAAAAAACAGAAAAACAGAACCCAGAGCTGAGCAACGATCTTTGCAGTCTGGGCCTCTAACCTGGGAGAGAAAACTGGGTTCTGAGTCCCGCAGAAGTGTGGAGATCAGGACCCACGCACTGAAAGGACTCTGAGGGTGAAGCGTGGGTGAGGGCCCAGGGAAAAGAAATGCTTGACTAAGCAGCACACTGTGGCCTGGCTTCCCTTGGAAATACTTCACCTCTCCGCCGCCCACTGGCACAGTGAGGAAGATCTCTTTGCTGTCAGCAAGAGGGCTGCCATTCCCTGAGATGTTGTAAATCCGCTCTCCTGCTGCTGGAGTACGCAGGCCAGGGGTCTTGAAGACCCTAGAATGGGAAAATCTCTGTGAAGATAGCTTGGCAATTGGATGACACCAAACTCTATAGGCCATTTTAACCTTACTCTGGCCTCAAGTTGCAGTTTTTAAGTCATACATTCCTAAGAAAGCACGTTCTAAATTTAGAAAAAAAAAATGTTTTAAAGCAGTAATGACTAAACACAGCTGGAGAAAGAAGGTTGTAATTATTGAACATACATCTTACAAAAAGCCAACTCTTATCCACATAAAGTTTAGGTCCAAAGCTCCATATGGGTGCCATCATCCATCCATCCACAAAGCCAGAAATACGCTGGTTAATTGTTTCCAGGCGTGGCTGCTTCCATCAAGAGGAATTTTTCAGAGGCAAAGGAGGATGATTTAGATATTACATCATTATACTAATTTCTCAAGACAGTTAAAATACTGCTACCTAGTTTTCCCTAAATGCCTTTTGTTACATATTCATGTGAGAAAACAAACAGTAAAGAAAAGTGGGAACTGGCTGAGTGCCGTGGCTCATACCTGTAATCCCAGCACTTTGGGAGGCCGAGGGGGGTGGATCACCTGAGGTCAGGAGTTCGAGACCAGCCTGGCCAACATGGCAAAATCCTGTCTCTATTAAAAATACAAAACTTAGCTGGGCATGGTGGCATGTACCTATAATCTCAGCTACTCAGGAGGCTGAGGCAGGAGAATTGCTTGAACCTGAGAGGTGGAGGTTGCAGTGAGCCGAGATTGTGCCATTGCACTCCAGCCTGGGTGACAGAGCGAGACTCCGTCTCAAAAAAAAAAAAAAAAAAAAAAAAAAAAAGTGGCAATTAAAAGTAGAAAATAAATCTTCAACACTTCCCCACACCAGAGATAACCACTTCTTGCTCTCCTCCCCAGGGGTAACCACTCTGAATTCCTTATCTATCCTTCCAGAAACTTTGTATGTATATAAAACCAAATGGGATCATACAGCACAGTGTTCAGCAACCTGCTCGGAGATGCTCTGTGATCACGGTGCTCTTTCCCTGTCAGCACACACAGATCCAGTCTTTTTTAATGGCTATACAGCATCTCCTATTTGGTCAACTAGGTTCTTTGGAAGGTATTAACTTATGCTGCAAGAATATCCTCGCTTATGCCAGCCTCCAAAAAAGCAGTATCAATTTTTACTTCTACCAAGAGTACAGGAGAGTGCCTACTCATCTTTAAAAAACTGATTTGAGGCCGGGTGTGATGGCTCATGCTTGTAATCCCAGTACATTGGAAGGCCGAGGTGGGCAGATTGCTTGAGCTCAGGAGTTCGAGACCAGCCTGGGCAACCTGGCGAAATCCCATCGCTACAAAAAAACAAAAAATTAGCCAGGCATGGTGGCATGCTTGGGAGCTAAGGTGGGAGAAGCACTTGAGCCCGGGAAGTCAAGGTTGCAGTGAGCCGTGATTGTGCCACTGCTCTCCAGCCTGGGCATTGGAGTGAGACCCTGCCTCATAATAAATAAATATTTTAAAAATAAAATAAAAACCTTCTGATTTGAATCAGAAAAGGCCAAAAACGTCACCTAGAGGCCTCCTAGTCATCACAGGCAGAATATTCACCTCCCTCCCATTAAAGAATCATTTTGCCACTGAAGATAGGTGAAACTACACTTAAGGGAGAGGCATACACCAGGAAACCCAGCTGGCCACTGTCCTCTGACAAGGCATCCCAGGCCAAGGACTCGGGACTATTTTCTTTTCTTTTCTTAAGACAGAGTCTCACTCTGTTGCCCAGGCTGGAGTGCAGTGGTGCAATTGCAGCTCACTGCAACCTCCACCTCCTGGGTTCAAGCAATTCTCCTGTCTCAGCCTCCTGAGTAGCTGGGATTACAGGCGTGCACCACCACACCCAACTAATTTTTGTATTTTTAGTAGACGCAGCGTTTCATCATCTTGGCCAGGCTGGTCTTGAACTCCTGACCTCAAGTGATCCGCCTGCCTCGGCCTCTCAAAGTGCTGGTATTACAGGCGTGAGCTACCGTGCCTGGCCTAGGAGTATTTTCTTAGACACTCCTTCTCTGGGTAGTGCTCAATGTTGGAGTCCCATCAAATCCAAGTGTTTCCCTCGATACTCACCTTGAGTCAAACCTGGGTGTCAGGCCTGGAGTTGGTTTGACCATGGACACCTCCAATCGGCCCACGGCTGGGGTAACAGTGTTAGCACGGCTTGACCTACAGGTAAGAAATGGCCATCAGGTATGCCAACTCTCAGGTTCCACGAAGGCAGCAGCAGAGGAGTGACACGTGGAGAGCTGACTGTGAGATACTGCTCCGGGCGCCTCGCACACATCGACTCACGTGACCCTTCTAACACGGGAGGCCAGCACTGCTGCCATCCTCATACACAGATGCAGAAACTCAGGTGCATCAAGTTTTAAAAACTTGCCCAAGATCACATATCCAATTAGGATGGAGCCAAAACTTTGAACCAAAGTAGTCTGCCTCCAGAATCTGACTTTTTTTTTTTTTTTTGAGACGGAGTCTTGCTCTGTTGCCCAGGCTGGAGTGCAATGGCGTAATCTTGGCTCACTGCAACCTCCACCTCCTGGGTTCAAGCGATTCTCCTGCCTCAGCCTCCCGAGTAGCTGGAACTACAGGCATGCACCACCACACCTGGCTAATTTTTGTATTTTTAGTAGAGACAGGGTTTCACCATGTTGGCCAGGCGGGTCTCAAACTCCTGACCTCAAGTGATCCACCTGCCTTGGCCTCCCAAAGTGCTGGGATTACAGGTGTGAGACACCACACTCAGCCTCAGAATCTGACTTTTTAATCAAGGAGACAGCCTCTTCATGCGAAGGCTCCCCCAGCTGGAATTCTGTCCTTGTGCCAGGCAGCTGCTGCACTGCTCAAGAGAAATGAGTTCGC
The DNA here is from genome assembly GCF_000001405.40 of Homo sapiens. NCBI lineage: Eukaryota > Metazoa > Chordata > Mammalia > Primates > Hominidae > Homo > Homo sapiens. Next base: position 37,702,555 of record NC_000001.11, on the reverse strand, counting down.
TCCTCCACAGACATGCATCCCGGTGACTACTCTCCTAAGCTGCTGTACCTTCCCCCACATGGCTTATGGTAGAGTCCAGTATAATCAACTCAAGCCCATAGAGGTTCTTCACTTTGCAGGACTGGACAAAACATTTCAAGAAACCAATTATAGGTAAGTGACAGCCACTCTATGACGAGCTATGGGGTAGCTCTACATATGGACTATCAGGAACTGAAACATAACAGGCAGTTCTTGCTATACTTAAAAAAAAAAAGTGGGGGCTGAGGTGGGTGGATCACCTGAGGTCGGGGGTTCAAGACCAGCCTGACCAACATGGAGAAACCCCGCATCTACTAAAAATACAAAATTAGCCGGCATGGTGGCACATGCCTATAATCCCAGCTACTCGGGAGGCTGAGGCAGGAGAATCATTTGAACCCGCGAGGCAGAAGTTGCAGTGAGCCAAGATTGCACCATTGCACTCCAGCCTGGCCAACGAGATTGAAACTCCGTCTCAAAAAAAAAAAAAAAAAAAAGTGGGGAAGGATAGAGAATGTACATTAAAGTACTGGAGATGGTTTTGGTTTAGGTCATTTCTAGAGACCCCTCCAGCTTGGATACTCAAGGATTCAGTGATTTTAAGCTGCTTTCAAACACTAGCCACCAGAGCCTTTTCACTGCCCCTCACTTTCTGCCATGATATATATGGCTCTCCAATAAAACCCAAAACACCACAACTTTAGAAAATCCACTACCTTTTCCCTTTTCCTTTTCCTTGTATGGACTGAGTTCTCTTCTTGGATGGAGGACACCTTTTGACCTGCAGTCACAATCAAATGAGACTAAGGTTACAAAAAACCCAGCAAAGAGGAAGGTAAGGAGGGTTTTTTTTTTTTTTTTAAAGCATTAAGAACAAGCTTTGGATAGTTAATACTAAATATAATAAGGTGTATCTCAGAATTCAATGACTTAAAAAGTTCAGAACATAACTAATTGAATAAGGACTTCCACTGGCTGGGTTTTCAAAATAGAGGATTTTGACCAAGATTAAAGGTAAATCTCTTTTGAACTGATTGCAGCCTGGCTTGTACCCCACTACTTTACATAAAGGGCTGCTGTGAAGGTCACTCAGGGCGTCCCAGGTGCCCAATCAAAGGCAAACCCTGCAGTGCTCCCTTCCTGGGGCCTGGGAGGTCCCTGGCAAGAATCACTCCTTATCTTCCATATATTCTCTCCTCCCTTGTCCTCCGTGATGGATCTGTCTTTCCTGCTTCTCTAACTTCCTTGGCAGTCTGCCTTAGGAGCTCCTCTCTCTACCCTCCCTCTAGTGTCCACCCTGACTCCCTCCCTTCCTGCTCTCCCTGCACAACCATCTCCACTCCCACACTGGGACAAACACCTAAAGATCTGGGAGGCAGTGTATCTCTCAAATCTCCCTCTTCTCCCTGAGCTCCAGGCTGAAATTTCTGTCTAGCCTAGATGTCCTGGAAAAGTAATGAATGGTCAACATGTCATGCAATTGGCATGTGCTCCACCACCCCCAGTCCAGCACCCTCTGCCACCTGGGTCCCACACCTCACTGGATAGCATTTGCCTTAGCTAGAAACCATGCAGTTGTCTCTGATTCCTCCTTTTCTCCACCAACCATGCCACTTCTTTCTAAAACCTATCTAAAAACCATCCCTTCATTCTATAGTGTCAGCATGTCAGTTCAAGAATTCATAGGCTTCTAACTGGTTTCCTCATCTTCAGTTTTCCGCCTCCCCCATCTATCCTGAATACTGTTCCTCTTCCCTTTCTTCTCTAGCTAGTAGACTCTCACTCACCTTGAAAGGCCTGTCTATGTCCTAGTGGGGTAGGGGAGGCTTGCTAGCTTCCTCTTCTGTGTTCTACACACTTTGCACACCAGTCAATTATCTCTTTTGTCATTGCCATGTAAAGTAGGATCATCTCTACTAAACTGTGAGCTCTGGTGTACAACAGTGTATTTTATGCATTTGTATTTGCTTGTCTTGTGATAACCCCCAGCCTCCAACCTCAGTGTCCACTTACTCTTGCAGTTTGAAGATTCTTACGTTCATTTTCTTCTTCTTCTTCCTCTTCCACTATCATTTCATCTACCTGTATTACCTTTCGTGCTGTAAGAAACAGTTTCAACAGGGTGGTATTTCTGATGAAAATAAAGTTTTGTGCATTCACATTTCTTATAGGAATAAAATGTACACAATCTTAAGCTGCAAGGAAGAAATGGACTAAAAATAAAGAAGACTTTTTAAGAAAGAGGGTTTAGACAAAGGAAACTAACCAGAGTGTTAAGAGACCCCATATGATGCTTTGTAGGGACAGCCCAGCATTCTGAATAATTGAGCTTGCCCTGCCTACTGTAGAGCGTGCCCTGGTGTGTAGCCCCGAAATCCTGGCCATGGGTCAGGATGTTCTTATAAGAATTGGATGCATCAAACTATCATAGCTTAATGACAGTGACATTAAGTCCATGTCACAATTCATCCTGATCCGATTCCTTGCTCACTAGTCAAAACCTGGTTTCCCATACAACTTTTCCTATAAGACAGTGTTTCTCAGAGTGCGGGACATGTATGTAAGATGATTTTATGTGGATAGATCATGGAATTGAGTAACTTTTTTTTTTTTTTGAGACAGAGTCTCGCTCTATCGCCCAGGCTAGAGTGCAGTGGCATGATCTCAGCTCACTGCCAGCTCCACCTCCCGGGTTCACGCCATTCTCCTGTCTCAGCCTCCCAAGTAGCTGGGACTACAGGCGCCCGCCACCACGCCCGGCTAATTTTTTGTATTTTTTAGTAGAGACGGGGGTTCACCGTATTAGCCAGGATGGTCTCGAACTCCTGACCTCGTGATCCACCCACCTCGGCCTCCCAAAGTGCTTGGATTACAGGCGTGAGCCACCACGCCTAGCTGAGTAACTTTTTTTTTCCTTTCCTTTCCTTTCCTTTCCTTTCCTTTCCTTTCTTTCTTTCTTTTTTTTTTCAGAGACAAGGTCTCACTACATTGCCCAGGCTGGTCTTGAACTCCTGGGCTCAAGTAATCCTCACAGCTTGGCCTCCCAAAGTGCTGGGATTACAGGCGTGAGCTACCGCACCTGGCCTGAATTGAGTAATTTTGAATTATATGCAGAGAAAGTCATTCCTTTTTCAATTCGCTTTCAACTTTGTTGATTACATCAGGGAGCGTCTCAGTTGGTGTTACCAGTCTTTTAACACCTCTCTAAATCTTGTCATCTATTTAACCCAGGAGAAAGTAAGCAGGCAACAATGTTTGGTTTCTAGCACAGCTTTTTTCCCCCCTTTTTTCACTTTCATTTTAGCTCGCACACGGGTCTTGAGTTTGGTTTTTAGCAGTCCTGCCTAAAATTAACTAAATTTCTGGTTTGAATTGCTGTTCGGGGGAAAAAAAATTAACTAAATGCACCATCCAAAAGCAAGTTTTTGGATTTACAAGATTAAGAACCAGACATTAAAGGGAAGAGGCTCTACCAACAAGGCGCTGCCTGAGCAGCCAACCAAGCAACCTGAGCCTCAGTTCTTTCTGTACAACAAGGAGTTTTGAAAGGTACTCACTTTTGGCAGATTTCAGGGGTGTCTGAATAGCTTCTGCTGTTAGTTTGTTTATTTCGGTGATATCCAGGTCAGCCTATGACAAACATAGCCAGAAAGCACCAGGCTTATTCCACCAAAATATGAGGAACAATATTTCAAGATAAAAACTTTTTTAAAACTATTATTTAATACATAAGACTGTTAAATGTTAGTGATACAATATACAATATAGCAAACTCCCATAAACCCACCACACAGCCCAAGACCTAAAACATTGCCAATAACTTGCTTCTGGCTCTGTATTCATTCCTTGTTCCATTTTCTTATCTCTTCTTCCAAAGGTGATGAGTCTCCTAATCCTTCATTCCCCAGGGGTAACCATATCATTGCACTTGCTTTATCGAAAGGTACATGTGTATGTGCTCACAGATACATGCATATGTGTGTATACATGTGTGCACACACAGATGTGCTTTTTCACAAGTGTGTACTTAAGCATTTTGTTTGGTTTTGGCTGTTTTCACCACTCTTTGTGGTTGTAGTTAATTTGTTTTCATTGCTATATCATATCCCACTGTGTGAATATACCACAATGGATTTGTCCATCTTCCATCAATAGTTTCCTGCTATTATAAACACTGCTACCTTGAACTGTCTTACATGTGTCTGAGGTACATGTCCAAGTTTCCCCTTGGCTCTATCCTTTGGATAGGACATGACAGGGATTATAGGTTACATAAATATTCAGCCTTCGCATTATGCCAAATTGTTTCCCAAAGTGGTTACCCTTGACTACAGCCCATCTGCAAACAATACAAGTTCCTAATGATCTACATCCTCTACAACACTTGGTGGTGTGTCAAGCTTACCATTTTTTCGATAAATCTACAGGGTCTCAATAAGGTTTTCTATGATGATCCTGGGTCCTTCAAAAAGGCTTCCAGTCACCATTCAAATTCGTTTTTTTTTCATATGGTAATAAGTATGGGCACTACAAAGAGCAGTCATGATTCACAGTCCTTTCCTTATAGAACACATGTAAACATCAGAATAATTACTACAGGTTTGGAATGGCACAGGTTTCATTTCTGGTAGGGACTGCTTGACATACTCAGAGAAGGATTCTGAGGCTGTCTTAGGCTTAGCAAGAAATAGGGCTGTAATAAGTTACTGATGTTTGCCAGGCTTGATGCAACAGAAAGTAGGGGCATTCCTGCCAACCTTCTGCCATCTCTAGAAACAACTGGCATTTTATGGAGTCATCAGTGGTGGCAGGCCACTGGGCATCTACTGTGCAGGACAGTTAACAGAGCAGGCCTGAGACTGATACACATAGAAAGGCCTGTTTGCAAGCCTGGCCTCGGTTGGCATCTGGGAACTTGATTTCAGAAAGATTCCCACCTTTCCTTAACAAGATGCCTCACTGTGCCTAAACTTTATGCAAACAATATGGCTCATGCTGAACACCTACTTCCCTCCTGAAAGTCTAGGATTTTGACATGTGCTAGGCAGAGGATGCCTATGTGAGCAGCCCCCAGTTAAAACTCTGGGCATTGACTCTCTAATCAGATTTTCTGGTAGACAGCATTTCATATGTGTTGAATTAAGCATGTTCTGTTTGACTCTACAGGGAGTGGACTCCTAGAAGCCTGGTTTCCTCTGGACTTTGTCCTATGCAATTTTCTCCTTTGTTGATTAATGCTTTGTATACTTTCACTGTAATAAATCATCGCCATGGGTGTGACTGTATGCTGAGCCCCATGAATCCTCCTAGTGAATCACCAAACCTGGAGGTGGTCTTGGGAGCCCCAACACACTTCCCAACTAAGAGCTTTTATAGATTTTCTATCGTTCCTTTCTGGAGTTTTAAATCATATTAGTCAAGGCTAGAATTCTCTCAACTTGGTGTGGTAACAATGGCTCTCTCATATTACATTAGAAGTTCTCATTTGCAGTTCTGTATTTCTAATTTAAAAAGAGAGAACTGCATTAGCTAGTAAGCATAATTCATCTCAGAGGTAACTCTTTTAAAACATTGGAGCTCAGTGTATGTAGGGGGGTGAATAATCCCCACCTCTCTCCCAAATGCTCCAATTTTTTCCAAATTGATAATTGGCTCCTCATTACCTTTACCTTCTGAATGAAGCTGGCGGAGATCTGCTATGTGCCCTTGGTGGTCAGACTCCTTCAAACCCTGATATTCCAAATGATTCTGATCAACTCAACAAAAGATGTAATTTTGGGGTTTACTTTGTAAATCTGATCAAGGCTACAATAAACTAACAGAAAGATACACAAATGCGTGCATACACACGCATTGTTTGTATATTATTTTAGAGTGCCTAGGGACTCTGTGAAGCCCATGTATGGACTAGTTCCCAATGCTGTCTCATAAAACTTTCTGCAAGAGTAGCAATGTTCTATTTCTGTGCTCTCTGATGGAGTAGCTACTAGTCATATGTAGGTATTGAACATGTAAAATGTGGCTAGTATGTCTGAGGAAATGAATTCTTTAATTTTATTAATTGTAATTAACTGAAATAGCTACATATGCCCAGTGGCTACTACACTGGACAGTGCAGCTTTAAATGCTCTATTTTGCATCCCCATCTTACTGCCTTCAATCCTGGCACTGATGCTGGGAGGAAGGAGATGAGAGGGGTTGGGGAATACTGAGCATCCCAAGCAAAAGCACTGCTTCTACAGTACGACATGATGAAACACCTTTATCATCTAGCAGGCCAATGCATAGTGTAATGACTCAGGCGCTTAAAGGAACTTGGGCTTGAGGCTTTCTACTTCCGCTGTAGAGTTCAGAACAAAGGACTGCAAGAAATTGGTCAAAAACAGAACTGCCACCTTCTGTAGGGCTCAGAACTATCTGGGTCTCATGTATACAGTGTCTGGTCCAACTCTAATTTTTCAGTTGACACAAACAGATGATGTCCCTTTATGAAACCTCTTCCACAGTAAGCATCTATTAGTTGGATCTGGGGACTGGACTAGACTTAAGTAACCACTGGCTGGAAAATAGGAAAGGTCACTTACTGTTGCCGCCTCTTCCAGGGCCTGTTTGTTTCCTCCAAGGGCTTTAAAAAGAACGTTGTAGTTACTATTACATTTTAACAATAAATCATCTTGCCTAATAGTACCATTTATCTTTCTAAAACTGGTCCAGCCCTTGGTCTAACCTTCAAGGACCTTCACCATCTAATCTATTCTTTCTCCAAGTTATATCCCAAATGTGCCACTGACTCTCATGACTTGTTGCCATGGTACTTTGTATTTCCTCTGCCTGAAATTCACCTCCGTACTTAACAAATTTCTAACTCATCCTTCAAAACTCAGCTCAAACATCACCCCAAAAATTCTGCTTATTTTTCTTTTTAAAAAATATATTTTAAATTTTATTTATTTTTGAGACAGAGTCTTGCTCTGTCACCCAAGCTGGAGTGGAGTGGCGCCTCCTTGGCTGTCTCCTGGGCTCAACTGATCCTCCCACCTTGGCCTCCCAAGTAGCTGGGACTACAGGCATGCGCCACCACATTCGGCTAATTTTTGTGTTTTTTTGTAGAGATAGGGTTTCGCCAAGTTGTCCAGGTTGTCTTTTTTTTTTTTTTTTTTTTTTTTAAGTAGAGATGTGGTCTCCTGCTATGTTGCCCAGGCTGGTTTTGAACTCCTGGGGTCAAGTGATACTCCTGCCTTGGCCTCCCAAAGTGCTAGGATTATAGGCATGAATCCCCACCCTATGCCCTGCCCTCTGCTTATTTTTCTTTTTTAAAAATTTATTTTTAATTATTTTTTTTAAAGCTTAAAGATATGGTCTTGTTATGTTGCCCAGGCTGGTCTCAAATTCCTGGGCTCAAGTAATCCACCTGCCTTGGCCTCCCAAAGTGCTGGAATTCCAGGTGAGCCACTGTGCCCAGCCTGCTTATTTTTCTATCTCAGCAGTTTGCTGCAAAGTGTAGAGTTAGTTGCTCACCCTCATTATACCCAATAACTACTCAAAGCTGTTTAAATGTCCATCCCTGCCTTGGACTGAATTCCAGAGATGACATCCTTTGCTTCTGGCAAAAATCTAGCAGTCAATAGATGTACAGTAAACGTGTTGAATGAAAAGGTCTTTGTGAGATTTACATGTAGAATAAAAAGTTAGGTTAGAACCTCCTGCTAGAAACTCTCATAGTATCTTGTAAAACAGTTAAGATCTCAGGCTATGAAACCAGAATACCTGGGTTCAAACAGACTATCCCACTAACTAGCTTATGAGGCCTTGAGCAAAGTGTCCAATTTCTCTGTGCCTTAATCTTGTCATTTTGAAAAATAGGGATATTATTAGTTATGAAGAAAAATTAGTTAATGTATGTAAAACACTTGGTACAATGCCCATCTGGCATAGAAAGCACAATATGCTCACTGACCACTACTCTATTCTATCTCCTTTGTAGTACCTATACTTTTAATTACATAATTGTATGTGGATTTTTCTAATAGCTCTTTTCTACTAATCTGTATGTTCCTGAAGGCAGAGACAATGTCTGTTTTATTCCCTAGTGCATCTTTAGCACCTAGCACTGTGACTGACACATGCTCAGTATTTGGAGAAATAAGCAAATGAATGGCTTAATAAATAAAAGGGCAAGTCAAAAGGATCATTCAATGTCTAATATGTGAGCAGACCATGCATTTCTATCCAGGAAGGAGACTACATGCTGGATAGTTAATAATAAGGAAAACAGAAAAGGGCAACCCAGCAGAAAAGTACAGCCTCCTGCATTTCTCCGGACATTTAATAAGGGAGTGCAGAAACAGGCTGGGATTTTTCTCTGGCCAGGAAAACTGATGTGTCTTTTTTTTTGAGACGGAGTTTCACTCTTGTTGCCCAGGCTGGAGTGCAATGGCGTGCTCTCAGCTCACCGCAACCTCTGCCTCCCAGGTTCAAGCGATTGTCCTGCCTCAGCCTCCAGAGTAGCTGGGATTAGAGGTATGCGCCACCACGCCCGGCTAACTTTTTTGTATTTTTAGTAGAGACAGGGTTTCTCCATGTTGGTCAGGCTGGTCTCGAACTCCTGACCTCAGGTCATCTGCCCGCCTCAGCCTCCCAAAGTGCTGGGATTACAGGCGTGAGCCACCACGCCCAGCCTGATGCGCCCATTTTTAGGTTAGCAATTTCCATAAGCTGCAGAAGGAGCTGCTTCGGGTTATTCTTCTATCTGAGCTCTGGTTAACTAACCATGTCATTTATTCATTCATTTTTAAATGGGTAAAATATACATATATTTTTAAAAATACTATTTTCTGGCCGGGCGCAGTGGCTGACTCCTGTAATCCCAGCACTTTGGGAGGCCTATGTAGGTGGATCACTTGAGGTCAGGAGTTCGAGACCAGCCTGGCCAACATGGTGAAACCCCGTCTCTACTGAAAATACAAAAATCAGCGGGGCATGGTGGCAGGCGACCGTAATCCCAGCCACTCCAGAGGCTGAGGCAGGAGAATCACTTGAACCCAGAAGGTGGAGGTTGCAGTGAGCAGGGATCGCACCACTGCACTGCACTGCACTCCAGCCTGGGTGACAGAGTGAGACTCTGTTTAAAAAAAATTAAATAAATTTCCTGATGTGTGAAAATTATGTGAAATTCACATTTCAGTGTATCCATAACTAAAATTTTATTGGAATACAGCCCATCCATGCCCATTCACTACAGCTGTTTTGGACCTGTAAACAGCAGAGCTGAGTTGTCCGACAGAGACCGCCCCGCCCGCCGCCCCCCAACCACCCCCCCATTTTTCATAGAGAAAAATGAAGTAGGGAAGTGAGACAGAGAGTGAAAGGGTCTGCAATTTTCCATAAGTGGTCATGTCAGATCTCATTAAAAGGTGACATCTGAGCGAGCCCTTTCTGAAGGGTGTCACCTAACCCCAAGGGGCTCCTGGCCTCCGCCCAGGGAAGCTCTCCAGCTCTTACCGAAGTAGTCAAGCCAGTTCATCTCGCGCAGAGCCTTGGGGAGCCGCAGGATCTCGATGTTGTAGAGGTTATCCACCTCCTTGAGGAGGTTCTGCCTGTCTGACTCAATTTGCTTGATTCGTATTTCCACTGCGGGAGGGCAGAGCCGACAGGACACGGGTCACGGGCGGGCGAATCTGTGCAGCTCGTGTCCCCACCCGCCAGCATCCCGCGACCGCCCCAGGAGGCCGCGACGGCCTGGCCCCTTACCTTCACGGTCGAAGTCTTTCAGAAAGGAGGCGAGCTTCCGCCTCCGTAAGGAGTTGGTCTTGGCCACCCGACTACTGCCCTTCCTAGGAGCCATGGCGCTCGGCGGAGGCTGCGGGGAGCGGCGGAGATGGGGCAGGGAAGCAAGAAACTGGGTAGGGACGAGGAGGGCGGACGGGGACCACCCGAAGAAGTCGCCAGGCACGTACCTGCGGTCCCGAGACAAGGGCTGAGCAAAACCTCGCTGTGCCAGTGAGAGAGAGCGGCTCTACAGTCAACCGCCACCCAATTCAAACTCCACAGTCACAGGCTGACGAATGAGAAGCCGCCGTCCCACAACATCCAATCACAAGCAAGTTCCTGCCGGCCCAGGGTCTTCCGCCCAATGCGCCCCCTATAGCCTGAGTGCGACAGCGAGGCCGCCGCCGTCGCGGGTACTCCTGGGAGTTGTGGTCCAGGCTTGTTTCCCCGCCCTCCCCACCAACCCACCCGGCTCCGCCCTGGCCGGCTGCGAACTATACAAACTACTACTCCCGGCAGGCCTTGTGGCGGCTCTGCAATACCCCAAGCTCTGGAGGGCTGGGGGCCTACTAGGTCAGGTCGGCTGTAGGATTCTGCTCCAGGGTTGGCGGCTGCTTCTTTCTGGCCTGGCTGCCACTGAGTAGCCGAGGGGCCGCCGTGACCCTCTGACTGATTGACTGGCTGGCTGCCTACGTCGGCGCTCCTCAGGGCCCCAAGCTCCTCAGGCCGAACTTCGGGCAAGTGGCGGGTCGGCAGAGACAGAGCAGCCCCGGCAGGGTTTGACAGAGCAAGGGGGACGGAATGATAGAGGAGCAGGGCAGGGGTGCAGGCTTTGGGGGGGGCGCGCTATCCCGCGGCCAGTCTGGGCAGCGAGTGGGGGGAACCCTGTCGTTCCTCGCTCCCCCGCGGGCCGGCCACTCCCGCCCAGTTCGCGTGTTGGCGCCTCGACTGGGTGCGCAGCGCGGGGCTGCGACTTCAGGTGCAAGTAGTGGCGCTTGGCAGCTGGCCACACGGTGACTGCAGCATGAGCCGCGGCCACCAGGCTCCAGGGAGCCCAGGGCAGGAGGCAGCTCTGGGTGTCGTGGCCGTGGGCCTGGGAATGGGCGTGTAGACGGCGAGCCCCGCCGAGCCGCGGTCCTGTCGGAGGTGCTAACTGTGCATCTTGGTATCTGCCCACGGCCACAGGGTTGGATTGCTCAAGAGTTGTGCTGAGACCCAGAAGGCTAGAGGCTAGTTTCGAAGCTGTAGCTCAGGCTGAGTCTCAAGGCGGGCGGCGACTGGACGGCCAGACCGGCGAGCTCTTGACGGGTTTGTGGCCTGATTGTTTGGATTTGGTGCTTTTCACCTGTGGATGCGGTCTGAAGCCATGTCAGAGGGGTTGTGTTTAAGCGTGCATGTTATAGGCTATGGGAGTGATAATCTTGCCTCTCCCCCTCTGAGTTGAGGAACAATCGAAGAAATAAGCAAAGGTGCCAAGCAGGCTCCTGATGGGCACCAGCGAGCTTGGGGACAGAGCAGTCCAAGCATAGAAGTCCTGGCAAGCCTGGACCTTCCTGGAAAGTCCTTTCTCTCTCTTCCACCCTGGTCTGTTGCTCCATATGCAACAAATATTTGAATGTCGCTCTTCCGCCCGAGGTCAGCCCTGGGCAGTGGGTAGTGGGGGTGACACCCCAGTCTGCTGGGTGCCTGAGGATCTCCATCAGTCAGATGGCCAAGATGAGACGGGATGACAACCCGTACCTCATGTAGGCTTTCCCCCTGCAGGTGTTTTTATGCTGCGCAAGTCGGGCTTCCAGCCTCTCGGTTTCAGGGTTTCCTTCACCCTACTCCCCAGTGAGCCCGAACTCCCTGGGCACCTAGGACGTCCACCTGCATTTTAGCCAGAGCTGCCACGTCAGGAGCCCGTGATTTACTAGTTTTTGCCAGTTGGTTGTGATACACAATGTCAAAAGTGTCATTAAGGCACAACCGGAGGCGCAAGATAAGAGGAAAAGACTCCACAGCTAACAGGACATGCCACCACCGCCACCCAATTTAAACTGCCGCAGGCTGACAAATGAGAAGTCGCCGTGTTTGGACGGTCCCAACATCCAATCCCAAGGAAGCTTCAAGCCGAGTGGCCAGTCCACATGTTGGACTACAGTACCCAGAAGTCATTGCGGCACTACGATATATTTTCGCGACTCAGTAGCCAGGCAGGCCCGCGGAGTAGCTTTGTGGGGAGGTCGCGTGTGAGCATGCGCAGAGAGACTGTGGGCGCGTGGTGCAGTCCCTGGAGGGTTCTCACGCTTTGGCTGTCTGGACTTTTAAGTTTTTCCGCTTTTTCAGGAAGGCGACCGGCAGCCTCGGGCAGGGGAGACAGGACTGTATGTCAGAGAAGAGACGGCGCTTGGACGCCAGGAATCCTCTGAAGCAGGAGACTGCCCTATCCAGGTTACCCTTCCCGAGGGGAAACCAGGGTCTCCTTCAGAAAGCTGAGGCAGGCCGGGCGCGGTGGCTCACGCCTGTAATCCCAGCACTTTGGAAGACCGAGGCGGGCGGATCACCTGAGGTCAGGAACCCCGTCTACTAAAAATACAAAAATTAGCCAGGCGTGTTGGCGGGCACCTGTATTCCCAGCTACTCGGGAGGCTGAGGCAGGAGAATTGCTTGAACCCGGGATGCGGAGGTTGCAGTGAGCCGAGATAGCGCCACTGCACTCCAGCCTGGGCGACAGTGAGACTCCGTCTCGAAAAAAAAACAAAAAAAAAACCCTGCTTCTGGAGGTGAGACAACTCCTGTCTGAACACGATAACAGAGATGACGCCCACCCTCGACCCAGTGCCTCCCCGACTGACTTGGCACCCCAACGTGGTTATTTTCTGTTTTTATCTTTTTCAGCAGAAGATGACTCAAGACCGGCCTCTGCTTGCCGTGCAGGAGGCGCTGAAGAAGTGCTTCCCCGTGGTGGAGGAGCAGCAGGGCCTGTGGCAGAGTGCCCTGCGGGACTGCCAGCCCCTCCTGTCCTCCCTCAGCAACCTGGCGGAACAGCTGCAGGCCGCACAGAACCTGCGGTTTGAGGATGTGCCGGCGCTTCGGGCCTTCCCAGATTTAAAAGAGCGGCTGAGGCGTAAGCAGCTGGTGGCTGGTGACATCGTCCTGGACAAGCTAGGGGAAAGGCTGTAAGCAGCTCCCTAGTGCTGTTTCTTGGTGGAAGGATTTTAAAACGAGGTGTTTTATATGTAGCTAGTGTCAGTCCAGAAGGTGTTTTTCTCCTTGAAAGCGTGGCATGTGGAGGTATCTCAACCTTCCTTACTTCATCTGGGGCAGTGGGACCTCGGTCAGAAAGCCATTTTCTGGCATTTTCTTTGTCAGAGACTAGGCATGGCAGTGGTGGGCTTAGTAGAAGTCACAAAAGAAGAAGAGAAAAGGAGCGGAGAAAGCCTATTAGCTCTGCCCTATAGTTTTCTTTGGTAAAAGGCAGTGAGGAGCTGTGTAAACTTAGTAGGTGCTAGAGCTAAGGGGTTTATGTATATTACGTTATAAAGTCTCTTCAACATATCTGTGACTTAACTGCACTTAATTCTATGCAGGTAGGAAACTGAAGCTTAAGCAGATTGCCCATGGTGACGCAGCTAGAAAAGGGTAGAGCTGGGATTCTAACTCAAGTGTGCCTGACACAAAGGCTAGAGCTCTTAATCACCACTTTGTTCTGCTGTAGATTGGTGTCTCTGTGCCCAGGAGTAGCACGTCTCCAAGTTCTGATATGCTTGTTGTCAGACCCAGTGCCTGCGTTACAGATTTTTTTTTTTTTTTTTTTTTGAGACAGGGTCTTGCTCTGTCACTCAGGCTGGAGTGCAGTGGCACAATCACAGCTCATTGTAGCCTCGATTTCCCTGGTTCAAGCGATCCTCCCACCTCAGCCCCCCAAGTACCTGGGACAACAAGCGTGCACTTCCATGCCCAGCTAATTTTAAAATTTTTTGTAGAGATAGGGTCTCACTATGTTGCCCAGGCTGAGAGTTACAGGTTATTGAGGACAGAGGGGAGACAGGGCATGTGTGGCCTTTCCTTGAACTGGAACAAAAGAAAGTTCCAGTATATAGAGTCTGTCATAGACTAATAGGAAACTGTCACAGATGAGGACTTTCCTTTTATTTATTTGTACAAAATACGTTCATTAGGCACCTTGTGGGATGCCAAGCACAAGGTGCCAAGAATATAAAAATGAACCAGATTTAGTTCCTGTTCTTAGTTGAGTAGAAGAAATAAACAATCAGTGAATTAAATTGTGGGATGTCCTAAGATATTGATAAGTACGGCTTGTGTGGAGTGGGGAAGTTTCTGGGGAGGAAGTGATATTAAAAACCTAATGGTTGAAAAGATGTAAACAGAGTCAAGACGTGGGTATGAGTAGTGTGCATAGAGAATAGTATGACTGGCCCGGCACGGTGGCTTATGGCTGTAATCCCAGCACTTTGGGAGGCAGATCACTTGAGGTCAGGAGTTCGAGACCAGCCTGGCCAACATGGTGAAACACCATCTCTACTAAAAATAAAAAAAGTTAACTGGCTGTCGTGGCACACACCTGTAGTCCCAGCTAAAGGGGAGGCTGAGGCAGGAGAATCTCTTGGACCTGGGAGGCAGAGGTTGCAGTGAGCCAAGACTGTCCCACTGCACTCCAGCCTGGGTGACAGAGCAAGACTCTGTCTCAAAAAAAGAGAGAAAAGTATGACAGGAGCAGAGGCCTGGTAAGAGATGAGATCAGCTGGGTATGGCAGCTCAGCCTGTAATCCCAGCACTTAGGGAGGCTGAGGCAGGAGGATCGCTTGAGCCTAGAAGTTTGAGACCAGCCTGGGCAACATAGTGAGATCCCATTCTCCATGAAAAGGAAAGCAAAACAAAAAAAAGATGAGGCCAGGTACGGTGCCTCACTCCTGTAATCCCAGCACTTTGAGAGGCTAAGGACAAGAGGATCATTTGAACCCAGGAGTGCTGTGAGTACCTATGAGTGCTTTACTTAATATTTTGTCTTTTATTTATTTTTATTTTATTTTTAGAGACAGTCTCACCCTGTTGCCCAGGCTGAAGTGCAGCGGTATGATCATAGCTTACTGTAGCCTCTAACTCCTCCTGCCAGCCTCCTGAGTAGCTGGGATTCCAAGAGCATGCCACCATACCTAGCTAATTTTTAAAATTTTTTGTGGAGATAGTCTTGCCATATTGCCCAGGCTGGTCTCAAATTCCTGGCTTCAAGCTGTCCTCTGGCCTTGCCCTCCCAAACTACTGGGATTACAGGCATGCCACTGCACCTGTTTTTTTTTTTAAATGTTTTAATTAAAAAAAAATATATATTAGCTGGGCACGGTGGCTCATGCCTGTAATCCTAACACTTTGGGAGGCCGAGGTAGGTGGATCACCTGAGGTCGGGAGTTCGAGACCAGCCTGACCAACATGGAGAAACCCCGTCTCTACTGAAAAAAAAATACAAAATTAGCCGGGTGTGGTGGCGCATGCCTGTAATCCCAGCTACTCAGGAGGCTGAGGCAGGAGAATCACTTGAACCCGGGAGCCAGAGGTTGTGGTGAGCCAAGATCGCACCATTGCACTCCAGCCTGGGCGACAAGAACGAAACTCCATCTCAATAAAAAAACAAAAAACAAAAACAAAAACTATACACACACACACACACACACACACACACACACACACACACACACACACACACTTTTGAGACGGAGTCTCGCTCTGTCACCCAGGTTGAAGTGCAGTGACGCGAACTTGGCTCACTGCAACCTCTGCCTCTGGGTTCAAGTGATTCTCGTGCCTCCCGAGTAGCTGGGTCTACAGGTGTGCACCACCACACCTGGCTAATTTTTGTATATTTAGTAGAGACGGGGTTTTGGGACATTGGCTGGTCTCAAACTCCTGACCTCAGGTGATCCACCCCGCTCAGCCTCCCAAAGCTGGGATTACAGGCAACAGCCTCTGCACCCAGCCCCTTTCTTGATTCTTGAGCCACCCGTACCTCCAAGACACTGTCACTAATCTCCTTAGACCAGTGGTCTCAATTGGAGATGGTTTTTCTATGAGGGGACATTTGGCATCATCTAGAGGCATTATTGGTTGTTATGGCTTATGGAGGGTATAGGTATAGTTTACACCTGTCATTTAGTGGGTAGGGGCCAGGCATGCTCCTACACGTCCTACAATGTACAGGGCAGCCCTTCACAACAGAGAATCATGTAGTCCAAAATATCAGTAGTGCCAAAATTGAGAAACCTTCCTTTATACATGTCTCATGATATTGCCTAATGTCAGACTCTTTCTTGCAGAGCCATCCTCCTCAAGGTGCGAGACATGGTCAGCAGCCATGTGGAGCGAGTGTTTCAGATCTATGAGCAACACGCAGACACAGTTGGCATTGATGCTGTCCTGCAGCCTTCAGCAGTGAGCCCCTCTGTGGCTGACATGTTGGAATGGTTGCAGGATATTGAGAGACATTATCGAAAGTCGTATCCTTTGCACACATTTCAGGTCACAGCCAGAGCTGTTCTAAGTCTTTCAAATTTCAGTTTTCACAAGATTGGAAAACTAAGTAGTTTGAGTCAGTTCTCTTTGGTTCCTGAACTTGGATTCTTCCTGCATTCCTTTGTATAATCCTTCCTCTAATAATTTATCGAGTAGCTACTACCTGTCAGGCACTGTTCTTGGTGCAAAGAGACAGGCATTGAAAAAGGCAAGTAGAATGCTGAATGGCGATAAGTGTTATGGAGAAAAATAAAGCAGGGAAAGTGAGGAGTGAGGGTGGAGTTGTGATTTAAAATAGGGTGGTCAGAGCAGGCTTCATGAGAAAGTGATATTTGAGCAGAGATCTGAAGAGGGTAAGGGAAAGAGCTATGTGGCTATTTGGGGAGAGAAAGTTACTAGGCAGAGGAAACATCAAATGCAAAGGCCTTGTGGTAAGAACATTCCTGGTCTATTCAGGAAATAGTAAGGAGGCTAGACTGGAGCATGAGGAGGAGCCTAACAGCAGGTGAGGGTAGAAAGACAGGGGGCTCGACTTTCTAGGGCCTTGAAGGTCTTTGAAAGAATTTGGGGTCTGGGCGTGGTGGCTCACACCTGTAATCCCAGCCCTTTGGGAAGCTGAGGTGGGAGGACTGCTTGAGCCCGAGAGTTTGAGACCAGCCTGGGCAACATGGTGAAACGCCGTCTCTACAAAAAATACAAAAATTAGCCAGGCATGGTGGTATGTGCCTGAAGTCTGTAATCCCAGCTACTCGGGAGGGTGAAGCTGGAGGATTGCTTGAACTGGGGGAGGTCAAGGCTGCAGTGAGCTGAGATCGTGCCACTGCACTCCAGCCTGGGTGATAAAGTGAAACTCTGTCTCCAAAAAAAAAAAAAAGAATTTTGGGCCAGGCATGATGGTGTGCAGCTATAGTCCCAGCTACTCAGGAGGCTGAGGTGGGAGGGTTGCTTGAGCGTGGGAGGTCAAGGCTGCAGTGAGCCTTGATTGCCAGCCTGGGTGTGATCACCAGCCTAGGTGACAGAGCAAGACCCTGTCTCAAACCACCCCCCGCCCACCCCCCCCCCCCAAAAAAAAGCATTCGAGTGACAGAAAAACCTCTTAGAAACTTGATTAAGGAGTAACAGGATAAGACCTATGTTTTTAACAGTATCATTCTGGCTTCGTTCTAGGGTAAGATTTGGGGTAGTGGGGGCAAGGGTAAAAGCAGAAAGACCAGTTAGTTGAAGCTCTAACATTTTTCTCTCAAAAAAATTTTTTTTTTGCCTAGGAGATGGGGTCTTGCTGTGTTGACCAGGCTGGTCTTGAACTCCTGGCCTTGATGATCCTACCTCCTTGGCTTCCCAAAGTGCTAAGAGTACCGGTGTGAGCCACCATGCCTGGTCTTCTCTCAATTCTTGTCTGACACCTGATTTTAGCCTCTAGCTTAGGTTTCTGCCTTCATGTGAATAATTCCCAAACCCCAACTTTTCTTGTCTCTGGTCTTGACTTTTGGTTTCCTGCAGATGCCTCCAACTGGATTGTTCTTAGAACTGCAAACTCAAGTTTAAAATTGAACTCCTCAATCTAGCCCTCAAATTCAGCCCCCTTTTCCTTGAGTCGTAGAACCCACCCTGTTTTCTCTTTTATTTATTTATTTTTTGAGACAGAGTTTTGCTCTTGTTGCCCAGACTGGGGTGCAATGGCACGATCTTGGCTCACTGCAACCTCCACCTCCCGAGTTCAAGCAATTCTCCTGCCTCAGCCTCCCAAGTAGCTGAGATTACAGACACCTGCCACCACGCCTGGCTAATTTTTGTACTTTTAGTAGAGAGGCGGTTTCACCATGTTGGCTAGGCTGATCTGAAACTCCTGACCTCAGGCCTCCCAAAGTGCTGAGATTACAGGCTCGAGCCACCGCGCCCGGCTTATTTTCCCTTTTAAATGCATTGGTAGCAGTAGTAGTAACAGCAACAGGAGCATGGGCAGAAGGAGCAAGAGCTGCGGCTGACATTACTAAGCACTTGCTATGTGCTAGAATGTTTACACAGTCACTTGTCAAGTCCTTTCCTTCTGTTTCCCTGGTGCTTCTTTGATTTTCCCTCTCTGTCCCCATCCCCTCTGTTGCTTACATGGCTTCTTAGCTCTCACTTGGACTCTTAATTGCCTCTTGACAGTTTTCTCTGTCTAGTTTCTTTCCTTCTAAGCTGACTCCAATGAATGACCTCTATATCTGCAGGAAGTCTGGTTCTGATCCTGATAGTTAGGATCAGAATTGTTCTGTACTGTATAGGAATAGCTCCTGTTGCTAATGGGATAAAGTTCAGAGCCCTGCGTTGGTACTTGGTGTTCTTTCTGTTCTGGCTCAGCCCACCTTTCAGCCTTTCTGACTGCTCTCCATGTGGCGTCCATGCTGAGCAGACTGGAAGATTTGCTTTCCCTGAATTCATTCTATGCATCTCCACCTCTGTGCCTTTGTTCATGTTTCCTACCAGCTGGGGTGTCCCTGCTTCCTCTGAATTGGATGTATTTATCCTCTGAACCTCCGCTAGCTTTACCTCTCATGTCCCTTTTGTTCTTTCTTTTCAGGATCTGATTTTGTCCTCACCATGCTGAGATCCCAGATTTCAGGGATGGTTTCATTCCTCTTTCCCTGTAGCACAAAGCCATGTTAGTAAACAGTTGCTCAGGAAATATTTGTAGCATAGGTGAATCAGGCCCACCTGGTAAAATGTAAGGATATCTGCACTTTCACTTTTATGGCTCCCTCTGGTTCTCACCAGGGTGTTTTTTTTCACTTCAGCATACTGCATTTTCTTTTGAGCAGTCCTTAACTTCCAGAAAGGTACCTGAAGAGAAAGTATCTTCTTTCGTCTATCCAGTGGGGAGACTTGGCAAACATACAAGCTTTGCCCAAGGCCTGGGACCGAATTTCAAAAGACGAACACCAAGATCTTGTACAAGGTACTGGTTTGTGTTCTTCCTTTGTGTCTCCTCTCCTCCTTTCTCTCCCTGTGGCTCGCCTCTTTGGAAGCATTAGGAAGGTGCCCTTGCTGTGCCTCTGTGTGTTTTATGTTCTCGGGAGAGGTGATAATGCCATTTTTTCTGTCTTCCTATTTCAGATATCCTATTGAATGTTTCCTTCTTCCTGGAAGAGTAAGGAAGCTATGCGTATCTGGAGACCACGGGTACCACAGTTGAAGACTGACATTCTGAACCCTGATGTTTCTAAAGAAACGTCAGTATTTCAGTCTGACATATTTGAAACATCAGTGCCTTGAACCTTAGGACTGGGTCTTGGGGAGGATTAGCGCCTAGATGTCTGATTTTGGAGCTGCAGCATGCCAGGCCGTGGCTGAGAGTATGTGAGCCATGCCTTGCCCTTTTCTGAGGCTCAGGGAAGTGGATGGAGCTAGAGAGACAACAGGAAAGACGGTGCTGAAGAACATAGTGTCTTTCCTCTATTGTGGACCTAAAGAGGTGGGGAAGCAAGGACAAGAGGCAAAGAGCCACACTGCCCTTGGCATCATCCAAAGCATTGTCTGGTTGACACCAGGTCCTGGTTTTGTGTCTTTTGTCAATACCTGAATCCTTGACAAAAGAAAAAGTGGTTTTGATGATTTAAAGAAATAAGGGTGATTTTGACAGAAAATATATTTTAAAAATTTTGACCAATTGCAATAGTTATCCTCAAGCCAATTTCCAGAACCTGCCACCAGGGGGAGGTGGTGCAGCATGAATCATTCTGAATGCTTTGTCTTTGAAGTGTTCCCCTATTGCTGTTACCATCTCAGAGGAAGTAACTGGGCATGGTGAGACTCCTAAAATGACAGGAGTTTTTTTGGCCAAAGCTGGCATCTGACTTGCCACATTCCTCTGAGTCTGGAGTAGCCGCAGGGGTGGGAGAATGCCAGCCCAGAGTCAGTCCATCGGGGTTACATTTCCAAGGTCTGCTGCCTTCATCTATGTAATGGCCGTGTTACTTTCAGATCTTTCAGCTTCCCAGAGTGTTGTGGGAATCTTGGTCATTGAATGTAAAGGGACTTAGTAAAGGGTATAGATATTTTTCAAAAATGAAAATAACTTTTTTTCTTATAAGTGATAAGCTTTTATAAAGATCATAGGAAAACTAGAAAAAATGTAAAATGTAGAAAATTGTAAAACAAACTTCATTAGAGATATTTTGATAGATACCTTTTCAGTGTCTATTTACAAATTTTTTCTTTTAATATAGATAGGGTCTCACTATATTGCCCAGCTCACTCCTGAGCTCAAGGGATCCTCCCACCATAGCCTCCCAAAATATTGGAAATACAGGCATGAGCCACTGCTCCTGACCAATTCACAAATTTTTTTAAAGAACAAACGTGCTATCATCGATACATACTGTTAGGTTGTCTTTTTTTAAAAAACCTAATGTAATTTGTTCATCTTTTTATATCTGTAAATATAGCTCAACACAGTTATATTCTTTTTGTGAATGTATTATATCTACAATTTACCTTTTTTCTTAGATTTTACATGCATTTTCCCAAATCTTTGTGTTTGCCTATCTGTAAAGGTAATACATTCTGATTACAAAAAATGAAAATGTTACATAGAAATGTACCGTTATCCATCTACCAGATAACTATTATTAATAATGTGTATTTATTTTTCCAGGAATTAAAAAACATCTATCATATAAGTATTGCAAATAAAACTTAAAAAGCATTTAAGTGTCAAGTCTTATGTTGGGCTCTGGGGACAGAAATAAAAGAGAGCCCTAGAAAGGCTCACAGTTCCACCAGGGAAAGATTAATGTGCAAATAAGTCACTGATATCTTGTTAAAATTTGGATTCTGATTCTGTAGGTCTGGGATGGGGCCCAGATTCTGCATTTCAAACGAAGTCTCAGCTAATGGTCCAAGGACCAGACTTTGGATTGCAGAGACTTAAGTTGTAATACAATAATAAAAGTGTTATAGTTAAGGTAAAAACAGGTGCTGTGGGAGAATAGAGATGATAACTAATTGCCTGTGGAACTCCTTCTTGATGACAGTGACATTTGAGGTAGGCCTTGAAGGGAATTTTACCTGGGGCTAGGAGAGGGGTGCGGGGCATTCCATGCACAGGGGATAATCTAAACAAAGGCCATGTTTGAGGCAGGATGGAAGCCAACACTTGACGAAAGCTAGCTGTGTGCCAGGCATTGTGCTTGTTGCCTTTACCCTCCACAACTGGCAAATAATAGTTCAGTATCACAAATAACAAGTTCACAGATGGATAGAAGGATGGCAGGAAGTGGGTCAGTAAGGGTGGACTGGAACCAAATTGTGAAGAGGATTATGAGTCCCAGCTCAAGCGTTTGTATTTTGCTCTACAAGTGGGAGATGCTCGCTTATGTGTATGCATGTGTAATAAAGAGGTTTTTAAACCTCCCTCATAGAAGCAAGTAATGGCTAAGTAGAAACAAGCACGTTTATGGTGCTCAGTAATAACTATATAGTATTTAAGTATTGTTTTTATTTTGTTCCCTCTTAGCTTTGTGTCTGTTAAAATGCCATATTTTTCATTGTTCTTTTTAAATTTAAAATAAAATTTATTTTTTTGAGACAGAGTCTCACTCCCACCCAGGCTGGAGTGCAGAGGCACAATCTCAGCTCACTGCAACCTCTGCCTCCCAAGTTCAAGCGATTCTCCTGCCTCAGCCTCCAGAGTAGCTGGGATTACAGGTGCTTACCACCATGCCTGCCTAATTTTTGTATTTTTAATAGAGACAAGGTCTCGCCATGTTGGCCAAGCTGGTCTCCAAATCCTGACCTCAAGTGATCTGCCTGCCTCGGCCTCCCAAAGTGCTGGGATTACAGGCATGAGCCACCACACCAAGCCTGATTTATTTTTTAAGTGATATATCAATATTGTAAAATAGGTATGCAAGAGCATATTTAGGCTGGGCACAATGGCTCTTGCCTGTACGAGCACTTTGGGAGGCCAAGGTGGGAGGATGGCTTGAGGTCAGGAGTTTAGACTAGCCAGACAACCCTGTCTTTATGAAAAAAAGAGCCAGGTGTGGTGGTGTGTGCCTGTAGTCCTAGCTATCTGCGAGGCTGAGGTGGGAGTTTCCCAATTCCCTTCCCTGAAGGCAACCAATATTGAATGTTTCTAGTGTATCTTTCCAAAAATACTATGCCTGTGTGAGTGTGGTGGGTAGGTATCCTCAAAGACAGCCCCCAGTGCTCCCACCTCTGGTATTCTTGCCCTTGTGTACTCCCCTCTCCTTCCAGATGGGCTGGACTGACAGATATACTTCTTTTTTTTTTTTTTTTTGAGACAGAGTCTCGCTCTGTCACCAGGCTGGAGTGCAGTGGCGTGATCTTGGCTCACTGCAATCTCCACCTCCCGGCTTCAAGCGATTCTCCTGCCTCAGCCTCCCGAGTAGCTGGGACTACAGACATGTGCCACCACGCTCAGCTAATTTTTGTATTTTTTAGTTAGAGACAGGGTTTCACCATGTTGGCCAAGATGGTCTCGATCTCTTGACCTTGTGATCTGCCCCCCTTGGTCTCCCAAAGTGCTGGGATTACAGGCGTGAGCCACCGCGCCCGGCCACAGATATACTTCTGATGAATAAAATACTACCCAAGTGGTAGGATGTCACTTCTGAAATAGGTAAAAAAGACTGCAGCTTCCATCTTGGGTGCTCTCTCTCTCTCTCTCTCTGGGATCACCCACCCTGGGGAAAGGCAGCTGCGATGCTGTGAGGCAGCCATGTGGAGAGGCTCATGTGAGAGACCAATGCCTGCCAACAACCATGTGACTGAACTTGGAAACAGATCCTCCCTCCCACAGTTGAACCTTCTGATGGGTCCACAGCCCCTGCTGACAGCTTGACTACAGCCTCTTGAAGACCCGACCCAAAGGCAGCCAGCTAAGCAGTGCCCGGATTCCTGATCCATGTAAACTGGGATAATAAATGTTTTAAATCACTAAGTTTGGGGGCCATTTGTTCCACAGCGATAGATAATCACTACAACAAAAAAACCTCCCTTCATTTTTATATAAATGCTAACATACCATATACCCACTTTTGCACCTTGTTCTTTCTTACCGTATCTTGGAGTTCATTCTATATAAAGAGCTTCCTTACATTGTTTTAAACAGTTGCATAGATTTCTGTTGTGTGGGTAAACCATAATTTACTTAAAATAGCTCCTTAGGGTGGACATTTGTTTCCAAAGTCTTAATACCTATTGGTTTTTATAGTAGCAACCCGCCTGTACTCCCACTCTTGTTCATTAGGCCTCCCCTCCACCACCTGGAATTTTCCATTTAGCTAACCCCATCACCTTCCAACAACAAAAAATAAATTGTCAGTATTTTTTACTAGAATCACTAAATTGATAAACGAATTCAGGGAGAGTCACCACACTGGGAATACTTCTGGTGCTCCTCCTTTATGTATGCC